>NC_000005.10:41375698-42008224 GCF_000001405.40 Homo sapiens | reverse complement strand
CACCCTTCACCTATTGATTTTGTTGCATCATTAACTGAAATTATCCCTGGGCAAATATGTGTCCAATGTATTTCCTATTATTGGCATGTTACCCAGTAGACTCAACTTTCTCTGGATTCCAACTCTCTTAGCAATAACTTAATGGTAACATCACAATGTCTCATTGATTTTTAATGAGAGTCATCTTCATGTGATTCTTCCTGAGTCCATTATTAATTCTTTTTCTTTTCTTGTGGCTGTTCTTTCCCTTCTCTGTACCTACTCCAAATTATTAACTGTCTCATGATCCCAAATGAAAACAAATGACTAGAAAAAAAGTTTTGCTTGAGTAGATCTTTTCCTATGCGAATACTAACTAGGGAGCAGCCCCTACTACCACCCAATTCTAGAAATAATTGGGATTAGTCTACTATATGTTGGCGCCACTCCACCAGTAGGATACTCTTACTGTTCAAGTACAAAAAGACATAATATTTTATAGTTTTGCAATAATGCTTGAATATATTTAAAAAACTATTGATGCCCAATGAGTTGGATCACCTAAGAATCAAACGTTTATTAGCTCTAGGTGAAAGTGAATGTTGCATTAGAACTATTGGAATTGTCCAACCTGTGAAAGCTACAGAGATTAAGCAAGGGACTGGGTACTCAGATTAATCAAGGAGTGTTTGCAATAGAAAAGTTTTCTCCCTCAGGAGTAACACTTATCTACGGATAATATGTAGTTAGTAGTTATTAAATACTGTGTCTAAGAAATAGAAAGAATATGTATTTCTGCCCCTGAGTAGTTTGCAAATTTACACGTCTTAGAAGATGGCTAATACTTTTTAAATTACTTTTAATACAAATTATTTGCAGATCTTTACATCTCAAAAGAGGTTAAGAATCTAAAGTCAATTCATAGGCAGTAAAAATATGATAAAAATGAAAATATCATAAATCATTCATAAAAAGTACAATATACATTGTTTCATACTATTTTTTTAGAGACAGGGCCTCACTCTGTGTCCAAATGTCCTTTTTTTATAAAGACATCAGTAACATCAGATTAGGGCCCACCTTAATGACCTCACTTTAACTTGATTACTTCTGTAAAGATCTGCAAGTAAATTTCCAAATAAGATCACATCCTGAGGTAGTAGTGAGGCTTAGGACTTCAACATAAGAATTTGGGTGAAGGGAGGCAGTTCAACACATAATAAGTATTGTATCCCTCCCAAAAATATATAGATATATATAATATTGATATATATCATGTTTATGTATATATGTCATGTATATATATGTATGTATGTGTGTGTATATACATATATATATATATATATATATATATATATCAGCATGAACCTTAGGAATGTAGGCAAAGCTCCATTTTGCAAATGTTTTATCTTAAAGCCTTGGCTATATTCTGCAAAGCATTTCTTTGTGTATCTTCAACAGAACCAAAGTGAAGGAGAATCACAATTAATTACTCTGAAACTGATGGTTTGCCTAAAATTTCTCTATTACTACCCAATTTGCCCCCAGCAATACTTTCCACAACCAGTGTCAAACAAAGGCTATTAAGACCCTTCTTCCTTTCTTCCTTCTCAACTTTCTTCAAACTTCATATTTACACATTACTTGATGAGTAACAGTTTAGACAAAAAATTGACTTTTTAAATGTAATTTTTCGCTGTACTTTTAAAGGAAATTTACTTATTGCTATATACTATTTCCCACTCCATGTTGCCAAGGTGTTTAGATCATAGTATGTTACATATATTATTTTATGTAAAGTAACTGCTGTTTGGTTTAACTATTTGTAGCCTAACATAATTCTTGCTTATAGGTAGGTACTTTGATATATTGTAGCAGCATTTTAGAAATTAATTAGGGGTCCTTGGCATGATATAAAACACATTACAGTTTTTCTCCTTTAAGATAATAGAAAATAAACTTTTGGTTAGCATTTCCATGAAGAACTTCTGGTTTTTAAAAATTATTTACTGATATTAAGAGGAAATGTCAGTATTTCTTGACTAGTGAGATGATAGAAATGTAGTAATTGAACTGTAATTTCGTGAAACTGATTTTATGAAAACTCAGGCAGTGCTTTCAGCTTAGGCTAAGCTAAGCTTTTGTATCTGTGCACCTCAAAAATATGTCAACATATGTCAATATATTTTTGAGGTGCATAAATACAAAAGAGCCAAACATTTGGGAACACTAGTTACATGATAGCACTCAATATGGAAAGAGGGGAAGAGAGGCAGGGCTTCATCAGTAAATGTTAGGTCACAGGGGGCCTTAGGATCCAGGCTAAGGGGTTGAAAAGTTACTGATAGGCAATAGCGGGTCACTGGTTTTTTTAAAGAGGAAATCTAAAAAGTTTGCTTGGGTGATAGAAGAGGAGGTCAAAAACAAATAGAACTTGACCACTGTGGCTTCTTTTAAATAGAAATGAGTTTAAAAGACTTGGTTAAAAATTCTCAGTTGCCCCCTACTGGTAAGGAAGGGGTGATACAGCACAGATTTGATCAACTTCTGTACAGCTGGAATAAAGCATGGAGGAAACCCTCTTCCTCAGAATGAAATAATGCCAAAAATATATTCAAGCAAAATAATCCCAACAGTTAAGAGCATTATTCTCTGAAAAGTAGCCAATATGCAATAAAAGTTCAGATGGAGGACTCAGAATGAGAAGAGAGATTTCTTCAGTGATTAGAGAATATCAGCTGAGTTAGGAACTTGTGGAGAAAGGAAAAATATAAATCTTCATTTTAAACACCTTCAGAAATCTGAAAATGGTTTGTAAATGTTTTTATAGTCTTTCACTTCAATTAGCTTTCAAGATAAGCCAAGTTGGAAGCACTGCATTAGAGTGCAGTTCAAAATCCCTCCTAAGAACTGTGCACGTATAGCCATCACAAAGTATACTTATGAAGCAAATAAAGTTTATAATTTGAACTTTGAACAAGGGAGAACAAGGTAAAACTCTGTTTCAATTTCTTAGAAAGAGCTTCACTGTTATATTACATCAGAAGATGAGTCCTCTCCAGCAACCCTCAGGTTCTCCGGCTGTATCTTCTCTTCTCTACTTTGCCTTCCTCTTCCAAGATGTTTTATTTAGAATAAAATAACATGGAACATGAATGGCTGAAAGTTTGGAGATGATGAGGTGAGAGAGAAGCATTATATTACCCACCCCCCTGCAGCAAGTTTTCATCAATTGTTTCAGGCAATTTGCTAACCAGTGTTGAAAATAACCAGCTATGTGTTCATTTAGATCAATCAATCAATGCCTCCGTCCCTCAGTTTCCACATCTATAAGATGAAGAGGATGAAAAACATGGTTTTAGTGTCCATTCCAACTGTAAATTCAAAAGCATCACTAAGAATTGTAGAGTCGAATGTAAGTTGACCCTAACTCACCACCCTACCTCACCACCGCCCATTCTACAGAAGAAGAATTTGAAGCGTAGAAACTTCTTGTGGTTTGTTTTTTTTATCCTTGTAGCAGAAATTGAACTGGAATCAAGACTGTGTGCTTATGGTTATTCCTACTCAATTCTAATTCATTTTTATCTGAAATAGAAAAGACAGCCTATATGTCAGAGAGGAAAGAGCTTTGAATCTGCACAAGTGACCAACTTTTCAAAACCAAATAATTTTTTTCCAGTCCTAATGATTTTTAAACTTACATGTATTATTCTATGGTCCTATGTATTTAAACATTTCTGCTATTTTTGTTCATTAATCGATTGAGTATTACATACATTATTTTAGGATTCTAGATCTCTTAAATAGACTTTTTTTACCTCTCGAATATACCCACCTTTGTACTTCTACTCTTCACCTTAAGAAAATTACCCACTTTCTCTCACACATATTATTTTGATCTTTTGTTTCTTAATTTAAAATCAACAAATTTAATGGTTGTGAAAGTTAAATTTGCCAAAGATATTACAATATAATTCTTAAGTTAAAAAAAGTTTCAATAGGTAAGACTGTTTCCAAATGCAGAAGTATGTGTATGGGACATTGGAGGAAGGAAATGGGTGATAAAATAACTTGGAATAAATGATTTTACAAGGAGGTGTCTACAGAAATACAGAAAACCTTGTGATAGTTTGCTCAGAATGATGGTTTTCAGCTTCATCCATGTCCCTACAAAGGACATGAACTCATCCTTTTTCATGGCTGCATAATATTCCACGGTGTATATGTGCCACATTTTCTTAATCCAGTCTATCATTGATGGACATTTGGGTTAGTTCCAAGTCTTTCCTCTTGTGAATATTGCCGCAATAAATATACGTGCACATGTGTCTTTATAACAGCATGATTTATAATTCTTTGGGTATATACCCAGTAATGGGATCGCTGGGTCACATGGTATTTCTAGTTCTAGATCCTTGAGGAATCACCACACTGTCTTCCACAATGGTTGAACTAGCAAGGACAGAAAACCAAACACAACATGTTCTCACTCATAGGTGGGAATTGAACAATGAGAACACTTGGACACAGGGTGGGGAACATCACACACTGGGGCCTGTTGTGGGGTGGGGGGAGGGGGAGGGATAGCATTAGGAGAAATACCTAATGTAAATGAAGAATTAATGGGTGCACCACACCAACATGGCACATGTATACATATGTAACATACCTGCACGTTGTGCACATGTACCCTAGAACTTAAAGTGTAATTTAAAAAATAAATAAATAAATAAATACAGAAAGCCAAATTACAGGCATCTGTGGTAATAAGCTAGCTAGATGGTACGATGTTCATCTATCATTTTTACCAAGCCAACATTCAATTCCTCTTCTGAAAACAGTACCACATTTTCATTTGAATAGCTCTTCCCTCCTTCATTCTTAAGTGTCTGTAGTTAAAAAATTCCATGGTAAGTCTTATGTGTCAGGTCTGGCCAATTACAACACTGCATCCTTCATCACACAAGAGGTGATCCCAAGATAAGCATGTAACTCAAGACAAAGTGAAGTGTTAAATCTCTATTTTTGCCTCAACTCCACAACTTATCTAATTCTATTATTGTCTGAGTTGCTTAAAGTTACTTAGTTCATTTTTTCTCCTTTGAAAAGACTTTGTGATTGTATAATCTATCTCGTTAAATCGTTCTGAGGGTAAAATGGGTAAATACATAACTTATGAAAATGTTTCTAAGCAGGTTACGTTACAAAAACATATCCAATTATAA
The DNA here is from genome assembly GCF_000001405.40 of Homo sapiens. Lineage (NCBI taxonomy): Eukaryota > Metazoa > Chordata > Mammalia > Primates > Hominidae > Homo > Homo sapiens. The sequence goes on along the minus strand of NC_000005.10, from coordinate 42,003,017 downwards.
TATGTAAAACTGGAATCACAAAATACATGCCCAACATATATTGTGCCATTATAGAAATACAATCTAAATGTGCTTTATAAGCCAAAATGCAAAATATAAACAAAAGGTGATGGTGATAACATCTCAGCAAGTTTGCTTCTAAGCACCAGGGCATGAGTATACTGAAATTGAAGAAAAATTTATATTATCTGAGCCTATTCATTTATTTAGTTTTTCAAGGATTTGTTGAACACCACTATGTCTCACGCACTTATTGGAGTACACGTGAAGGCAACATTGAAGACATAGATAATATAGATAGATATAGATAATATAGATAGATATAGAGACAGATGGTATAGATAGATGACATAGATACAGAGCAGCAAAAAGGAAAAAACGTTATTTAACACAGACACATCTCTCTTATCACACATATGCAAAAGTAAACAGGATCTAAAAGGCTATAGCTACTTCTACCTTGCACAGAAAATTATATTAGGGAAAGAAATCCTTCAATAAAAATCTTAGTTGGGCAATCATAAAAGGAAATGTCTTAATTTCAAAGTTCCTATTGATGGTTTTTACTGGTATATGATTGAGTCTTCAAGAGATATCTCTTTGTTGATCAAAATATTTTAAAGAATTTGAAGATATAGCAAGGTTAGGTTAGGATCATCATAGTGAGAGCCACTCTTTAATGGTGCTCATTGTGCGGCAGGCACTTATTTAAGCCTTGCACTACTATAACTCTTTTTGTGTGCACAACGACCCTCTGGGAAAGAGGTACTATGATCATTCTTAATACTTTGAGTAACCATAGACATCGTCATTCCATAGCATTCTTGTTTTTAACCAGTACTTTGGGTGGCCTGTTTACAGATGACATGATCATTTATGTAGAAAACCCTAAAGACTAGACAAAAAAGGAACCTATTATGATGAATAAATAAATTCAGTAAAATTGCAGGATACAAAATCAACATACACATTTAGTCATGTTTCTAAACACAAACAACAAACTATTTTTTAAAAAATTAAGGTGGCTGGGCACAGTGGCTCACGCCTGTTATCAGCACTTTGGGAGACTGAAGCGAGCAGATCGCCCAAGGTCAGGAGGTCAAGTTCGAGAGCAGCCTGGCCAACATAGTGAAACTTCACCTCTACTAAAAATACAAAAAAAAAATTAGCCAGCCAAGGTGGCGCTGTAGTCCCAACTACTAGGGAGGCTGAGCAGGAGAATTGCTTGAACCCAGGAGGCAGAGTTTGTAGTGAGTTGATCTCATACCACTGCACTCCAGCCTAGGTGACAGAGTGAGACTCCGTCTCAAAAGTATATACATAGAAAATTTATAAAATAAAAAAGTAAGGTAACAATCCCATTCACAATAGCAACAAAAGCAATAAAATACTTAGGAATAAACTTAACCAAAGAGGTGAAAGACTTGTACTTTGAAAATTATAAAACACTGTGAAAGAAATAAGACAGACATAAATGAAAGACATTGGCCAGGCATGGTGGCCCTCACCTGTAATCCCAGCACTTTGGGAGGCCGAAAGGGGTGGATCACTTCAGGTCAAGAGTTCAAGACCAGCCTGGCCAACATGGCGAAACCCCGTCTCTACTAAAAGTACAACAAAATGAGCTGCGCATGGTGGCGTGTGCCTGTATCCCCAGCTAATCAGGAAGGTGAGAGAGGAGAATCACTTGAACCTGGGAGGTGGAGCTTGCAGTGAGCCGAGATCATACCACTGCACTCCACTCTGGGTGACAGAGCAAGACTCCGTCTCAATAAATGAATGAATGAATGAATGAATGAATGACAATGTTTTCATGGATTTGAAGAATTTATATTGTTAAAATTTTCATACTACCCAAATTGATCTAGAGAGCCAATGCAGTTCCTACCAAAAATTCCAATGACATTGTTTACAGAAACACAAAAATAATCCTAAAACCAATATGGAAACACAAAAGAGCCTTAATAACCAAAACAATTTTTAATAGGAATAGCAAAGCTGAAATCATCACACTTTCTGATTTCTAAATGTGTTGCAAACCTATGGTAACCAAAACAATATATGCTATGGCATAAAATCAGACATAAATCACTGAAACAGAACGGAGACCCCAGAAATAAGAACACACATTTACAGTCAATTGATTATTGACAAAGATGCCAAGAACACACAATGGGGGAAAGATGGTCTCTTCAGTAAATTGTTATGGGAAAACTCAATATCCACATGCAGAAGAATGAAACCAAATCTTTATGACACTATGTACAAAAATTAACATGAAATAGAGTAAATACTTAATGATAAAACAAGTAGAAGAACACATAAGGGAAAAGCTTTTTGTCATTTTTTGTCGTTGGTCTTGGCAATGATTTTTTGGATATGACACAAAAACACAAGCAACAAAAGGAAAACAGGAAAATTAGATTGCATCAAACTAAAAATCTTATGCAGAGCAAGGAAAACAATCAATAAAATGAAAGGCAACCTATGGAATGAGAGAAAATATTTGCAAACCATATATTCAACAAGGGATATTCAAAATATATAAAACAAATATTTCAATATCTCAAAAACAAGTAACACAATGAAAACTGAACTCAGGAACTGAAAAGATATTTTTCTTTTTTAAAATTTCAACTTTTATGTTAGATACAAGGGGTACATGTGCAGGTTTATATCCAAATGAAATGCAATCAGTATCTTAAAGAGATGTCTGTGCCTTATCCCTTCCCCATGTTCATTGGAGCATAATTAACAATAGCCAAGATATGGAATCAACATAGGTGCCCATCAACAAATAAATGGATAAAGCAAGTGTAAACTATTATTATTTAATGAAATGTTATTCAGCCTTAAAAAAGAAATAAATTCTGCCATTTGTGACAACATGTATGAACCTAGAGACATTTTGCTAAATGAAATAAGCCAGAAACAGAAAGATAAATGCTGCATGATATCACTTATATATATAATCTAAAATAGTCAAATTCTTAAAAGCAGAGAGTATAATGATGGTTGCTAGGGCCTGGGGAGATGAGGGAAATGGGGAAATGTTGGGTACTATGATGGTTAATAGTGAGTGCCAACTTGATTGGCTTGAAGGTTGCAAAGTATTGATCCTGGGTATGTCTGTGAGGGTGTTGCCAAAGGAGATTAACATTTGAGTCAGTGGGATGGGGAAGGCAGACACACTCTTAATCTGTGTGGGCAGCATCTAATCAGCTGCCAGTTAATATAAAGCAGGCAGAAAAATGTGAAAAGATGAGACTGGCTTAGCCTCCCAGCCTACATCTTTCTTCCATGCTGGATGCTTCCTGCCCTCTAACATTGAACTCTGAGTTCTTCAGTTTTGGAACTCAGACTGGCTCCCTTTGCTCCTCAAGCTTGCAGACAGCCTATTGTGGGACCTTGTGAGCATGTGGCCTAATATTTAGTAAACTACTATATATATATACATATATATATATATATACATATATATGTATATATATATGTATATATATATATATACACATATATATATGTATATATATATATGTGTATATATATATACACACACACACACACACACTCACATATATATTTTATATATATATTTATACATACATATATATAAATATATATATATCACCCATTAGTTCTGTCCCTCTAGAGAACCCTAACTAATACATATTTTGGTACCAGGAGTGGTTCTAGAGGAACAGAATACTAAGGATGGAGTTCTTTCCTTGGTTTTGGGGTTTCTGGAGTTGGCTGCTTAATATGATTAGACCCCAAAATGCTAAGGTCTCTACTTCTAATAGTATGGAGAACACTGAGAGTCCTTGGTATTAACTGTTTACAGAGTTATGCAAAATAAATGCATTTGACACTCTTGATTCACCACCTGTGAGAGGCAAGGAGTTTAGCAACTCTATATATAATACCTTTGACCATATGTGAACCATATGTGGTCCATATATGGACCATGTGTGAACCATATGTGGTCCATATATGGACCATATGTGAACCAAGGAACGTAATGAAGCTGGTTGGCTGCTCCTAAGTTCAGTGGAGAAAGTGATGAAAGAAAACTATGAACTCACGGATTCTAACTTCCGGCTTCAGAAGGAGATACCGAGCCTCAAATGTGCTAAGATTTACCTGAGTGAGAGTCTTATCTCCTGTAGAGAAAGAGCTGAAATAGTGGAAAAATAGACACAAGCTCTTATCATGTGAGTGGCTGACCTGCAACCAAAGGTGCATGCATAGTTTCACCAGGTGTCACTGAGTTTGTAAACTGTGATGAACATTTTTGGCAGAAGAAATAGCTTCCCCATCCCCAGTAGTGACAACATCCCCTCTCATATTAAGGGTATGGGATAATTGTGGAGGAACATATTGTTGGATCAGGCTGAATTTACTGATTTGGGCCCACTAAGTAGGGACTCTGCATTTAATGTTTCAGCTCATGGAGTTACAAAAGGTTCTAATAATTTATTTGCTGGGTTAACTAAAACATGGATTAAAATATGGCCCACTGTGAGCTAGCTGGAAATGCCTGATCTCCCTTGGTTTAATGTAGAGGAAGGGATCCTAAGGCTTAGGGAGATTGGATGGTGGAGTGGATTAGTGACTTTAGACCTACTCATCCCCGCTGGGAGGGTTCAGGAGATACACCCTTAACCAATGCCTTTTGAAATAGATTTGTGAGGGCAGCACCTGCATCTTTGAAGGCGCCTGTAATTGCTCTTCTCTGTATATCAGATCTAATGGTGGGAACCACAGTCACTCAACTACAAAATTTAAATATAATGGGGATAACTGGATCCTGAGATGTCAGGGACCAAGTGGTGGCACTCAATCGTCAAAGGAAAGGTAGACATAGCTATCATAATGGACACCAGAGGCAAAGTGGCAATCAGAATAGTCTGACTCATGTAGCGCTTTGGCATTAGCTAATTAATTACAGTGTTCCTAGAAGTGAAATTGATAGGGAGCCTGCTGCATCCCTACCTAAGTTGTATAAGCAGGAAATTTACAGGTCAAATGGATGAAAGACTAATTTGAATTATAAAAACAAAGAATCATGGCCCCTCAATTAATTTCTAGACTTGAGCCAGTTTATAGGCCTAGAACCCTTTGAATGAAGGGGAGGCTGGGTCCCCTTGAGGAAGAACCCCACTACACTACCAACAATTTATGTTGTTAATCTTTTTCCCATTCTTCCCCAAGTAGACCTCCCAGCCTTTTACCAGAGTAATTGCACACTGGGGAAAGGGAAATGATCCAACATTTTGGGGAGTACTGGACACTGGCTCTGAGCTGACATTCATTCCAGGAGACCCTAAAAGTCATTGTGGTCCTCCAGTTAAAGTAGGTGCTTATGGAGGTCAGGTAATTAATGAAGTTTTAGCTCAGGTCCAACTTACAATGGGTCCAGTGTGTCCCTGGACTCATCCTGTGGTTTTTACCCCAGTGCCAGAATGCATAATTGGCATAGACATACTTAGCAGTTGACAGAACCCCCACACTGGCTCCCTGACTGGTAGGGTGAGGGCTATTATGGTGGGAAAGGATGAATGGAAGCTATTACAGCTGCCTCTACCTAGAAAAATAGTAACTCAGAAACAATATCCCATCCCTGGAGGGATTGTGGAGATTAGTGCCACCATCAAGAACTTGAAAGGCACAGGGATAGTGATTCTCACCACATCTCATTCAATTCTCTCATTTGGCCTGTGCAGAAAAGAGATGGATCATGGAGAATGACAATGGATTATCATAAGCTTAATCAAGTGGTGACTCCAATTGCAGCTGCTGTACCTGATATGGTTTCATTGCTTGAGCTAATTAACACATCTCCTGGTAGCTGGTATGCAGCCATTAACTTGGCAAATGACTTTTTCTCCATTCCTGTCTGTAAGGCCCACCAGAAGCATTTTGCCTCCCACTGGCAAGGCCAGCAGTACACATTTACTGTCCTATCTCAGGTGTTTATCAACTCTCCAGCTTTGTGTCATAATCTTATTCAGAGAGAACTTGATCACTTTTCGTTTCCATAAGATGTCACACTGGTCCATTACATTGATGACGTTATGCTGATTGGATCCAGTGAGCAAGAAGTAGCAAACACACTGGACTTATTGCTGAGACATTTGTGTGCCAGAGGATGGGAAATAAATCTGACTAAAATTCAGGGGCCTTCTACCTCAGTAAAATATCTAGGGGTCCAGTGGTGTGGGGCCTGCTGAGGTATTCTTTCTAGTGAAGGATAAGTTGCTGCATGTGGCCTCCCCTACAACCAAGAGAAAACCAAGAAAGATGCACAATGCCTAGTGGGTCTATTTGGATTTTGGAGGCAACACATTCCTCATGTGGTGTGTGTTATTCTGTCGCATTTATCAAGTGACCCAAAAGGCTGCCAGTTTTGAGTGGGGTCCAAAACAGGAGAAGGCTCTGCAATAGGTCCAGGCTGCTGTTCAAGCTGCTCTGGCACTTGGGCCATCTGACCCAGCAGATCCAATGGTGCTTGAGGTCTCAGTGGCAAATAGAGATGCTGTTTGGAGCCTTTGCAGGACCCCATAGGTGAATCATAGTGGAGGCCTCTAGGATTTTGAAGCAAGGCCCTGCCATCTTTTGCAGATAACTACTCTCCTTTTGAGTGACAGCTCTTGGCCTGTTACTGGGCTTTGGTGGAAACTGAACGTTTGACTATGGATCATCAAGTCACCATGTGACCTGAACTGCCTGTCATGAACTGGGTGCTTTCTGACCCATCTAGCCATAAAGTGGGTCGTGCACAGCAGCATTCCATCATCAAATGGAAGTGGTATATATGTGATCAGGCTCGAGCAGGTCCTGAAGGCACAAGTAAGTTACATGAGGAAGTGGCTCAAATGCCCATGGTCTCCACTCCTGCCACCCTGCCTTCTCTCCCCCAGCCTGCACTGATGGCCTCATGGGGAGTTCCCTGTGATCAGCTGACAGGGGAAGAGAAGACTAGGGCCTGGTTCACAGACGGTTCTGCATGATATGCAGGCACCACCCAAAAGTGAACAGCTGCAGCACTACAGCCCCTTTCTAGGACATGCCTGAAGGACAGTAGTGAAGGGAAATCTTCCCAGTGGGCCGAGCTTCAAGCAGTGCAACTAGTTGTGCACTTTGCATAGAAAGAGAAATGGGCAAATGTGCGATTATATACTGATTCATGGGCTGTAGAGAATGGTTTGGCTGGATGGTGAGGGACTTGGAAGAAGCATGATTGGAAAATTGGTGACAAAGAAAGGGGAAGAGGTATGTGGATAGACCTCTCTGAGTGGTCAAAAACTGTGAAGATATTTGTATCTCATGTGAGTACTCATCAATGGGTGACCTCAGCAGAGGAGGATTTTAATAATCAAGTGGATGGGATGACTAGTTCTGTGGACACCACTCAGCCTCTTTCCCCAGACACCCCTGTCATCACCCAATGGGCCCATGAACAAAGTGGCCATGGTGACAGGGATAGAGGTTGCGCATGGGCTCAGCAACAAGGATTTCCACTCACCAAGGCTGACCTGGCTATGGCCACTGCTGAGTGCCCGATTTGCCAGCAGCAGAGAAGAACACTTAGTCCTTGATATTGCACCACTTCTCAGGGTGATCAGCCAACTACCTAGTGGCAGCTTGATTATATTGGACCTCTTCCATCATAGAAAGGGCAGAGGTTTATCCTCATTGGAATGAACACTTACTCCAGGGATGGGTTTGCCTATCCTGCATTCAATGCTTCTGCCAAGACTACCACCAATGGACTCACGGAATGCCTTATTCACTGTCACAGTATTCCACACAGCATTGCCTCTGACTAAGGCACTCACTTTACGGCTAAAGAAGTGTGGCAGTGGGCTTATGCTCATGGAATTCACTGGTCTTACCATGTTCCCCATCATCCTGAAGCAGCTAGACTAATAGAATGGTGAAATTCCCTTTTGAAGTTACAATTACAACGCCAACTAGGTGATAGTACTTTGCAGGGCTTGGGAAAAGTTCTCCAGGAGGCCATGTATGCTCTGAATCAGCACCCAGTATATGGTAGTGTTTCTTCCATGGCCAGGATTCATGGGCCCAGGAATCAAGGGTTGGAAGTGGAAGTGACAACACTCACCATCACCCCTAGTGATGGTGCAAAATTTTTGCTTCCTGTTCCCACGACATTACATTCTGACGGCCTAGAGGTCTTAGTTCCAGAGGGAGGAATGCTGCCACCAGGAAACACAACAATGATTCTGAACTGGAAATTAAGATTGCCACCTGGACATTTTGGGCTCCTCCCACCTTTAAGTCAATAGGATAAGAAGGGAGTTACAGTGTTGGCTGGGGTGATTGATCTGGACTATCAAGATGAAATCAGTCTACTACTCCACAACACAGGTAAGGGTGTTATAATGTCTCTTAGTATTACCATGCCCTATGATTAAGGTCAAAGGGAAACTACAACAGTCCAATCCGGCAGGGCTAGAAATGGCCCAGACCCTTCAGGAATGAAGGTTGGGGTCACTCCATCAGGAAAAAAACCACGACCTGCTGAGGTGCTTGCTGAAGGCAAAGGGAATACAGAATGGGTAGTAGAAGAAGGTAGTCATCAATACAAGCTACCACCATGTACCAACTGCAGAACACAAGGACTGTAATTGTCATGAGTATTTCCTCCTTCTTTTGTTAAAAACATGTTTATGCATGTATACACTTGTACTAAGGAAATATCTTCATTTTATTTCATTTTCTTCTTTATCATGTGACATAAGACTTTTTGAGTTCCTATTAGCATTTAAGTATTGTTAACTTTATGTAATAGCATTTTGTTTGGGGATTGGTGCATTTCTGGTTGTACGAAGGATAGTTGTATTATGTTAGGCATAATTATGACCTTATTATTGTCCTTACTTGAAGACTATGTATGATCTCAGGAGATGCGTATGGGTTCAAGTTGTCTAGGAGTGGACTTGTGATGGTTAATTCTGAGCGTCAACTTGATTGGATTGAAGGATACAAAATACTGATCCTGGGTATGTCTGTGAGGATGTTGCCAAAGGACATTAACATTTGCGTCAATGGGCTGGGGAAGTCAGACCCACCCTTAATCTGTGTGGGCACCATCTTATCAGCTGCCAGCCAATATAAAGCAGCCAGAGAAATGCAAAACACTAGACTGGCTTAGCCTCCTAGCCTACACCTTTCTCCCATGCTAGATGCTTCTTGCCCTTGAACATCAGACTCCAAGTTCCTCAGTTTTGGAACTCGAACTGACTCTCCTTGCTCCTCAGCTTGCACATGGCCTATTGTGGAACCTTGTGATCATGTGAATTAATACTTAATAAACGTCCCTTTATATGCATATACACATACATAAAACGATATATATATATATATATATATCCTATTAGTTCTGTCTCTCTTGAGAACCCTGACTAATATGGGTAAAAAGTTTCAGTTATATGGGATGAATAGTCCTGAAGATCTGATGTAAGCAAGTTAACTATAATTAACACTGAATTATATAGTTGAAATTTGCTAAGAAAGTTGATCATAAGTTTTCTTACCACAAAAAAAATTGTAACTACGTGAGATGATGCATATGCTTAATAGCTTGATTTCAGTAATCATTCCACAAAGTTTTTGTATATCAAAACACTATCTTCTACACTTTAAATACATGTAACTCTTATTTGTCAAATATATATCAATAAATCTGGGAAAAATTTTAAGTACTTCATGCAGAAATATAAAAAGGGAATAAAAAGTTGCAACACAGCTCTATAAGAAAATATTATCAAGCTTCATGAAGAAGAGTTTTGTATATTTTGTTCATTGCCTTATCCTTGTCACCTGATAAATAGCAGATGCTCAACAAATATTTGTTAAATGAATTTATGAAGGATAGAAGGTACTGTGGTCACGAAAACTAATGCTACTAAGTAATACTTCAGTCTATTAAAAAGGGTTTACAATATGTTTTTACATTTAAAAGCAAATTAAAAAATAGTGTGTTTATAATGTGATCACAATTTTCTCTTCTCAGTTTTATCATTCTCCACTTAAAAGAGCATGACTTACAGTTGAAGAATGCATTTATTTCTTAAAAATCAGCATACAAAACATTTAGAAGCTAATAGAATACTATAACTAGAAGTCTTCAAATCTGGCAGTAGAAAGAATAAGGCAGCATACTTGCTGAAAATATTTTAACTCAAAATTTGTTTTTATTCTAGAAATCACTTATTTGATGAAGGCTCTTCAAGATTTCCAATCAATTGCAAGCAAATTTTAAAAAAAGAAAAATTCCAAAACACTTTTACATAACAATTCAAATCTAAAAATATCTCCCCAATGAAATAACCGGCCATTGTAATTAATTTCTTCGTGTAAACTTTTTGATTGACTGTCTTATCAAGAAAATAGTTTTCTAGAGACCATTGCTGTCCCCAAGCAGTCTACCATTTGCCTTCCACAATAGAACTCAGAAATGTTAGCTCTGGGATTATAAGTTTGGATAAGGGACCCCACTCTTCTTCTTCTGTGCTTCTCCATTTTTCCTTTTAGCAATGGAAGGTAAGGGTAAAAAATTGTATGGGTCCATGAAGATTCCCAATAGAAAAAACATATTTTTATAAGCCACACCAGACCCTTGATTTTAGCACCAAAGTCCTCTGATCCACTAAATGTTTGTAAACCATCATGTTCATGTACCTCAAATAAACAAAGACTTTATACTTAATTTCATATGTAGGATTTGGATTGACTGCTTACACTATTATTAGTTTTAATAAACCAACTAGTAATGTGTACTATATTCCAATAGTATATAAAGAGCTAGAGAAAATCTAAATAAACCAGTGTGTTATTTATTATATAGGAGGACAGATGTTTCTTCCTAAGAGGAAATAGAAGATGAAGGTATATATATATATTTTTTTATGAGACCGATTTTTGCTCCTGTTGCTGAGGCTGGAGTGCAATGGCGCCATCTCGGCTCACCGCAACCTCTGCCTCCCGGGTTCAAGCGATTCTCCTGCCTCAGCCTCCCGAGTAGCTGGGATTACAGGCATGCCCCACCACGCCTGGCTAATTTTGTATTTTTAGTAGAGACGGGGTTTCTCCATGTTGGTCAGTCTGGTCTCGAAATCCCGACCTGGGGTGATCCGCCCTCCTCGGCCTCCCAAAGTGCTGGCATTACAGGCGTGAGCCACTGTGCCCGGCCGGAAGGTATATAAATACTTAAGACACAAAAAATTGAGGAAGATCAAGCATGTAAGTTCTTAAATACCTCTACAGATTAGGAGATAAAATCACCTTCTGTGAGTTAAAAGGCAGAGCTGGAGTTAGAGTTAAGGATTTTAGGAGAGAGCAAAAAATTTTACAATAGTGGAAATATACCAGAGTCCAACAGAAATTTACACCAGAATTATTGAGCAGCATTGAAGACCCATTTGAGTTTGATAGCAGGACTCTGAAGAGACAAATCAGCATGGCTTGGTTATTTCTCAACCAATGTTTAGGAGCCCAGAAAGGAAACCCAGGAATGTATGTGGGGTAAGTTAATCAGGCTTATGCTTTCACAAAAAGACCTCACAGGATTAAGCAGAGAAAAGAGCAGGAATTTCTGAGGACGATATCATCAGCCTAGTTTTAGGTTAGGAGTAGATTCAAGATTTAACAGAAGACAGCCAGGAAATTGGGAGAACATAATTGGATAATAAACTGCCACTTTGGTAGGAATAAGAAAGTTGGTGGACAGTAAATAGTTTGTGGTTGACATTACAAAGGTTATGGTTTAAAATTCTGAAGAAGAGTTTTAGTGATGCTAAGTCCCAGGGTATCATCATGGGAGGCTTATGTTGATAAAATGGTCAGCAGGTTAGTAGAGGCTGGGGATATGGATATAAGAGTGAGATGTAGAAAGGGACGTTAACGTGAATGTTGACTCACCCAGGATGGTAATGAGGCAGACCCTGACATTCTAAGCAACCCATCATATTTAATTCATCTAGACTTTGGCTTTTGTCCTTAAGATGTGGTAGAATAAAGTTCATGACAATGAAGATGAGAAAAGGCAATATAAATGTAGACTACAAAAGGGAAGGAGTTTTATTCAGTGGTGGGGGCAGAAAATGCATATTCTTTGGTAGTAAGGAGCAAGAACTTCTTCCATAAAAGGTCAAAGAAGTTGCCTGGCCTAATATTAAAATTAGTAAGTCCAAAGCCAAGAAAATAAATAGTGGCCATTAATACATTTTTTTATTTTTGCTTTACTTTTCCCCTCTGCTTCTCTTTCCATGGTCTAATAAAAATGCTATTAATGTTATTTCCCAACTTAGATAAAAAATAGAAAACTATCTACAATGCTGTCCAAAATGATAATAACTAAAATTTGTAATCTTAAGAGTTTTAGGGAATTGGTATTATTCCTGGAGCATTAGTCAGACATTGAGAAAGTTCCCTGGTTAACTCCTACTTTTTAGATCTTAGCTCAAACATTATTTTCTCAGAGAAGTCTTTTCTGAAATTCCCACTACCAATATATTTTCATAGCAGTCATCACTGTTGTTCTATTACATTGTTTGAACTTTGATGAATGTGTCTCCCCATCCACATGAATACACAATAGACTGTAAATTCCATAAAGCAATGACTATGAATACTTTATTCTATATAGGCTGAATGTCTGATAGATTGCCCACCACACTGAACTATTTTTTGAGTGAATTAATGAATTGCATGTGTCTAAATTTCCTTGGGATTCTAAACCAGGCAGTATTCCAAAATTTTAACATTCAGTTTTAGTGCATGGGATACATAGGATCTCAAAAATGCAATCATTGAATGAGTCAAAAGATCAAAAGAGATTCATTGAAATCGGAAACTTATCTGTGTGAGATGTAAATTATTTAGTAATATATTGAAATTATGAATGTAGCTTTATGATGATGGTATTATTGTACGAATTAAAGGAAGGACTCAAGATGCACCCCAGGTCTAAATCCTACTTCGTAAATAACTGTCAGAACCCACTAGGTCCCTCTAAAATCAATATGCATCCACCAGGCATATATTCGGTCCCTGCCGTATTTCCCCAGTCCTAGTTTTGGTGAAATTTATGCAAAATCTTAAACTGCTAAATAGACCCAGCAGTCATGTAGCCAATAATATGCTTCATAATTATAAGCATTTTATTAGTAATCTTTGGTCTGAATCTAAGGTGGAATGTTTGAACTAGGATGAATAAGGAGCAGATGATAGGGGAAGCAATGGGGAGCTATTTTGGGATGATACTTCTTGAATTAGCAAATCATTACAGGGTAGACATCTTTGACTTGAGCAATTCGACAAATATAATAAAGAAATAACAGTAAGCATATAGAGCACCTGACTACTGCTGATCTTTTAATTGGGTGCACACTCTGATCTTCAAACTGTTTAATTGGATCTGCAATAATATTCCAAGGCAAATATATTTTAATGTATACAAAGGGAGCTTTAAAGTAAATTACCTAAATTACAGTAATAACTTTGCAACTGAATGCTTTTTCTCATCTTTCTCTACAGTAACTTGCTAAGATCGTAACGGAATATATTTATTATTTTTATCATAAAATAATTTAGATTGCCAAGTTCTATGCTAAGTTCTGAATTAATAGTTATTTTGGCTTTAAAATGCTACTGTAAACTTAATTACATTAATTATATATATATGTTTACTTACACAGAAATTAGTCACCCCTTGACTGCTGACATTTGAATCTACTTTTTCATAAGCATTTCTTATTAAGTATATCAATGATAATATCTAATTAATTTACAAGCTACCCTGCTAAGGCAAACTGGAAATTCTTTAGGGTAAAAGGGATATATCAGGTTCACTGGTATTGTGTTCAATATTAACATCATTGTGGCCGTTTTTTTCTTAAATATTGAACTAATTCAACTGTGATCAGAAACCGTGCCCCAAATGACTTCAATTATTTAAAATTTGTTCGACTTACATTATAATCTAAATTTTGCTAAGCATTTATGCGCCTTAGAAGGAAAGTGAATTCTGTCATTTGTGGTTAAGTGCTTTCCACAGCTTTGTTAAGTCAGCTTGATAATTTTGTTTTCAGATCTTCTATATCTTTTTTGTTCTTTTGGATAAATATATTTTAAAATCAAAATTATTTCTGAGTTTTGGTGAAGCAGTGTAAGAAGCTTGAAAGTCATCACTCTGTCCTGAACACAGGTAAAAGCTGAATAAACCAAAATATCAACAACTCTTATTAGATCCTAAGAGAAGTGAGATCATAGAGCAAACTGCTACACCCCAACTGGAAAGACTGACAGGTGAATAAAGAGAATCACAGAGCTCATCAAACCAGAAACTCATGAGCCGCAACCTCCATGAAACCCAGTGCCAGGGTAGGAAAACCTAAACTGTAGTTGATGAATAATTGCTGGAGTCTCAATGCAGACAAGCATGAGAATTTAAAACATCCAGGGGGCCCAGTCATCAAGGCCCCAACACTTTTGTGAGTTCTACCTCCTGGAGCTCTACCATGTTCTCACAGTGAATATCACAGAAAAACATCCTCATACTTTGAGCAGGGGAAAGGAAAAATGAATCATTTTTAAGTATACCCTTCAAGAAAGATGAAGAGCATTCCCTTCTTCCTAAAAAGATCTGCCCTCAGTAGAAACTATTTAACCAGAGCCTAACCTGCTATTTCCCACAATCTAACTGACCTAGGGAAAGGAAAATACCCAACTCCAGCCCACTTTAGCTATCCTGTGCCACACAAAGTGGTTGGGGAATGAGAAGGACATGTGAAGTTCACAATCCAGAGATACTGGCTCACTAAAGACTAAGACCTAAACATAGGTCTATACAACATTTTCTCTCCCCCCCACATGTTACCACCATATTACTAAAAGCCGTGTGTTACAGTTCATTTTACCTATTACATCTTTTCTGACTGTCAAGAAAAAATTACAAGACATACTAGAAGCAAAAAACACAAGTTGAAGAGCCAGAGTAAGCATCAAAGCCAGAATCAGATATGGCAGGGCCATTGGCATTATCAAACCAGGAATTTAAAACCACTATGATTAATATGGTAAAGCTCTAGTGGATAAAGTGGACAGCATACAAGAACAGACAAGTAATGTATGGAGAGAGATGGAAATCCTAAGAAAGAACCAAAATGAAATGCTGAAGATTAAAAATACTGTAATAGAAATGAAGAATGCCTTTGATGAGCTTATTATCAGGTTGGTAAAAAAGTAATTGTGAATTTTGCCATTACTTTCAATTACAGGAAGATGGTAAAATGCACACAAGCAAATGTTTCATTAGTTAATTTGAAACTTGAATATTCTTAGCATATACCCTAGTTTTCAACACATTCATGCTGCAAAAAGGCATTGTAATGAGATGGCACGCAGGCTTGTGTAAATTTCAGGAAAATGTTAAGATCATTTCTCTACAGTAATATTCCTCACAAGGAGCTTATTACAATTACCCTTCTCTATGGTTTTTCATTTCTAAGGTATTTCAGTGCCTAAACTGAACTTAGAAATTTGAGAACACCCCAACTGAAAATAGATATATGTAGGCATGCAGGAACAGAGATTTGATCATATCCTTTGAAAAATTATTTAACTTCCCAGGTTAGGGGAGGTCAGTTCAACATTGGTGGTTAAAGAAATTTGTGAAGGGCCAGAAACTGAGAAGTCAAGTTCGGAAGAGAGATGGTTGCATTATATTACAATGAAATTAATATTTATTATTTCCATTTTACTTAAGATAAAGCTTTCTAAATGAACATAATGTTATAATCTCTAAGAAAACCAAGTCTAATTGCCTCTTGTTAAGATTGCAATCTTAAAGGTCTGATTTTTCTGTAAAAACACTGTTTATTCTTAGATAATAGCATATTCATAAACAAACTCCTGTGTGTTATTTGTTTCATCATTTTCTAGTTAGTCAGAATGTAGCATTTACTTGCATGAATCTGAACTCAGGCATTAAAGCTAAATGGATTTAAACTAGAGGACATTTTGTTCTCTATAAACAGCAGGATGACTGTAACATTTCCACATTAAGGCAACAACAATGAAAATAAAAACAAATCACAACAATTTATATAAATTCTAGAATTCTGTTGTTTTATCCACCTAAAACCTATCTTATTTTTTTGCATGAGAAAAGGAATAACAGAAGTTTTTCGAGGATTCACAAACCTTCTCCTTCTATTTAGAACATGTTTGCGTTTTTGTGGTGTTATGCATTCTGAGAGGTAATAATATCATAATTTGGGGTCTTTGTGCTATCTTGCCTCAGGTTAGCACTTGAGTGAAAGAACAAAGTTCAAAAGTTCACATAAACATCCCAAACAAATGATCTGGAGAAAGGGAACACTCCTTTGAAGTGCCCTCTGTGTTTAGTAGATAAATACAAACGGTAGCATCACATTTTGTTCTTTGTCCTAAACCTCATTGAAATTCAATTATGTTTCAGAATGGAAGAAAGTGAATAGTAGGCTAGATGTGTCCTTAAACCAATAAATTCTCTGAAAATAACTCAATCCTTCTTTGTTTTTATATCTTTTCTCCACCTGCTCCACCTGTGCCTCCAAGTGAAAGCAATTTTACAGTCAATAGTTGTTGTGGGGCTTGGATTTGTTTTTTTTCCTCTCTCTCTCTTAGTCAAAAAGATGGTAAATCTTTTTGGTAAATGGGGCCAAACAGTGGAGCCTAGAGGGAAGGAAAATAGAGAGTAGGACCAGAAAAAAATTTTAAGTGAAATGAGGGCTTTTATATCACAATGTAGGTGGAACCTGCCTTTAAATTATCTTTGAACTACCTCAAGCATGGGGACTGCTCTTATCTAGCCTTACGCAATACTTTCTAAATTTATTTTTTAAGTTACAGTTTCAATGATTATTACTACCACAAGTGAATTCTGAGTTTGAAGTGTATTTTATGAGTCAAATGTCTAACCTTTCACTCTAAGGGAAAAAAGACAAGAGTCGGGAATTTTAAATAGAAAATTTGAAATCAATGAGTATAAAATGGCTTATTTTCTCTATTTTTATTTTAACAGTTCGACTTTTCCTGTAGACTAAGGAACAGCTAATGGCTTATGTCATTCAACTGTCTTTTACAAAGTTAGCAAAAAGCTAACAGTTTTTTGAGGTTAAGAATAATAATAACATTAATAGTTACATTTTACTGAAAGCTTATGATGTTAAGCTCTTAAATGAGCTGGGTTAGTTTTCAGCTTATAAGGTAGATTCTAGTAATAACCATTTAGCCAAGAAAACCAAATCTCAAGGAAGTTAGGTAATTCTCCCAAGTTAGTAAGTGAAAAAGTCAAAATTATAACGCAGGCTGACTTTCTTAAAAGCACACTTCACCTCTCTCCTGCACAGACTCTAACACTAAGCCTATATTCTTCCTTTCTACTACCTCACCAAACCTGAAAATTTTCTTTTCATTCTTTAAACTTTATTTTAAATAGGAACCATCCCTTAGTAATTATAAAGATTCCAGGAAGTAAATTGGAAACTACTTTCTGACATTGCTGCTTTTCTATTACTAGCTTTGTTTACCTGTGCCTTGTAATCCTATTTCTTTCAATGTTGCACCTGAACAGAATATTTACCATCAGCAAATCCACAAATATTTACTCATATTGCCTGAAAATATTCATTTAGCAAATATAATGTTCTAGGCTCTGTTGAATAAGTTAATAAAGAGATGGTTTAGTATGAGAATATGAAGGGAATTATGCATTTGGCTAAACCATCCCCTTGAAGGCAATGGGAAGCATTTAGAATATTTAGTAGGATAATGGTATACTCTGATTTGACGATAGAAAAATCACAAGGCTGGATGTTTGGAGAAGAGCTTGGAAAAAAGTGTGTGAGACTGAATGCAGGGATATTTGTAAAGAGGATTTTGTTGTCCAATCTAGGCAAGAAATAATGAAGGTTGGATCTATCACAATATGAGAAATTGAGAAGTAGGGTAGATAGAAGTTCTCTATTGAAGAGAACCCAACTTGGAGAGAATCAGACTGAAGTTGTGTACTGACAGCAAGAAGGAAAAATACCTAATACACTTGAGAATAAAAAGTCCCTCCATACAGCTCAGGGTGTCAACAGAGACAGAAACACATCAACCCTGGAGTTTTCATGCATAGAAGGAAAGCTAGGCTGGGCAGGGTGGCTCACACCTGTAACCCCAGCACTTTGGGAGGCCGAGGTGGGCGAATCACTCGAGGTCAGGATTTCGAGACCAGCCTGGCCAAGATGGTAAAACCCCATCTCTGCCAAAAATACAAAAATTTGCGGGGCTTATCTTCATACACTCCTGGCCAAATGAGGAATGAGATCTGTTGCTCTGTAGAGCAGAGAAAACAAGGGAAGAAAAGTATGGAGCTAATTGTTTCTGACATAAAGGAAAATTTCCTGACACCTCCTCAGAAAGAAAGATGATCCAAAGCCCAAGAGTATAAGTGAGACGTCAGAGAGTGAGCCCTTATGTCCCTGTAATATAACACATGACCAACTACCACAAATAACTACAACCCTAGCTGAGCTACCCCTCTAACTCTTGCCACATTTAACATCACTTTTTGAGCTCTAGAGAGTTAATTTAAAGAAGTGGAGGTGAATTATTTAGTCTGCATAAAGTAAATTTGAAAGATTTTACTTTGCATCTAGCTAACATTATCAGATTGACTAAGTTCTCTTTTTTCATTTTCCAAGTAAAATACTTATAAAAACACAAAATATGAAATAATAGCAACACTAAAAACTAAAATTGACAGGAAGCTGATTGTTAGAAACTATTAAAAATGCCATGGATAAAATTTGCTAATTAAAATGAATAGTAACCTCATATTATCTAATGGGGGTTACTATATTTATTTACTATTTGATTTACTATTTTTTATATACTAGATAGTTTTATTCACTATCTCTGTCCTGATAGGCTGTATTATGAGAAGAACATATGAAATTATATTAGCAATGATGATAGGCAGAGGTATGATAAACAGAAGGGAAATAAAGTGTGGCCAAATAATGAGATTTACACCATGGGGACTCAAATGATAATATTTAAGTATTGAGTCTGACAATTAAAAACTAAAAAATATATAATTTAAATATAACACTAGTAAAATTTTAAAATAGGGCATTTACTATCACAAATACTGGAGAAACATATGACATATTTTTAAAAACTGAAAAGGAGAAGTATCAAATAATTATTAACAAAAGAATCAAAGAGAAATATAATGAACAGACATAGCAATTGCAATGGCTTAAATTCAACACAAAATCAGTTTGCCTAAAAAAATTAAACAAAATAGCACAGATAAGTTAAAAGAAAAGTGATGGGCCAAGACATTTAGGAAAAGACCAAGAAAAAATTCAGTTAAATAATTAAGTTATATAAGGAAAATCATTTTATGTTGAAAAACATTTCAATTCATAATAAAATGATGACTCTCACAAAACTTCTTTACTGAATAATGCTCTCACAATAGCAAATATGAAAATTAGAAAATGCTAAAGTTGACAGAAATGATAAAGTTGACAGAAAATGCTAAAGTTGACAGAAATAAAGTTGACAGTATTAGAAGTGCATAATAACCCCTCCTTCATATTTTAGCAAATTTGGTAGGCAAAAATTAGCATATAAAGGATATTAATTATACACTCACTTAATTTGTATCATATAGACAATACAGAGTATGTTATACAATATAGGTATCACTCCTTTAAAAATAAAATACAGGATTATAAATCATTTTACTATAAAGACACATGCACACGTATGTTTATTGTGGTACTATTCACAATAGCAAAGACTTGTAACCAACCCAAATGCCCATCAATGATAGACTGGAGAAAGAAAATTAGGCACATATACACCATGGAGTACTATGCAGCCATAAAAAAGGATGAGTTCACGTCCTTTGCAGGGAAATGGATGAAGCTGGAAACCATCATTCTCAGCAAACTAACACAAGAACAGAAAACCAAACACCACATGTTCTCACTTATAAATGGGAGTTGAACAATGAGAACAGATGGACACAGAGAGGGGAACATCACACACCAGGGCTTGTTGAGGGGGTGGGGGACTAGGGGAAGGATAGCATTAGGAGAATTACCTAATGTAGATAACGGGTTGATGGGTGCAGTAAAACACCATGGCACGTGTATACCTATGTAACAAAACAGTGCATACTGCACAGGTACTCCAGAATTTAAAGTATAATAATAATAATAAAATACATAATTGCAAAATCAATAAATTCGACTATATCAATTATCACAAAGAGAATTAGTAGGCAAATTAGACTATTTGGCATCAACAATACAGATAGATATGATTTTGTAAATAAATATTTATATAAATAATTTTTTTTCAATGTTAGCAACCCAATAGAAAAGTGAGCAAAGGACTGACTACCAACAGAAGTGATACAGATATATAACAAAAATATAAATAAATTTTAAGCTCATTATTCATCAAATATATGCAAATTAAAACAGCAATGAAATTAGAATGGCGATCATTAAAAAGTCAGGAAACAACAGGAGCTGGAAAGGATGTGGAGAAATAGGAACACTTTTACACTGTTGGTGGGACTGTAAACTAGTTCAACCATTGTGGAAGACAGTGTGGCGATTCCTCAGGGATCTAGAACTAG
Source organism: Homo sapiens (assembly GCF_000001405.40). Lineage (NCBI taxonomy): Eukaryota > Metazoa > Chordata > Mammalia > Primates > Hominidae > Homo > Homo sapiens. The sequence goes on along the minus strand of NC_000005.10, from coordinate 41,982,295 downwards.
AAATACCATTTGACCCAGCCATCCCATTACTGGGTATATACCCAAAGGATTATAAATCATGCTGCTATAAAGACACATGAACACGTATGTTTATTGCAGCACTATTCCCAATAGCAAAGACTTGGAACCAACCCAAATGTCCAACAATGATAGACTGGATTAAGAAAATGTGGCATATATACACCATGGAATACTATGCAGCCATTAAAAATGATGAGCTCATGTCCTTTGTAGGGACATGGATGAAGCTGGAAACCATCATTCTCAGCAAATTATTGCAAGGACAAAAAACCAAACACCGCATGTTCTCACTCATAGGTGGGAATTGAACAATGAGAACACTTGGGCACAGGAAGGGGAACATCACACACCAGGGACTGTTGTGGGGTGAGGGGAGGGGGGAGGGATAGCATTAGGAGATATACCTAATGCTAAATGAGGAGTTAATGGGTGCAGCACACCAACATGGCACATGTATACATAAGTAACAAACCTGCATGTTGTGCACATGTACCCTAGAACTTGAAGTACAATAAAAATATGTATATTAAAAAAGCAAAAAAAAAAAACCAAAAACCAAAAAAAAGAAATTAGAGGACACCTAACAAATAAATTTTTTAATTATTAAACCAAGAGAGGATGTCATAGGCTGAGCAGTTTCATACACTGCTGGTAGAAAAGATTTCTGGCAAATAATTGAAAAACTATAGCCTTAACAATGTTCACATATTTTCTTTTTATTCAGTAGAGTATACGTTATAGAAATAATACAAAGTATGCAAAAGATTTCTCCATATAAATGTTCCTTGAAATATTAGCAATAAAAAGAAAAAAATCCAAACCCAAAAAATCCATAATCTTCTATTTTGGACTGTTGGAAGGTTTTTTTTTTTAATTTACCATTTAAAAAAAAATTTTAGAATGCATATACTGAACCCCTGAAGTTTTCAGGCAATACTTCATAATCAATCTTGTTAATATTTTGGTTGTGAAATATCTCACTCTAACTGGGATAAATTAACTAATAGCCTCAAATCAGTTCAGTTGAATCTTGCCACCAAATTAAATCATACCAGCTCAGGTGCCACCAAATGAGTTACAAAGATACTTTTCATAGCTATTTGGATTTTAAATTATATATACAGGATTGAGGAATTGTAATGATATAGTATTAAGTTATGAAGTATCCATATGATAGACTATGACTCAGCAGATAAAAATTACAGAATTGAAATATTTTACAGTACAGGGAAAGGCTCTTATATATATCTAGTGAGGATGTTAGTATTTGAAACTGTATAGAGAGTGTATTTCCAATTTTTAATAATATTTATGTGTATAGAAAAGGTCTAAATGACATACTATGAATGTTAGCAGTAGTTCTCTACAAATGTTAGGGTTACAGTTGATTGTTCAGTTTTATTTTTAAATCTTGTCTATATTTTCCAATTGTTTAATAATGAGCATATATTCTTTTTATCTCAGAAAAAAAATACTTGGGTTAAAAGAAACAAAAAAAAAATACACAGGTAGCTAAAGTGTAACCTAAAGTGGTTCTCATATATTTAAGATGCTATTGGATAAATCTAAGTAAATGCTCTTTAATTCACAAAGAAAGGGATGCATACATTTGGCAAAAAAAAACCCATAAAACGTAATTTATTGGCTATAAAGGTGATTAATAGCAATAACAGTTCACTTAGGAATGTTTTGGAATCACAATCCCTAAGAAAGTTTAAATAATTTACAACTCCTGCCTGTATGCTTTTATTTATCATAAGGATGTGTTTTATGTTCCAATTTCCTCCTTTAGAAGAATGTTGATAAATTGGTGATAGTGTGCTATATGGAGATTAAAGAAAACGGAGTAAGGAATGAGAAATTAATTAACTTCAAGATTCTTTCTATCCTTTTTTATTCATTTCATCCTGGAATATGGAGAAATGATAACACAAGAAAGTATTAACCTATACGTATGCTCACTAAAATTCATTATTCCAAATGTTATCCTGAATATATACTGGAGACTTTCTATGAACCTTCCTTGTCTCTTAGTATTTTAGTTCTCAGTCAAAAGTCTTGATGAATAGATTCTGTAATTTTTTTATTTAACACATACCCGCCAAAGCTTTTTACTTTAACATTACCATGAGTGGCTCAGTCTCTTCGTTCCCTAAAAAGACTGGAATTAAAATAACTCTTAAGACTCTTAAGACTATCCCTATATTAAGTTTGCACTAAGCCCCCAGGTTAGGACAGACTGACCTCCTCCTGGCTATTACAAACAAGTTTTAACTGCAAAATAGATTGATGCATCTCTTTGTTTTGTTTTGTCTTTAGATTGATTCATGTAGGCTTATCACAAATTGTTATAATTAAGCCTCTGGTGGTATTTTTGAAAGCAGAAAGAAAGTCTGTGAAGGGCATAGGATCATTTTAAATGTACCTGAAGTCTTTAGCAATAAGAGAGGATACACTTTAGCAGAAGGATGAAGCATGTTGTTATTGCAGACTTCTTGGATAATAGAAAGCCTCAGAATTTAAGGTTGTAGTTTCTAGAAATATAAATAGTAACCAAAAACCAAGGACACATCCTAGCCATGCCAGGGGACTTGCTGAGCTTAACAGTGGTATGCTGGCACCAACTTGCACTGGCTCAGGAAAGCCATTGTGTTCATCTCTTCCTACCTCCACATTGAGTGATGTCATGTTGGTAGTTTGAAACTGGCCATGTTGGGAGTGGTTAAACCACAGATATCATCAAACACTACAAAGTAAGGTTTGTTTGTCTTTTCCTGAGAGGTGATTGTTAAACATTTGCTAACACACAGTTAATGAGGGGGTATAGTTTTGAGAATTTTAATAACATAATCAGTGGTAGGTATGATTGTGCACTATAGCTGTACTACTTCAAGCAACATAATTAACACTGGGTAGAAATAAGTGATAAAGCCAGAGACATAAGAAATGTGGATAGCTTGTCACCTTTTAATAATGAGAAGCAATAAGACCTCTGGAGTACTGAAGAACACAATCCTGACTGAAGACTTTAATCCAACAACTTGAGAGAGTTCTATGACCTATGGTTGTCTGGATGGCAACAGTATTATGCAGATTCACACCAATTAACCAATCTTACCTTGAGAGTAGTGGGCCACAAACTAAGACATAGAGGCAAAATCCAGGCACTGCTTAAACCTTTTGAAATAAAGCTTTATTGCAAAACATTAATGCTCATTTATGCATTGCCTGTAAAAAGACTACACAGTCTACAAGGCTGAAAAAATTTACCATCTAGCGTTTTACAAAAAAAAACAAAAATTGCTGATGCCTGCTTAAGAGGATCAATACCTTTATCCCAATAGAATTAAGGCTCTCATGGAATGTGTCAAGAGGGCTTTGCCCTCAACACCAAGTTCCAAGAATAGAAGCATGATGTATGATGGAATGAAGATTAAAAGTAAACTCAGGAGTTTGGAATCTTGGTCAAAGTCCACAAATTTAAATCAAATAAAAATAAATGTAAAAGACTTGAGCTTAAGTTTTTTTAATGAATAAAAATATATGTTTATTTCATTTTGAAAGAAAAAATTTGGGAAAGTTAGGTGTCTACAGATTATATATGAGAAAAACTTGGCCACTAAATAAAGCCAACACCATCTAAAACAATATCAGTTGAAGTTTAGTAGGTTAAACAAAGTGTCATTCAAAAGTTATTTTCAGAATACTACTTAAGAAATACATACAAACTTAAATATTTAGAAAGAACCCTAAAAAAACCACTTACCAAAATGTTTAAAGTGGTTCTATCTGGGTTTAGAGATTATAAATTCTTTTCTGTTTTCTTCTTTCTATATTTTCTTCATTTCACACTTTTTTAAACAATGTGTTTGTTATTGTGTTTTTAGTACTTTTATAATTTTCTAAGTAATAGAGTTTGAATGTTTGTTCCCTCCAAACCTCATGTTGAAATATAATCTCCAACGTTGGAGGTGTGACCTGGTGCAAGATGTTTTTTTCACAGGGGTAGATCCCTCATAAATGGTTTTACGCCATCCCTTTTACAAAGTGGTGATGAGTGAGCTCTTGCTCTTATAGTTCAAAAGAGGTGTGGTTGTTTAAAAGAGCATGGCATCTCCCCATCTGTATCTTGCTTCCACTCTCACCATGTGACATGCTGGCTTCCCATCAACTTAGGCCATGATAGTAAGCTTCCTGAGGCCCTCACCAGAAGCCAAGCAGATGTTGGCACCATGTTTCTCATTCAGACTGCAGAACTGTGTGCTAATTAAGCCTGTTTTCTTTATAAATGACCCAGTTGTAACTATTCCCTTATAGAGACACAAGAATGGACTAATACAGAAACTTAGTGCCAGAAGTGGGGCATTGCTATAAAGATACCAGAAAATGTGGAAGCAGCTTTGGAGCTGAGCAATGGGCAGAGGTTGGAAGAGTTTGGAGGGCATTGAAGAAGAAAAGAAGATGAGGAAAAGTTTGGAATATTTTAGAGAATGATTAAATCATTGTAACCAAAATTCTGATAGAAATATGGACAGCGACCAGGCATGGTGGTTCATGCCTGTAATCCCAGCACTTTGGGAGGCTGAGGTAGGCAGATCACCTGAGGTCAGGAGTTTTTTGAGAAATATGGACAGTGAAGGCCAGGCTAAGGAGGTCTCAGATGGAAAAGAGAAATTTATTAGGAACTTGAGCAAAGGTCACACTTGTTATGCATTAGCAAAGATCTTGGTTGCCTTGTGTCCAGAGTCTAGGGATCTGTGGCAGTTTGAACTTAACAGTGATGACAGAGTAACTGGCAGAAGAAATTTTTAAGCAGCAAAATGTTCAAGAGTTAGTCTGGCTGCTTCTAACAGCCTGCAATCAGATATGGGAACAAATAAATGACTTAAAGTTGAACCTTATATTTAAAAGGGAAGCAGAGTGTAAAACTCTGGAAAATTTGCAAGCTAGCCATGTGGCAGAGAAAAAAAAGCATTTTCAGGAGAGGAATACAAGCAGGCTGTGGAGGAACCACTTGCTAGAGATATTAGTATGACTAAAAGGGAGCCAAGTGCTCATATCTAAGACCAATGGGAAAAAGACTTCAAAGGCATTGCAGAAGTCTTCAAGGCAGCCCCTCACATCACAGGTTTATAGGCCTAGGAGGAAAGAATGGTTTGGGGGGCCAGATCCAGGGCCCCATTGCCCTTCTCAGTCTCAGAACACTGCTCCCCACATCCCAGCAGCTCTAGCTCAACAGGACCCAGGTACAGCTTGAGCCACAGCTTTGAAGGTCACAAGCCACAAGATTTACTAGCTTCCATATAGTGTTAAGTGGCAGGCACACAGAATGCAGGCATGAAGGAGGCTTGACAGCTTTCTCCTAGATTTCACAGGATGCGAATCCTGTTAACAGGGCTGTATCCCTCACTGAGAATTTCTACTAGGGCCGTGTGAAGAGGAAATGTGGAGCTGGAGCCCCCACACAGACATGGCCTACTGGAGCTGTGGAAAGGAGGCCACTGCCCTTTAGACTCCAGAATGTTAGTCATGGGCAGCTTGCATCCTGAGCCTGGAAAACCTGCAGGTACACACCTCCAATTCATGACAGCATCCACAGGGGCTTCACCCTGCAAAGCCACAGAAGCAGAGCTGCCCAAGGCCTTGGGAACCCACACCTTGCACCAGTGTGCTCTGGATGCAGGACATGGGATCAAAGGAGATTATTTTGGAGCTTTAAGATTTAACGCCTGCCCTGCTGGGTTCCAGACTTGCATGGGGCCTATTACCCCTTTCTTTTTGGCCAATTTCTCCCTTTTGGAATGGAAATGTTTACCCAATGCCTATAATACCATCTTATCTTGGAAGAAAGTGATTTCTTTGATTTGTATTTGATTTTATAGGTTCATCAGTGGAAGGAACTTGGCCTTGAGTCTCAGATGAAACTTTGGATTTGAACTTTGGAACTTTTAAGTTAAGTCTGGAACAAGTTAAGACTTTGGGAAACTATTGCAAAGGCATGATTCTATTTTGAAATGTGAGCAGGTCATGAGATTTGGTGGGTCAGGGGATGAATGATATAGTTTGGACATTTTTCCCCTCCAAATCTCAAGTTGAAAAGTAATCCCCAAAGTTGGACGTGGGGCCTGGTGGGAGATGTTTGGATCATAGAAACAAATCCTTCATGAATGGCTTAGCACTGTCCCCTGGTGATGAGTGAGTTCTCATTCTGGTAGTTCATGTGAGATCTGGTTATTTCAAAGAGCATGGAACCTCTCCCCTCTCTCTTTCTTGCTCCCACTCTCACCATGTGACATGCTGTGTCTTTGTCTCCTTCCACCACGATTGTAAGCTTCTTGAGGCCTCACTAGAAGCCAAGCAGATGCTGGCACCATGCTTCTCATACAGCCTACAGAACCATGAGCCATTTAAATCTCCTTTCTTTATAAATTACCCAGATTCAGGTATTCTTTTATAACAATGCAAAAACAGCCTAACACACTAAGTTTAATTGTAGTGTCCAGATCAAAAAAGTTTATAAAATGTGAATGTAGGTAACACTACTAAACTATATACTTAACAATGGTTAAGATGTTAAATTTTATGTTATGAATATTTTGCCACAAGTTTTTAAAAGCTAATAATAATAAAAGTAGTTTAGTATAGTGAGGTACCAGCTTATTACTTACTATTGAATTGTTCTGTACAATTTTTAGCCCTTCAGAGCCTTATTTTCTCCTCTGTAAGATAAGATTAGTAATAGAACTATATACCATATATACTCTAATATAGTTAACCAGTCTCTCATTAATACACACAATATTCTTTCTATTGAGCAAACTTACTTTAGATCTCTTGCTTCAGTAGAACAAAGCAACAATGGAGTCTAATAAATTCTGGCTTCTACTGTAGATTAGAGAGATCTCATTCTAACAACATATGCTGGGCAAATTCTTAAATCAGAGAGCTGAGCTCATACATCAATTAATTAGTCTTAACTCTATAGAAAGACAATTCCAGCAGGAAGAGATGAGATGTAAGCACTTGCTTCCCTGGGGCAGACAAAGCCAGATGTCAGTAAGAATAATTCAGCTAGAATTGTTAATAAATTAATAGAAGCTAAGTGTGGGCTAGTGAGAGACCATAGAGTCCTAGGGATTGCAGATGAAAGTAAAGTTCTCACCTTTTCTCCATAGACCCCACTAGCACTCATGAAAAAGCCTGGCAAGAGTCCTAAGAATCAACTCTTATGGCACTGGCCTGAAGGTAGGAACTGCAGCTACTGCAGAATGGCACTGGGACCATAGCAGAAACACACTTCAAACTCAGCCTGCCTCCTAAATAGATTAACTCAATCCCTGACACTAAAGGCCTAACAGAAAAAAAGGATACACCCACTTCCAGAAATAAAAACCATTATTTCCTACGTAACATGACTAGTATTTAACAAAAAATGATGAGGAATACAAAAAGTAAGGAAAATAAAACACACATGCATACACACACTACCAAGCAAAAAAGCAATCACCAGAACCAGATTCAGATATGATGCAGATGTTGAAACTAAATGACAGGAAATTTAAAATAAATTTGATTAATATGTTTTAAAGTTCTAAGAGAGAAGGTGAACAACATGCAGGATCAGGCAGGTAATTTCAGCAGAAGGATGGAAAAAAAAAGAATGGATCAAATGGAAATGTTAGAAACAAATAGCACAATAACAGTGACAAAGCATGCCTTCAACTGAGTCATTAGTAGACTTACAAGAATCTAGCAAAAGAATTAGTAAACTTAAAAATAGATTGACAGATATTACTCAGACTGAAACACAAAGAGAAAAACATACCTGGGAAAAAAACATCCAAAAAAACCCAAACAAATAAACAAACAAAAAACAAGAAGAGAGCATCCAAGAGCTGTGGAACAATATCAAACCATCTAACATACATGTAATTGAAATTCTAGAAACAGAAATAGAGAAAAAGGCAACAGAAATACTTGAAGGAAAAAGGCCAAGAATTCTCCAAAATTGATGACAGACACCAAACCACAGTTTCAAGAAGCTCAGAGAACACCAGGAAAGATAATTACACAAACGTACACACCCCAGACCAAGGATACCATCTTAAAACTGCTGAAAGCAAAAGACAAAGAAGAAGTGTTGAGACAACAAAAGAAAAAGGAGGATACATACATACGGAGAAAGAAAGATAACAATTAGAGAGATGATGCAAGCCAGAAGACACTAGTCTAGCTTTACAGTGCTGAAAAACAAAAATTCTCAACCCAGAATTCTATCCCTAGTAATAATATCTTTCAAATAGAAAAATAAAGACTTTCTAAAATAAACAAAAACTAGGAGAATTCATTGCCAGCAGGTTTATATACTATATAAATGTTAAAGAAAATTTTTCAGGCAGAAGTTTAATGGGTCTAAAAGATAATCAGCTATTTAAAGCAAAAATATTAGCTTTAACCCATTATCAACCCATTATGTATTAATAGCTTATGTAAAAGTAAAAAGAATGACAATAGCAACAAAAGATTGAATGTGTAAAAAGTAATGGGATTGCTGGATCAAATGATAGTCCTGTTTTAAGTTCCTTGAGAAATTGCCAAACTGCAGATGCTGTCTCACCCAGGCTGGAGTGCAGCGGCATGAACACAACTCACTGCAGCCTCAACCTCATGGGTTCAAGCAATCTTCCCCACTCAGCCTCCTGAGTAGCTGGGACCTCAGACATGCACCATGAAATCTGGCTAGTTTTTTTTATTATTTTTTGTAGAAACAGGATCTCACCATGTTGCCCAGACTGGTCTCAAACCCCTGGGCTCAAGCAATCCTCTCGCCTCACCATTCCAAAGTATTGGGATTATAGGCATGAGCCTATTTTAATAATAGCCATTCTGATTGTTGTGAGATAATATCTCATTGTGGTTTTGATTTGCATTTCTGTAATGATTAGTAAGGAGGAACATTTTAAATATGCGCGTTGGGTGCTTGTATGTTGTCTTTTGAGAAGTGTCTGTTCATGTCCTTTGCCCATTTTTCAATGAGTTTGGTTTGGTTTTTGCTTATTGTTTAAGTTCCTAATAAATATGAGATATTAGATCTTTGTCAGATGTATACTTCAAAAATATTTTTTCCCACTTTGTAGGTTGTCTGTTTACTTTGCTGATAGTTTCTTTTGCTGTGCAGTAACTCTTTAGTTTAATTAAGTCCCACTTGTCAACTTTTGGTTTTGTTGATACTGCTTTTGGAGTCTTCATCATGAAATCTTTGCCAAGGCATATGACCAGAATGAGATTTCCTAGGTTTTCTTCTTGGGGTTTTTATAGTTTTGGGTCTTACATTTAAGTCTTTAATGCATTTTGAGTTGATTTTTGTATATGGTGAAAGAAAGGGGTCCAGTTTCATCTTCTATTTATGGCTAGCCAGTTATCCAGCACTATTTATTGAATAAGGAGTCCTTTTCCCATTGCTTGTTGTCAGTTTTGTTGAGGATCAGATGGTTGTATGTGTGTGGCTTTATTTCTGGGTTTTCTAGCTCGTTCCATTGGTTTTATGTGTCTATTTTCTTACCAGTACCATACTGTTTTGGTTACTGTAGTCTTGTAGTATAGTTTGAAGTTGGGTAATGTGATGCCTCTGGCTTTGTTCTTTCTGCTTAGGATTGCTTTGGCTATTCAGGCTTATTTTTTTGGTTCCATATGAATTTTAGAATAGGTTTTTCTTTAATTCTGTGAAAAATGTCATTGGTGGTTTGATAAGAATAACATTGAACTTGTACATTGCTTTGGACAGTATGGTCATTTTAACAATATTGATTTTCCATTTGTTTGTATTATCTCTTGTTTCTTTCAGCAGTGTTTCTTAATTTGCATTGTGGAAATCTTTCACCTCCCTTGTTAGCTATATTCCTAGGTACTTTATCTATTTTGTGGCTACTGTGAATAGCATTATGTTCTTGATTTGGCTCTCAGTTTGGACACTACTGGTGTATAGCAACGCTACTAATTTTTATACATTGATTTTTATACCCTGAAACATTACTGATGTTATTTGTCAGTTCTAAGAGCCTTTGGGCAGAGACTATGGGATGGGGTTTTTTAGGTATAGAATTATATATCTTCTGTAAAGGGAAATAATTTTACCTCCTCTCTTCCTATTTGGATGCCTTTCATTTCTTTCTCTTGACTGATTGCTCTGGCTAGGACTTTCATACTATGTTGAATAGAGGTGATGAGAGTGGGCATCCTTGTCTTGTATATGTTCTCAAGGGGAATGCTTCCAGATTTTGCCTGTTTAGTATGATGTTAGCTGTGGGTTTGTCATAAATGGCTCTTATCACTTTGGGGTATAGAACTGAGAAATTATGATCTAGGCTTTGAAAAGAGAGTAGAAAGAAGATGTGCATGTTTTTGAAAATACATATTTATAAAATGAAATAAGTAAGAGTGTAAAGAACCTAATCACAATTATTGACAGCCATCTGCACATAAATTCTTTGTAATTTATTTTAATCAATCTATTTCTTCCTTTAATAAACTAAACATAATGTAACAGAGAAGAAAATGATAGAACCAAAACTATAAAATGCTAGAATAGAGAAAGAAACATTTTACCTATTTTAAGATTCATACTAAAATGCACATAATCAGGAAAGAAGATGAGGACACTAGATGATTTATGACCCTATGGAGTGGTCTTTATAATAACAATCAAGGCAATCATTATTTCCAGGAAGATTATCTAGCATATGAAATGCTAGTCATGCATAGAATTATTATTAGGCCAAAAATATTTTTCTTTCATATCTTAATTCTTAGCAGGAAATACACTCCATTAAAAAGTAATCAGTTGACAAAAAGTAATCTGTTAAATTGGTTAACTTTTTATTATCTTGTTTGTACTTTTAAAAAGTATAGTTACAGAAGCAGCACATATGCACTATAGGAAATTTTTGAATTTAATTAAATCAATTTAATTACCATCAGTGTCCACCAATGCTCATCACCTTAATGTTTACCTTTCCAGGTCTTTATACACACACACACACATACACACACACACACACACACACACACACCTCTCTCTAGTTTTACATCAATATAAAATTTTATTGTACATACCATTCCTCAATCTGGTTTTGTTTTTTTAGTAACTTTCTCTTTCAGTACATTTTATCTCATCTACTGCTGAGACTATGTTCAAAATTCCCCCAGTTGACCCAAAAAATATTACATACAGTTTATTTGTCCATTCAAATATCAAATGTAGGATCCAATCTTGCATTTGGTTTTATATTTGTTAAATTTCTTATAATTGATTACAATCTCTTTTTCATAATACTAACTTTTTAAAAATCCCAAGCCAATTACATTCTGTAGAATATTCCTGAATTTGTCTGGTTGCTTTGCCATACTATTATTGAACTTGTTAGCCCATATCCTATATTTCCTGTCTATAGTCTATATTCTGTATTGTATATTATGTTAGAAGCTTAATAAATTTAAATTATTTTTGCCAATAACAATTAAAGTGATGGTGTATACTTCATGTAGCATCATACCCAATGTCACATAATATCTGGTTAACCATCATTGGTGGCACTATGACTGATAAATTCTTACACTAAGTTATTTTGTTTTTCCCATCCACTATACAGATAAGCTTTTTTCCTTGTGGTTAAAAACTAATCTATTAGGGTTTTTTTTTTTAACAATTAACCAATGACCAGTTTATCATCAATCATTTACTTAATGGTTTTGACACCAATTAATATTTCCTCTTAATCTAATAATATCATTTGGGCCTGTAAAATTACATTTTCTATAATTTCTTGCATATTTTATAACTGGTTTTCTTCTGTTATACAGAACTTTTTCTCAAATATTAGGAAAATTGGTTAACAGGTGAAGATATAATAAATGGAATTCTCATACACCCCTGATGGGAATATTTGTACCACCTCTTTGGAAAACAATCTGCCATTATCTAGCCAAGGTAAAGATATATACAATCTATGACCCAGCATTTCCATTTTAGGTTTAGCATTTTTCAATTTCAGGATACTCCACTTAAAATCAGATATCTACTGCTGTAAATTAGGCATCTATAAGTGCTAATTGAGAACCAAATTCTCAATATTTTAAATGAGAAAAATGATAATGTTTTATATATCAACTCAAAACTTCAACCAATTTTCTAAAACAGAACTAATTCACAGTAAAATGCCTATATATAACAACCAATCATGTTTGGATGTAAAAAGATTTAAATGTTCATTAAATGGTTGCTTTGTATACAGTAACCACAGTACTATGGCCTTTATTGATTCTCAGCTATACCTTTCACAGCATTTACACTTAATTCTATTTAAAATAGAACTCAAGATTTCACTCTTATCCCCACCTTTTTTTCACAACACACACACATTGTTTTGTTTAAAATGTAGTATTGAGCTTTGGGGGCATGACTGCACATTTTTGTGTGTGTGTAAGACATCAGCAAGTAATATATTGCAAAGACACCTACATTCTGAAGTTTGGATTTTAAAATCCAAGAGGTGCTTCACCAGGAAAATGTTAAGGTGTGCAACTCACCATTTATCCTAAATACATCCACACACATGCATTTGTAGCAGCATTGTTTACAGTAATCAAAAACTGTCAACATCCTCAATGTTCACTTATAGTAGCATGCATGAATTATGAAATATTCATATAATGGGAGAGTATATTAAAAAGAAAATGATATAGCCAAATATTATAGTATGGATTACCTCCAGAAACATGAACCAATACATTCCTGTTCATTTTAAATTATCTAGTCTGAGATGTTCTATCAGCACAAAATTGATTAAGACATAGGGATACCTCCAGGGTGGAGGGATAGAACTGTAATTGGGGAGAACGGCATGAATAGACTGGATATGTGTTTTGGAATGCTGCCAGTTTTACTTTTTGACTTAGGTTACACAAGTGTTTGTTTTATAAGCACTCATTAAACTACAATATATTTTCATGAACTCTTCTGGAAATGTATATGTTTCAGAGTAAGAAAAGGAAAAAGTGAGTGGAAAAGGTAAGCTTAGGTATTAATAAAGGAGATAGGATTACAGGATGCTGCTAAGGGGCACCAACCCTTGGCTGCTCTATCTGACCGTATGTCAACAAATGTGTGACAACTGTAGAGTATAAAAAGAAGGTTACCCAAAATAAGACAGGGACAAAACCATTTGCAAAAGAGCTTGCACTTAGAAAAACAATACATTTGTTGGATTGGAACTTTATAGATAAGAAAACCTTCAATATAAATAACACGCTTTAAAAATATCTAGAAGATAAAAACTGAAAATTTCCATGGGAACAGAATGGGCATTCATAAAATCATAAGATGTAAGAATACCATGAACTGAGGGTTTGTGCAACAAATCCTGCAATTTTCAAAACATGAGGATGTCAATGAAATTCAAAAGAAATCATTTTCAACAATTAAAAAAATTTACATAGAGGGTAATAACTTTGCAGTAATTTATTATTATTACGTATTCTTAAATTTCGGTATGTAACAGAAAAAAAAATCGAATACTTAGGTACCAAGTCAGAATATTTAAAAAAAGGTGTTTAATCATTTCATAACTAGTTGAAATTTAGTTTAAAATGAATGTTTTTCAGAACTTTAACCAGGCTGGGACACAAAGGCAAAAAAGTTGAAAAGCATTTGCCCAGCTACTTCTGATTCCCAACGTGTTGCCCCCTGCTGGGAGACTGTGTCACAGCTAATCCCATTAATACTACTTTTCTGCGGAACTTAATTTTTGTAAAAAATTCCACCTTCATTTCCATAAATGAAACGTACCTATCTTCCTTCAACAAAACTTTATTTAAAATCACTGTCAGCCGAGCGCGGGCACCGGCGCGGGCTATGGCTGCGACTTCCCTCATGTCAGCGTTGGTCGCCGGCTGATCCAGCCCGCTCAGAGCTGCCGCCTCTGTCCTCGCCCTTTCCACCTCGCGGCAGTTCCTTTGAACTCCCTCGGACGAGCTCTTACTGGTTCCGATAACTCTCACTGCTCTTATGAGCTAAGCTTTTGCACCAACTGAACAGCTGGCCAACCTAAAAATTGTTGCCTTTGCAGTCAGATACTCACTCTTGGTCTGTCAGCTTTGGATGAAGCAGTGGGGTTCTTGGGAAGAACCCATTGCCAACTAAATGAAGCTGTTGTCAGGAAACTGGCCCAGTGGATCAAGCAGGAAGTGCGGCAGGAGGTGGAGGAGCAGGTGGCCTCTGGCAACAAAGGGCCATGCCTGAGCGTGGCTCTGGTCAGCAAAACTCCTGCAAGTCTCTGCCATATCCTCAACAAAACCAGGGCAGCTGCAGATGTGGGAATCAACAGTGAGATAATTGTGAAACCAGCTTCAATTTCAGAGGAAGAATTGTTGAATTTAATCAATAAATTGAATAATGATGGTAATGTAGATGGCCTCCTTCTCCACCTGCCTCTTCCAGAGCACATTGATGAGAGAAAGATCTGCAATTCTGTTTTTCCAGATAAGGATGTTGATGGCTTTCATGTAATTAATGTAGGGTGAATGTATCTGGACCAGTATTCCGTATACCAGCTACTCCATGCAGTGTGTGGGAAATAATTAAGCAAACTGGCATTCCAACCCTAGGGAAGAATGTGGTTGTGGCTGGAAGGTCAAAAAATGTTGTAATGCCTATTGCAATGTCACTGCACACAGATGGGGTGCATGAACGTCACGGAGGTGATGCCACTGTTATAATATCTCATTGATATACCCCCAAAGAGCAGTTGAGGAAACATACAATTCTTGCAGATATTGTAATATCTGTTGCAGGTGTTCCAAATCTGATCACAGCAAATATGACCAAGGGAGAAGCAATAGCATTGATGTGGGAATAGATACAGTTCAAGATCCTGTAACTGCTAAACCTAAGTTGGTTGGAAATGTGGATTTTAAAGGAGTTAGGCAAAAAGCCAGTTATATCACTCCAGTTTCTGGAGGTGTTGGCCCTATGACAGTGGCAATGCTAATGAAGAATACCATAATTGCCACAAAAAAAAAGTGCTGAGGCTTGAAGAACGGAAAGTGCTGAAGTCTAAAGAGCTTGGAGTAGCCACTAACTAACTCTTGTGTCTTCTATATCACCAAAAGCACTTCAAGCCAGCTCAAGAAACAAAGCAAGCCGAGAGAAACGTGATTTTTTTTTATTTTTTCCACTGAAATGGTTTAAAATGATGCTTTGCATTTATTGAAAGCTTTCATGGGTGTGTGTGACATAGCTCTGCAGTACCTCACTAGGAAGCATTACAGTATCATGCAGGGTCAAGGGATCTACCCAAGAGCAGCCATTAACCTTGTGACTAACATGGGAGACATTGTCATATTGAGAATGAATGCTTAACTTTGTCAAGCCACCTCTGTTAAAAATTTGCCTTTTCTAGGATTGCACTTCTCTAGTGCTATTCCTATAAGCATCGATAATCATTTTAGGTACCAAACCTTTTGAGTTCAACTCATCAAACCAGAGGAAAAATTAGGGAAAAGAGGAAAAAGAAAAAAATGGTAGTAACTGAGTAGAAAGAAAAAAATAATCTATATACGTATCGATTGGTAACCAGGTCTGTCTAAGTAGAACTGAACCGGCTAGGAAAAAAATAAAAACTACATGTTAATCATTTTCCTAAGTTGTCTTTTTGAGGTTTAGTCAGTCATTGGGAAAGTGTTAAGGATTGTTCCTTGCTTTTAGTCCTCATTTTATGTATGTTACCCCTTAGTAAGATCTCCCCACTTTAGTTTTCTAGGATTTAAAGGTTTATTTTATAAATTATTCATGTGTATTGTCATACTTGGCTTTTGCTATACAGTTTAACTTCATTGTTAAAGTTTTGTGTTGTTAGGGAATATCTGTATAGTTTCTTTGGTGTATCTTTTTTTTAATTATAAGTAGGATTATTTTTATTTTTTATTATACTTTAAGTTTTAGGGTACGTGTGCACAACGTGCAGGTTAGTTACATATGTATATATGTGCCATGTTGGTGTGCTGCACCCAGTAACTCATCATTTAACATTAGGTATATCTCCAAATGCTATCCTCCCCCTTGCCCCCACCCCACAACAGGCCCTGGTGTGTGATGTTCCCCTTCCTGTGTCCATGTGTTCTCATTGTTCAATTCCCACCTATGAGCGAGAATATGCAGTGTTTGGTTTTTTGTCCTTGTGATAGTTTGCTGAGAGTGATGGTTTCCAGCTTCATCCATGTCCCTACAAAGGACACGAACTCATCATTTTTAATGGCTGCATAGTATTCCATGGTGTATGTCCCACATTTTCTTAATCCAGACTATCATGGTTGGACATTTGGGTTGGTTCCAAGTCTTTGCTATTGTGAATAGTGCCACAATAAACATACGTGTTCATGTGTCTTTATAGCAGCACGATTTATAATCCTTTGGGTGTATACCCAGTAATGGTATTTCTAATTCTAGATCCCTGAGGAATCGCCACACTGACTTCCACAATGGTTGAACTAGTTTACAGTCCCACCAACAGTGTAAAATTGCTCCTATTTCTCCACATCCTCTCCAGTATCTGTTGTTTACTGACTTTTTAATGATCGCCATTCTAACTGGTGTGAGATGGTATCTCATTGTGGTTTTGATTTGCATTTCTCTGATGTCCAGTGATGATGAGCATTTTTTCATGAAATAAAAGAGGATACAAACAAATGGAAGAACATTCCATGCTCATGGGTAGGAAGAATCAATATAGTTAAAGTGGCCATACTGCCCGAGGTAATTTATAGATTCAATGCCATCCCCATCAAGCTACCAATGACTTTCTTCACAGAATTGGAAAAAAATACTTTAAAGTTCATATGGAACCAAAAAAGAGCCCATATTGCCAAGTCAATCCTAAGCCAAAAGAACAAAGCTGGAGGCATCATGCTACCTGACTTCAAACTATACTGCAAGGCTACAGTAACAAAAACAGCATGGTACTGGTACCAAAACAGAGATATAGATCAATGGAACAGAACAGAGCCCTCAGAAATAATGCTGCATGTCTACAACCATCTGATCTTTGACAAACCTGAGAAAAACAAGAAATGGGGAAAGGATTCCCTATTTCATAAATGGTGCTGGGAAAACTGGCTAGCCATATGTAGAAAGCTGAAACTGGATCCCTTCCTTACACCTTATACAAAAATTAATTCAAGATGGATAAAAAACTTAAATGTTAGACCTAAAACCATAAAAACCCTAGAAGAAAACCTAGGCAATACCATTCAGGACATAGGCATGGGCAAGGACTTCATGTCTAAAACACCAAAAGCAATGGCAACAAAAGCCAAAATTGACAAATGGGATCTAGTTAAACTAAAGAGCTTCTGCACAGCAAAAGAAACTACCATCAGAGTGCACAGGCAACCTACAGAATGGGAGAAAATTTTTGCAATCTACTCATCTGACAAAGGGCTAATATCCAGAACCTACAATGAACTCCAACAAATTTACAAGAAAAAAACAAACAACCCCATCAACAAGTGGGCGAAGGATATGAACAGACACTTCTCAAAAGAAGACATTTATGCAGCCAAAAGACCCATGAAAAAATGCTCATCATCTTTGATGTATCTTAAAATCTATTTTTGAAAAAAAAAAAAAAACACTTGGCTTGAAAATCATTTTGTGGCTTGGATAAGTATGCAAGTTACTTTTCCACCAAAGAATTTTCAGCAGCTGCCTGCTTTTCTGTGATGTATCCTGTTGTCTTTTCCAAAATATTTTTAAGAGTTTGAGTTAATATTGATTTTAATCAGACTTTCTGATTAAAGGTTTTTTTTTATTAAAACACATCTGTCTGCTGTGGTATGAAAAAAAGAGAAATCACTCTAAGTTGTTAATAAGGTGAAGATGCCTATGATATACTTTCAAGTAAAGTAAAAAAAAATCAATCTCTTTTTGCATTTACAAAGAAAGCAATAAAATGGCAAACCATATATTATCAATTGGCATTGGATTATTCAGAGTACAAGAAAGACTAAAATCTGAAATATTTTAAAGTAATTTTAACAACAAATGTTCAAGGCTGGATACATGAGCAATGAAAATATATTTGAAAATTACATCTTTCTAGATATTTGCTTTTGTTTACTACTCATAATTAAACAGTCAACATCAGAGGAATTTCCTTATTTCAATGATGCTGCCATCACTCAAAATCAATTTTGAATTGCTTGTGTAATATTGCCTTCAAAAGGTACCTAGAAGAAGCATAAAAAATCATCCTGACTGCTCTGAGTGCAATGGTGTTTACAACTAACCGATCACAACCAGTTGCAGATTTATTTGTTCTTTTTCCACACTCACTGCTTCAGTTGACTAGCCTTTAAAAAAAAATTCTAATTATTTCATTACAGTTGACCTGTGAACCATGTAGGTTTAAACTGCACAGGTCCACATATACATGGATTTTATTCCATCTCTGCTACCCCAAGACATCAAGACCAACCCTTCCTCTTCCTGCTCCTCCTTAGCCTACTCAATATGAAGACAATGAAGATGAAGAATTTTATGATGATTCACTTCCACTTAATGGATAGTAAATATATTTTCCCTTTCTTGTGATTTTCTTGATAACATTTTATTTTCTCTAGTTTTTTAATTGTAAGAATACAAGACAAAATACGTATACAAAATATATGTTAATTGACTGTTTACATTATCAGTAAGACTTCTGGTCAAAGTAGGTTATTAGTAGCTAAGTTTTGGGAAAGATGTTTGACAATGTGGGGGATCAGCCCTAACCCTCACGTTGTTCAAGAGTCAACTGTACAAAAAACATAATTAATCACCACCATTATTTACAAACTTGGTTTTGAATGTCACTCTTATTTTAGAGCAGATGTAATTTTGGAATTAGTGAAAGATTTCCTACCACCGAAGGTATTTAAAAAAAAGATTAATACCTCCAATATATTCTAAAAGAATAATTTCAAAACATTTTTAATCAACATATATAGCATATATATTATGTGTAGTGTGTGTATATATAGTATATATATTATATATGTGTGTGTATATATGTTGAAAGAGAAAAATGATCATTTATATGTAAACTATCAGGTATTACCTTCTGCTTAGAATGTAAAAAGTCACAAGAAAATGTCATTCCCAACCTAACAACAGTAACCAGCCAGATAATATGTAAAGTCATGGTTTGAAAAAAATTTATCAGAGTGCTAAGAATGAGGGATAAAACCTAATGACTTAAAATCCAAAAAGTTACACACCTCTCTTTGGAGTGAAGAAATCTAACAGTTTCTGTCATTTTTGGTGAATCAGTGGAAAAGGGAGAAAGCTGTCAGATAAATGGGAAATGAGAAAACTGATGAACATTTAAGGAATTTTTATTGACCAAGTGTGGGATGGCATGATGATTTGGAGTCCCCAGAACAGAGAGTATGCCACTTGCCAACACTTTTCAGAGGCATTCACAGAGTACTCATGAGAAATATTGGGCCGGGGTAGGAATGCTAAGAGAAACTTTCAAGTGTTTGAACTTCACACCCAGTACAAGGTAGGAGGCACTTACCTTTGGTGGAAGAGGGTCAGGAATACTGGAAGAGACTTGCCGCACTGACACACAGTGTGCAGGACCTCATGAAATCTAAGGGCAAGGCATAAGAACGAAGATAAACCCTCTGGGCTTTACACTGAGTAAAAGACAGTGATGACCTGTGGCTAAGAGAAGAGCAGGAAAGCTAAGATAAACTCTCCTCTGAGATGCAAGTGTAGGGGGATTGCTGGAGTCTTCAGGCAACACAAAAACCTGAACAAAATTCTCTAGGCACTCAGGGCCCCCACTGATGCATTGGTTGATTTTGGTGGAAGCTAAGGCAGGATAGCTAATAAGAATCCCTCTGAGATGCAGACAAGCAGGGACTGAGAAAGACTGAAAGCAAAACAAAAAAATGGAAACAAATCCTTCAGATGCTCAGGTCCCAAATCTAGCTAAAACGAAGGCACAGATCCCATTCTCAAATTATTTGCAGCCTGTGGTAAAATAAGTCTAAAGAAACTTTCATATGCATATATCAAAACATAATCAAAATGGCAGAGTAGGAGGTACCAGCCTTCATTCACCTACAAATAAACAAATACAGACAGCTAGCCACAAACCAAAATATCCCAGAGAAGTCTGAAAGGCCCACTAAAGAGTCTGTGGCAACAGAGTGGAGCAAAAATATTGGGAATATGCACATAGAAAAGATTGCTGGTGAAATTAGCATACTTGAGATGCCAGGAGAGAGCAAGGAACAAAGAAGAAAGACAAAGGCTGTTGCTATCAGTTGCATGGCAGGAACCATTGAGTTTCCTAGCAGTCAGCTCCATAGGGGACACTGGCTACTTTTGCCACTAAGGCAACAAACAGCTGTTCTTGTCCAGGAACGCCAGAAAAGGAGATGTGTCTGCACACTTCTCCACCACCCAAGAAGCTGACACCTCTCCCAACCATACAAGTGCCCTGCCCATAAGCCATATTGAGCTAGTTAGCACTCTGGGACCCAGAGCCAAACTCTTTCTGCACATAGTTTCATTCCAGGTACTGACTTAGATACCATAGGGATCTTGTCTCTACCTTGACTTCAGAGCCACTTTAACTCTGCATAAGCCTGTGCTCCCATGCTTAACTCTATGGCTGCTGCACAAGCACCTGCACATCACATGCTGTTACTGACAGGGGAGCAGGGGTCCCTGAGCCCTAGACACCTGTGCCATTATCATTCTGGATTCCAGAACCATAGTCCCTCCAGGCATGCTCATGCTTTAGGCCTCAACTTAGTGACTACTCCATGAGCACCATGATCAGACACCAGTGCCACTGCCAACTTGAGTGGGACTGCAAAGTAGACCCAGTGTGAAGAGGAATCTCTTCAGCCACAACTTCCCCAGTGAGAGAAAAAAAGATTGGGAGGACCTTAGCAGCCATCACCATCAAACACTGCAATGACTTTCACTGCCACTGTGGATATCCACACCATTGGCCACTGAAGATGCCTGTAACCTTCATCAACATTGACCTCAGCAGACAGGGATGTTGAGGTGAATACACAGCTTTGACCCCATTGGTGACAAATCACTGCACCCCACGCAGAAACGGCCTCTGACCTCCCTATAGGGAGAGATCTTTCCACAGAAAAATTAGCACGTAAAGTAAGGAAGAGGAGAATACTCCACCAAATCTGCAGACATCAATAGAAGGCAAGAAGAAACAAAACAACCAAGGAGACATAACACCATCAAAAGAACACAATTTTTCAGTAACTACCCCAATGAAGATATATGAACTCCAAATGTAAATATTCAAACTTGCCTAATAAATAATTCAAAATTATTATTTTAAGGAAATTCCATAAACTTCAAGAAAATACAGAGAAATAATACAATAAAATAAAAAAAGACCAAAATAAAAAATTTATCAAAGAGATTAAAATTGTAAAACAAAAACAAACAGAAATTCTGGAGCTGAACATCACAATGAATGAAATGAAAAATGCAATAGAGAACATCAACACCAGAATAATTCACCATGATCAAACAATAAATGTGATATAATACATTAACAGAATAAAGGACAAAAACCATATAATCATCTCAATTAGTGCAGAAAAGGCACAAACAAAATTCAACATCCTTTCATCATAAAACTCCCAACAAATGAGATATATAGAAGAAATGTACCTCAACACAATAAAGACCATATATGAGAAGCCCACAGCTAATATCGTACTCAATGGTGAAAAGTTGAAAGTTTTTCCTCTAAGATCAGAAGTAAGACAAGAATGTTCATTATTGACACTTCTGTTCAATATAGTACTGGAATTTATAGACAGAGCAAGCTAGACAAAAGAAAAATAAAGGCATCCAAATCAGAAAGAAAAAAGTTAAATTATTTCTGTTCATAGATTACATTATATATAGAAAACCCTAAGGACTCTGCCAAAAAAAACTGTTAAAACTAATAAATTCAATAAAGTTGCAGAATACAAAATCAACATACAGAAATCAGTAGTATTTCTACACGTTAACAAAAAGCTGTAAATAAAAAAATCAAGAAAACAATTCCATTAATTATAGCCACCAAATAAATAAAATACTTAGGGATATATTCACCTAAGAAGGTGAAAGATCTGTACACAGAAAACTATAATACGCTAATGAAGAAAATTGAACAATGCACAAATAAATAAAAAGATATCCCATGTTAATGGATTGGAAGAATTAATGTTTTTAAAATGCCCATTCTACCCAAAGAGATCTACACATTCAAAAAAATCCCTATACAAATTCCAATGACATTTTTCATAGAAATAGAAAAAAAATCCTAAAATTTATATGAAACCACAAAAGACTGAATAGCCAAAGCAATATTGAGCAAAAAGAACAAAGCAGGAGGCATCACACTACCTTATTTCAAAATCTACTAGAGAATTATAGTAATTAAAACAGCCTGGTACTGGCATAAAAATAGACACCTTGACCAATGAAGCAGAATAGAGAGTCCAGGAATAAATCCACATATTTATTGTCAATTTTTGGCAAAGATGTCAAGAACTCACAATAGGGAAGAGTTTCTTCAATAAAGACTGAATTTTCACATGCAGAAAAATGAAAATAGACCATCGTCTCAAAGCACATGCAAAAATTGATCTAAAATGGATTAAAGACAAATATAATACCAAAAACTATAACACTACTGGAAAAAAATGGAGGGAAAGCTCCATGGCATTTATCTAGGCAAGGACTTTTTAAAATACGGCCCTAAAGCACAGGCAACAAGAAGATAAATAGAATTCTACCAAAGTGAAAAACTTTCGCAAAACAAAGAAAAAAAGTCAACAGAGTAAAGAGACAACATATGGGATGGGAGAAAATATCTGAACACCATAGATCTCATAAGGAGTTAATATCCAAAAGATATAAGAAACTCAAACAATTAAATAGTAAGAAAACAAATAACCTGACTTGAAACTGAGCAAAAAACTTGAACTGACATTTCTCAAAAGAAGATATACGGATGGCTAATGGGTGTATAAAAAATGCTCAACACCACTAATCAGAGAAATGCAAATAGAACTACAGTGAGAGATCATCTCACATCTGTTAGAATGGCTACTATCAAGAAGAAAGAAGATAACAAATGTAGGTGAGGATGCAGAGAAAAGAACTTTTGTATGTTGTTGGTTGGAATGTAAATTAGTACAGTCATTATGAAAACCAGTATGGCGTTTCCTTAAAAATATAAAAATAGAACTACCATATGATCCAGCAATCCTGCTACTGGATCTGTATCCAAAGGATATGAAATCAGTATGTCAAAGAGATATTTGCACTCCCTTATTTGTCGCAGCATTATTTACAACAGCCAAAATGTGAAATCATCCTAAGTCCATCAACAGATAAACGAATTTAAAAAAATTCTATGTGTATATACAATGGAATACTGTTCCATTCTTTGAAAAGAAGGAAATCTTGTTATTTGTGATAACATGGATGAACCTGGAGTACATTATATTAAGTGAAATAAGCCAAATGCAGAAAGACAAATACTGCATGATCTCACTTACATGTGGAATGTAAAAAAGCCAAATTTATAAAAACAGAGTTAAATGGTGGTTACCAGAAGAAGGGGGATGGTGAGATTGGGGAGATGTTGGTCATAGGTCACAAAATTTCGGTTAGACAAGAGGAATGAATTCAAGAGCTCTATTGTACTCATGTTTACTACAATTAATAACAACTTATTGTATACCTAAAAATTGCTGGCTGGCAGGGCTGCTCACGCCTATAATCCCAGCACTTTGGGAGGACAAGGTGGGCGATCACGAGGTCAGGAGATCGAGACCATCCTGGCTAACATGGTGAAACCCTGTCTCTACTAAAAGTACAAAAAATTAGCCAGGTGTGGTGGCGGGCGCCTATAGTCCCAGCTACTCAGGAGGCTGAGGCAGGAGAATGGCGTGAACCCGGGAGGCGGAGCTTGCAGTGAGCTGAGATTGCGCCACTGCACTCCAGCCTGGGTGACAGAGCGAGACTCCGTCTCAAAAAAAAAAAAAAAAAAAAATTTGTTAACAGACTAGATTTAAGAATTCTTAACATAAAAAATAAGTATGTGAGATAACGTATATGTTAAATAGCTTGATTTAGCCATTCTACAATGCATATATATATTAAAACATCTTATTGTGCCCCATAAGCATATATAATTTTACTCATCGATTTAAAAGTACATAAAATTTTAAAAAGAAACAAGCCCAGACCCAACTAAATTATGGACTAGATTAACTCATATCTCCACGTTAGTTGTCTGAAAAAGAAATAATGTGCCTTTTTCTGAGTGTAAATGTATTTGCTTCAGTGTATTGTTCTATTATATATAATATCAAATTTCCAATATAAAATATGAGGTATGGAAGAAAGAAGAAAATGTGATCCATTGTCAAGAGAGGAAAAAGTCAACAAATCTCAATCCAAAGATGGCCCAAGTGTTAAAATTATCAAAGAGGGACTTTAAAATATGATAAATATATTAAAGGATCTCGTGGAAAAAGTGTACACATAGGGAATTTTATCATAGAATTGAAACCTATGAAAAAGAACCAGATGAAGATCCTAGAAATGAAAGATGAAATAATAGATACATAATTATGTTGATGGATTCATTATGCTAAATATTCAGCATACTAATAATCAGAGCAAGGATTATTATAATTATTGTTATTAATATAGTTAATATAATTATAATATAATTATATAATTATAGAAATCGTATTATATAAGTATAATATAATCATAATTAAATAATTATAATTATTCAGCATGCTAATAATCAGAGGAAGGAATCAGTGAATTTGTAGAAAACATAAATTATTCAGACTAAAACACAAAGAGAAAAAACTGTAAAGGAAAAGAATAAGGACATCCAAACTGTTATAGATTATCAAATAAGTTATCATATGTGTAGTTGGAGTCCCAGAACAAGAAGATAGAATAGACCAGAATAAATATTGAAAGAAATAATGGATGGCAATTTTCCAAAACTGATGAAAGACATCAACCACAGATCTTAGAAGTTGAATGAAATCTAGTAATAGTAAATACAAAGAAAACCACACCTCACTCCATCATGGTGAGAGCCCTACAATATAGAAATCATTAGAAAATATTGAAATCAAAGAAAAAAAGGCCAGGCGCAGGGGCTTAAGCCTGTAATCCCAGCACTTTGGGAGGCTGAGGCAGGTGGATCACCTAAGGTCAGGAGTTCGAGACCAGCCTGGCCAACATGGTGAAACCCAGTCTCTACTAAAATACAAAAATTAGCCATTTGCAGTGGTGTGTGCCTGTAATCCCAGCTACTTGGGAGGCTGAGGCAGGAGAATCACTTGGACCAGAGAGGTGGAAGTTGCAATGGGCTGAGATCTCGCCACTGCACTCCAGCCTGGGTGACAGAGCAAAATACCATCTTTAAAAAAAAAAAAAAAAAGAAGAAGAAAAAAAAATTACATACAAGGAAAAATAATGACAGCTGACTTCTTATCAGAAAAAAAATTGTAAGAAACAGAACAATGAAATATCATCTTTAAATTGCTGGGGGAAAAACTGTTAGTCTGTAAATCTATATCCAACCAAAAAAAATCTATAAAAATGAAGTCAAAATAAAGGCATTTTGGAAGCAGATGAAAACTGAAAGAATTTACTTCATCTCCAGCAGACCTGCATTATAAGAAATATCAAACACTCACTAATGCTCTTTAATGTTTTCAGTCAATTTCTCTCTGTTTCATTTGGATATAAAATATATTTGCTGCATCTTCAAGTTCAACAATCATTTATTTCTACAACCTCTAATCTGTCATTAATCACATCCAGTGTGTTTTTCATTTCAAGTATTGTAATTTATATGTCCAGAAGCCCAATTTGGGCCTTTTTGCTGTCTTCTATGTTTCTATTTAATGTGTCCAATCCTTACTCCAGCTTCTTGAACATAGGGTGTATAGTTATAGTCCTTGTCTAATAATTATATCTTCTGTATTACATCTGGATTGGTTTTTATTATTGATAGGTTTTCTCCTGCTTATAGATTATAATCTTTCTTTGTATGACAGTGATTTTTAACTGAATGGATGACACTATGAATTTTATCTTGTTAGATCTTAATATTTTTGTAATCCTATAAATATTCTTAAACGTTGATCTGGGATGCTAAGTTAATTAGAAAAACTTTAATCCATTCTGGTCTTCCTTGTAGGTGTCACTAGGAAGAAGCAGAGCAGTATTGAGTCTAGAGTTGATTTTTCTACTACCGAGGCCAACCACTTCTGAGAACTTTCAACATGAATTATGAAATTTCCCATGCTGGTTGGTGCCGTGTGTAAGCCCCAGGTATTATTTCCTTTCATTCTTTCTGGTGGTTCTTTCTTCATCCTTGGGTAGTTTTCTCCTACTCATGCACTGATCAGCAGTCAGCTGAAAATGCAAGGGAGACTCTGAAGATCTCTGGAACTGGCTCACTCGCTAGGCAGCACTCTCTTTTGTAATACTCTGTCTACTCCGCCCTATGAACTTTAACTCCTGTGGCCTCGTCAGATCCCCAGTTTTATCTTCTCAACTTTAGAGTGACTGCCAGGCTTTGTCTGTGTTTTATCTCCTTTTGCTATGACCTAGAAACTCTAGGGTATTCATAGGTCTCATCACATGTTTCACATCTCTTAAGGAATCACTATCTTTTATTACTTGATGTTTGAAGTCTTGAAAATCGTTTCATAAATATTGTTCATTTTTTTGTTGTTTATGTGTAAGGTAAATCTGCTCCCTCCAAATTTACCCTTCATCTTCACTGGAAACAGAAATCTTTGTATCATTCTTTTTTAAATATACTAAATCTATGTAACCTGTACATAATGATTGAAATCCTGATGTTTCCCTTTAGGCCAGTTCCAATATCTTTCCAGATTCTATATGATATATTGAATTTAGAATATAATATAAATAAAAGGTACGAATTTTGTGAATAGGCAAAACTATAAGCAGAAGCTTAGAGATGTGTGAAAGTACATTGACTGTACACATGTACTTATCCATTTACCTACTTTCTTTAGCCCTTTGTAAAATTCTTCTCTGACACTACTTTCCTTTAGGACCAGACATTCCTGCATTCCCTGTGATCACCTTCTACTCTGGAGAGGGAGTGTCATAGAGCAACTAAAAACTCTTTTAGATGCCAAATATTTTGGAAATTTTTGAATTATAGTTTTTCTAAGTACCAAAGCCTTACCTGCTTTCTCTAGAATTCCTCTAGAAGTGAAGAAACAGACACACACATTATCTATCAGTTTCATATTTAGTGTCTATGTTTTATCTTTCAGCAGAAAATGTTAACAACTTAATTAACAACTGTAATTAATTTCTGACGTCTCCCTTTTTGATATACCCCCTTCACTTCAGCTAAACATATGCATCACAATCAATAATTATGAAGAGATTTAAATAAAAAGTAATATCCTGTTTCCTGAAAAGCACACTGAAAAAATATGTAACAAAAGGCAACACGAGTAATTTACAAACATTTCTGATTGCAAATTTGAAGCCAGACCACTAGCTGTTGTTCAAATAGCTGTAAGTTATTTTACTATAAATTCAGAATGGAGGGATTGGCCAGCTGTAGATGATGCATTATGATTATATGATTCAGTGCTACAGTCAGGGGTGCTGCTTTGAGGAGAGTGGTTATACAGGTCTGATGGCAAAGCAACTTAATTGAAAATTCATATTTCAAATTGCATAACAATGAAGTAGAAAAAGGAGAATTGCATAACATTCCTAATAGAATTGTTATTGTTTCTATCACTTACATTAAACAACAAATGTTAATAGTAGCATCTCATAAAGTTTTTACTCTTTAAAATATTTCAAGTTTGCCATTTACTTTCAAAGTAAAAATAATAATGTAAGTTTTAAATATTTCCTTAAATTTTTTTATTCAAATGAGAAGACTATTTGGGTAAATTTAGGCATTTCTTCCTCTGTAGTATTCGAAAAAAAAATTGTAGGAACTGAAAATTATTTGACTTTTATATTGAAGAACCTGATAGAATGTTACAACTCTGAAATTCTATGCTTTATTTTCTTTTTAGCCATATTCTGTAATTAACCTCAACACTTTGAAGGGCCAACTGGTCTGTCAGTAAATGTTTCAGATTAGAATTTAATAACCTTGAATCCAGAATGCTAGTTTACTTATTCAGAGATTTTAAACTTTTCTTCAGGTTTTCTTCGCAACCTACTCATCTGACAAAGGGCTAATATCCAGAATCTACAATGAACTCCAACAAATTTACAAGAAAAAAACAAACAACCCCATCAAAAAGTGGGCAAAGGATATGAACAGACACTTCTCAAAAGAAGACATTTATGCAGCCAAAAGACACATGAAAAAATGCTCATCATCACTGGCCATCAGAGAAATGCAAATCAAAACCACAATGAGATACCAGCTCACACCAGTTAGAATGGCAATCATTAAAAAGTCAGGAAACAACAGGTGCTGGAGAGGATGTGGAGAAATAGGAACACTTTTACACTGTTGGTGGGACTGTAAACTAGTTCAACCATTGTGGAAGTCAGTGTGGCGATTCCTCAGGGATCTAGAACTAGAAATACCATTTGACCCAGCCATCCCATTACTGGGTATACACCCAAAGGACTATAAATCATGCTGCTATAAAGACATGTGCACACATATGTTTATTGTGGCACTATTCACAATAGCAAAGACTTGGAACCAACCCAAATGTCCAACAATGATAGACTGGATTAAGAAAATGTGGCACATATACACCACGGAATACTATGCAGCCATAAAAAATGATGAGTTCATGTCCTTTGTAGGGACATGGATGAAATTGGAAATCAACATTCTCAGTAAACTATCGCAAGGACAAAAAACCAAACACCACATGTTCTCACTCATAGATGGGAACTGAACAATGAGAACACATGGACACAGGAAGGGGAATATCACACTCTGGGGACTGTTGTGGGGTGGGGGGACGGGGGAGGGATAGCATTAGGAGATATACCTAATGCTAAATGACGAGTTAATGGGTGCAGCACACCAGCATGGCACATGTATACATATGTAACTAACCTGCACATTGTGCACATGTACCCTAAAACTTAAAGTATAATAAGAAGAAAAAGAAAAAATAATCAATGAAAGCATTCACAAAAATGACATAAAAAAAGAAAAAAACTGATAGAATAGAGTTGAAAGAATGATTAATGAGAGGAAAAACTTTAGCAGAGAAAGGGAAACTAAAAATAACAAAATGAAAATTTTAGAACTCAAAAATACACCTAAAATTGTTTAAAATTGACAGGTATAATAGGAGACTAGACAAAGAAGAAAAGAATAGTAAACTCAAAAAGAGGCCAACAGAAAATACTTAAACTAAAACACAGATAAAATATTACATATTTTATGATTTCATTTACAGTAAATGTCCACAATGGGTAAGTCTATAGAGACAGAAACTATATTAGTGGTTGCCTCGGGCTAGGAGAGAGTGGACAGGACATGGGAAGATAGGGTATTTACAGCTAAAAGGCACAAAGTTCCTTTTTGAGGTGATGTAAATGTTCTCAAATTGACTGTGTTGATGGTTACCCATATGTAATAACTGAATAGTACTAACTACTGAATTGTAAATATATTAATCACTGGGTTATACTATTGTTAAAAAGGTAATAAGGGTATTACAAACAACTTCATGCCAATATATTATATAAATTAGTCAATTTTTATAAATGGACACATTATTTGAAAGGCACGAACAACAAATTCCTACTCAAGAGGAAATAGATCAATATATCTTCTGAATTCTCCTATCTTTATTAAATATACTAAATTTTCAGTTTAAAACCTTCCCACAGCTTTGCACTGTGGAGAGATCCATATGGAGTTGTTCTAGATTTGTGGCATAACTTAAAGGGAAATTTTCACAATGTTCAGAGCCCTTGATGTCCTGAAAATGAAGGAGGACAGAAAATGTCCTCAAATTTCTTGTAGTTTGAACCCACTCAGGTGGCACCATCCTTGACTTCCAAATGGAACAGTACCTCTACAAAAGAAAAAGTGATAGCATCTGCATCATAAATCTGAAGAGGACCTAGAGGCTTCTGCTGGCAGCTCGTGTCATTGCTGTGATTGGAAACCCTGCTGATGTCAGTGTCATATCCTCCAGGAATACTGACCACCAGGCTGTGCTGAAGTTTACTGCTGCCATTGGAGCTACTCCTGTTGATGATCATTTCCTCCTGGAAACTTCATTAACCAGATCCAGGCAGCCTTACAGGAGTTACATTGCTGGTGGTTACTGATTCCAGGGCTGACCACAAGCCTCTCATAGAGGCATGTTATGCTAACCTGTCTACCATTGCTCTAGGTCACACAGGTTTTCCTCCATGCTATGTGGACATTGCCACCCCATGCAACAGCAGCTCACTCAGTGGGCCTGATGTGGTGGATGGTGGCCAAGAAGTTATGCACGTGCTTGGCGCCATCTCCTGTGAACACCCATGGGAGATTATGACTTATCTCTACTTCTACAAACATCCTGAAAAGATTGAAAAGAAAGAGCAGGTTGCTGCTGAAAAAGCTGTGACCAAGGAGGAATTTCAGGGCGAACAGACTTCTTCAGCACCTGAGTTCACTGCTACTTAGTGTGAGGTTTCAGAATGGCCTGAAGGTGTGCAGGTTGCATGTGTGCTTTGTGCCTATTCAGCAGTTACCTACTGAACACTGGAGCACTCAGCCTGCCACCGAAGGCTGGTTTGCCCTCCCACTGCTCAGGCCACTGAATGGGTAGGAAGAACCGCTGAATAGTGTTAAAGCTGTTCTTCCACATGCATTTAAGCAAGATGGAAATAAGGTTGATGAAAAAAAATCATCAGTTTCTCCTTTTTTACAACATTTTTATTTTTATCATTATACTTTAAGTTCTGGGGTACACGTGCAGAACGTGCAGGTTTCTTACATAGGTATACACTTGCCATGGTGGTTTGCTGCACCCGTCAACCAGTCATCTACATTACGTATTTCTCCTAATGCTATCCCTCCCTTAGCCCCCTACCCCCCAACAGGCCCCGGTGTGTGATGTTCACCTCCCTGTGTCCATGTGTTCTCATTGCTCAACTCCCACTTACGAATGAGAACATGTGGTGTTTGGTTTTCTGTTCTTGTGTTAGTTTGCTGAGAATGATGGTTTCCAACTTCATCCATGCCCCTGCAAAGGACATGAACTCTTCCTTTTTTATGGCTGCAGAGTATTCCATGGTGTATATGTGGCACATTTTATTTATCCATTCTATCATTGATGGGCATTTGGGTGGTTCCAAGCATTTGCTATTGTGAACAGTGCTGCAATAAACATATGTGTGCATGTGTCTTTATAGTAGAATGATTTATAATCCTTTGAGTATATACTCAGTAATGGGATTGCTGGGTCAAATAGTATTTCTAGTTCTAGATCCTTGAGAAATCACCACACTGTCTTCCACAATGGTTGAACTAATTTACACTCCCACCAACAGTGTAAACGCATTCCTATTTCTCCACATCCTCTCTAGAATCTGTTGTTTCCTGACTCTGTAATGATTGCTGTTCTAACTGGCGTGAGATGGTATCTCACTGTGGTTTTGATTTGCATTTCTCTAATGACCAGTGATGATGAGCTTTTTTCCATGTTTGTTGGCTGCATAAATGTCTTCTTTTGAGAAGTGTCTGATCTTATCCTTTGCCCACTTTTTGATGGGGTTGTTTGTTTTTTTCTCATAAATTTGTCTAAGGTCTTTGTAGATTCTGGGTATTAGCCCTTGTCAGATGAATAGATTGCAAAATTTTTGTCCCATTCTGTAGGTGGCCTGTTCACTCTGATGATAGTTTCTTTTCCTGTGCAGAAGCTCTTTAGTTTAACTAGATCCCATTTGTCTATTTTGGCTTTTGTTGCCATTGCTTTTGGTGTTTTCGTCATGAAGTCTTTACCCATGCCTATGTCCTGAATGGTATTGCCTAGGTTTTCTTCTAGGGTTTTTATGGTTTTAGGTCTTACATTTAAGTTTTTAATCCATCTTGAGTTAATTTTTGTATAAGGTGTAAGGAAGGGATCCAGTTTCAGCTTTCTACATACAGCTAGCCAGTTTTCCCAACACCATTTATTAAATAGGGAATCCTTTCCCTATTGCTTGTTTTTGTCAGGTTTGTCAAAGATCAGATGGTTGTAGATATGTGGCATTATTTCTGAGGGCTCTGTTCTGTTCCATTGGTCTATATATCTGTTTTGGTACCAGTACCATGCTGTTTTGGTTACTGTAGCCTTGTAGTATAGTTTGAAGTCAGGTAGCATGATGCTTCCAGCTTTGTTCTTTTTGCTTGGGATTGTCTTAGCTATGTGAGCTCTTTTTTGATTCCATATGAACTTTAAAGTAGTTTTTTCCAAATCTGTGAAGAAAGTCGATGGTAGCTTGATTGGGATAGCATTGAATCTGTAAAATACCTTGGGCAGTATGGCCATTTTCACGATATTGATTCTTCCTATCCATGAGCATGGAATATTTTTCCATTTGTTTGTGTCCTCTCTTATTTCCTTGAGCCGTGGTTTGTAGTTCTCCTTGAAGAGGTCCTTCACATCCCTTGTAAGTTGGATTCCTAGGTATTTTATTCTCTTTGAAGCAATTGTGAATGGGAGTTCACTCATGATTTGGCTGTTTGTCTGTTATTGGTGTATAAGAATGCTTGTGATTTTTGCACATTGATTTTGTATCCTGAGACTTTGCTGAAGTTGCTTATCAGCTTAAGGAGATTTTGGGCTGAGACGATGAGGTTTTCTAACTCATACATACAATCATGTCATCTGCAAATAGAGACAATTTGACTTCCTCTTTTCTAATTGAATACCCTTTATTTCTTTCTCTTGCCTGATTGCCCTGGCCAGAACTTCCATTACTATGTTGAATAGGAGTGGTGAGAGAGGGCATCCTTGTCTTATGCCTGTTTTCAAAGGGAATGCTTCCAGTTTTTGCCCATTCAGTATGATATAGGCTGTGCGTTTGTCATAAATAGCTCTTATTATTTTGAGATATGTTCCATCAATACCTAGTTTATCGAGAGGTTTTAGCATGAAGAGTTGTTGAATTTTGTCAAAGGCTTTTTCTGCCTCTATTGAGATAATCATGTCGTTTTTGTCATTGGTTCTGTTTATGTGATGGATTACGTTTATTGATTTGCCTATGTTGAACCAGCCTTGCAACCCCAGGATGAAGCCGACCTGATAGTTGTGGATAAGCTTTTTGGAGGCATACAGAAACAGCGAGATTTTGTTACCAGCAGAACTGCACTAAAAGGAATATAAATGAAGCATTCTTTTCACTGAAGGGAAATTATAGCAGAAAAAAATTGTATCTACTTAGAAAATACAGAATGCTAAAAATGGCAAAAATATGAGTATATATGAAAGACTATCTTAATTTCTTTTAAAGATTATTGACTGATAAAAGCAAAATAATATATCATAGTGTTTATAATACATGAAGAATTAAACTGTATGACAACGGTATCACCAAAGGGAGGAGAGGGGAAATTCTACTGCTGTAACGTTCATTCGTTATATGTAAAGTAGTATAATATTAAAAGATAGACTATGATAAACAAAGAAAATATATTACATTCCCTGGATGCTGCACTGTTTAAGATAGTAGCCACTAGTGGCCAGGCGCGGTGGGTCACACCTGTAATCCCAGTACTTTGGGAGGCCGAGATGGGCAGATCACGAGGTCAGGAGCTCAAGACCATCCTGGCTAACAGGGTGAAACCCCGTCTCTACTAAAAATACAAAAAATTAGCCGGGCGTGGTGGCAGCCGCCTGTAGTCTCAGCTACTTGGGAGGCTGAGGCAGGAGAATGGTGTGAACCTGGGAGGCAGAGCTTGCAGTGAGCTGAGTTTGCGCCACTGCACTCCAGCCTGGGCGATGAGCGAGACTCCATCTCAAAAAAAAAAAAAAAAAGATTGTAGCCACTAGCCACATGTGGCTAACAATAAGGTCATTTAAAATTAAATAAAATGTAAAATTTAGTTCCTCAGTTGCACTAAGTACTTTTAAAATCTTAATAGCTAGAGACTAATCAGATCGGACATTGCAGCTACAGAACTTTTTTATTGCTGTAGAGAGTTCTATTGAATAACACCAACTTAATTGAGTAGCTTGCCTCTCTCTGCCCCATCACCGTCTTGGGTGAGTCAACACTTATGTTAGGGTCCCTTGTGATACCTGATCCCTACTTCTTGAGCCTCAAGGAAAGCACTGATCATATTGATGTCAGCCTCCCATGATTACACTGTAGAAACTATCATCACTCAAAACTCTCATCCTCCAATACCTTAAACTATAAGCTTTCTCACTTTGACCACAGCCTACATATGACTACCTCTCTCATTTTATCTTACAGAAGTGGCAGCTTAGTTACTATCCATGTTCTCCCAATTTCCTGCCTCCTCCCATTAATGCTTGAATGTACTTCTAGCCTATACTAGGCTGATGATATTTTCCCACTACTCCCCAGTCTTTCCCTTCTGGACAATCCTCTGGGCTCCTCTTGTGAAAGCTTAAGCCTGATTAACTTCCACAAAATACACTCTTGGCTTCCACTTCTGGAGTCCTGAATATTAGTTGAGAAATTTCTAAACCATGCTAACCTGCTCAGCTTCCTGCTATTCAAATTCAAATGGTTCTTCATTTCTACTTAACAATCTATTCATCTCCTTTGGATACTGGTATATTTCTCACAACAGCTGTTCTATGCCTCATTTTAATCCTTCCTCTGTCAGCCTAAACCCAATCCTGCCTTCTCATCTTTGACAGGTAGGTGATTTTATCTCTTAATTGATGAAGGTAGTTAAGAACATACATCATGATCTTTTTTCATTTCCTTTGTACCTCAAATATTCCAGGTACTTTCATTTGCCCCAGTCTCATTTGTTATTGTCTCTAAGGAGGAAATATCCCTGTCTTACACAATAAGATTTCAATTTTTTTCTAGGGCTCTTTGTGTTCTGTTGGAATATATTATGTATCACCTATTTATTCAATACAATAGTATTAGCTTAGGCAGTGAATCCAAGGTCTCCTGATGAAATCAGAATATAAATGGTCCTTTATTTGGAAACTTGTGAGCAATGATGTCTATTAACTTTTGATTCTGAGTATTTAGGGATTGAAATTATGGGTGCATTGTGGCTATACTTGAAATCTTGAAGAAGCCATATGCTTTTGTACCATTGCATTTCAATGTTTGACAGTAAATGAAGAAAGCAGAAGAGACAGTGTGGGGTCTTCTATTGAACCTTCTGATCAAAACAAATATTTTTGAATTTTAATGCTATGGATAGAAATTCTTGGTGGGGATGTTTGGGGGAAGGCTTGACTTCTTGTTTTTGTTTTTTTGGTAAAAGAAAGCTAGTCAAAAACTATGTGAAGTTATTTGTCATAATGGTAGTTGATCCAAGGGGAGTATTTTTAGATATCACTTGGCATGTAAAATTGTTTAAGCTTGCTTACTTGTTTCTAATTGACTAGGAGTCTTGAAAAGTCATGAAATAGATCGTTTCTGCAATGGAAAATTACTCAAGGCAAGTGCTTTTCAGCAAGCAGAGTGCCCTACTTTTTCTATTGACATATTTGAAGGATTTCTGCTGATGCATATTATTCGACCAGCTAAAAAAGTTTTAATATGTTGATTCTCAACAGGCAAATGCATTTTTCAATTGTGATTTATGCCCTTTTATCTGGAGAACACAATAACAGGTGAATAGACATGACAGTGGCCACATTATAAACACAATTCTATAATCTGCTTTTTACTTAAAAATATATTGCGGGATCTGGCCAGCAGCCTGCAATGCAACGGGGCTCTCTCTTTGTTCCCAGGCAGATCGGCAGGTCGGGAAATAATAGACACACACAAGACAGTGAAAGCTGGGTCCAGGGGTGTCACCACCTTTTGGTCCCATGGTGCCAACAATGCACTGGATATGCCAGCATTTATTATTAAGTTTAGTGAGGGCGTGGGTAGGTTAGTGAGGGATTTAAGGTCATTTGATTATGAGGTGAGATGGTCACATGGGGATGAAGTAATTCTGTAACATAACATCTGTATGCAGAAGTACAGTATACAGGGATAAGAATTTACAATATAGTGTGTGCATCAGTAATTTCTAACAGAGCCTTAAAACAGAAACACAGTCTTTCCATAACCTATGATTAGCAAGATATTAATCAGCAGTAACAGTTGCAGCAAAAGCTGGTTACAAACAATCCATAGGTTGTGAAGCTAGACAACCGGTTAGACCAGAAATTTTCAGAAGGGAGTATGCCTTAACCCTAAAGAGGCCTAGAAGAGCCATGGCAAGATGAGATATAGCCCTATCTTATCCATATGGACAGGCGTCCCCCACATATCCATTTATAGGCTCTC
This sequence comes from Homo sapiens, assembly GCF_000001405.40. Lineage (NCBI taxonomy): Eukaryota > Metazoa > Chordata > Mammalia > Primates > Hominidae > Homo > Homo sapiens. The sequence continues at coordinate 41,945,670 of NC_000005.10, read as the reverse complement.
CATAAGGGTCGCATTCCATTCCCAGAGCTATGAACGTCGGCTTTTCTGGGATAGGAATCTTGGTGATGTGAAACCTCCCTGACTGCATGTCCATTCATAGGCTCTCTGCAGGGGGAAGCACATCGCGTGCTGTTGTCTCATTCTGGCAGTCCAACCTGGCATTGTCTTTACCCAACCCTGCATGCAATTTTGTATTTACAATAATCAGGAGCATTTCATCTTTATTCCATAGCAATAGTTTCAGGGGGTCTCCCTACAAAAATAGATTGTGAATATTTTATGTATTTAAGTAATTAAAAGCATTATTTTTAATGTCCACATTTAGCCATTTATTCATTATTCATTCTAAAAATATTTACCAAGCATCTACTATGTTCCAACCACTGTTCTTAATGATATATACTAAGCAAGGAACAAAATAGAATAAACAATCACTTTCATAAAGCTCACATAGTATTCCTTTACATAGTTGTATTGAAAGTTTCTTAGATTGGTCTCTTACACTTTTTTTAAAAAAATGTTGCTACCATAAATTAGAAATTGTGCTTCATTGACTATCTTTTTAGCTGTAGCTTTGTGCATGTTAATGACAGTTTCCTGAAGATAAGATCTTAGAAATAAAATTATTAGGCTAGAACATTTAATAGCTCTAAGGCTCTTGACACAACTTGTCAAATCCTTCCTAGAAAGCTTAGATCTCCCCCAGACTCTCATCACTTCTGCTATCATTTTAAATGTTTCAGATAGAAACTTTGCTAATTGGAGTTAAGACCCTTGCTTCTTTCGTTTCCTGTCCAGTGAAGTATCTACTTGGTTGTGGACTACATTTCATCAACTTATGTGCCATTGCAAAATACTGCATGAGTACAATCGTAACCTTAGCTAAAAGAGCAAGTTGCTGAAGAAGCAATTTGTGCTAATGGCTCTAAATTGCTGTTGTTTTGGTTATCCTGAAACTGCACAAGACCTGGCATATATATAGTGGGAACGCACTAAAAATTGAACTTTATTATTTTCACATTTCCTATGACTGCTAAATATGGAATATTTGGTAAAAGGAAAAGACTTCTAACATTTATGTAGTCTCATTTTTTATCTGACTTATTTAGGAATAATTTATGAGTAATGTTTGATATTGTAATTCATCATGATGGTAAAGAATCATAATTTCACAAACACTAAGTTTTCCTGTGTCACTAAAAATAACAAACAGGCTGAGAAAGTTTCTCTCTTCTATAGTGCTATCAGGCTAGAAATTTTAGGCCTTATCCTAGAGGTAATAGTGAACCATTGAACGTTTCTCAACAGAGGAACTACACATCTGTCATGATTTAGAAAAATTATTTTGACAATATGGAGAATTGTACTTTCTCTAGGTATAAGTAAAACAAATATTCTTTTAGTAAACGCTTATTTTAATTGCAGTTGTAGAACTGGATGCTTCAATATGTTAAATAAGAACTTCCATTTGATTTCTACAAAATGACAGCCTGAGATCGTTACAAAATAGCATTCGGTTACCATTTTAGTGCAAAATAGCATTGGGTTACCATTTTAGTGTGCTAGGGCTGCCATGATGAAACACCATAGACCGAGTGTCTTAAACAACAGAAATTTATTTTCTCACAATTCTGGACTCTAGAAGTTTAAGATGAAAGTGTCAACAGGTTTGGTTTCTCCTGAGGCTTTTCTCCTTGGCTTGCAGATGGCCACCTTCTCACTATGTCCTCATGTGGTCTTTTGTCTGTCTATAAACATCCCTTGTGTCTTTTCCTCTTCTATTGGATTAGGGCCACCTATATGACCTCATTTAACCTTAATTCTCTCTTTGAAGGCCCTGTCTCCAAATACAGTCACATTGTGAGGTGTACTGGGAGTTAGGACTGCAATATATGAATTTGGGGAAACAAAATTCAGTCCATTAACAGTTATTAATATGCACATGCAGTTCACAAACTATATAGAGGCACAATTTTCAAGTAATTTTCAATAGTGGCGATAGAGTTTATATGATTAAACAGTGACACTTTTTATATGACCATCTAAACATACCTATAAAATAGTTGTTTTATGTCAGGATAATCATTTCAGAGAGTGACATTGAAAAACCCATAAAAACTCTTAGAACGTTAGTACTGAAGTTGAGGCCTTCCCACAGAGAAGTACTTATGCAGATGCTTACATCAGTTTTTGATAAAGCAAAACTTATGTCCAAGGTAGGTATTATTGTTCTCATTTTGTACATGAGAAAACTGAGATTCAGAATTTAAGGGACTTACTTGTGGCCATGTCAATAAAAATTGGCAGAGTGGAAATTTGGGTTAGGTCATTCTCAACTCCAGAGGTTGCATGCATAACAATTTTGGTTTGTTCATCCCTGGATAATGCTAATATAGCACTGATGAGAATTTAGTGAACCACACTAGAGTCCAGGAAATTGATTTTTTAATTAAACATCAAAATAGCCTGTAGCTCTTTTTAACTTGGATAAGAGGATTTTCGGACTCCAAGTCTAATGTCTTCTTTGCTACCTATACCATGATATGGACTTGAATTATAATAGAATTCTTTTCTCTGGGTCTCAATTTCTTTACCTAAAAAATGAGGATAATACTAGTGGCTTTATAAGGTTTTTCTGAGATTTAAAGTTTATGTATACAAAGTATTATACACATTGCCTGACACAGCTGTCATAAAGGCTAGCATTTAGTCTTAGCTCCAACATTTGAAGATTTTGTAAATTTTACAGTATCCTCATAATTAGTAATTTTAAAAATCTCTTTTGTTACCCATAATTATATGGAGAAAAACATCTAAAATGCAAATGGCTCATGTACTTGTCAAAATCATCAAGGATCAAATATAATAAATTATATCTCATGCTGCAAATAGAGTGGGGAGAACCCCAAGACATGCAGCAAGTCCTATCCAAAGATAATTAGGACTAGGAAAAGACCATACAAAAATGAGTTAATATAAGAGAGATAAATTTCATAGTGTATAGAGGAGGAAAAAAAGATTTGATTGGGACTCTGGAAAATTAAACTAAAAACTAGAAAAATAAATGTATCTTGCTTTAACAAAAATCTAGATTATAAATACTGGAGTGTGCTATAAGAAAAAAAGAGCATAAGGTACTAGTTTAAATCTGGTGAGTGACCTAGAATTTGATACTACACTATTTCATTTTCTCCATTCATCAGATATAATATCTTAATTATAGAACTGAAATGCCATTTTAAAAAAAGATAGCTGATATAAAAGCATTGTTCTGCTTCCATTGGTACTTAATAAATTAAACCACTCTTCTATCATAACTTTGGATTATTATTAGAAATATTAATAATGCCTCACCATAGTAAAACTACAAATATCTAAGTAAACATTCTGACAAATGTGAAACCATATGTTCATAGGTCTTTCTCGAAGGTCTCCTAAACCCAATAGTCCATTAGGCAAAATTCTGCCCCCTCAACAAAAAGGTTAAAACAGTAATAGCACTGACCTAAAAGAGACTAAATACAATTATATGTATAATATATGTTACAAACTTTCTGTCCAAAACAGAAATACATTTAAATATGGAACTTATATAAACTATATATAGATATTTATGGCTTTTACTATAATCTTAAAATTGCTGAGTTCCAGTGAGATATTAGGGTGTTTCTTCTGCCGAGTATAAGCCATTTGTGGAAGGAAGTAATATGATACATACAAGTCTCTGGGAAGTTTTCACTCTGAGTATGGAATAGAATTTGGCTTTAGTATCTTATGAGCTTGCGAAGTTATCTGAAAATAGTAAGAACTATCAGGAAAAGTTATTTTTCACTAAAGCAGTATTAAATATGATATAAGCTTGCTTTCTACTGTTTCATAATAAAAGACAGATTGTATGGCCATAATATTAAATGCAATTCCAGTACATTTTTCAGTCTTTAAGCAGTGTATTTATTAAGAATAGATAAAAATTTCTTTTCTGATAACCACTTATGAACCCTTGAAAAGACTGAATAGAAAGTTTAGCAAATTTGCTATTTCTCACTAAGGCAATCTTTATACCCAAAAGAATAGAAACTCAGGGAATGAGAGGCACAAACTTGTTTTTTCCAGAATTTAATATTTTTAAAAAGACAGAAAATATAAAAATTACCAAAAAAATGTTTAAAGGTTCATTTTGGGGCTAAATACTAGGACTGAAACTCTTTTCTTGTAATTGATTTATGGTAAAGAGTAAAAATAATATAAAAAACACAGCAGTTATAGCTGTCCAAATGAAAGCCTATCTGCAAAAAGGCAGGACAAGGTGGGCTGACTGAGCAAATATTCACATCACGACCTTAGTAATAAATTTCAAATGGTTTCAGTTCCCAAGATCTGAAAAGAGAATCATCTTGCACGCTTAGATTCCACTTCTTCAAGAATCCACTCAATGCCATTCAAAAAACCAGTCAGAGTTTCAGCCTCTGTATCCTGGACCTCGGAATACATAAGAGAGAATGTTGTTAGTAAGAAACTAAGTCCAAAATCTTATGAGTAGGAGGGACATTTTTCTAGACACTAAAAAGATAACAGAACTTTTAAAAATCCCAATAAACTTTGGATAAGTTGCTCAAGTTTTGTTTTGTAGAGCACTTAGATAAAAATATGATCATCTCTCTTGTAACTATTACCAATATAAAGTTTATTTGCCTTGGAATTCAGCTTTGGAAATGGAAAGAACTACCATTTCCATGACTTGCTTCCATGTATGAGGGGAAAAAATTCCTCCAAAGGATCCACTTTGAAAACTAAAACATTTTTTAGTGACCCAGTTAGTCATATGTGTGACATCCTGTTGCAAAAATGTGTCTTGAAGACTGCCACTCCTCCTAATGGTAAAGCTAAAATTGCCACCATTCAGAAGGGGAAACTTTATTAGTAGTTTTCAAACTTCATTCCAAAGAGTCTTTGGAGCTCCAGGGAAGAGATGGAAGGGGAACAAAGAAAATTCTCTTACTTTTTCCGCAAAAGGTTTCCAACTTTAATTTTTCTTTATCTGTTTTACTCAGGGGTTATCATGTCAGGTTTTGTTTGAAGAAAGAATGCCATAATTAAAATGTATTTTAGGGCTGGGCACGGTGGCTCATGCCTGTAATCCCAGCACTTTGGGAAGCCATGGCGGGTGGATCACTTGAAGCCAGGAATCCGGGACCAGCCTGGCCAACATGGTGAAACCCTGTCTCTACTAAAAATACAAAAATTAGCCAGGTGTGGTGGCACATGCCTGTAATCCCAGCTACTTGGGAGGCTGAGGCATGAGAATCACTTGAACCCAGGAGGCAGAGGTTGGAGTGAGCCAAAATTGCACCACTGCACTACAGCCTGGGTGAGAGCGAGACCCTGTCACAAAAAAATAAATAAAATATATTTTAGAAAGCAATAAACTATAAGATGGAACATATAACTTTGATGATCCATAAAGCATAATACATTGATATTATAAAAAACATAATAGTGGCATCTAAAAAAAAACAACCTGGCTGAGCATGATGGCTCACACCTGTAATCCCAGCACTTTGGGAGGCCGAGGCAGGCAGATGGTTTGAGCCTAGGAGTTCGAGATCAGCCTGGGCAACATGGAGAAACCCCATCTCTACAAAAAATACAAAAAATTATCTGGGTGTGCTGGCACACACCTGTAGTCCCAGGTACCTGGGAGGCTGAGGTGGAGGGATCACCTGAGCCCAAGAGGTTGAGGTTGCAGCAAGCTGTGATCGTGCCACTGCACTCCAGCCTGAGCAACAAAGTGAGACCCTGTCTCAACAAAAAAAAAAAAAAAAAAAAAAAAAAAAAATCCCCAATTGTTATCTCACTGTATGAGAGAAGAGGCAAGTAAGACACAATTGATCAGCTAACATTTATTATCACCAATCAAATAGCTTCCATAGATTAAGCTATTAAAATTGACTTTAGAATGCCATTTCATTAAAGAAGATGAATTTAAAAAATAAAATCAAATAGAAAATAGAGTGCAAAATAAAATTTTTGTCACTAGAGTATAAATGATCTTACCAGCCATGGGTGATTTAGAAGATTCAGATGCAGCTCATGAGCCAAATAAAAACAGGGCATTCTTTTTACATCCCCTTGAGAAATACAAGATAAAACCAACAATGGTCTTCCCGAAGACCCAAAGGCTGGATCTGTCATTGCCATAATATGAGAAAATTCATCTTGCCATTCATGTCCTAAGGAATGTAAGTCAAAACCCTTAATTTGCATTACTTTTAATAGTTTTGAAAATAATAAAATAAAAAACTAACAAAGCGAGGGAACAAAAATTTACCAGGATCCAAACATAAACTGAGGGAAAAAAATCACAGTACTCTTCAGATGTCTCCACAGTTTAAAAGCAAAAATGCTTGATACAGGTAGTTCCTTTCACAAATTCTGTAGATGTCACTACCCTTTCATTCAAAGGGCTTACTTTCAAAATGTAGGCATATAGTAGAGTTTAGCTTTTTTTATGAATACCAACAATCTCAACCTTCTATTGGAGTGTTTGGACCATCTGCATTTTGTGGTAGGCAGAATTTTAAGATAGCCTCAATGTTCCAAACCCTTGCATAATCCCTTCCCTCTTTAGTGTCTGAAGAACCTACAAATAAGATGGGGCATCACTCCCATGATTAGGCTTTAAGACACGGTTGACTTTAAGAAAGACAGGTAATCTTCATTGAGCCTGACTAATCAGGTGAGACCTTAAAAGCGGCTCTTCTTGTTGAAAGATTCAATGCAGGGAGATTCTCCATTGCTGGATTGGAAGATGGAGGGAGTCACATGGGAAGGAATATAGGTGACCTCTAGAAGCTGATAACAGCCCCCAGCTGACAGCTAGCAAGAAAACAGGAAGGTCAGTCCTACAACAATAAGGAACTGAATTCAGCTAATAACTTGAATGATCTCGGAAGCAAATTCTTTCCCAGAGCCTCCAGAAAAGGATGCAACCATATGATACACAAATTTCAGCCCAAGAGGCCCTATCCAGAGAACTCAGTACTACCATTTCCAGACTTCTGACATAGAGAACTGTGAGCTAAAAAAATAGTTGTTTTAAACTATTAAATTTGAGGTAATTTGTTAATAGAAATTGAAAATTAATAAACATTTAATGTACTTATCAACAAGGTGCATTTAAATGTATCCTATACGTCTTAGATTTTGACTTGTCCGTCTATTCTTTGTTCCTTCTTCTCTCTTTGCCTACCTTCTTTTGGACTGAGTTTTTTAATGGTTCCATTTTATATCCACTACTGGCTTAGTTACAACTTCATTATACATTTTTTAGTAGCTGTTGAAGTATATGTAATACACATTTTTAATTTGTAAGTCTACCTTTAAATATTATGCCATTTCACATATAGAAGAAACTTACAGTATAATATACTTAAATGTTCTCTCTTCCATGATGTGTTCTATATCACATATTTTTCTTTAAAATGTCATACATGTATAATACACTATTAGTTTTTTTTATTAAAATTAGAAAAAAACCTTTTATATATAGCTCCATTGTTTCCATCCCAGGAGTCTTCATCTTTTTCAGTAGATGCAAATTTCCATCTGTTATCATAGTCTTCTGCCTAAAGAGCTTCCTTTAAGATTTCTTATAGTGAAGATCTGTTAACAATCAATTTTCTCAGTGCTATGTTCAAATGTGTTTCTCAAAATTCATGTGTTGCACATTTAAACCCCAATGCAAGAGTGTTGCAGGAAGGGGTGTCTTTGGGAGTTGTTTAGGTCATAAGGGCTTTACTCTTATAAGTAGATTAATATTGCCATTAAAAACGGCTTGCAGCCCTGTCTTTCCCTCTTCTGTCATGTGAGAATGCAATGTTTGTCTCCCGCTTCCCTTTCTGCCTTCTGCCAAGTAAGAAATCAGCAAGAAAGGCACTCACCAGACACCAGATGCTGGTGCCTTAATCTTGGACTCCCTAGTGTCCAAAACTGTGAGAAATAAATTTCTGTTCTTTAAAAATTCATTTATTGATCTGTAATAAAATTAGACTAAGTAGTCTTGGGAGAATAGGGATTTAGGTGAAGCCAGAGGGAAAAAAATCACAGTACCATTCAGATGTCTCCATAATCTAAAAACAGAAATGGACTGATATACAGGTCTGGGGTATTCTGTTACAGTGGCACAAATGAACTAAGACATTGAACTTCTGTTTGTCTGAAAAAGTCTTAACATTGCCTTTATTTTCAAAAAAATATTTTTGCTAGATATAGGATGTTTTTTCCCCCTTGCAGTACTATAAAGATTTCTCTTTATTGGTTTCTATCCTGCAGCAATTCTGACAGGAAATTTGCCGTCACTATTATCTTGGCCTGTATGTATGTTTTCATTTTTTCTGGCTGCGTTAAAGATGTTCTCTTTATCTCTGATTTTTATCAGTTTGACTATGATGTGCCTAGATGTATTTTTCTTTGTATTTATGCTTGGCATTCTCTGAGCATCTTCAATCTGTGGTTTGTTGTCTTTCCATAATTTTGAGATAATTCTGGCCATTATCTGTTCAAAAATTCCTTTTCCCCTTTTCTCTCTCCCTTCATGTTTTGGGACTCCAATTACAGATAAGTTAGATCAGGGGTCAGCCTACTACATTCTGTGGGTCAATTTTTCTAAATAAATTTTTATTGGAAAACAGTCTGTCCATTCATTTACGTATTGTCTCTGCTGCTTTTGCACTGCAATAGCAGAGCTAAGTGATTGTAAAAAAAAAACAAAAAAACTGTATGGTTCATAAGCCTACAATATTTACTATTTGTCCCTTTAAGAAAGTTTCCTGACCCCTGAGTTAGATCACTGGATAGATTCCCCCAACTCTCACTCTGTTCCTTGCTCTTACTTTTTTTTCTCTTTGTGTTTTAATTTGGATAATTCTGAATGACTTAACTTCACTTTCAATGATTCTTTCCTTTGCTAATATGCCCACTGAAGGAACTATTCATCTGTTGTCATATTTTCATATCTAGCATGCTTGTTTTACTTTTTCAAAACAGCTTCCTTTTCTCTGCTGAAAAATCTATCTGTTCACACATATTGTCCACCTTTTCCACTAGGTCTCTCTCAATCTCTCATTTTTTTGTGGGTTGGGGACAGGGTCTCGCTCTGTCACCCAGGCTGGAGTACAGTGGTGTGATTTCAGCTCACGTAACCTCTGCCTCCCAGGCTCAAGCGATTCTCCTGCCTCAGCCTCCCAAGTAGTTGCGACTACAGGCACGTGCCACCATGCCTGGCTAATTTTTGGTATTCTTGGTAGAGGCAAAATTTTGCCATGTTGCCCAGGCTGGTGTCAAACTCCTGGGCTCAAGCAATCTGCCCGCCTTGGCCTCCCAGAGCCACTGTACCTGACCTAGATCTCTTAATCAGTTATTTTAATGTCCCTTTCTGAGAATACCAACATGCTGACCATCTCTGGTCCAGTTCAACTGACTGCCTTATCTCATGACAATGTATCATTTCATTTTGATTTTGTGAGTGTCTCATAATTTTTAGATTTAATGTTAGGTGTTTTATGTAGAAGAGCAATAAAGACTGAGGTAAAAAGGATTTACTCCTAAAAACAGGCATCATACTTCGGTCAGGGTATTAATGCAGTAGGCTGAATCAAACTAGTCTGTAGTTGAGCTGGATTTGGCTTTTATTGCTATAGTTAACTTTGTAACACACAGACTTTAAATTCTTCCAGCAGCATGCTGCTGCCTATCTTGTTCTCAGTAACAGCACTGGAGTACCAGAGTTTCTTTCTCAGAGTTTCTACTTGTTCTCAGCTTTCAGCCTATCTTGTTAACTGTGCCATGGGGGTTATGGGGAAGAGGCAAGGAGAGCCTCTCCACACCCTTCCCCCATCCCTGCAGTAGTCTGCTGTTGCTCCTTAATTGGTAGGGACATGGAGATTTCTCAGTTTTCTCATTCCAGCCTCAGGCCTTAGGTAGGCCCTGTGCACCAGAGCCTCAGTGCTGCAGGCTTTCTCAGTGTTCCAGCATGACTGCTGAATTCTGCCCTGTATTGGTAGAAAGGTCTCCACTGCAAATTTCCTGCCTCTCCTCCAGAGTCAGCAAACATTTAATTTGTATCAGTGCAAGATCCTTGGTACAAGTGGAATTCCTGCTCCTCCCCTAAGACAGCTTTTGTTTCTATCTCCCTTGAGACAGCAGCAGTCAACTTTTGTCTGTGGAAAACAACTTTGGCTTCATTGAGAAAAGGATATAGAAAGCAGGAGGATATACCTGTCTTCAAGCACCAGCTGGTCATCACATGCATGCCTGTACCACCAAGGAGGGCACTCATAGGTCTCCTGCCTTACCACTAACCTTTTACATGAGCACCTAGTAGAGGCCAGTGGGAAAAAGCTGATAAGTGAGTATAGTCTCTTTGTGTCTTGTAAATTTTTTTAATTTATTTTTTGTGTGCTTGTTTTATAGGAGCAGATTGGAAAACTAGATAAAAGTAGGGGCTATATCTGTTTTAGTTCCCAATTGTAACTGCAACATGCCTGTAGGAACTAAAACACTATTTGTTAAATGAACTTATCTTTTATTTTGCTTCTAAGTTTTCTTTTTATAGATAGCCCTGTAATAACAGAAAGTAATTGCAACTGCTTTCATGCCTAACAGATCACAGGGAAAATAAATTGAATAGAAATTCAAACCAGTGTATTAGAGAACTATAATATATATACAATATATTATGTATTTATATTCTACCTTGTTCACAAAGGATTTGGGAAAGATATTATAATACTAGCTCATGGCCCAATGATATTTTGATTTCACACAAAAATAGCATTCTGAATGGCAATTATTCAGAATATATGAATAGTGTTCTCAACTAATCTACTTAACACCCTACCATCACATCTCTTTACTATTTGGATAAAACAAAGATAAAATTTTTCATAGTTATTTGCATAGATTATTTGAATAAAGCCAGAAGCAGACAAAATGTCAGTATCAAAAAAATGCAGAAGCATAAAGCAAAAAAATATTGTATAGCTCTAGTACCAAACTTTGGAATGCATCAGAATTCCCTGGGTGCTTGGAAAAAACAGATGCCCAAATCTGATTCACACAACCCAAATCTAGGAATAAAATCCACCAGGGTAGGAATCAGCTTGTTAACATGTTTAACAAGCTTCCCAGGTGATCCTAATACACACAAAAGTGTGAGAACACACTATTAATAGTAAGGGTCAGAAAATCACATTGATAAAATAAGCCATCATATTCTTAAGAAGCCACAGTAAAGTCTAAAAAGGTATTTTCCATTTGCTTTGAAAAGAACAATGTGCTTAAAAATGTACATATGAGTACTTACTTTTATGAGCTTCAGCATTTGCAACATAGATGAACCCATCTACAACTTCACACACTTTTTGAATCTGTGGAATCACACTGTACCGGCTTCCTTGTTGATCATCACCTTCATTGTGTCGACTGAACATCTTGTTAACTGCACTTGTATGCTCTTCCCTTGCTCTATCTCTTTCCTTTCTAGAAAAAAAATTGTAAAGACAGAATATAAAAAGACACTAAACAGGCTCCACTCACCTGAAATGTTTTAGTTCTGATGTTTCAGTTAAGCCACCAAGTATGTAGCCTTACCTGGTAGTTGAATATAAGATTAGAATGTTGAATTTATGTTGGTTGTTCAACTGAAAATTGACTCCTGATCCAATACCTAAGAAAGAAAATCACAGTTACCAAAACAAATCATTAATAAAAATAGCAAAAGATCACACTGAAAATTACCCGGTGAAAGCAAAAAGAGTAAAGAAAAAATTCTATAACAACTTATACATAGAGTTGAAATAAAATGTATACGTTGAAGAAAAGATACCGTATGTAACTTTCATTCACATGACAATAAAAATACAGAGAAAGAAAAAAACTGCAAGGCTTATAACAGTCCTTATATCATCATCACTATCATCAACAACTTTATCATCTTATCAGTAGCAGCTGCATAATCACAGCTACTACTATTTATCCTCAAGACTAAGACTCATTTTCATATTTTTATGTTTCTCATTAGTCTAATAATCAATGTATACATTCAATTAAGTGTCTTTCTCCCCCTCTGAAAAGCTGTTTTTAAATTGATGGGGGGGGCAGGCACAGTGGCTCACATCTGTAATCCCAACAATTTGGGAGGCTGAGGTGGAAGAATCACTTGAGGCTAAGAGTTCAAGACCAACCTAGACAACATAGTGAGAACCTCATCTCTACAAAAAATACAAAACAATTATCCAGGCATGGTGGCCCATGCCTGTTTCCCAGGTACTTGGGAGGCTGAGGTAGGAGGATCACTTGAGCCAGGGAGTTCAAAGCTGCAGTGAGCCATGATCATGCCACTGTACTCCAGCCTGGGTAACAGAGACCTTGTCTCAAAAAATAATAATAAATTACTGAGGAGTTGCCAAGAGAACATTAGTAAATTGAGAAAATACTGAAGATACTGAAATTTAGAATTCGTCAGAGTTGGATTATAATTCTGAATTTCTCACTTATAGCCATGTATTTGTATCCCTCAGTTTGACACCAAAAAGAAGTTGAACTAATATATTCTTCTTAGGTTTACTGGGAAGATTAAACGAGATCATACATGTAAAACTCCTAGTAGGGTGACTAGTAAACCACAAGTGCTAAATATTAGCTTCTTACTGCTTTGTATCTGAATCATTAGCCACTGTTATTTGTCCTTCTTTCTTAACCTCTTCCCTCCTTGGACTGTGTTAACACTAAGTGGCTGGTTCTCCTTTTGCCTCCTCAAAAGACCCTTCTGGGCTTCCATGGCTCTACTTCATCCTGTTATATAAATGTTCTTCTAGATCTGTTCAGTTCTCTGTATCCCCATGACCACACTTTAGTTCACATTGTCATCATCACTCACCCGGGCCTCTGCAATCACTTCTAACCAGTCTCCTATATCTTCTTGCCTCCTATTATCCTTTCCTCTGACATCAGTTGGAAGAATTTTTTAATAATGGTATCTAATTGTCTTCTCTACAAAGCCATTGCCCTTCAGATGAAGAAATAAAACCATAATATCTGGTCCCTACTAACCTCATTAGAGACAACTCCAGCCTTTCATACTCTTAATTCCTGCATTATAACTAATTTATTTGTTTAAATAAGCTATGCCATACCATCTCATGTCATCATTCTAGGCAACACACACACAGGGCTCTTAAGTACTAAGACTGCAACCATGCCAGGCCATGTGATCCTAGTCCTCCAGCCACCAGGTCTGGTGCATGTTTCACAGAGACCACAGAATCAAACTTTACCATGTTTCTGATCTTTGTTTTCATCAGCTGCACTCCCAGAGATTACCCTCTCAACACGTCTAACTTCAGCCCAATATAGTCGCCATACTGTTCTGCCCTTCTTTGCCAATTATGTAACCCCATATTCTCTCGTCTTGCTGAGTGTGAGCCATAAATTGAAATTTTAAAACAATCACTTCAGCTGCTCTCTGGAAAATGGAATTGACATTTTATAACCATCAAACTTCCCCATTTCCTCAACCTCTTCTTGAGGTGTTCCTTTGACCTAATAGCCACACTTGAAATTGGCCTACCCCTAGGTGAGGCTTCTCCTGCAGTGAACTCTCAAGTAGCAAAGATGCTTATTTTCTCAAAACTCAAGGTAAAGAGGTGGGATTCATGTTCTCTTAACTCCCAATGCCATATCTAAACAATTACTCACCAACCCTCTGAAAAAAATCCTTCTACTTGAGAAACACATCATTCAGCTGTAGCACTCTTTCCTTCTTTGTCGTTATTACTTATGAATCTCCATTTAATAGTCACTTCCCCCAAACATAAACTGAACATTTCAGCACCTGTCTCCAATCTTCCTCTCCATCCTCAAAAACTTCCAAGTCCATGTGGACTCCGTATGACTCCCAAATCTCGATTTTCTAGCCCAGATCTTGCTCTTGAGAGCTGGATGCATACAGTAATCCATCAAGTCATTCACTCATTCACCAAATATACAGAGAGTGCCTGTTATGTGCCTGGCACCACAGATATAGCTAAAAATAAAGTGGACAAGACTCTTACCTTCATGGAGCTTCCATTCTAGCAGATTTGCTTATAGTAGGTATCTCTACTTGGATCTTCCATGGAGTTATCAAAGTCAACATATTCCAAAGAATAGCTGCCATTCTCCCTATACAGATCTTACTGTTACCTGCCCCTTCCAAATTTTTCTTAACTTCTCCAGTGATTTATTACCCTAGTGAATCCTCTATCATCCAACAAAAAACTCAAGTCAGAAACCTGGAGCCATCCTTATTACTGCTAATACATTTATTCTGTCAATTTTATATCCTTACTATTCATTCTCTTCTCTCATCTTCACTAACAGTGACTTAGAGTTCAGATCCTCTTCATATTTTAATCATAACATTACAGTGGCTTCTTAATGGGTCTCCATATCTTTAGCCCCTTCTAATCAATTCTTCACTCAAGAGCCTGAGTAATCTTTCTAACATGCAACCTTGATCATCTCAATCCTCTACTTAAAATCCTCCAGCAGCTCCCAAATGCTTAAGCATGGTACATATGTGTCTTTTCACATAGCTCCACTCTTTCTAGATACACAGTGATACTTCAAATGTGTCCTCTACATCCAGAGCTTTGTGCTTTTAGAAATGTAGTTCTCCGCCGGGCGCGGTGGCTCACGCCTGTAATCCCAGCACTTTGGGAGACCCAGGTGGGCGGATCACGAGGTCATGAGATCGAGACCATCCTGGCTAACACAGTGAAACCCCGTCTCTACTAAAAATACCAAAAAAATTAGCCAGGCGTAGTGGTGGGCGCCTGTAGTCCCAGCTACTCGGGAGAATGGTGTGAACCCGGGAGGCGGAGCTGGCAGTGAGCCGAGATCGCGCCACTGCACTCCAGCCTGGGCAACTGAGTGAGACTCCATCTCAAAAAAAAAAAAAAAG
The DNA here is from genome assembly GCF_000001405.40 of Homo sapiens. Classification (NCBI taxonomy): domain Eukaryota; kingdom Metazoa; phylum Chordata; class Mammalia; order Primates; family Hominidae; genus Homo; species Homo sapiens. Next base: position 41,930,669 of record NC_000005.10, on the reverse strand, counting down.
AAAGAAAGAAAGAAAGAAAAAAATGTAGTTCTCGCTGCCTGGAACACCTTTACTGTCTTTTTGTGATGGCCTACAACTATTCACCCTAGTGACTCATATGAGACATCATCAATATGGAGCCTTCTTTGACCGTTACCTTTCTACCCAGGAACTAAATACATCATATTCTAGTTATCTGTACACTTGTCTATGTCCTCACCTACACCTATCTTGAAGGCAAACAGAGACATTGTTCTAAATCTGCATCCCTATCATCTCACTTATAGGGGCTGGCTCTCAATAAATAAGTAAAGCAAAGGCTAAATTTTATTATTACTTACATTTACTATTTATCCTGCCTTGCCAAATATTTATGCATTTTTTTTAATAGAAAGAGGGGAAGGTGATGATTTAAATCTTTTGAATTCCAATACATATCAAAATACTCTCCACACAGATGCTCAATTTTTTCTGCTTTTTCAAACATGATAAATATGATATCCCACTGTACAAATGCAACATCTTGACAACAAATAATTTATTTTCACATAATCTTAAAGGCTGGATTGTACAAATTTGAGGAATTAAGAGGAAGCTTTCTTATAGTAAGTAAATTAATTCTGTCAGTTCAGTGGAACCTGGTAGGGCTCCCAACAACCAAAGTACTGTACTTCATTATAGCAAATAATTAATTTAAAATGAATTTCTTTCTTTTTAACAAGAATGTCAAGCTCAAAGTGTTTGAATTAACTGTAGATTAACATGAAAATTACCATCAATCTGCCTCTGAGGCAAACCAGCTGTTGGGCAAAGTTCCTCTGAAGACATCAAGCTCAACACCAAAGAGGTATTCAATTCTTCCAAACCTGGTCCAAACATAGCAAATCGTGGTTCATTCTGAATGATCAGGGAGTGTAAAAAAGAAGTGACAGCTCCATACATAGGACGGCTGGATTTTGAAGCTCTTCTTGTGTATGGACAGCACATTCTATAGCTGTAAAAAATTGTCACAATTAGAACATTAACACAGAAAACAGCCAGTTATTCATTCAAAAATATATAATTTATTGAGTACTTGCTAGACACAATGGATACAATGATTATATAGTCCCAATCCTCCAGGAGAACAATAGACAGACACCTTTATAATATGTATGTGGAGTGCTCTGACAGGGAAAAGCACAAGGTGCCATGGGGGTGGGAGTGGCCCAGAAGCTAAGGAACTCTTCCCCCATGAAGTGGTTACTTACTTTCTAATCTTTAATTTAGATTCTCTCATGGAACATTTGAATGGTGAAATTTTACTACATAAAGGTTCTCAACCCTAGGAGGTTTATCCCTGCCCCCCTGGAACATTTGGCAATGTCTGAACAACAAGTTTATTGTCACAACTGGGGAGGGGAGAAGAAGTTAGCAGAGGCCAAGGATGCTGCTAAACATTAATCCTACAATGCATAGGGCAGGCCCCAGAACAAAGAATTATTTGGCTCAAAATGTCAATAGTGCCAAGATTGAGAAACTCAGCACTAAAGATAAGCTACACACAGATAGTTAGCACAATATCCCTACAGGTAAAAAACAAACAAACCAAAAAAATTGCTAACACTACCAATATAACCAAATTTCAAATGTCTTGGGTACTTCTATTAATAGCCTCAAATATAACAGTTTAGTAAGAGTTAAATGAGGGAGGCTCAAATGATCCTTGCAGCAAACCTAGCAAACTAAGAATGATGTAAAACAATTCCGTTTCTTGCAATAGCTATAAATCTCTAAAGTACCAATTATGCATTTTATCAAAAATTAAAAGTTGCCCAAATCAAAATAAAACCTAAAGTCCTTCAAATAAGTCAAGCTGGTTAACAAAATCACTAACCTAACAAAATCCTTTTATTAGAAACCTTGTAACTCATGAAGGGGAAAAAACAAACACAAAACAACTTTGAAGCTGGATAGACCTGACCAAGCCTCACTACTTTTAGTTATATGAGCCACTTACAGTCTGAATTTCAGTTTCTTCATCTGTATTATTTGAGCAACAGAAATAACTCAGGGTTGGCCGGGCGCAGTGGCTCACGCCTGTAATCCCAGCACTTTGGGAGGCCAAGGTGGGTGGATCACGAGGTCAGGAGATCAAGACCATCCTGGGTAACACGGTGAAACCCCGTCTCTACTAAAAATACAAAAAATTAGCCAGGCGTGGTGGCGGGTGCCTCTAGTCCCAGCTACTCGGGAGGATAAGGCAGGAGAATGGCGTGAACCCAGGAGGCGGAGCTTGCAGTGAGCCGAGATCGCTCCACTGCACTCCAGCCTGGGCGACAGAGCAAGACTCCGTCTCAAAAAAAAAAAAAAGAAAAGAAAGAAATAACTCAGGGTTGTAAAAATGATAAGTACTTTATATGACCATAAATGGTAGTTACTATTATTACTATTCCCTGGGCAAAATCTAATTCCACAGCCTCATATACACTTGATGCAATGGTTAGCTATTGTACAGGTATTGCCTAGCAAGTGAGATACAGCAGCACTTGCTGAGATTATCTATAACAGACAACACACCTTTGAATCAAATAGTCTCACAACACTTGACATAATGGCATCTGTATTAGAATAAGGAAAGGCTCTGAATAACTCAAAATTTGAAAAAAAAATTCTGTATTTTGCTACTGAGTCAAGCACAACAATTTTTAAAGAATAAATATTTTGAAATTTTTAAAATAATGCGTTAAATTTGAGTTTCTCAGAAAAACAAGCTATATCCAGATATATAATGTCATTATATATCTTTGAGGTAGCATAATGGGGTTCCAGTCTGAATAGTCCCTTACAAGCTATATGACTTTAGGCAAATCACATAACCTCCATGAACCTTAATTCCACATCTGGGATACAAAGATAACACCTTCTTGTTGCATGAGGATTAAATGAGTAAAACATACATAAAGCATCCCTCGTAGAATCCAGTACACTGCAGTTGCTCAGTAACATTAATTATCTCACCTACGCAATATTAAAAAATGTCAGTGCTTTTCGGTGCTAATATAATCTTATTTCTCAGAGCCTTTAGAATGGTTTTCTTCTTCCCTGCCAAACAACAGGGGTCTCTGATCATCCTTTTTCTGAATACGGAAAAGTATTTACTTATTTAACAAAATGACAATTGTTCTAAAGATCATGAGACTTTTAAGAAGTCTTTTACTTCTTGCCATCTATACTACTTATAATTATTCAAATACTGGTTAGGCACCACAGGGAAATAATAAAATATTAAAGCTGAAAGGGTCCTATGAAGGAAGTCATTTAACTCCCAGTTTTGACGAGAACAATTAGACCCCAAATCCACGCAACAAATCAGTAGCAGGGTCAGGATTAACTTGGATATTGACTAGTAATACAGGAAAATTTAATAGCTTCTTTTTAATTCATAAAACTAGATACTTACACTGCCATGTAGTCAAAAAATGCACCATCAGTGACCTCAGATATAGGCTTTTTTAAGATTTCTAGATCTGGAAGAGACTTCCAGTCAACAGAAGACCAAGAAGGAAGATCCCTCAACAAAAAGTATCTCCACAGAATTGGATCTCTTACAGTTTCATTCCAATAATGATTTGTACTTCCCAACTGACACAGATCATGAGGTGAAAGAAAGGACAAAATATATAGCTGTACATCAATCTGAAACAGAAGAAAGCAGCAGGTAGGAAAAAGGAATGAAGAAAATAGTTTTTGGGTGATAAACCACATAATCAACAAATAAATAACAAAAGGTCAACTGACTAGTATTTTTAATAACTAAATCTACCATTAATAATTAAATCTATTATTTTCCTGCTATCAGCAAAGGATCATAACTGAACATTTTAGTTTCGTAGTTGTTAAACATTTAATTTCTGAAACACCTGAAACATTCCTGAAAAAGCAACCACTGTCTTGCTATTTTTCCAGCAAAATCACCAGTTCCTTTAATTTTTCCTCAGAGATATTTGGATATACCAGTTAGTTACATAAATTAGTTAAGGAAATAATTTGTCCTTCAAAATAAAACCCATATCAACCTTTATCTGATTTTATCATCAGACCAAATCAAAGAGTGTACATTTGTCTTTTTCTTTTTTGAGACACAGTCTCGCTCTGTCGCCCAGGCTGGAGTGCAGTGGCAAGATCTCGGCTCACTGCAAGCTCCGTCTCCCAGGTTCACGCCATGCTCCTGCCTCAGCCTCCCAAGTAGCTGGGACTACAGGCGCCTGCCACCAAGCCCGGCTAATTTTTTATATTTTTAGTAGAGACGGGGTTTCACCGTGTTAGCCAGGATGGTCTTGATCTCCTGACCTCGTGATCCGCCCACCTGGGTCTCCCAAAGTGCTGGGATTACAGGCGTGAGCCACCGCGCCCGGCCGTAAATTTGTCATCTTAGTTCCTCTACAGAATCTATTAAAATGTTATGAAAAACCTCTGCAAGGAGAAACTTGGAGGCATTCTAAACCTGCAGCTTTCACGTTGATATACACATTGGAGAGAGGTGTCAATAGTCCAAATGAGACAAAGAATTGTAATAATTTTCAATAATTTTTGTTCTCTTCATTTACCTATCTACCCCAAAGTTTAACAATAAGTTATGTGTGTCATTCTCGTGGCCTTGATGTAACTTGAGGCACTTGTAACTTAAGTCATTTATTTTCAACTGAGGGGCCGTTTTGTTTCTTCAAATACACAATAACAGCCACAGGCACAATGTCCTCTTGAGAGGGTAAAAACCTTGGCCCTCCAAGTGTTTTGGTACAGTGATCCGGAATCAAAGACGCTGGGAACAGGGACGCTGGAATGCTTTCCCAAGCTAATCAGCAAGTTGGGAACTGTCTCATTTCCGTAACCGGACATTCAGGGTGTCCTAGTCACATGTGCCTGTTTTGGCGGGTGGAAAACCTGAGGGCGATCGGGAGGGTCCCCAGGGGCCCCATGAAGGTGCTTCCCTGAGATGTTCGGGCCCCCTGCGGAGCACCAGGGTCCACGCCAAGACGCTTCTGATCAACTGTAGCTTCTCGGTGACTACACTGCCAGGAATGGCTGCATGGACGGAGCCAGACCCAGGCCGGGGCGCGAGAGTTCCCCAGGCCCCGGGGGGCTCCAGGGGAGGTCCCTCCGGCCCGGGCCGGCCCCACTGTCCTCCGCGGCCTGCGGCCGACGCTCACCGGCAGCCGCGTCAGGGTGCTGGCCGCCTCATCCACCTCCTCCCGTGAGGTCGTACGCGCCACCCTCTCCTTGCTCACTGACTGCCAGAAGGTCTTCCAGCCGCTGAGGATGGCCGCCTCCAGGCGGCCCCAGTCGCTGAAGGGCGGCGGCGGCGAGTTTGTTCCGCTGCGCGGCTCGCTTCCCGCCATGGCTTGCCCGCAGCGTGGGTGACGCGTCTTAGAGCCACGCTAGCGCGTCAGCCTCCTGCGCAGCTCCGCGCCAGCCGAGGGCGCCCTCGGGCGTTCCGCCTCCCGCTTCTCCCGCGAGTCCGCCTCCAGGGCAGGGTTAGGCCCAGGGGCAAGGGCGGGTACTGGGAGGAAGCCCACTGTGCGTGGCTGTGAGCCGAGTACGAAGCTCCTGTCAACAATTAACTTCCCCAGTAACTTGTGGCCTCAACCTCAGCCACGCCAACCGCAGAGCCCCTGTACAACCTCTGGCCCGCTGACTTCCTGGCTTCATTCAAGATGTTCTCTCCGGGATCATTTCCACTATGCCTGGTCCTAGGCGACTCCGCTTGTTCGATAGACCTCTGCCACTGTCTTGGGCTTAATAACCACTTGCTTCCTTTTCAGCACTACCATACTACGTATGGGGTGTTTTTTGTGTGTGTTATTTCCTCAATCACCAAGTTACCATTTATTTTCTTGAGTATCAGCAAAAACAGACTAGAGAGGCAGTCAGCGGGCCAATTACAAAGAACCTTTTGCCAAAATGAGAAGTCTGGACCCACTATGCAAAAATATAAGCACATTTAAAATTTGCAAGGGCGGCAAAAAACGGCTAGAAGAACCCAGATGTGGTGGTGTTGAAATCCCACTAGTGAGTTTTTTAATTCTCAAACCAGATGCCCATTCTACTTACTTTGGGCTTACTTTAAAAGTGCTTTAAGAGAACGTATTACAAGTTAATCTGTTACATAGAACTGGGTATGTATACATTCAAAAAGTAAATCTCTGAGGATCTAAATGTCAACAGAATCCAAGAAAGCCTGATAACTAAGGTTCTGCAAGGCTCTGTAACATACAAGTTTAAGTTTCATTACATTTTATTATTTGCATGTTGTTGGTAGGGGCCAATAACCAATAAAATTGCAGCCTCGTTTTTGGGAGGCAATCTGGACAAGGACCACGGATTAACCATATGGCATTTCTCATCACTTTCTAGGACACGATTTACTTTGAGAGCAAAAAACGAACTAGAGCAAGAAAAAAAATCAGTTCAAGTATAAAGTATTAAAATGATATCTGTTAAATGAATGAGAAAAACTTTATTACGGAAAATTTTGAACATTTATAAAAGGAGAGTGAATAATATGCTCCTGTGTGCCCAGTATCCAAGATTCCATTACCAACACCTGGTTAATCTTGTGCTGTTGCTATACTCACCTAATACTACACCCCCAATTCTGGATCCTTTTGAAACAAATCCCAGACCTATCATCTGTAAATATCTCAGTATCCGTCCCTAAAAAAAACAGATTTTAAGAAACAGACCACTGTACCTAAGCAATTTTAATTCATTAAAATCACCAAATACCGAGTCAGTGTTTAACTTCCCCATCTGCTTTGAAAATAATTTTTCACATTTGATTTGTTTGAATCATAGCCCAACAAGGGTCACACATTACGGATACTCTTAAAGCTTAAGTTTCATTGTATAGCTCCCCCTCCTTTATTTTCCCTTGATATTTGTTAAAGAAAGCAGGTTGGTCTTTCTGGACCACTCTGGACTTTCTTTTTTCTATATTCTTCTTCTTCTTTTTTTTTTTTTTTTGTTAGTAGAGATGGAGTTTCACCATGTTTTCCAGGCTGGTCTCGACCTCCCAGGCTCAAGTGATCCTCCTGCTGTGGCCTTCCAAAGTGCTAGGATTACAAGTGTGACCCACTGAACACGGCCTGCACACTATTAATGGCATCTCAATAGTGTCTTTAACACATTCGTAAATGGTATTATATACTGAGACTGAAAGCTACAAGTCATTCTCATTTTCTAATGTTCGGAGTGATCAGTGGTTTCACTGGGCTGATCCATTCAAATTTCCTGTAAGTTTTTCACCTCAAAGATAGAGCATTTATCAATGAATATTATTTGCTTACAAGTTATAAAATGTTAGTATTCTAGTTCTATAATTCCTTTTATTAGCTGAATTAAAGAAAAATTTTCCGTCAGTCATTTGATTGTCCTGCTCAAGCCAGAATTAGCTATATTTCCAGAAAACTCTGGCTCATTTTGACGGGAATGGTATTTGAACATGGTTTCCAGGCCTTTCTAGTGTCTTTTATATAGAGAAAACATAACTTCGTGTTATTTCCCATTCAAATTTAGGATTACAGATTGTTTTTACTCTTTGATTTTGTATGTATCTTTTCTCATACACTAAAAATCCTCATTTCTAATTATATTAACATAGTTATGATTAACAATTTAATTACTGAAGAGTTTAAGATTTCTTCACATTTCTTTTTGCCCTTGGATATATCCCATTAAGAATGGACATACAAATTACTATGCTTTAAAGATAACTGAAACATACCTGTGTATTCAAGCCATCAACTTGATATGCAATGCAGGTCGTCTGTTTCATTTTGCTTTGGACTTGTAGGGCTTTTCTTAACTTTGCTTAAATCTCGTTTTAGAATAACATATGTACCAAAGTCAAATGTTGAAAATTCAAGATATATTCTGAGAAATCTAGCTTCCATCCTGGTCCTTTCCATCTGGTTCCTCTCCTCCTGCCTCCACCATAAGTAACCATTTTTTAAAGTTTTGGTTATGGGTCCATTGTTTCTTTTTTTTAACTACACACACACACGCACTTTTATATTCCCTTTCTTAAATATGATACATACACACACACACACACACACATATATATATATACCTTCTCCATTTTGTTTTTACTTAATAAGACCACTCTGTAGCGTTAAACAGAAATATACCTCATGGATTTTTACAGGTACATACTACTCAATCATGTGGCTATACAAGGATTTAGAATAACCTATTTTTAAGTATAGTATTTAAATTTAAATAACCAGTATTTCATTGAATGCTTCTGACTTGTGAGTTAAGAATTAGACCAAAAGGTATCAGAAGCCAAGGCAATCAGGCTGATTAAAAAATCCAGTTTTAAATAGGATATGTATAACATATTTAGATGACTAGTACATCTCAATACAGTGGGTTTTATATATATTTTGAGGGAGGGCTGAAAATGTTTTGAAAATTAATTGGATGTTTTCTTCCAGTCATATCCACAAAAAACATTTGAGATGCCTATCCAAGTCCTGATTTCTTCTCTGAAGTCTGCTTCCCACCTAGAAAGACCGGCATGACTTGAACTAAGGAAAAGGCAGTGCTTTCCTGGCCAACAAGTTTGTCATTCAATTGTCTGGCTAATGAGTCAGCATGCTAAATGAGGTATGCCTATATACAGAACTAGACATTAAGGGAAACAGTCTAGAAATAGCTAATTCTCTTGTGCTCTTATATACTACACACTGAACTAAAGCACTCTGAATATTAACTTATTTATCTTCAATATCCTTGAGGTAGGTACTATTACTGCCTTAAAAATAAGATAAGGCAGCACAGGAAGATTAAATAACTTAAAGAGAGTCACACAGTTAGTATTATAAATGGCAGGGCTATGATTAAACTCAGGCCTTCTGGCTCCAGAGCTCAGAATCCTAACCACTATATTACCCCATCTTTAAAAGTTATTAGGACCAGAAGAAATAACATTCAGAAGTTAAAATAGTAAACTGAGATGATAAAAGTTTTAATTCTGATGCAACAGCCAAATATAAAACAAGCAACAAGTAGGGGTGTATGGTTTTATTTTTTTAAAAATGTATATGCTCAATAACAGTTTACTTGGAAATTTTCACTAGAAGAAATAACATGAAAGAACACCAGCATAAATACATAATACATACTTTAATTGTGGCTATATTAAATGTATCTTAATGTAATACCGCTGTAACATGGTATCATCTCATTGTTAAAAATTAAAAAAAAAAAAAGAACATAGGGAAGTGAAACTAAAAAACTATAGAATCCTGGATTCTGTGGCAGATGGAGTACCCTTATTTAAGCTAGAAAAGGAGCCCTGTAAGGTAGAAAGAGAAAAGAGGCAAGCAATCTGAAACCATCATGTTAACCAACTGTGAGTTTTTAAAAATGTGGTTAAAATGAATCTAAGAATGCCTTTTAACACAGCTCACACTTTAATGAACACCAGAGAATTCACAGCAAGACTGTAAAGCTAGGAATGTAAAGTTATTGTGGGGTTTTAGCCACGACCCTCACCTCACTCTACTATATGCAAAAGAAGAAAGAAAAGTCTTTAGTCATGATTTGCACCTTAATCAGCATCAATTATTCTCAGCAGCCCAAAACCCTATAAATGCAGCAGAGCACACAGGTCTTTAACTAAGTCTAAAAGCCTAGTTAACATCAAAAAAATTCATATTGGGAAAGAGCCATACACATTTAACGACTGTGAAAAGTCCTTTAACAGAGTTTTGGTAACCATGAGAGAATTCAAACCGAAGAGAAACCCCAAGTGTAAAAAATGCAACAAGGCCTTTAGGTATCACTCAACCATTAGCAAAATCCATAGGGGAGAGAAACCTTTTATGTGTAGCTGAAATGATAAAGTCTTAAGTAGTGACCCATTCCTTAATTCAATATCAGAACTTCTGTAAGAAAGAAACTTTATCAATGTGCGGAATACGCAAGGTATATAACCAAAGGAGAGAAATTTGAAGACACAAATGCTAAAGCAGTAGACAGTTCCCAACCACCCCTAAATATGATGGCATCCCACCCCTCTCCCTATCACACTAGCCCCTTACCCTCATTTATTCTTCTTCATGGTACTCATCACTTGACACTCTCTATACATTTATTACTTAAAATGCTTGTCTAACTTCCTCCACTAGAATATAAGCTCTGAAACAGGAGGGGGTTTTAAAAAGCTATATCCTCAGGGTCTAGGATAAAATCTGGCATATGGTAGGCATACAATAGTTGAGTGAATTTAGTGTAGTACTTTCCTTATGTGGGGTATTTGGTACCTTGAGGTTACTTCATTCTAAGTGAATGATTTAGCAGGCTTTAACATATATAAAAATGTGTTCATTATTCTATAATACACCAGAGTAAAAAGCATTTTAACTGCCATGGTCTACAAATTATTCTCCAACTGTGTGGGGGATGGAAAGTTGTATAAAAAGCACCCAGTACTACCCTCATAATTGTACCAACCAGTGAGACCAAGTGGTCTACCAGGGTCACGAAGGTAAAATGAAGTTTCCAACTTCTTAAGAGAAAGTTCTCTTTTCTCAGGTTCAGAATCTAAACACTTTACTCCTCTCAGGATGGCATATATCCCTATATGCCTTGTCAGCCACTGGTATAGAGGGCATAGCAGTTTGGAATCCAATAGCAACAACTTTTTGTGCAAAGTTTGGCATTTAGAATCATGCCTCATTAATTCAAAAACATTACTAAGGGCCTACCATGCATTAAGCACTATGTATACAGGTAAATTTTTAAAATATGGAGTTTACCAACAATAAAGAAAATAATTACAAAGCAGTGTGATCAGTGCGACAACATGGGAGGGGAAGAGTAAAGGACCAGAACAAAGGAGCATCTAATTTGACTGAAAAGGGCTTTAAAAAGCCTATGAAAACAGAATCACTGAAGCTGAGTCCTAAGAGGTAGGTAGGTATTCACTTGGTCACAAAGAAGGATGCAGAAGTAATGATGTGTGCAAGGCTACTGAGGTGGAAAACACACAAAGCGCATTTAGGGAAGAAGTGGAAGTACTTGCAATTGATCAGGATGCTCTAAAAAGAGGGATAGTCTGTGGTTCTAAAAACCGTATTAAAAATAATTTAAATCTTTATACTTAGAAAGCACAAAGGTATTTTCATAAGAAAACTTGCTAAAATGCTAAGTTAAATAAAAATCTTAGCTGTGTAATGATAAACAAGGGGGCTGGGGCAGGAACTGAGAAATTCCCTTTGCCACAGAGGCTCTATATCAGAATTTGTATGTTTACCAAAAGCAGCCTGGATTTTAACTGTTTGAGCAACACTGGACTAGAACATGATTACACAGGATGACTGCAGAGACATGGCTGGGAAGGTAGTCATTCTGTGTTGCCCTGATCTGCGGAAAATCCCAAAAAGAGAAAACTTACAAAGCAGAAAGGATTTTATATAACAGATGAGGACTTGACGTTTGGAAACACTGAGCTTAAAATTACTGTGGGATGTCTAATGAAGATATTTGATAGACAGTTAGAAACAAGGTTTAGAAAGCAAGAGATAAGTCAGGATACAAGTTACAGGTTTGAGACTCAGTCTGTTATTACAGGTGGTAAAAGAAGCCATAGTTATGAATGACATTGTATAAAATATGTAAAGTAAAAAAAAAAAAGAGAGAGAGAGAAAAAAATATAGTGAAGATCAATACCTAAAAGGTAGGCAGAAAGTGAGACAACACTTTGTGGGGAAATGAGAGAGACAGCGAAGATGAAACCAACATGTAGCACAGAGTCGCCTTTGATAGGAAGCAGGCAACCTCTTTTCCTCTAAAATGGGAAAATGAGTAAAGTTGGTAAATACAAGTTGACCTCTTCATAGTCTCAATTTTCTGTTCAATAGGAGAAAGAGCCATATGCTAGGGGAGGGGCAGAGGGCCTAAGGAAAGTAATGAAGTTTGGCTCAGCCACAGCGGGAAATGGGAGAGAGGCCACCCTAGTAACAAACATAAGGTTTACATTGAGGGCTTTTCTAAGGCTGAAGTGAGACACTTGTAGTGATTCTACTTTGAAGGACTACCCATCACAAAGAACTCAGCATCCCCGAAAAGGTAGATAATAAATAGGATTAATCTGAGGTTGAGGGCTTGCCAAAGGACTAGACTAAAAGACCAGGGAAAGAAGAATAACTGGTGAGATTAGTTCATATAGTATCCCATAAAGCTGAGGGTGGATAGGGAAGAAAGCCTGAAAGGGGCTGACAGTTTAGGAGGAAGGGGAGCAGTCAAGAAAAGGGGGTAAGAAGGAACTGAAGAATGTGGAATGAGCATAAAGGAGAGAAAAGTCAATAAAATAAGGAAGTGAAAAAACTGAAAAGAGGGCAGTTATCAGTTACTGAAATTTTACCAGAAAGAGAAACTCAAGGTGGTGACATTCAAAGTGCGGCCACGGGAGTAAGCTGCTGGAATGTAATAAAGTCACTGGGCAGAAGTCCAAGGTATCAGCAAGGTATCAGAAAGATCATCCAAAGATGACAACAGGAGTTGAGGTAGACAGAAAGACCATGAGCAAGATATCAAGTTAGGCTCTCTGGCCTTTAACACTCACCCCTATTATTAAAGGCAAAAAACATTAAAATTTCAGTATGTTATGAAAAGATGTGCTACAAAAACATATGAACTAATGGTAGACTAACCTAGCTTGGTTTTTATCTTCATTACTCACTTGAAAAGCCATGCATTGTCTTTTAAACAAAATAGAAAAATAATTTTTAAATTTTTATAAAATGCCTAAGGGAAGTAGAAATTTTAAATACAATTAGTAATACATGGCAAAATAATTAAACACAATGATTCCTTTGTGAGATCTTTCATTATTTACCTTATTGAAAATGGAATCTGAATATTAGTCATAATCTTTCATTTTGCCTACATTTATATCCATAGTATGTATTCAAAGCAGTGAAGTAACTTGACTTTAATTTCTGAAGCATGGCAAACTTCAAGGTAGTGAGATTTAAAAATAATCTAAAGATGATAAAAATGGTAAACTTGTGTTACATATACCACAATAAAAAAAAAAAGTAATAGAAAAAATCTTTGTAAAGCTAAATTGGGTTACTACTCATTATTAGTGACATAACATCTGTATTTTAAGGTGAGTTTGAACAACACTTTAGAAATTAAAGAATCATCCCTTCATAGGTTTACTAATATATAATGAAAAAGATGGTGATGTTGTTTTAGTAGGGTACCCAAGCTGGATATCTTTATGCAGTGTAATGTTCTCATATTCAGTATCAACAGGTCTTCTTTTTTGGAACTCTCTTTTCCATTTCATGGGTTTTGTTGTTTTTCTATTTGAAAAGGACTAGATGAACTTACTAGTTACAGCGATGATGAAAGAAGTTTAAAATTTGTTTTGCATTCGTTGTATTCCATTCTTGTTCTTTCAGGGGTCCTTCACACACAGATACATACTTTTTCAAGATTTTTTCTCCTACTTCTCGGAAATCCAAGGGTTCCTTGTATGTAGTGCAGCCCGCTCCAGACACACTAGTATCCACTTCATGATTTTCTGGTTGCTGATCAGCACAATACTTCGATCCCCAGTAACACATTTCTCCACTGTACATCATAGCCAGCAGATGAATGTCACTAAATATTCCTGGGAAAGTCATTTAGGTTGACAGATTAGAATTAAAAGCTTAAAAAGAAACCGTAGTTATTAACTAAACTCTAATTAAAGTTCCTTTTGTCATTAAGCATTTTCTATTCTCACTTTAACAGTAACACAAAAGCCAAATATGACTAACACAATCTTCATTTAATTAGCATTTTTTAATATCGATTTTACTGATAAAGGAGGCCCATTACAAAAAGAAAAACAGAGTACCAGAGAATTTTTTTAGAGAACCATTTAGGTGTTTTTGACCTTTTTGGGGTCCACTCTATAACTTCTTTGAGAATCTAATTTAAGGAATAGAACTTCTCCCAGAATATACACCCCAAATTCTGCAGTCAATTTCAGAGTACTTATAAACTCCCTGAATTACATCCATGGACACACCCTTTATTTTGGGGTATGCTCTAGGATAATTCATATAGCTAAAGTCAAGTATCCTAGACCTCTTATATTCTCTAAAAGTCTAAGAAATTATCATGCATAATCATGCCTGAGAGTCCATACAATTTTAAATTATTAAAGGTGTTATTTCCAAGATGCTTTGTATTACCAGAAAAAAAGAGAGTATGCTGCAGAATTTTCATCAAAAGTTGAACTCTTTCTTCTTATGGGTAGTTTTTCCAGTAGGCAATTATATAATTAAATATTTATGGTGCATAAAGTATATTAATTTGGCAGAAAGACAAATAAACCTAGAATAAAAAAGATCTGGGTATAAATTACTGGCTTTGTGTCTTTGGGCAAGTCACCAAAGCTCTTTGAATCTCAGGTTTTAAATCTGAAAAATAAGGAGTTTGCATCCCCTACTTAATTCCTGAATTTTCCTAAAGAACATAAAAGAAATAAAAATGTAACTTCTTAAAGCCATTGAAGAAAAAATAAATGATGGATTCTAATGTGCTTCTGTGATTAGAAAAGATTACTTCAAATAAATGAGCATCACAATGTCTGTTGTTCACCTAATATGATTCAACAAAAGTGACTATGATGGCACTGGATATGAAAAATTCAACTTTCAAAATAGTGGTAGTTTCTGTTTGAATCTATTGCAAGCTTTTTAAAGTATCAAAATTTGTTCCTACAGTTTTCACCTTCACTTCACCTCAATTTCTGCTTATAAAGAGTAGCAAGAGAAACAACAGGCTCAGCAGAATAGCTGAATGAATGGTGATATGGTTTGGCTCTGTGTCCCCATCCAAATCTCATCTTGAATTGTACCCTCATAATTCCCATGTGTTGTGGGAGGGACCCAGTGGGAGATAACTGAATCATGGAGGCGGTTTCCCCCATACTGTTCTTGTGGTAATGAATAAGTCTCAAGAGATCTAATAGTTTTATAAGGGGTTTCCGCTTTCACTTCTCTCTCCTTCTCTCTTGCCACCGCCATGTAAGAAGTGCCTTCTGCCTTCTGCCATGATTATGAGGCCTCCCAGCAACGAGGAACTGTGAGTCCATTAAACCTATTTTTTCTTCCCAGTCTTGGGTATGTCTTTATTGGCAGCATGAAAACGGACTAATACAAATGGCTATATGATAAATAGTGGTTCTCAAACTTTTGCCTTCAGAACTTATTCCTTCTTTCTAACTGTATGTTTGTACCCATTAACCCAACCTCTCTTCATCACACTCCTCCCACTCATACAACCTTTTGTGATACCAGCTCTGATTTGTAGGGGTGGGAGGCTCCTCAGTGGTATTAAGGGCATAAACAAAGGGTGTAAAAGTTGGACAGTTTTTTATTTACCTCCATGTGATTCCAGGTTTATTCTGACAATGCAATTTTTATAACCCTTTTATCTGATAAGGCCATGTCCAAAGATTAAAATTCTCTGGCCCCATTTCACAGAAGAATGAGACTCAGAGGTGAGATACAAGGGCTTACTGCATAAAATTTAATGATATACAGATAATGTCTAAACAACAATATGATTATCTTACCTTAGAAAAAGTAACAAAAACCATACACAGTTTTGAGTTTTATCTAAAATTAGGTAAATTATCACCAAGATCTAGCCACAGAAAATTTGATGTCTCATATAGAACTTTTCTCCCTAAATGCTAAGAATTACTCAGAATTGTATTTTATATGGACTAACAAAAAATAATTTGAGCCTCTCAAATTAGGACTTAGGAGTAATTCAGCCTATGAAAAGTAGGTTTCCTGGCTTCTAATCTAATCGTGTTCAGATAGATACATTTGGGCAAAGCAGCCTTTTTTTCTTTTTTCTCAGACAGGGTCTCACTCTGTTACCCAGGCTAGAGTGCAGCTGTGCGATCAGGGCTCACTGCAGCCTCAAACTCCTGGGCTCAACTGATTCTCCAACCTCAGCCTGCCATGTAGCTGGAACTACAGTCATGCACCACCACGCCTGGCTAATTTTTTTTTTTTTTTTTAGTTTTTGCAGAGATGATGTCTCACTATGTCTTGAACTCCTGGCGCCAGTTTTCTCAAGTGATCATCCTGCCTTGGCCTCCTAAAGGAGGCAAACTTATGTTTGTTTTGTTTTGTTTTGTTTTGTTTTGTTTTGTTTTGTTTTGTTTGAGACAGAGTCTGGCTCTATCCCCCAGGCTGGAATGCAGTGGTGAGATCTTGGTTCACTGCAACCTCCGCCTCCTAGGTTCAAGCGCAAACTTCTTTAGATGAGAACAAAAGGCCGACACCCTAAGAGGACTTAGGACAGTATGTAGCAAACTGCTATGGTGCCTATACTGTGTCTTTTTGCCTGGAAAATGCTACCCTATCTGACCCTTTTAATTCCCTTGTTGAAGAACCAACTGAAACTAGGAGCTAGTAAATTCAAAGTATGACAAAGAGACGCCACCAATATTACATGCTTCCTGAAGAAAAAACTCCAGGTTATGAGAATGTCTTACTTTATAACTGGAAATGGGAGAATTAGGAAAACAGGTGATTTGTGCCACTCCCTTTGGTTCTAAATGAGCTGTAGTGCCTACCCCCACCTTTTTCTTTTAAAGTGTCCCACATTAAGAATTCAATTTAATCAGTCCATGTGTATAAATAGAAATTTTTTAAAAGCCATTTTCAATGCCTCTGATTGGTTCCTAGTTATCTGAAATAACTAATAACTAGTATATACTTGCCATAATTACATCAAATATCCTATGTTTGTCAAAATGTCATGCCCACTGAGGGAGCTTTTTGTATTCACAATAAGTTGTTTTAGAATAAAATATTTGTCTAAATGAGCAGAAAGTAATAATTTTTGGCCATCAGGTCACTTAAATCACTATTTTTTTTCTATGAAATGCTTTCAAATAGAACAATCCAGGAGAGGCTAACAAAGAAACAGGAAGAATTAAAACATATTTAATATACTAGAATATTTCCAAAGAGGTACTCTAATTATTCTTCACATTTCATTTTTTTCCCATCAAAACTTCAGATGAAGTATAAAAAGGTTTACACATGTGATCTAATGTTACTTGCAGCTATATGACCTTGAACAATTCACTTGCATTTACCTGGATCTCAGTTCTTCCATTTATAAGGAGATGGTAAAAGTAAGTGGTTCTTCTCTCCTCACACACAAGTCTAAAACCCAGATGATGCTCTATATTCAGTTCCTAGAATTTTCAAGTACACAGACGCTTGTGGCAGAAATTTATAGTTGCCAACCAGTATTCATTCTCCCCAATACCCCCTTCTTAGTAAAGAATCTTAATTTTATTTGGGATGGCAATGTATCAGGTTAAGGACTATACTTCCCAGGTTTCCTTATAGCTAAGTAAAGTAATCTGATTAAATTCTGGCCAGTGAAATGGAGGTTGTAAGAAACTTCTGAGAATGATGGTCTAAAGGAACAGACTTGGCTGAAATTCCCTTTTGCCATTCCTGTAGCCTGAAACACAGGTGAGATTGAAGGAGCTCCAGGAACATCTTGGGATACTGAGAATAAAAGCAATGTCCTAAACAGAGATGCATGCTGCACAGTCTGGAAAGTATCATTTATATTATGTTCTATATAAAGTGCCTCCCCATGAAGAGGGGGTCTGGTTTTAAAGAAGAATGGAGGAAAAAGGTAAGAACATGATGAGATGGAGCCACTGTACCAGCTCTGGACCTTTACTGTGCGAAAGATCACTAAATGTCTACCTTGTTGAAAAGTTACTTCCATTCGGTTACAAGTAGCCAAATCTAGTACTGATAATATGCTGACAGAGGCTTGATATGTTTGGCTCTGTGTCCCCACCCAAATCTCATCTTGAATCATAATCCCCAGGTGTTGAGGGAGGAAGCTGGTGGGAGGTGACGGGATCATGTGGGTGGTTTCCCTCATTCTGTTCTCGTGATAGTGAGTGAATTCTCATGAGATCTGATGGTTTTATAAATGATAGTTTTTCTTGCACTCACACATGCTCTGTCTCACCTGCTGCCATTTAAGACATGCCTGCTTCCCCTTCCACCATGATTGTAAGTTTCCTGACACCTTCCCAGCCATGTGGAACTGAGAGTCAATTAAACCTCTCTTGTTTATAAATTACCCAGTCTCAGGTAGTATCTTTATAGCAGTGTGAAAACAGACTAATTACAGGGCTGTGTGAGGATGCAAAATGAGCAGAAGGAACACAATACATAACTTCCAAAATTACTAAACACAAGGGATTAGAAATATTTTTCTGTATTACATCAAAAGATTTTATCTTTGAATTTTATATAAACCCTTTATTACTTATTACTTTTTTGTCTATAATCTACCTTGACATTTATTTAAATCAGAGTGAAATCTAACAAACTTCCTAAAATCTTAAGAAGCTTTAAAACACTTAGAAAATTTAATGAGAGATCACATTACCTGCACTCAGTAATTTAGCTGTGTCTAGATCTTGGAAAGAAACTCCTTCATTTAACTGGATAGGACATCGATAATTTAGCATCTGTAGCAAGTAACTGATTCCATCAAGAAGGTACTAAATAAAAGTCAGAGCCAAAGAATTGAAAGTATTATATGCAGAGATATATAAACTTCAAATACTAATATTTTCCATTCTTTACTCAAGAGAAAATTGGTTAATATATAGGCATAGCTTACAGCTATTCTATTTCAATGGTATAAAGACCCACCATCCCAAGACTCTGCTAATATAAATATACCCCTTGAAATGCTCTAGTAGTAAAAAAGAGTACTAAAAAAAAAGAAGACATTAACCAGAAACACATTTCAGTAATATACTTGTTAAAGATGTTATCAGAGGAAGAAAAGAATAAAGATAATAAAGATGTGCTCAACAACAATGTATTAAAAACATGTATGTGGTTATAATTTAGAAATATTATGATCAAACTTTTATATCTGCAAGTGTGGCCTCGCATTTCAAGCCCACCTAAATTGTGTGTACATTTAACCCAAGTTAGAATCCTTAGTGATACAATACCAAGACTCATATTTTGGATTTAATGATTCAGTCATAATGGTCAAGTGAATCAGAGGGCCACAATTTTCTAGAAGCAGGGTCATGTGAGTTCCTTAGAAGTGATCTGCTGACAGGCTCACAGTCAAGTGTTTCTTTCAGGACAAAAATTTTTTAAAAGTTTAGAAATTAATATAGTTTATCTTATATTTAAAACAATACAAATCCTTAAAAAAAGAACTTCGCAGATTACAAAGTGCTTTCACATGTTATCTGATTTAGTCTTCACAACAAGCCCAATTTATTTATGATTACCCAGCTAGTAAATAAAAGACACAGAATACAAACTCAGACCCTTTGATCCACTACTCTTAGTAGTACAACAAAGACAGCTTTTTGAAACCTCTAAATGTCAACAATGAAAAATGTGTAAGGAATGTCTTCTTACCTTTTTAAGCAAACTGGATTTTCTTAAGAGCCACTCTCTTCTTTTGGTAAGAGAATGACAATACATATACAGCAGGGCTCCTCGTCTCCAAGAGAGACATTCCAGTAGCTCATCCCCAAGCAAATTGCAGTGCTGAAACACACAAAAAAAGACATAGCTAAAAAGGGAAACTGGATGTCTATAAAAGTTGAAGTTAAATTTCAAAAACTCATCGATTAAAAACATTCTCAAGTCACAAAATGTTCCCTTTGTTTAGCTGCTTACACAGGGAGGCCTTATTTTCAATCAATTATAAATATGCAATTCTATTAATACATGAAAATTAAAATAACTTCAATTTACTAGTAGTTTTACAAAATAATTTAAAAAATATTTTTACTAGCAAATTCCCCTAACAGGTTTGCAATATAAGCAGTCATCATCTCATTAAAAAGGTAACTTTTCACAAATACATTACTTGAAGTGAGATCATATCTATTTCTACTACCGCTGGAATAAAATAATGAAAATTTACACCCAAAAATAATTTTAATAAATCAAAATTTTTAAAGTGGCTTGTCATTGAAATTTGGAGATGTTTCCACAGCCTCCCCTGATAAATAAATAGAGAAAAAAAATATATCTAAGTAAACAGTCAGCAGGCAGTTAAAGATGAGAAATTATTTGCTTCAAAGAGTATCCAGGACTAGATATACAAATCATAGGATTATCCAAATAGAGATGACAGTACAAAGCCTGTGAACAGGTTATCAAGCAAAGACAGAATAGAGACTATCGGTGATGAAAGAGACATCCCTGGCTAGTACCTGTGTTTCTAGAATGGAAGGCAGAACAGTTGCTAGCAAGAGAAGACATTTCAGAGATGAAGAAGTGGAAAAGAAGCATGCAGGGTCTCAGAGGGAGGGGGTGATCAACATTAAGAAGGGGAGCAAATGTTCGAGAGAATAAGGACTGTAAGAACAGACGTGGTAATTAGATTAATAGTGACCTTCAAGAAAACAGCATCTGCAAAAGTAAAGGGGGTCGAAATGGGAATATCTATATTAAAAAAAATGATTAGGCACAGCTATTACAATTCTATTATGCAAATATTCTGAAATACATTTAGTAAAATATGATACTTTTGTTGCAACATTGGTCTGAAGTGTTAAGCTCTTTTATCTCCCTCTTCCAATCTTAATTTAAGAAACAAAGATACAATCAAGAAGAAAAAAATATAGACTCCAAAAAGCAGGACAGCAAGTACCAGCAATATTCCATCATAATTAACAGGAATGTAAAACTTACTTTTGGATGCATATTATTTTCCTTTACTAAAATTTCTGGTTCTGAAAGAAAACTAATCAGCTCTTTTACTTTCTGTGAAGAAGAGTCTTCAGGAAAATCTTCATCTACTAGCTTGTTCTCCTCAAAATATGTCATGTCCAAAATAGCCTAAAAAAAAAAAAAAAGAAAGATATCTATCAATGACTTAAAATTGAAAAAAAACAATTCTTACAGTCTAACCTTGCACACATAGGTGCTTTATTACACATTTAAATCTTCTAGCTCAGTATGTAAATTTGAGAAGTAGGCAAAATGTCTAGATGTAAATATAATTTGAGAAAGATTTTAAAGAAAACTTCATAGGTATTTCACTAAAGTGCTGAATTAATGATAATCTTTCTTTCCCTCAAAAAAGAAAATAGAGCTTTGTTTTAATTTACAGAATTTAATCATATATAATTATGAAAAAGGTAATTATTATATTCTACTACTTATATAACCCCTGAAAATTTTCTAAATGCCTGCTGTATCAAGTTAAGGTCACTACTTCCAGTTTTGAACCTTCAAAGGATTTGTGTTCCCAAATACAGAGCCAGCGTGAGGGGCGTATGTATCCTGCCACCCAATAGAGGAAGCATACCATCAACATATGCAACTCAAACACTAAGCCCCCAGTATTCCTAATTATTAGAGATGCTGTTAAAGCATATTAAAACTCCCCAATCCTTTTTCCTTTTTTAATCTATTGAACTAAGACTAAGGAAACTGGGTTCTAGGGTCAGTTCTACCACTAATCAC
This sequence comes from Homo sapiens, assembly GCF_000001405.40. Classification (NCBI taxonomy): domain Eukaryota; kingdom Metazoa; phylum Chordata; class Mammalia; order Primates; family Hominidae; genus Homo; species Homo sapiens. The sequence goes on along the minus strand of NC_000005.10, from coordinate 41,909,115 downwards.
TTAACTAACCAAAGACAAGTCAATTTTACCTTTTTTGAGCCTCAGTTTCTTAATTGGCTAAATGATAAATTGGACTAAAATACCTTTCAAAGTTCCTTGTTGGAGTAAAAAATTAATTAACATATGTAAGGTACTAGAAACGTTACCTAGCACCCAGTTAGTGCTTTACTTTCTGTGAACATGAGGAGTAAATGTTATCGTGCGAAAGGCCTAAGCCAGTAAGGAGAGATCATCATATATGATTTCATCATCATATGAAAGGTGATCTGTTGATTCAGAACCATCAATAGGGTTTAAGAGGATCTTAAAATTGAAATCTGTATCTCTAGGTCTTTTGCCTTATTCCAGTAAGTTAAAATGTCTGGAACACTCTCGTGAAAAAAATGAGATGACATAAAACACATACAGACAAGCACAGAGTCTTCTGAACAGAAAGAAAACCAAGCAAAATACCTGCCAAACTTAAAACAGTTCTCTGTGGTTTGTGAGTAGCTGTTAGGCTTACTCATCCATGGTGTTTGAAGGCAGAAGCTATCTTTAGAAATTTCCTAACAGGAAGAACAGCACCAAGCATTTAAATGCTATAAATGGGCACTTTGGAAGCCTAACTAAGTGTACTGTACTTTCTGTAACCACTTCAGTTTTATTATCCCTTAGCAATCCAAAAAGGGCACATGAAAACACTCTATCAACTACAAAGTGCTATATAGATGTTAGTTACCATAATAAAATTACATTTCTTGATGTTAGCATGCCTCAGCAGTGTTTCAGAAAACCAAGAAAAAAAGGTGTTGTCCACACAGCAGCCTGATTTGGAAAGGAAAGTTAAAAAAAAAAGTGGGTGAATAGAAAAATCACATAGATATGCATGACACTAGCAGGGAGAATAATATTGAGAATCCTAGGGAAGGTAAATTTCAGGGGAAAAAAAAAAAGTCAGGGCCCTTATATACTCCCCTGCTCCCTCTGAAACTTTCAAGAGATTGGACATTGCACACACTAGTGTCCTGTTCAATTATCTCTAAAGGAAAACAATTCCGTTATCTGTAAGATTTTCTTCCTGACTTTTCTTATTAACACATCTAATAAATCTTACTTCTTTTCATACTACCTCAAAGTTTTAAGTTTTTGTGTTTTATTCATAGTTTTTTGGACAAAATTAAACACTTGAAATATAGAATAAACTGATTTCATTTTACCTAAAGTTGGAGTCAATCATCTAAATAAACAACCTGCCCTCATAAAATGCCAGAGTCCACCACTCTTTCAGTACCTGTGTGTAAAGTTCTAGAAGATTTGATGGATTTGAACATTCTTTCTCTTCTCCACACAGGAGTTTCAATTTTTCTAATGCTGCAGAGGCCCGAATTAAAAAGTGATCTATAAGAAATAAAAACATGAGGATTACTTCACCTAGTTTCAGAGTGTTATTTAAACAAAAAACACATTATGTATGAAGATGAAATGACAAGATGAAATAATATTATGACATATGGAGAAACAGAATTATAGTAATAATATCTTATCTAAAACATGAAATATCTCATAATGCCTAATCCTAATTAAGTAAATTTATCATGAAAATTTTTCCTACAAAGCAAAATACTGAAAACTTTCTAGAGTCACTCTTGCCATTTCTTAAATGCAGTCTGTATTCTCATTATGCTTCTTTTATGATAATGCACTCAAAATAATTAAACAAATTTAAAACTTACTGGAATATACAAATAATATACATAAATATACAGAAAGGGCTTCCACTGAAAACTTAAGATTTCATAAATGTAGTTGCAAATGTTATTCAAAAGACCATGATTGACCAAATCAAATTCCTTACAAAATGCCAGCATTATGAGCAATTTTATAATTGTTTATATCTACTACAATTAAAATTACATAATACATCTGTGTATTTAATTCCTTTAAAAACTTAGAAACAAATTACCTCATTTCCTCAAAACCTGGAAGAAAAGGAACTAAATACTTCTAATAAGTCCTCTAATCACAATTCACCCTCCCTCCGCCTTCACCATCTCCTGATTTTTTTTCCCTTTCTCTAATGTCATAATCCCTTTGTTGCTTCTGTGATTTCACCTTTTCTTATGTGTCCACTTCAAGGTACTATCCACCCTTCTGCAGCACTTCATGAAGTCAAATTTAGATACACCCATAATCAAGACACTAAACTCTCTGAGTTTACCTCTCAGTGCTTCCCTTCTGAAACATAGTCTGATATTCTAAAATATATCCCTTTCTTCTTCATGGGCCAATGAACAGATAGTGTAGCATTTGGTGTAGGCCTACCTGATCCAGCCTCAGGAGTTACACAGATAAGGTGTTCATTGTTGGAGCAAAAGCACCATCAGGTTATGTCTGTTGGCAATCATGTGACTGCTGCCTTAAGTCTTCTCAGGTAAAGCCTGAGATTGCATTTTGACTGCTGTAAGATCCACTTTCACTTGAGTTGAAATCTACTTCTTAGCACTGTCCTTCCACCTCTCATTAGCCCAGAAGTGACATCCACACAATGTAGAAAAAGATTCTACTATAAACTGAAATTACATGGAATATGACATGCCTTAGGTGCTTCTTTAGAGAGTGTGTTGATATTTTGTTTAACTTGCAGGATTATTTTCAATGTAAAGATTTGCATTGAACTCACTAAACCATTGCTGAAAGAGTATGTCACATAAATTGATGACATAATTACTGTGGCAGGGGTGTGGTGGTGGCATAACTCACACTTTGGAAAAGCCCATAAAATGCAGTATTTTGACTAGAACTATTTAGTCAAAGTAATGACTGGCAAAGCAAAAGATGAAACTGATTCTTATATAATCTGTGGAAAAACTCCCTCATGACGTACTTCCATAGAGTAAACAGATTGTGCTTGTATGATGAGAAATAAATTAACAAAAATTGGCTAGAAATTTAAAGACGCATTCTTAGATGAAATAATGTCTGGCTGTATCTCATCTAATCTGAAGAAGACAATGGAAATCATCAAACCCTTATATCCTAGTATAAATATATACTCATTACATTAAAGAACAAAGTTTGAATGTATATTATTCTTGTTGCGTGGAAAAATAATGCCAAATTCAATTCAAGTACATGAAATCTTGTTTTAATTAAAGTTCATAAATCTTGTAATATTTTTAAGATTGAACTGATTTCCATGCTGATCAACGGCTCATAATGTGGACCACTAACATTGTCATTTTATTTTAGTAAATTTTCAGAAGTATAAAGCCTTCAAACAAGAATTCCATATATAGCACATGACTTTTATTTCCAGCTCTGATTCATTCCAGATTAAAGAACTCTTCCAAGGGAAATGAGAATGGCTTTTTAGTTCAGTGATAAGTGAATAAAAAACATTCTTTGGTCTCTTTGGACTGGTTCAAGTGAATCTGGAATTAGAGGTAACATAGATAACTTTCAAGTTAATAGCTCCTACTACCCAAGAATTATTCATGTGAATCCACAGACCAAAATATAAGTCGGCTTCAGGGTGGTCTGTAGGTCTTTAAAGAACACACTCCTGGCCTGGCACAGTGGCTCACGCCTGTAATCCCAGCACTTTGGGAAGCCAAAGCGGGTGGAATGCTTGAGCCCAGGAGTTCAGGACCAACCTGGATGACATGGTGAACCCCGTTTCTACAAAATATGCCAAAGTTAGCCGGGCGAGATGGTGTGCGCCTGTTGTCCCACTACTAGAGGGGCTCCAGCCTGAGCAACAGAATGATACTCTGCCTCTAAAAACAAAACAAAACAAAACACTCCTGATAAATGATAATCTGGCAAAAAATATTCACTGAAACTAAGGCATTTCATCATAGACCCTATTTAATAACAAATTCACCAACTATTCAATCGCTTAAGAAAATGTTCCACCACTGTTTTCCTATGAGTCCGATGATATGAGTCAGTCCACAGAATTTTAAAAACTATCTGTAGTAATTGCTCAAACTCAAAAAGGAATAATGTAGAACCTAAAGGCAGCTGAGACGTAATGAAAAGAATTGGACTTAAATTCAGAAGGTTGAGGCAATTCCCTAGCCCAGTTTTTCCTAACAGCTTAGACCTTTCCAAAACAAGTATGCCAATACTTAACAGAGCCCTTGTGAGAACTGGCATGATGTATGGGGCAGAATAGTCTACACACCAATGTAAAGCTCTTCTATAGAATGTTGTTTTGAATCCAAAACGTAAAACGCAAATTACAACGCAGCAATGAAAAAGTGGAACTGTTATACATGTCTTTTTATCTTTACAGGATGCAAACCACCATAACTAATTTGAGTGTTATCATTCATCTTAGCCATTTATTTAAACTTCTGTATTTTATTTAGATTCTGCCCTTCTTCCAATCGCTACCGAGACAGTTTACACCAGCACGGATCTAGACAGATTTTCCATGGGTTCTGAATAATGCGGTTTTCGAAGACAACGCCTTGGCATTGTGAGTTCTGGGAAGTGGGCAATCGATGGCGCAGAGGGGCTCAGAAGCGACAGACCTCGGGTAACCACCTGCGGCCTGGGACCCAAAGGAACACAGGCCTCAGCCTCTAGCCCTCACAGCCATCGAGCGCCAGTACCTTAGCGCCGTCTGCCCCGCCCGCCTCCCTCTCCTCCGCTCCCTCACCATCTTCACCGGCAGCTTCGCTAAGTTGCTGTATGTGGGCCTGAGCCAGATCCCCGAGCTCTTCCACTCGTCTCACCACACTAGAGACTGCGGCCGCCATGGCCACAATCGGCGGGTGCGCCCCGGTCACGTGACCGTGTTGGCCCGCAATCACCTGATCCCCCGGCACGGGCGGGGCCTAGGGCGGACCTCTCCTGGTTGGTGGGAGGAGACATCAGCTCCGGAAGAGGGCTGGCCCAGGCCGGCAAAGGTCTTTCCGGGTCATTTTTCCCTCCTGGACTTCCCTTCCCTCCCATAATCCTGAGCAGCAAGGAGACTAGGGGCGGGTGTGACGTTGAGACACGCCTCTCTCTAGCCCCCTCCTGTAAGCCAATAGGGAGCCAGCCGTGCCCCTCGGCTGACCCAATCGGAAGTCAGCTCTCTCCGCCTGCCTCTTGGAAGACAGCTTGGTGACGTCTGGCTGGCAGGATGCGGATTGTCGTCCGCACTCCCACTTCCCTGTCCGGCGCGGGAAGCACAGTCTGGAGGGCGGACGCGAGGGTCTGGAGAGAGGACTGTCAGTTTTGGCCTTGTAGTAAGGAGGTTGCTAAAATAAAGTGATTATAATCTCCTGGTCCTAAATGGAAACCCGACCGGCCCCCTGTGTAACACATCCAAGTCTCCAAGAGTTTGTTGTACATCTGGATGGGGAGCTCCAAACACTAGTGGAGTTGCCAGTCTACATGGTTGAATATTGCTTTTGTAAATCTGATTTTTAGCAGTCGAATTTATCTCTGACCTCCCTTGGAGTTCACATTTAAAGTACTTTAGACATCTTGCGTCCAGTGGTAGTAAATTCTGCGGCCACAAAACTATTTTCATTTTTCTTTCATCTCAAGACCTTCCCTTAAGGCGCTAATTGTGCATGAGGTTCATCCTCTCAATCGGGAGTTTCAAAGCACTCAGTCAGCAAGTCTAACTTCACTTTGCATTCTGTGAATGCTTTCTTGCCTCTGGTCAAACAAATCGTTAACTCTGTGTATTCATTTCTCAGTTTGACACACTATATCTTGAATAATCTCCATCCTATTGTTTCTCATGGAAGGTAGTTTTTTATATGTAATAGAAAAATACTAAAAATAGAGAAAAAGTGTATTGTGATTTATAAGTGATTGACCACAATGACTCTCTAACTGACCTTTGTAATACCAGTTTCTTCTGACAATTCACCCTAAATATAGAGGACAGGAATCATGTATTTTGTGTCCTTGGTGCCTCATACAGTGCCTGGCACATATGCACTCTTGTCAACAAGCAAGATGGCAAGGGGATATGATGTGGTCTGTGGGAGTAGACAATTATTCAATAGTGTGGGAATTGTAGGTGAGGAAAAAAAGAATCTAAGTATAAACAAGAAGTTGAGAGAAGGCTTTCTCAACAAGGGATGGAGAAGGTGGTAGTTGAAGAGGGGCAAGTGCTGGAAGGTAGGGTGGAGAATGATCGTATCTGTACACAAAGGGGGAAAAATAGGGAAATAGGGATAAATTCAAAATGAAAGTAGGGAGCCAGCAATGGATAGAGAAAAGAGCAGAAGGTTACACCTGATGCCTTCTGAATCTTCTACAAGATGTAGAACTAAATGAAGCCTTCAGAAGATTTTACTAAACTTTTCAAAAAATAATTTTCAAAAAATAATTAACCTTTGATTAGGAATTTTCAGTCTCCTAGAAAATGTGTAATTTACCATTCTTAAACTACTTAAAAGAATTACCTGGACATGTGGGCAACAGACAAAGGCACAGCTGAAATATTTTGACTGTGGATCTACAAATTATCTCTGCAGAAGTGTTTTACTCTCAGGTCCACTGTTCTTCTCAGGCTTTTATAAAAGACATCTTAGGATCTATGTAATCAGGTCATCCATTTTCTAGCCATGAGATTTGGGTCTGGGAGATCTTGCTCATGATTTCGAAGTGATCTTGGATCGCCATTTGAATCAAGGGTTCCTTTTTAAAATAAACATTTAGAGTCAAATATTCAAAAGGCCCTTTTATTACAACCACAGCTTTATCTGTTCCCTCTCCATAAATGTGGCTATTGAAAACATTTTAGGCCAGGTATAATGGCTCATGCCTGTAATCCCAGCACTTTGGGAGATGTAGGCAGGCAGATCACCTGAGGTCAGGGGTTCAAAACCAGCCTGGCCAACATAGTGAAACCCCTTCTCTACTAAAAATACAAAAAAATTAGCCAGGCATGGTGGCACATGACTGCAGTGACAGCTGCTCAGGAGGCTGAGGCAGGAGAATTGCTTGAACCCAGGAGGTGGCCATTTCAGTGAACCGAGATCGCACCACTGCACTCCTGTCTGGGTTACAGAGAGAGACTCTGTCCCAAAACATAAATAAATAAAAATAAAAAATAAAAACATTTTAGTGGAGTGTGTTTCCAATACTTCAAAGTCTTTTTCTTGTTTTCCTTTATGTTCTCTTTCCCTAGTTAATGTCGTGGTCAAATGTAGAAACTTCATGTTTGTTAATGCATTTTATTTAGTTCAAAGTTTAAGTGAACTGTAAAATATTGAAACATAATAAAATCACCCTTACCCCCATAACTTCTTCCTTGCCATCTTTGCTCAATCTCTCCAGACTCTGCTACATTTCTTCTGGCTCTATCAGGCTAAGCCAGTCTTGTCTGTTTGAACTACCAAGGAGCACTGAGTCCTGACGTTAAGACTCTTTCATATTTACCAGGCTCCTAATAAAGTATTTCTCTCTAGCTATGAGTGTGATTCTAATTTTTAGCCCTCTATGGTAAACACCAAGCTTTGTGACAAAAATGATACAAAAGGAGACACAACAAACAAATATCATGAATATATTTGCAAAAATCCTAACTAGAATATACTCAATTTAAAAGATGGGTAGGCCGGGCGCGGTGGCTCACGCCTGTAATCCCAGCACTTTGGGAGGCCGAGGCGGGCGGATCACGAGGTCAGGAGATCGAGACCATCCCGGCTAAAACGGTGAAACCCCGTCTCTACTAAAAATACAAAAAAATTAGCCGGGCGTAGTGGCGGGCGCCTGTAGTCCCAGCTACTTGGGAGGCTGAGGCAGGAGAATGGCGTGAACCCGGGAGGCGGAGCTTGCAGTGAGCCGAGATCCCGCCACTGCACTCCAGCCTGGGTGATAGAACGAGACTCCGTCTCAAAAAAAAAAAAAAAAAAAAAAAAAAAGATGGGTAATACCCAAAATCTTAAGCACTCAGTCTCATACACTGTTGTTAGGAATATACTTTTATACAAACTACTGAAGGATGAATTATGTATTAAAGCCTTTAAAAATAACTGATCCAGTTATTTATCCTAAGACAACAGCTGGAGAAGTGTGTAAAGCTCAATAAAACAAGGAGGTTCACCACAATTTTGTTCATAATTGTGAACATTTGGAAATAACACAGATATCTGTCAGAGGAGATTGATTCAATAAGTTTTGGTATATTTATGCAGCAGGATATGCTGTAGGCATTAAAAATTATGTTTTATCTCCATATCTATTGACAGATTAAGATTATCATAATTTCTTATTAAATAAAAATAAGTATAACAGTACACAGAGTAGAGCTTTAGTTTTGGTTTATATTTTTCTTTTTGTTTTTGTTGAGACAGAGTCTCACTCTGTCACCCAAGATGGAGTGCACTGGAGTGATCTTGGCTCTGCCTCCCAGGTCCAAGTGATCCCCCCACCTCAGCTCCTAAATTGTTGAGACTACAGGTGCATGCCACAATGCCTGGCTAAGTTTTGTGTTTTTTTGTAAATATGGGGTTTCGACATGTTGCCCAGGCTGGTCTCAAACTCCTGAGCTCAAGAGTTCCACCTGCCTCAGCCTACAAAAGTGTTGGGATTACAGGTGTGAGCCACGGTGCCAGACAAGCTTGTTTTAATCTGGGTTTATGAATCCAAAATTTGAGAGAATATTAATTATGAATAATAAACTCATACAATGGGTGCACATATAGATGACTTTTAATTTTTTAATTTTCTTTTATTTTTTACAAATGCTACACTAAGCATAAGTTAAAGTAGAACTTTTCTCCCTTCCCCCATGTTTCCATATGGAGAGACCACCATGAGAGTAATTGCGGTGGTTGAATGGTGGCCTCCAAAAAGATATGTCCATGTCGTAAACCCCAGAACCTGTGGATGTGGCCTTATATAGGAAAAGGGTCTTTGCAGATGTAACTAATTTAATTATCTTGAAATAAGATCATCCTGGATTATCTAGGTGAGTCCTAAATCCAATGGCAAATATCTTTAGAAGGGACAGAAGAGAAGACACAGATATAAGATGGAGGCAATGATTAGAGTGATGCACCAAGGAATACCACAGATTGATGACAGCCACTGGCAGGTAGGGGAGGGGAATGAAGGGATACTCCCTAGAGCCACACTCAATCAGATGACCTATTTCTTCCTTGGGGAAAAATGAGAAAGAGAAGGTGATGAGGCCAACAGAGGTAGTTTCTTGTGGCTGCTGTAAGAAAAAAAAAATACCACAAACTATGTTGCTTAAAAACAACAGAAATTTATTTGCTCACAGCTCTGGCAGTAAGAAATCTGAAATCAAAGTGGCAGCTAAGTCAAAAGAATATTTGAAGAAATAATAGCATAAATGGTTTCCTAGCTATGACACCAAGAAAAAAAAAGCAGCAACAAAAGAAAACATAGATAAATTAAACTTACTAAAAATTAAGAACTTCAGTGCTTCAAAGGACACTATCAAGAAAGTAAAAAGACAACTTGCAGAATAGGAGAAAATATTTGCAAAGCATATACATGATAAGAGACTAGTATCCAGAATATGCAAGGAATTCCTACAATGAAATAGTAGAAATATAATAATCCAATTAAAAACATGCAGAGGATTTGAATAAGTAGTTCTCCATTGAAAAAAAAAAATAGCCAATTTGCACATGGAACGACGTTTAACATCATTAGGCGTTAGGGAAATGCAAATCAAGACCACAATAAGATACCACTTCATATCCACTAGGATGGCTATAATAAAAAACTCAGGTAAAAAAACACGTTGACAACAATGTGGAGAAATTGGAACTCTAATACACTGCTGGTGGGGTAAAATGGTGCAGCCATTTTGAAAAACAGCTGGAAGTTCCTCAAAACGTTAGTTATAGAGTAATCATATGACCCAGTGCAATGGGTTGAATGTTTATGTGCCCCCACTGGCCCTGAAGCAGATTCATATGTTGAAATCCTAATCCCCAAGATGATAGTGTTAAGAAGTGTGGCATTTGGAGGTGACTAGGTCACCAGGGTGGAGCCCCCATGAATAGGATTATAAAAGAGGCCTCAGAGAGATCTCTCAAACTCTCCACTATGTGAGGACACAGATAAAAGACGATTGTCTAATAAGAGGGCCCTAACCAGACATGGAATCTGCCAATGCCTTGATCTTAGGCTTTCCAGCCTCCAAAACTGTGAGAAACAAATTTCTGGGCTTTTTGTAAACCACCCAGTTTATTGTATTTTGTTATAGCAACCCAGACTCAGACATGCAGCAATTCCATTCCTAGCTATATACTGAAGAGATATTCAAATATATAGCTACACAAAAATTTTTACACAAATGTTCATGGCAGTATTATTCATAATAGCCAAAAGTTGGAAACAACCTCAATGTCAATGAACTGAGAAGCAAAATGTGATATAACCATACAATAAAATATTATTGTTATACAAATGAAGTACTGACACATGCTAGAATCTAAATATTAAATACATTATGGTATGTGAAAAAGCCATACACAAGAGACCATGTCATATGATTCCATTTATATTAGATGCCCATGATATGCAAATTCCATAGAGACAGAGAGTAGATTAATGCTTGCTCTGCGTTAAGGTAGATGGGGTATACGAAGATGATGGCTAAAGGACACAGGGTTTTTTTGAGGAGAGGGTAAGATATTCTGAAATTGTGGTGATGTCAGATGCCTCATGAGGATGTGAAAAATTAAAAAATAATAAAAAATAAAATAAAATTGTGATTGTTGCAATATATGTGAATATCCTAAAACCATTGAAATGTATACTTTAAATGAATGAGTTATATGGGATGTGAATTATATCTCAATAAAGCTGTTAAAAAATGTGTCCCATACTGGGCATCTGAAACTTCATCCATAGCAATTCCTATGCACAAATTCAAAGGTTGTAGCTCCAATATAACTGTATGTAATTCCTAAAATAATCCAGTTGTCAATAGTGGAATAACCATGTATAAATGCCAACCCATTTAAGATTAATTACTCTGAAACTAATTTGTCAAGCACAGAACAGGCATATACTTTAGACAGATATCTAGTAATTTTTTTAATGGAGGATTACTGTTTTAAAAAATAGGATATACTGCATTTGATTAGATGGGAACCTACTGGCAGCAAGGAAAAAAGTTAAATTGAAAAAGTTGATAGGGGACACATTATAGAGCCGATGTGATGCCATGATAAAGAGTTTGTACTCTCAGCTGTAGACAGTGGAGAGACTGGAATGGCTTTCAGTAGGATAATGACAAGGTTAGATGTCTGAAAGATACACTGGTGGTAAGGAAGATGAACTAGTAGGTTTAAGTCTAAAGAGAGGGAGACCAGTGGGGAGGCTTTTAAAGTAATCCGGGAGAGAGAGGATGATGGCCTAAACAAGGATAGTATCAGCATAGGAGGGCAAGAGGGACATGATAAAATAAATATTATTAAGAGGTAAAATCAGTAGGAATTGGCCATTAATTTAGCACAAAGTTAAAGCCCAAGAACACTGCTTTGTGCCTATTAACAAGAAAACTCCATCACCTACTTTCTAAATTCTTAATCTGTTGAAGTCAAAGTTCTCTCCATTCCATTGCACAATGTTGATCATATTAACTTTGGAGATTTAAAGACAGCATTAATGTAGTTTGGCCATGCACAACATTTATAAATTTTAGTTTGTATCTTCAATTAATTGATAAAAATAAAGAGGTCATGTAATACAATATCAGAGAACTGCCTGAATTAAATACTCTTTCTTGTATTCAAACTAGAAAGTTTCCTCCTTTTACTTTATTGGCTTTAATAATATAATTGTCTCCGGCTTAAAACAATTTATGAATGGGCATGGTGGCTTCTGCCTGTAATCCCAGCATTTTGGCAGGACGAGGTGAGATAATTGCTCGAGCCCTAGAGTTCTAGACCAGCCTGGGCAACATAGCAAGAATTTGTCAAAACAGAAAATTAAAAAATTAGCCAGTGTGGTGGCACATGCCTGTAGACCTAGCTACCTGGGAAGCTAAGGTGGTAGGATTGCTTGATCCCAGAAGTTTGAGGCTGCAGTGAGCTAAGATGGTACCACTGCACCTTAGCCTACACATAGAGTGAGACCTTGTCTCAAAAACAACAACAGCAACAAAAAACACAACTTATGCCCAGGTTAAATCCTTTGAAGTCTGTCAATTATAAGCATATTTCTTAGCCCTACAGCCTTCATACAGTGGAAGCTTTACAGTCTCCAACCTGCTTTCATGCCTTCATCTCCTTACTATCCTGAACTCCCTCTCCCAAGATTCTTTCCAACAACCACCCTCCTCCCACCTTTCACTCTACTTCCTGTAACTTTTGCTCCAACATTACAAGATGCCTCCATATTTTCAAAATTAGATGGAAATTTGGTCCAGCGAACACCTATTAATCCATGCTTTATCGGCTATGAGGTCAAGCTCCCTGACTACACTTCTGGATTCCTTGCTCATATCCAGTAAAGCCAGTGAATCTGGGGTTAAATTATTTATCTTTACCCTAAATCCTGCCATAATCCTAAGACAGTCCAATGTCCTTGTAGCCAGCAAGCCATGCTGTGGATCTCAGAAATCTTAAACTCTAGAGCCCAATCTCTGACTGCATCTTCTCTCATGATCTCATACCATAAGAGATCTTTCATCTAGAAAACCTTTTGGCAACATTTTCTCCCAATCTTTTTAACTCCCTTCTGGCCTCTGTTCCCTCTTTTTGTAGCTTGAGTCACATGATTGATCACTTAAGCCAAAACCCTCAGTTCCTTATCTTTTCAGCACTCTCAGTTCCATATCCTTTTAACCCGTAAAATCCAGCAAATCTTCAATCAATGTTTCTTTGCCCTGCCATTCAGGTGGTGAACTCTGCGGCACAACAGCCTCATTTGCACATAGATTGCTGCCACTGTAAATTGAGCTGGATCATTGATGCTGCCTAACAGTTCTCTTACTTGTCCCTAGTCAGTTTCTTCTGGTGCATTCTCCTCAGATAGTAAACTCCTTGAGGGTAGAGTGAATACCTCATGCATGGTTGCATCTCTTGCACACACCACTGACTTGCCTATAGTGAACACTTAAATATTTGTCAAATTATTAAATGCTAATGAGTTAATTCATTAACATTTATATTAAATGAGTGAGTCTACCTTAAAAATCTTCAAATCTCTCCAATCTCTTGACCCTGAATTTCTCTCTGGCTCCTTTCTATTCTCTATGTAAGTCCCAACATCCAAACACTACAGAAGTACAGTCTGCACTGTCTCCTGTCTTTGATTATTATTGATAATATTCCCATCTCAAGATCCTTAACTTAATAACATTTGCAAAGTTCCTTTCGTCATACAAAGTAACATTCAAAGGTCTTAAGTATTAGGATCTGGATATCTTAACCTATATACTCCAGAAAAAATAAAGCACTACCAGCAATTTTTAATGGCTTAATTAAATCACCTTATTTTTCTTGTATAAAGACATTAGTGTGGTGGTCACAGCCAGAGCCTGAATCCTCTGCATGGACACTCTGGTGTGGGTCAGTGAATTCTTGTTAAGCAGACAGAGGCTTCCCAGAGATTGGAGTGAGATAACTATAGGTCTTGTAGATGGCATCAAAGGTGGCTTTGGTGAAGTTGCCCAGGGTGGTATTGCAATCCCGTGGCTAAAATGTAGTAGTTGAGGATACCGGCCATTATTAGCAGCTTCTTTGGTGGCAGGGGTGAGGAGTACCAGCACAGAGTTACAGCTGCCTATTACCTTTCAAGGGACAATGTGGAGTTTGCCAATCTTGTTCCTCCAGTAGCTTCACTGCATGGGACTTACAGAGAGCTGTGCAAGGATGACGGTCTCATTGATGGCAGTGGCTACTTCCTTGGAGCACTTCACACACAGATGATATGTTGCTTATAGTCCAAGATAGTGAAAAATGCATTGTTCCTGGTCAGCTGGACAGCATGAATCTGCTTTTGCAGGGGTGTAATCTTTAAAACCTTGTCTTTGAGGAATATTCCCAGGAAATAGTAGATGATCTCAGACTACTGAATGGGTAGGGAAAACAGAAAGATCTCCCTTGTGGACTTGATCCAGGTGGCACAGCTTGGTGATAGGAAGGCATCCCTTGTCTTTAATTCCTTCACAAGATCTGAGACTTGGACCAAATGCTGCCGCAGAAACCTCTGTGGAAACCAAGGCTTCTTTTTCCAGGACATCCGGGTGTGGGGGGGCCCTCAGGCAGCACTAGGAACATCTATCATTTGGTATTTTCTCAAAGAAGCCCAATATTTAAATTGGAGCCCAATGAGCCCTAGGCTGGACTTCCAACCTATAGAACTAATAAGATAATAAATCTGTGTTGTTTTAAGCTATTAAAGGCGTAGTAGTATGTCACTGAAGCAATAAAAAACTAACATACCCATCTCCTCAGTTGATTTTTCAGTTATGCAGATCTGTCTCTAATCTGTACCAAAAAATCTATATCCTAGCTTCTTGCCTAAGAATTTAATGTCTACTGGTTTGATGCCAGCTCTTACAAGATTTAATTTTAGAAACTATTTAAGCCTAAAAGAAACCACCTTTTCCCTTACTATCAGGCAGAACAGCTCTGTCCAATACAACTTTCCACAATAAAGGAAATGGTCTGTATTTGCGCTGCATTTCATGTAAATGGAATCATATAATAAATGGCCATTTGTGGCAGGCTTTTTTCATTTAGTATAATGTTTTTGAAGTTCATCTATTTTGTACCTCATATTGGTACTGCATTTCTTTTTGTGGCTGAATTAGATTCCATTGTTTGGATATACCATGTTTTGTTCATCTAGTCACCAGCTGATGGGCATTTGAGTTGCTTTCACCTTTAGTTATTATGAATAATGCTGCTAGAAACATTCCCATACACATTTTTGTGAAGACACATGTTTTCACTTTTGTTGGATATATACATACCAGTTGAATTGCATGCCATATGGCAACTCTATGTTTAATTTTTGAGGTACTGACAGACTGTTTTTCAAAGTGGCTACGTCATTCTGCATCCCCACCAGCAGTCTATGAAGGTTCTAATTTCTCCACATCCTTGCCAACATTTGTTATTATGTCACTTTTTGATTAGTGGCCATTCTCACAAGCCATTCTTGTCCACATGAAGTGGTATCTCATTGGTTTTGATGTGAATTTCCCTGATGAATAATTATGTTGAATATCTTTGTATGTGCTCATTGGTCATTTACATATCTTCTTCGGAAAAATGTCCATTCAGATCTTTTGCCCACTTTAAATTAGGTTATTAATATTTTAATAACCAACTTATAATAGTTCTTTATATATTCTAGATACAAGTACCTTATGAGAGGTATGTTTTACAAATATTTTCTGACAATTACTGTCTGGGTAATTTAGTTCCAGCCTGAAGAACTCCCTTTATTATTTCTTATATAGCAAGTCTGACAACAGTAAACATTTTCAGTTTTGTTTCTTGGGGAAGGTCTGTCTTTATTTTGCTTTCATTTTTGAAAGACAGCTTTGTTGGGTGTAGGATTCATGATTGACCTTGTTTTTTGAATACTTTGAATATGTTATACCACTATCTTATGTTTTCCACTATTTCTGCTGACAAGTAAGCTCTTAATATCACTAAGCTTCCCTTGTAAGTGACAAGTCATTTTTCTCTTGATATTTTGCAGATTGTCTCTTGATCTTTGACTTTCATTATTTTTATCACGATGTGTCTTTGTGTGGATTTCTTTACACTATTCCTGCTTAGAGTTATTGAGCTTCCTGGTTGTCCAGATTGCCTTTCAATAAATAAATTTCTTCAGTGTTCAACCTTTTCTTTCTTTTGTTTTCTTTTCTTTTCCTTTTCTCTCTCTCTCTCTCTTTCACCTCCCTTCCCTTCCCTTCCTCCTTCCCCTCCCTTCCCCTCCCCTTCATTTCCTTTCCTTTCCTTTTTTTTTTTTTTTTGAGACATTTTCACTCTGTCCTCCAGGCTGGAGTACAATGGGTGTGATCTTGGCTCACTGCAATCTCAGCCTCCCAGGCTCAAGCGACTCTCGTGCCTCAGCCTCCCAAGTAGCTGGAATTACAGGCGTATGCCACCATGCACAATTAGTTTTTGTATTTTTAGTAGAGATTGGGTTTCACCAGGTTGGCCAGGCTGGTCTTGAACTCCTGGCCTCAAGTGATCTGCCCACCTTGGGCTCCCAACATGCTGGGATTACAGGTGTGAGCCACCACGCCCAGCTTCAGCCCTTGTTTCTTTGAATATTTTTTGCTCCTTTTTCTCTCTCTTCTCTTTCTAGTACCTCCACTATACATACGTCATTGCCCTATGTTTTTCACATTTCTCTGTGGCTCTGTTCATTCTTCCTGGTTTATTTTTCTTTCTATTTTTTGGATTGTAGAATCTATTGATATATGCTTGAGTTTGTAAATTCTTTCTTCTATCAGTTGAAATCTACTGTTGAGCCCCTGTATGAATTTTTCATGTAAATTATACTTTATTGAAAATTCCATTATTTTCATTGGGTTCTCTTTTATTATTTCTATTTCTGTTTTTATTTCCCTAGAGGCAAGGTCTTGCTCTGTCACCCATGCTAGAAAGCAGTGGTGAGATCATAGCACACTGCAGCCTCAACCTCCCTGGCTCAAGTGATCCTCCTCCCTCAGCCTCCTGAGTAGCTGGGACTACAGATGCATGCCACCATGTCTGGCTAATTTTTAAAATTTTTGTAGAGATAGGGTCTCACTTTGTTGCCCAGGCTGGTTTTGAACAACTGGGCTCAAGCAATCCTCCTGCCTTGGCATCTCCAAGTGCTGGGAGATTATAGTCATGGGCCACTGCACTTGGCCTGTTTCTATTTATTTGTAACCTCTGTTTGATGTGACATGGTCATCTCATGTTACTTTTTAAATCATGATTTCCTTTAGTTGTTTGAACATATTTATAATAGCTACTATTGAAATCTCACATCTGGTTACTCTCACAGGCAGTTTTGTTGCCTGATTTTTTTTTCCTGCTATAAGCATCATAATTTTCTGTGTCTTTGCATGTCTCATAATTTTTTTGTTGAAAACTCAACATTTTAGGTAATAAACTGTAGCAACTCTGAGTGCTGTTCTCACCCCCTGCCCATACTTTGTTATTGCTATTTGCTTAGTGACCAGCAGCATTGTTTTAACAGAATTTATATCCATCCCCACAACCCCCAAGCCCCAGTGTGAAGCCTCTGATGCCCATCAGGGCCCAGCCTTTGTGATACTTTCAGAGTCACTTTTAGATGACAGTTGCTGTGGTTAGGTCACTTTTTGATTATGTCTTTCCCTGACCACATCTTAACTATCAAGCACTAGTAACTTCTAGTTAGTGTTCTGTTGTTTCCAGCAATGCCTTGAGGGCATAAATAGCTCCACAGACCAAATCAATCTAAAGGGGCTCCTTTGAAGGAATAGTTCCTGTCGTCAGTTATTGAGATTTATTCTGACCCCTTGTGATCTCCCCACAGCTGCCTCTTCCTCTGGTTCTCTCCAACAAACTAGCAGACCTACAGTTTACCTTATATCTCCAATGAAACTACTAATCACCTTCCAGTTGCCTTTTGCTTTGTTGACAGAGAAGGTCAAACTCTGAAAAATATTTGATGAGGTTTATTCTGAGTCATAACACTACCTCTGGTCCTGAGAACATGTGCCCAAGGTGACTGAGTTACAGTTTGATTTTATACATTTTAGGGAGACAGAAGTTACAGGCAAAGACATAAACTAATATATGTAAAGAATACATTGGTTCAGCCCATAAAGGCAGGACATCTCCAAGGGATGGGGGTGGCTTCCAGGTGATAGGTGGATTTGAAGGTTTCTTGATTGACAATTGGTTGAAAGAGTTAAGCTTTGCCTATAGAGTTGAAGTCAGCAGAAAGAAATGCTTGTGGTTAAGATAAAGGAGGTTATAGAAGCCAAGGTTCTTGTTATGTAGATAAAGCTTCCGGGTACTGGGCTTCAGAGGGAATAGATGGTAAATGTCTCTAATTGGGCCTTAAAAGTTTTCAGACTCCTTGTTAAATCACTTGTAGATCAGGAAAATACCTGGAAAGGGAAGGGAATTTTCTATAGAATGTATGTTTTCCCCACATGAGGCAGACTTGCAGGACTATTCCAAAATATGTTAAAGAAACGTATTTTGGGGCTAGGTGTGGTGGCATGCCTGTAATCCCAGCACTTTGGGAGGCTGAGGTGGGCAGATCACTTGAGGTCAGGAGTTTGAGACCAGCCTGACCAACATGGTGAAACCCCATCTCTACTAAAAATACAAAAATTAGCCATTCGTGGTGGTATGGGCCTGTAATTCCAGCTACTTGGGAAGCTGAGGCATGAGAATTGCTTGAACCTGGGAGGGAGAGGTTAGAGTGAGCCAAGATCGTGCCACTGCACTCCAGCCTGGTTGGCAGAGCAAAAGAAAAAGAAAAAAACAAAAAAAGAAATACATTTTGGAGTAAAATACTTTTATTTCTTTTAGGGCCTCTTATCTATCATATGATGTTATACCACAATCAGGTTTGAGTTGGTAACACATTGCTACAAAGAGTCTGCTCTGTCAGTCTTAGGATCTCTATTTTTAATGCTAACGCTGTTCAGTTGTGTCTAAACTCCCAAAGGGAGAGGGTATAATGAAGCATGTCTGACTCCCTCTCTTGCCATCTTGGCCTCAACTATTAATAGTTTTTCATGTTTCCTTGGAATCCCCTTAGTTGGAAGGGAGGTCCATTAAGTTAGTTGTGGGACTTAAAATTTTATTTTTGGTTTACAGCTTTTATCATCAATGAACCTGAAATGGAGCAAAGACCCTTTTTAGGGGCCTTCCACGCCCCCATAAGCATGGTAATAAAGGAAAATCTTGAGTTCCTTCAAGGAAAATTCCAAGGACCTAGCTAGCCTTGAGTAGTAAATGAGCAACTTGATAAACAAGAAGGTAGCTTAAAACAACAGTGAAGGAAATTAGAGTCACAAAATGTTTGCTTCCCTATAGAAACTAAAGATAACACCTTAACATATGTTCCTGAATTGTTTTTCAGAAACCTAGACCTCCACAAAATGGAAAATGCTATCTGTTGGCATACAGACTTCAGATAAGTGAGAACTGAAGACTGAACTTAGAGCACTGTTCTTTGTTCTAAACTTCTTCTTGCGGATCCTGGACAGTCATGCCCAAAGTCCAGAGCATAATATTCCTTTCTGCTGACCTCAAGTTTTTAGACAAACCTTCGCTTCTTTAACCAATCACAAATCCGAGAATCTTTAAATCTCCCAATAACGTGTGACCCCTTGCTGCAAGATGCCCCACCTCTTTAGACCAAATAGATGTATAGCCTCCATGTATTGAGTTATGGCTTTGCCTGTAACTCTGCCTCCTTGCCTTTAAAACCCCTGCATGTAGGCCACTGAGGAATTCTGGTCTTAAGCATCCTACCTGATTCTCCGTGCTTGGAGTCCTGAAATAAATGCCTCACTTTCTCTGGCTGCAAATGCCAATGTCAGTGTTTGGTTTTGCTCTGCCAGATTTTTACAGATTTTCTGGAATAAACATTTCTTATTTGCTACATGTCTTTTAGGCCATTTTCAGAAACTCTATACAGTTGAGTCTTTCAAAAAATAATTTTAACCCATTTCCCTAGGGAGTGGGTCCATGAGATCCTCATACTGTTGTGCACAAGTCTCTCCTCTGGTTGTTGATTTTTATGCAGAGACTGAACCTTAATATTCCACATTCTAAAAAAGTTTATTTTGATGGATTATAATTTAAGTGTGGTAAACTATGGCCTGCTGACAAAATCCAGCCAAACTGTTTTTGTAAATAAAATTTTCTAAGAACACAACCTTGCATAATTTGTAACATATAATTTATGGTTATTTTTGTCCTACAAAGGCAGAGTTGAATACTTGAGACAGAGACTGTATGGCACATAATAGTACAAATATTTGCTATCTGGTCCTTTGCAGAAAAATCTTGTTGACCTCTGGATTAGATGATAATATCCAGCAGGGTAATAGACGGAGGGTATCTTGTTTCTTTATACCTCAATGATTTGATGGGTACACGCATTTACTTATAAGTGATCTGGCAAGAAAGAATGTTTGTCTTCCCAAACTTTAGTTTAGAGGATGTAAAGCTAAGCATGACCTAAACTATTAGACTACTGTCTTAGCACAAACGTCTTCAGAAGCACTTTTTTTTGTCAAATTGATTCTACTTTCTCACCTGAAAAGTTGGCCTGCTTAGGTAAGCCTAAATACTAGGTAAGAGGTCAGAGGGCATTAGAAAGGCACAAAAAGACATATTCCTGCCATTTTAAAAGGATTTAAATAGAGGTAAACATTTATAGAAAATATATTTTGCCCCTGTAAAATGATTTGTACACAGAATAAAATCATTCAGAAATGTGCAAAGAAGAAAGCAAATTTCATTCGAAGTCCTGACTTTAATCTTCTCCAGTGGAACAGGTACATCCTCCTGAGCCCTGGACCTCTCTCTGGTTGATGGTCCTTGGTTTATTCTGAGCTGGGTTTTATTTTCCCCAAGGAAGTTGTTGTGTAAGATCCTAATTTCTAGTTTAGAGGTACATTCTAAAGGGATTTCTTAATTGCCCTTTTCTAAAGATAAGGAGAATGACCCCCTTTTGAGACCCCCCACTTGGTTTCCAGTTTGAAGGTGCATTCTAAAGGGTCTTCTCCATTGTTTTTTCTCCCCAAATTAAACTCAGTTGACCTGTCTGTGCATTGGCATGAGAAACTGAAGTGTTATTTTCACAGATAAATAAGACACTGAGCTCCTCAGCTCTGAAGAAAAGGAGCATTTTGCTCCTCTCAGCGGAAAGGCACCCCTGGGTGACCACAGGCTGAATGGGAGTATCTGGGGCATTGACCCCCATGACATATGGTGGCCCTACAGAGAACCTCCCCAAAA
This sequence comes from Homo sapiens, assembly GCF_000001405.40. Classification (NCBI taxonomy): domain Eukaryota; kingdom Metazoa; phylum Chordata; class Mammalia; order Primates; family Hominidae; genus Homo; species Homo sapiens. Next base: position 41,888,197 of record NC_000005.10, on the reverse strand, counting down.
ACTTAGTTCAAAAAGCCTTATCTAGGAAACACATGTAAGACCTGATCACTATGTGTTTTGGACCATCTCAAAGGTGCTAGACCTCAAGAGAGAGAAACTGAAATATGTAAGAGGGCAAAAATGATTCAGTGGTGAAACACTGGAATCCTGCCCACAATCAGCACACATTGATCCGCCACACTAAACCCTAAGCCACAACTCAGATACTTCTTTTAGGGAAAAAAAGGTAAGAAAGAGAAAATCTAAGAATGAAGAAAGATAATGAGAACGACCCCCTTTCAGGCACCTCAATGGTTCTATGGCACCTCTACTTGCAAGTGTTTGTGTAAAATGGAAAGGTTCCAGGGCATGCCAGTTTTTCTAGCTCTGTACATATCATGGTCTGCTGTGCACACTTTAAACTCATGGACAAATTACATCAAGGGAAAATCTGGAGTCCAGAGGCTGACCTTCAACTAACTATAGAGTTCCTAAGTTCTCTATTTTCTTTTCTGCTGTTACTCTTCTATTGAGATAAAAACGACTGTTTGGATCCAATCACTTTTTTTTTAAACTGATGAGTTTGTATTAGCATCTCATGGCTGGAGTTCTGAAGTAAAAGCTATATGATCTTTTTATGAGTGCCTATGTATGTATTTATGTTTACATACTGTATTTTATGTGTTGTTACCACAAGGTACCAAATTGGCTTAAAGTTAAGGAGTAGTCATAAATTAAGTGAATAATAAGCCCAAATGTTTTTTAAGTTCATGTGACTTAACTAAAATCTTTAATAAATAACCTGGCTTTAAAATTATTGGTAAAGTAATATTAGAGATGTCTTAAGAATTGTCAGCATTTTTGTTTGCATTTATTGATTAAGCAGTTTCATATGTACCCTGACAGATACTATAAGGTGTCAAAACTTGCCAAATGAATTAAAAAAGTATAAACCCAGCTCAAAACAGAATGATCTTTGCTTGTGTATTTTTTGATATAGGAGACTTTTAATATTGTTGGTTTAATGAAAATAGCTAAATCCTAAGTTATTGGTAAAATACCCATATATTTAACCTTAAGTTTCTCACATAGGTAAACACCTGAAATTCATAGGCTATAAAAATGGTTAACAGGGAAATAACACTAAATGATGACTATCACAGTTTTCATGAATAATCTAGGTAAGCTATTAAAAATAAATAATTGGGTAAATGTAATGGAATAAATGCTTGCAAACAAACTTGTCATACAAATTTAGAATCTAAAGTTATTTTAAATAATAAATATTCATTAAATGTTTGGGTAATTTTCAATTAAAAATTATAGAAAAATATTTTTCTAAAACAGTGTTCTTATTAAAATGTAAATACTTTTTATCTAATTCAAAAACTATTTAAAGGTTATATATAAAACAAGGTAGAAGGAACTAGGAGATGGATGTAAAGAAACTTATAAATATAAAGAAGTATTTTTGGTAGAAAAGGCTATGAGAAAGAATCTTGTATGATAAATTTTTATCCTAAAATAAAATGACTAGTTGTTAAAGAAAGAGGGGTTTTTAGGATAAACCAGAAAGTCCAAACATGTTGTAAATGGTCTGTGTACATTTTAATAGGTTAGTTAAAAAATTTATTTTAAAAAGTTATATAATTAAGTTGGCTATAATAAAGGGAAATTTTAAGTCTTTCTGGAAACTCAACTTTGATATTAAAAATACACTAATACAAAACTAAAGGATTGGTTAGAACAATATTTTATTGAAATTGACTTACTCATAATACAAGAAGATTTTAAGTTTTAAACTATATAATCTGTTTCTTTTTGAAATTCTTCATATTGATATTTCAGTTTAACTTCTGCTGTATACTGCTGCTTCAGCTCCCTTTTGAGAAGGCCTGTGGTGGTAATTCTCTTCTTCAATGTTTGTTTTTAATTTTTTTAAAAAATTAGTAGTCTAAAGTAAGGGTGAGAATTTTTAAAAACAGGAAAATGAAAAATCTCATAGGATCTGCCTTATGTCTACATGTTTATATGTGTCATGCGGAAGTGATACTTCACTATCAAATTCTATGAGAGCCCTAATCAATTGGCTTGAAGAAAAGTAAATGCTTATCAGACTAATAAAAGCAATCTACCTCTGATGACTTTTAGTTTGTATGACTATAGTTATACTTGAAAAGATTAATTTGATAAATTTAATCTCAAAATTCTCTCCAGTGGTTTGAAATCTTAGAGTCATGTTAAATTAAGTTACCTCAATTTTTTTCCACTGGGAATTTGAGTTATACTAAGAGTTAAAATAGCGGATGAGTTAAAAGTGTTTTTGATGAAGTTCATAAAAACACAAGGATGTGATTTTTGCTAAAAGAAATGTATTTTTTCTAGTTTAGAGGCTGTCACTTTAAAATAAAGAAAAAAATTATATAAATAAAACTAAATGGATAAAGAGAAAAATTGAAAGGTGGGGAATAAGAAACCCTGACACTTGGGTAGCCACATGGTCACACATCTTAAGGAGCTGCAGCTGGGCTGCATTCAATTACAAAAGAGTAAAAGTTCCCAATGGAATTTAGAGATGGATTATACTCATACTCCCAGGGAGTTAGTTTACTGAATGCATAAGGAAATGAAAACTAATTAAAAAAAAAAAAACATTCAATCTCTTATTTATTGTTATCTGTAATAGCTAAAATGAAAGTAAGAGAGTGCTGGGTTGGGCCCTAAGGCTGGAGGAAGCTCAGATCAGAGTCTGTCTCAGCTCAGGCCACCAGCCTCAAAGCTACCCACATAAGGAAAAATTAAGCCAGGGTAACAAAAGTTACCTCTGAGACCTGTAGTTACTAAAAAGATAATCAATGTGTGAAAAGGGCAAAAACCAAGTAACTATTAAAACCATAGTGTATAATGCAAAGGAATTGTTTCATTTTGTAGATTGTTATCCTCAGCTTCCTGAGAAACCTTTACTATAATGGACTGTAAAAATACTACTTTATGGACAGTATCTTTAGTTTTAACTGCAACAGAATAAAAGAGCATGTTTGGGTTGATGCATGACCCACAGCTCACTATTAAACAATTGCTGATGAGTACATATGATCCAGGTGCACAAGAGATTATTCCTGAGAGAATGACCAGCCTATTGGACAGAATAAACACCACCTTAATTTCTGTTTACCCTGAGAAGGGGAATTCCTAACTATCCCTATAAATTGCCAAGTGGAACACCCCAGATGAAGCAGCTTATATGCTTCATATTCAAGCCGTGTGGGACTGGCTTTATGATGAGTGGGATATTCTCCCACTTCATATGCCTATTACCCAGGTCATGATAAATGCTGGGGTTAAGAGGGCCCCTTCTACATGGGCACCGTGGGTGACATTACTACTACTGAATCAAACAACTGTTTGAGAAGCCTTATCAAATTCTTACAGATGCTAATAAAACATTAGGATAATTAACAAAACAAAACAAAAAAGGAGACAGGAGAAAGGGAGTCAAAGGACTAGTCCCAGAAGGGGACGTCCCAGAAGGGATGAATCCTTTGACTTAATAATCATCTAAAGATTTAGATGATTATTAAGAAATGAAATTAATAAAATAAAAATGGATGGGGTTAATAACAATCAAAGGTTGGGTGGACCAATGGGGAACCCCTGCTGGTTCCCCAACATTTATGGGACCTCAAACTAGTTGTCTGCATTTGCCCTGGATTGAAGAAATTTAAAAAAAAATCAAAAGGCGAAGGTTATAATGAGAAAGCTGACATTGCCTGGGGCAATGTTGAGGCAAATTAAGATAGATATAGACTGCAAAAAAGGGCCTGAGTTCCTTGGCTCAACTCCCTGCTAGGAGCCCAAATTTTTTTCACCAGAAAAGGTAAAATGATCTGGCAGTAGAGAAGAAAATTTCCTGGGACCAGAACATAAAAATGTAAAGGTTGAAAGGATTATGAAATTATGAAATTTGAGATGTTTAAACATCCTTTATGTAAACTGGTTGTGACTCCTTTGCCTAAACATCTTATGAAAATGGGTATTGTATCTGACTGGGGGATGTTTCCCCATCTAGTACTATAAAACTAAAGACGTGTAAAGCTGCTTGGCTTGTGAATGGCAGTGCCCAGGTGACCAAAGAGATATTTTCTTTGGAAGGCTGCAGCTCTGGTTAAATAAGAATCAAGGAAATCTTTTTCTTTTGAGTCATGTATTTTTATTTACTTATAAATTTTTTGAGACAGATTCTGGCACTTCAGGCTGGAGTGCAGTGGCACAATCCCGGCTCACTGCAACCTCTGCCTCCCAGGCTCAAGCAATTCTCCCACCTCAGCCTCCCAAGTAGCCAGGAATACAGGCCCACACCACTGCATCTGGCGAATTTTTGTATTTTTTTGTAAAGAAAGGGTTTTGCCATGTTTTCCAGGGTGGTCTTGAACTCTTGAGCTCAAGTGATCTGCCCGCCTCGGCCTCCCAAAGTGCTGGGATTACAGACATGAGTAAAATTTTTTTTTTAACTTTCATTTTAAGTTCAGGGGTACATGTGCAGGTTTGTTACATAGGGAAATTTGTCTCATGGGTGTTTGTTATACAGATTATTTCATCACCCAGCCTAGTACCCATTAGTTATTTTTCCTGATCATCTCCCTCCTCTCACTCTCCACCCTTTGATAGGCCCCAGTGTGTGTTGCTTCCCTCTATGTGTCCATGTGTTCTTGTTATAGTAAGTAGCTAGTCTGACATGAGCAGGCTAGGCGAGCTCCCCCGCACCACCAGGATTGTCTGGCAACTATCAGGTGATGGTCAGGAGGTTATTAAACTCTGTCTCAACAATAGTAATTGGTCACAGCCAGGGCCAGGGAAAGGCAGTCTCCCAATAGATAAAAACGCCTGAAACTGGCCATCAGCAGCTTCCTGATAAGATCTCAGTAGTTGGGCTAGTGAGCTCAAGCATGCACAGTAAGAGGCAAAAATTGTGGAGCTTAACTGGTATATGACATTCTATATGAATTTCTAGGGACATTTCACTGGTAAGGGAATAATGCCTCAAGAGAACATGCAAACAATTCCAGTAAATACACTCTGCATGCTCACCTCCCAAGTTTTGGCAGGCCACTGAGCATGCAGACAGCCCACCCCAAGGGAAGAATCAGGGGAGAAGGGATGCAAGACCCCAGAAGCATGCCATCGTATAAAACCCCAAGTCAAAAGGTCAAACCACGCACCTGTTCTTCATGTTGCTGGCTTGGCCCTCTCCCAAGTGTACTTTCTTTTGTCCCTGCTCTAAAGCTTTTTAGTCAACTTTCATTCGTGCTCTAAAACTTGCCTTGATCTCTCCTTCTGCCTTATGCCTCCTCGGTAGAATTCTTTCTTCTGAAAAGGCAAGAATTGAGGTTGCTCTAGACCCGTGTGGCTCATTGTCACTAACATTATCATTATTCAGCTCCCACTTATAAGTGAGAACATGTGGTATTTAGTGAGTTAGTTATAGTTTAAAGCAATTGGGTAAAGTATGTTTCTGTGAACAAATGTACCTTTCTCTCTATGAGTTCTCCAAAATTTAAACACTGCTTGTGATTTTATGACAATAGTTATTTGCATAAATTTAGTAAGAGTATTTTCTTTTAAAATAAGACAATTGGAGACACTAGTTATTTTACCAAGGTTTTGGCTAGAATAAGTATTTTTAGGTAAGGTTCCAGCAAAGCCAACTTGATAAGAGCCTATATGACCAATCAATTCCTCCTGCACTTTATGCGAAAAGTCAGGCCAAGTGTAATAAGCCTAAAACTTATTTTACACACAAATTGGTCTTACTATAACTTTTCCTTAGTAGAAAAGGAGGGCTGGAAAGAAAAATTATTTTAAAGGAAAACTATAACCCCTGTTACTAGATTGTAGCCCTGACTTTTCTTTTGATTGCAGATTAAATCATGAGTTATTCCTTAGCTATAATAATCCTCTAAAGATGAACCAGGTTATAATTTTTCTCCATGTTTTTTGTTAGCACCCTAATCGAATAGGTCACTTTTTCTGTTCTGACACATACATTCTCTTTTTAATTGTCAAATTATTAATGTTATTTATCTCTCACAGCTTTACTCCTTCCAAGAAAACCAGAATTGTGGTATTTTGAAGACCAGAGATGATTTGACAAAGCCTTTGAATTACACTCATTTGGAATCCCACTGGGCCCAATCTGTTTTTCACTACAAATCTCCTGCTGCTAAAACTATACAAGAACTCTCCCTCCAGGTCCAGAAACTACTGCAAAAGTGGTGGGCATGTGAGATTTTAAGGGCCGGTTTTGAGGAATAGAATTTGTTCAGACCCTGCAAATCAAGGATGGGTACACAAATGCCTAAACAGCTGGAAAATAAGGAACTTTGCTTTCTGAGCTACTATGTGGCACCTTTTCATCCATCCCAACTATAAACAATTTACTGCTTCCTATAGAATTAAAATAAAATTATTACTGAAAGGCTATAAAGATACCTCATGACAAAGTCTCCTGGGTATAATACTCCCAGTTGTGTGATTCATGCATATATATATATGTATATATTTATTTAAAAAATTTTATTAGCCATCTTAGAACAAATTACTAAAAGACTGCAAAAAGCATTGTGACATAACAAAATCCCTAAATTCCTTAGCTTAAAAGGTTTTACCAACGCTTATGTTTTATTATGCTACGTTTTTATGCTAATTGCTACAAGTCTGTAACTAAAGCTGAGATTACAATAGTTCAATGCATAGAAGTTAAAGGTAAGTCAATTTTGTATCCTTGCTTTAGGCTTTTTGTTTGTTCGCTGTTATATTACTTAAAAAAAATGTAAGAGTTAATAAATGCCTGTCCACGTCCATTCCTGTCTAGCCTAGAACATTTAATCTAGCTATAAGTCTTTTGGCACTAAGTCTCTTGGCCATTGGGGTTCAACTGAGGGGCAGGATGGACCTGGGGCAGGCAGCCATGCCACCCTGGCAATGCTATGGGACAAAATAAAAGTTTGGTGGCCACTGATGTTGCATCTGGCAAATATTGGCCAGAAGGGAGAGAATGTAAACCAAAAATAAAATTCTAAGCCATGCAGTCATCTGAATGGATCCTTCCTCTCAGCCAAGGGCATTCCAAAGTTAACCTGAAAAAACTAGTTCAGGCCATGATATGAAGGGAGAGCCAGACATGCATCATTATATCCTGTACCCTTTTGGAATTACTCATAGAACAGATTCTTTAAGTCTGGTAAGAAATATTTACAATCTATTATCTCAGAGGCCTGCTACCTGGAGACTTTGTCTGCATGATAAAACCTTGGTCTCCACAGCCCCTAATCTTGAAGACCCAGACATTCCTTTCTATTGGTTCAAAGTTTTTAGACAATAACCAAGTGCCAATCAGATCTTTGAATTCACTGATGACCTGGAAACCCCCACTTTTGGTCTTTCTGGACCAAACCTATGTACATCTTTTATGTATTGACTAATATCTTATGTCTCCCTAAAATGTATAAAGTCCAGCTGTAGCCTGACCTCCTTGGGCACATGTTCTCAGGATCTCCTGAGCACTGTGTCATGGGCCATTGGTCACTCATATTTGGCTCAAAATTATTATCTTCAAATATTTTAGAGTTTGACTCTTTTTGTCAACAGATCCTTAACATAATTTACAAAGTCCTACAAAACCTGTACCCTGTCCACCATTACTCATTCTGGATTTTATTTCTTATACCCACCATACTTTTTTTCAATGTCAATGATTTGTATACATTGTCCTAACTGCAATGTTTCCCACTCTCCTTTCACCTAGTATTTCTTCTGATTCTTAAGATTCTAATTTAAAGATGATTCCTACAGTAAGTCTTCCTTGACCACCCCTCCTCAACTTGGGTCAGCCTGTCACACAGATTCTTAACACTCTGTATTTCTCATTGACAATACCCTGCATAAGAATGCGTGTATCCTTGTTCAGTCTTCATCTCCTCATAAGACATAAACTCCCGGAGATCTGGGACCATGTCTGTTGTCTTATTCACAATTGAATTCCTAACACTTAGTATAGTGCCACATGAAGGAAAGCATTTAATGGTTAGTCTGTAGCCCAATTAGTCTATAGACTAATGAAATAGCATACTTTTATAGGCCAATACATGATTGACACATTTAACCATATTGCTATTATTTTTGTTGCTGTTTTAAAAATTGCTGTGATGCATAACCTTGTCCATATATATATGTGCACCTGTTCTTGTATCTTTTTAGGTTAAATCTCTTGAAATGAGACTGTTGGGTGGAAGGGAAGGAAAGATGATATAAATAATACTGAGAGCATGTAGCATAGTTATAAGGAGATGATGTAACATTGCCTAAGAGAATACTGATTTTCCAGCATCAGCTCCATCCTCAGAATTCTGTGGATAGAGCTTTATTGTCTTTAAGATATTCACTGCATACTTATGGTCCTAGGCTGTGATCTTCAGAGTGGACTGCATACCCTGTAGGAAGTACTCAGGAAAACCCATGGGCACACTGGAAAAAAATAAAACAAGGTCTGTTTATATTTGTTTTTAACTAATCTTTCAAAATTGTGTTTAAAATGTACTGTAGTAAATGTATTTAATTTATAAAAAATAAACATATACATACTTTACATATATATATGTACGTGTAGGATACAACTTCCACATACATTTACATTGATGACACAAACAAAAGTTTTTACATCACTGCTCTAAAACGTGCAGAGAATAAAAATAGTGAAGATTCATAATTGTCATAAGATATTGATATAAAACCAATTTTTCATCCAAGTTTATTATTGAAAACGGGGAATGAAGTCTGAGTGCTGTTAAAATTTGCTTTGCCTTTCTTCCACATCTGGTCATTAAAAGCTCATTACAAATTCTGTGACCCTTGTTATCTTAGTCTGTTTTGGTTACTGTAATAAAATACCATAAACTCAGTAGTGTGCTGTTATGAACAGCAGCAATTTTATTTCTCACAATTCTGGAGGCTGGGGAGCCCAAGATCAAGGCACTAGCAGATTTGGTGATAAAGACACAGATAAAGGCACTGATCCCATTCATGAGAACTCCACTCCCATGATCTAATCACCTTACAAAGGCCTCATTTCCTAACACCATTGCTTTAGGAGTGAGGATTTTAACATGTGAATTTTGAAAGGGAAACATAAACATTCAGACCATAGCACTTACTTTTCTCCCAGTACTTTCCTGGCTGCATTCCAGTGAATAGCAGTTCAATACTTTTGTACTGATTATGTTTTAGGAGTAGCCAGTGAAATAATCAGTTTTATCATTTTAACACTCAGGAGGTTTTTCCTAGACATCAACAAATGACTGTAGAGTAAATCTGAGATAGATAGAAAACCCATAGATATAGATCTGGCTAGAGAGTAGCGGTGTTTCAAGTCACAGTTCAAAGCCACTAGTAAATGGTTAATGTTCATTAATGATTTACAAGTGAGGAGGGATTTCTATATTGTTGATTCTTTGGTTTTCCAACTTAATGGCTTTATTTCACTGAAGGCTACCACCCTCATTCGCCTACAGAGAAGTGCATATTGAAAGATTATCCTGTTATTCCATTTTCTGAATTGGCAGCCAAAGGAAATATTAGTATGTGATGTGAAACACAGCATCTATTATCCTGAAACATTCCCCTGGGTTCACAGGTTCAGACTAGAGAAGGCAAAAGTTGGCAACCAAATAATATATATATTATTGTGGTAAGAACACTAAACATGGGATCTAACCTCTTAACATGTTTTTAACTATACGATACAGTATTACTAACTACAGGCATAGTGCTGTATAGGTCTCTAGAACTTACTCACCTTCTGTAACTGAAATCTGTATAGGAACTCCCGAGTTCCTCCTCCCTATAGCCCCTGACAACCACCATTCTGCTCTGTTTCTAGGAGTTTGACTAGAACTCCTGGATACCTTGTTATTGGAATCATACAGTATTTGTTCCTCTGTGACTAGCTTATTTCAATTAGCATAATATCCTCAATGCTCATCCATGTTGTCACACATGGCAAGATTTTCTTCTGTTTTAAGGCTAAACAGTATTCTGTTGTATGTATATACCACATTTTCTTTATCTATTCATCCATTTATCAACATTTAGGTTGTTTCCACATTCTGACTATTGTGAATAGTGCAATGAACATTGGTGTGCAAATACCTCTTTCAAGCAACCAAATATACATCTGACATGTATATTTAGAACTCTCATACTAAAACTATATGTCCAGTGCTTTTAAAAGTTAAATAAAAGCTGTACAATAGTTTAAATAAAAGTACCTAAATTCTTGCCCTCATTGTATTGATTTTTTCCTCACTTTTAGATGGTCTTTTCATTTATTTTGCAAAAACATATAATACATGGTTGTAATCCTTATATAATACAATTTGAATTCTGACTTTTACCCTTATCCTAACCATTTCCACATACAATTTGAAATTTTTACTTTTTAATAGTGGCATAATAGTTTTTCAAGATGATGCACTATAATGTAATGAATCATTTCTCTGTGGTTGGATATTTATAAGTGACCCTGATGTATTCTACTGAGCCAGGGTGTCACAATCTCTTGGCAGTATTTTTTTTGAAATGTATTATTGCAGGTGTTACTGGTTGTCTGGGAACATAAACAGCGGGATCATGTAGCCAAAATATCATACTTGGTTTGGGTTACTTTATTGTGAAAAAGATTTAACCAAATGGAATATTCACAAGGGAAGAAAATAATAATGAGGGAAACAGGGACCATTTGAAAGAGGGAAGTACAATTTGTAACTCACTATTTGACTATTTTCTTCATGTACTTCAATGACAGGTTATCTGTGGGGAGAAGACAGTTACAGGCACAGCAAAGCATGAGGCTGGATACAGGAACTGTGTTAGAGAAGAAAGGCCAAAGGATGATGGTGAGCACAAAGTAAGCTGTAAAAGACAATGAAAATGTAAATAATTACTACTATCACATCATGATTAGAAAGAAAGTATTCAATTTAAAGAGCTGAGCTGAGAGACACAGGTTAAGTTCATGGCTTGTATTAAGGCAGCAAAAAAGGGTTACCCAAGTCAAGTCAACACAACTGATATTTGTTGAACTGCTCTATGCTTAAAAGAAATCCTAGGACACTATAGATACAAAAATGAACAAAACTTAATAAGCTCATAATCCAGGTGACCAAGGGCCCTGAGAGCACAAAGTAAAAGAATATAGTTTTTTAAGAGGTGGAATTCGGAGTGTGAACAGTCAAGGTACACAGAGGAGTGACATTTGATCTGAGTCTTGAAAGAGGAGTAGGAGTTTGCTCAGCTGGCACAGAAAAAAAGGCTTTAGCAAAGGCTCCCTGTCAGAAGGTGCTTGGTATGTGCAGGGAGCAGAAAGTAGTCGAATTTAGCTAAAGCCATAATTTTCAAACATATTTAATATGAGTCACCCTTTCAAATAAAATTGTATTTAGAACCCAACATATACAATGTGTAAAAGTGGTACTTTACAGTTTAAATGCATTTTATCATTTTAATTGTGAAATATTTTCCTGTTATACATGGAAAAAATGAGAATAATGAAGCTCTTCGGAGAAGCTAAATATTGCAGCCATGGAGTTATATCTGATATTTTGCTTATTTTATTTCTGTTTGGCTGCACAATAATAAGAAAGTTCTGATTCACACTGCAGCTTGTCCCAGAATTTCAGTATATGCTTCAATTAAAGTAGATCAGAAGCTTGAAAGAAAAGTAGCAGGAAATGTTTGCTTCAGTGGTCAATAACTAATAATGTCAATTACCTCTTGTTCACATATGTAAATGTCAGACAAGATGTAGCCAAAATGGAAAATAATCTCTAAAACTATTTATAGTACAATATTATCATGAAGTGTTTTATATGCTCTTTTTGAACAACTACAATGCTGTGATAAGAAATAATTCTAGGCAGTACATGTCTCTGACCAGAGCCTCAAAGTATTATATACTTATATAAATTTAAGTGAGTCAAAATGCAGAGGTCTAAATGATAAAAAGATAAATACAGAGCTACAAACATCTTTATCAATGACATATTTTATATATTCAAATATAGGAAATTTGATGATGAGGAACCTTTAATCTAAGGTTTGTCTCCCAACTGCACAATCTGGTCTGTTTTTTTTTTTTTGTTTTTTGTTTTTTTTTTTGAGATGGAATCTCGCTCTGTCACCCAGGCTGGAGTACATGGTGCAATCTCAGCTCGCTGCAACCTTCATCTCCCAGGTTCAAGTGATTCTCCTGCCTCAGACTCCAGAGTAGCTTGGAGTACATGTGCCATATGCCAGGCTAATTTTTTATTTTTAGTAGAGATGGGGTTTCACCATGTTGGCCAGGCTGGTCTGGAACTCCTAACCTCAGGTGATCTGCCCACCTTTGCTTCCCAATGTGCTGGGATTACAGGTGTGAGCCACCATGCCCAGCCACAATCTGGTAATTTTTAATACTTTTAAATCAAAGATAGATCACAATTGAGTGTGCATGCTCCTTTTGTTAGTGTTGATAGAATAGTAAAAATGTAATCTAAAATTTAATTTCAAAATATAATGTTTGCATAGCCCCTGAAGTACCTCTGCAGAGCCCTTAAGGCCACATGATTTGTTGAGGCTAGATTAAACAAAATCTTGCCTATAATTGAATGTTGGACTTCACTTGCAGCCTTTGAGCATTTCTTGAAATATTTTAGAAAAAGATGTGAGAAGACCAGATCCTGTATTTGAAATAATAATTTTAAGTATGTTTAAATTGAGGGAGAATGGAAATTCATTTGGAAGGAAACTGAAATAATTCAGATGAGAGAAACTGAAACTGAGGCCCTGAAGTAGTGCAGAATGAGTGAAACTGGAGAGTTGGGGTAAGATTCAAAGATATCTCAGAAAGAGGGAGGTATAAAGAAATAGCAGCTTTTAATAACATATGGTCCAGGGTTTGAATCTTGCCTTATTTTTTTCAGTTTATTAAGTAAATTTTTCAGTTTACTTTATGTTTTCAGTAACCAAAGCACCTGCTGTGGTTTGAATGTGTCCTCCCCAAATTCATATGTTGACACTTAATTGCCAGTGTGATAGTATTAAGATATGGGGCTTTTCAGAGTGATTAAATCATGAGAGCTCATGAATGTGACTAGTGCCCTTATAGAAGAGGTACAAGGGAACTGTTTATGTCTTCTGCCCCTTCCATTATGTGAGGACACAGAGAAGGTATAATCTATGAGGAACAGGCTCTCATCAGACCCTTGTTAAAAGAAAAACTTTAGACAAATTAACTTTAGCAGAGTTTATTTGAGCAAAGAACAATTCATGAATCAGGCAGCACTCTGAACCAGTAGAGGTTCAGAAAGCCCCACTCAGCAATGTGAGCAGGCAGTATTTATAGGCAGAAAGAGGAATTGAGGTACAGAAACAGCTTGATTGATTATGGCCCAGCATTTGCCTTATTTGGGCACAATGCAATGTGGCATTTGCCTTATGTGGACATGGTCTTATTAGTTGGTAGTATGTGATTGGATGAAACCTGGCTGCTGTAATTAGCTGAGACTCAGCTATCTGTTACAAGAACATACTCTTAAGTAAGGTTTATTTAAACACTAACTTAGGTGCAGTTTGCTATGCAGAATTCCAAAGTATGGAAGCAGCTTTTGGCCAAATTTAATTTAATTTAACATATTCAATATGCTGGTGCCTTGATCTTGGACTTTCCAGCCTCCAGAACTGTGAGAAATACATTTCTTCTTGTAACTTACCCAGCCTAAGATATTTTGTTGTAGCAGCAAGAATGGACTAAGATAGCATCTGGGAAATAATTAATAATGTATAATCTTTTAACACCTGAATAATGCAAATATTGATCTAGAGATTACCTTACATCTTGACATTCTGTAAGCCCTGCTTAACTACTGCACCACAGAAGGCCGTATAGCTAGAGACTGCAGAGCTGAGACTTGAACCCTAGAAGCCTAACCACAGAATTCCTGCTCTTTATTATTTTGCTGTCAACACTTGATTCTGAGGTTGTGCAAATTCACTGTGTAAAAATCAAGAGGCACATATAGTTTGAAATATAAAGCAGACGTGTGGGGGAAAGGAAGACCAGAAGAGATGATCCTCTTCTATGTCATGTTATTAAGTATGAACTTTGGATCTCAAAGGCAGTGGGGAAAACCAATGACAGGTTTTAAGCAGAAATAAAGTGATCAGTCTTGAATGTATACAAGATCACTCTGGTGCATTTTACTCTTTTAGGTTTCCTTAGTATCTTATCATAATTTTCAATTTCATTCCAGGCCTTAAGCCCTCTCCAAGTATCTCATGCATTTATTTTACTTTTTTTCTGAGAAAACTACACTTTATAAAAATCAATCTATTTTTTCTTTAATCATTGAACAAATATTAAATACACACTAGTTAATACAAGGGACTCCTTTAAAGGATCTATGAAAATAAGCTTGCAAAATATGCAAATTAATGGGTGTCTTGCACTATAAAACAATACTTAGATTTACAGATTTATGTGAAATTTCAGATTTATGTCCTTCAAACCTACTAGAAGCAAATTGTTTGAAGGACTATGTTCTCCATATATTAAAGGACTATTGTGATAAAATGAAGCACGCATGCACTTTTATAAGTGACTCAAATGACCTACTTAAAAACTGCTATTTCTAGTGAAACCAGTTAATCAACATTTGAAAAACAAGTCTTCAGATGCCCCTGGTTATCATCCTGGGGAGTACACCATCAACTGTGAGAATAGGATGTCATATCTTGCACTAATGAGATATGCTAATGCATCATATTTTAGGAGAATTAAAATGAAACTCCTTAAAACAGAGAATAATTTACAATCTAATAAACTCTGACACATTACCTGCATGTATCTGATAAAATGGTGCCACACAGTCATGCCTTGCTTAATGACAAAGACAGGTTCTGAGAAATGAGATGCTAGGCTATTTTGTCATTGTGCTAATACAGAATATACTGACATAAACCTGGATGGTCTAACCTACTACACACCTAGGCTATATGGTATGGCTTATGCTCCTAGGCTACAAACTTGTACAGCATGTTACTGTACAATATTTAGTAGGCAATTGTAACATAATGGTAGTTATTTGTGTATTTAAATTTTTCTGTTCTTTCTTTTATTTTGAGACAGAGTCTTGCTCTGGCATGCAGAGGAGCAATCTCGGCTCACTGCAACCTCTGCCTCCCAGGCTCAAGCAATCCTCCTTACTCAGTCCCCACTGCCCACCCCACCCCAGTAGCTGGCTACAGGTGTGCTCCACCACACCAGCTAATTTTTTTGTTTGTCTGTTTTTGTAGAGACGGGGTTTCACCATGTTGCCTAGGCTGGTCTCGAACTCCTGGGCTCAAGCGATCCACTTGCCTTGGCCACCCAAAGTGCTGGGATTGCAGGCGTGGGCCACTGCACATGGCTAAACATTTCTAAACATAAAAAAGCTACAGTAAAATATGTTATTATAATCTTATGGGACCACCATCATATATGCTGTCCATTATTGACCAAAATGTTATGTAGCACATGACTTGGTGTATGTACACCCACACCCACACATACACATACGTATCATAACATAATACAAAAAAACAAAAAAAAATACAAAAAAACAAACAAAAAAATCTTTCCTCATTGCATGACTGGAATCAGACCTTTTGTTTAAAGGCTTTGAATCCAATTCTCCCAGTTTTTAAAAGTGTGGAAGTTAAACTGTAAGATTCCACAAAGAAAGGTTTCCAGAATATAACATATTTGCCAGAAACTGCCTTTCAAAGCAAGTGGGAAATATCCTTACTAGTTCGGAAAAGTTCAGATATTTAAAAGAAGTAAAATTTTGCACACCAATTAAAATTGAAGTGCCTTTGTGTAACTAGAAGTGAAATCAGCACATAAGAACTTTTTTTGTAATTTGTAATCTAATTTATTCAAGTTGAAGAGACTTGCACATTATTTAAAAAGTATAAAATGAAGTCACAGTCATCAAAAATACAGTACAGTGTGTTTTGACCATACAGTAATTAGGGTGATTTTCTCAGGAGACTTAGTCACATAGCATGCAACATTTAAAATGTGTCTTCCTCAGCCAAGAGCAACAAAGTGAGACCAGCCAAGAGTCAGTCATATGACCACCGGCAAAGTTGCCAATGCAGTTTTTCCATTTCATGTGCCCTGTGGAAGGGCAAAAGTGGAAAAGCAGACCCAATCGCAATGGGCAAAAGTGGAAAAGCAGACTCAATTGGAATGCTAGTTTTTTTCACATTGTGTAAGTTAAAGGTACAACAGCTGCTATATGCTAAATTATCACTAGTTATGGGACTTTAGTTACAGTACTTGAATTTCCCCCCAATCCAACTTCTTAAAATGTGTTGAAATACCAACTAGCAATAAGTTAATTTCTCCAGTGTAATTGAATAGTCTAACTTGGTATCTTACTCCTTAACTGATTTTGACTAAAATTATAATATTTACAGGAAAAAAAAAAGTTCAGAGTTAAAAGAATACCATGAAAGGGCAAATGATTTTATGGACAAACTTTGAACTGCATCTTCACTGTTCATTACCTTACTGTATTTGCTAAGGAAGCTAAGATCTCATTTAATTTTTGTGTGCTTTGCTTTGGTTCAAAACTAACATCACATTCTCAGAACTTGGTCAGGCCTTAATCAAATAAAATGCTATTGAGCTTCCACTTGGTCTTTCCACTCTGCTAAGTGCAAAGACAGTTCTGGAGAAATCAGTCGTGGCTCATGTCCTCAAGGAGTTGGTCAAAAGACAAGGCTTGGCGAATATGTACGTGCCATGTCAATGAACTGCTACAATGGAATAAACTTATAATAATGCCTAACATTTATTGACTCCTCATAATAAGGCCATAAACTTTGCATGAATTAACTCATAGAAACGTTATGACGTTGTATCACAAGCAATCCTAATTTGCAGATGAGGACACTGAGGCTTAGGGAAGTTATCTAACTTGCCTAAGGTTAAAGCAATATACTGCTTTTATGGTTGCATCTTTAGTAATCTCTGGGGTTGCTGGGACTCCAGTGCGAGAAAGAGCCCGAAATTCGCAAACTTGGATGATGGGGAAGAAAAGGTGTGCTAAACTCAGGTCACAGAGGTCCAGTCTTAATCTTGTTCCTCTGCAAGCCTTGTTGCTCACACCTCTTGACCGACAGTTCGAGGCAAGTGCTCACAGCAAACTTACTCTATGTAAGCCAAGGCCAGATGTGGGGAGAAGGGGCTGAGAAATGTTAGAAACGTGAACGCAGTCCAGGCGGGAGAAGAGAAGGGGGCCTCGAGGGGTGCCCCTATGCAGCCCACACACACGCCAGGCACTAACTTGGAAAAGCAACAAGCTTGGCGGGAGATCCTCCCGCGGCCGGAGGGCCCTGAACCCTAGGCCAAGACTCATCCACAACCTAGGGGGAGGCGGCCACCAGCGCCCCATCGAAGCTAAAGGGCTGACAGAAGGGCTGTAGCGGCAAGTGTGCGCCAACACAGCTGCACACGCCCAGACACCTGAGGCGCTGAGAGGAACTTCCCCGCGATCCGCCCCGGCTGCACAGAGCCTCTTCTCCCCGCCGGGGCCCCGCCCAGCCTCACTTCTTTTAAAAGCAGCAGCCAGCAGCGCGCCGGTGGCGTGCGGCTCGAAAGGCCGGGAGGACGTCATCGACGCGCTGTCGAGCCTCCAGCCCGCCCGGGTTTCCTTCGCAGTCGCGCACCGACGCTCAAACGCGCGCTCCAACCCGCAGCCTCCTCCTGCCTCACCGCCCGAAGATGGCGGCTCTCAAACTCCTCTCCTCCGGGCTTCGGCTCTGCGCCTCTGCCCGCGGATCTGGGGCAACCTGGTACAAGGTAAAGTGCGGGGGAAGAGGAAGGCCATGGGCAGGAAGAACGTGGACCAAACCCTGAGTGGTGCCCGCGTTTTCTTCTCTGCCCCTACCCGCTCTCTCCAGCCTGGGATCTGGCATCCGTGGCGCGGTGCCCTGGTCACGGACACGCGGCGACGCGTTCCTGGCCTCGCCGGCCCCTCGGATGACCGCCTTTGCTTGGTTCTGCAGTCGCTTCCCTGATGGAGCGAGACGCGATAAAGAAGCGCGCGGAGAGGCTGAGAAGGGGCGGGAGGACTCCTGGCAGCGCTCCCGAGCCCTTTGGCGCTCGTCGGCTTCCCTCCTGGCACCCGCCCTTGGATAGGGACTCTGAGGGTCTGAACGGGGGGAGGAGGGCGCCAGTATATGGAGGTTTAGGAGTGAGGCAACAGCGGGTAGGTTTGCGCCCCCGATGTTGGATCTCTGGGCAGAGGAACCTCTAGAGGCCCAGAACCTGAGGCTGGGTTAGCCATGGCTCTGCTCGAGTTCACCGGGGCTGGATGCCGGGTGCGGCGGGTGTGGAATGCCGCTCCCATCCTCTCCTCCCTATTTGGCTCTGCTGCCCCGTAGACTGGAGCGCTCGCCAGGGCGTCTTGCCGGCCAAGCTGGGAAACCATCCGAGGTGTGTCCCTGGCCCGCGCCTGGGCTGCAGGGGAGGACAAACCTTTCTCTCGAGGCCCCTCGTATCCGGGTTAGGGGCTTTCGGTTTTCAGAGCCCTTTGAAATCCTTTTTGTGCCCCACTGCCGACTCTCCACCGAGTGGTATCCGGAGGCATTCCCACCGTGGACTGACTTGTGGTTTTGCCTTATGCACTGTCCTCGCTTGTAAGCCCACCCCTGTCTGGAGCCCTAGGAGCGAATTACAGGACCAGAGCGCCAGGTCCAGGAGGGTGGCTTTATCCCCGCCGTCTCAATCGCGGGAGCCTCTTCCTTGGTATTCAGTAATAGGTCTGAGCTTGACAGCGTGCCATGCACACGGTGCTTACTCCTGAAGCGTGCCTGCCTGGCCCCATTGCTCTTTCCTGCATCCAATCCCTGACCGCTGAGAACACAGAGGAGCCACTGAGCTCCTTCGGTAGGTGCTAGGGAATGGTTCAGAACTGGACCATTTTACTCTTAAATGCCTCTTAGGAAGCATTTTTATAACTGCAGATAGACTTGGATATATAAAGCATTATTAAAAGGGAACTTGACCTTCAGTGAGATTGCAGCGGTGCTGAAGCTAATACAAACCAGAGCACAGCGATACCCTTGGGCCGAGGTCAGGAACGTTCCTTCTTTTGACAGTTACTGATTTGCCCAACTGTAATTTACTCACTTCAAGTCTTTTCCATCTTGAGTATATCATTAAACCATTTCCGAAGCTCAGCAAACCTCATCTTAGAGGGACGAGATGCAAATAAGGGGTTCTGCTATATCTCATTAAAAGTTCATACAGAGTTCAAACTTAGCCCTGTCAGGCTTGATTATCATAGGTCTAACTCCTGCCTTCCACTATTCCCCTAGCTTGTGGCTCTTAGTGCCCTTATTGTTTTTTTTTTTTTGAGACGGAGTCTCGCTCTGTCGCCCAGGCTGGAGTGCAGTGGCGGGATCTCGGCTCACTGCAAGCTCCGCCTCCCGGGTTCACGCCATTCTCCTGCCTCAGCCTCCCAAGTAGCTGGGACTACAGGCGCCCGCCACTACGCCCGGCTAATTTTTTGTATTTTTAGTAGAGACGGGGTTTCACCGTTTTAGCTGGGATGGTCTCGATCTCCTGACCTCGTGATCCGCCCGCCTCGGCCTCCCAAAGTGCTGGGATTACAGCCCTTATTGTTTAGCACTTTAAATCCTCACCTGCTGCTTCTGTTGAACTGTACCACTTATCTACTTGTTTAACTTTTCAGATGTGTATATTGTCTCCTCAACCAGATGACAGTTCCCCGATGGCAGAGACCATATTTATGCCTTACACTTAGTCTCCCTCAACAAACACACTACTCTGCATAGATCAGATATTCTACACATGTTTAAAGTACGGATGAGAGAACCCTCCAGGCAAACAGAAACCTTGAGTTTTTCCACTAAACATAACTAACAGCTAAAACGAGATAGTTATTTTCTTAAATGTTTAACATTTTTATAATGGGCAGGCCCAGTGTCTCGCAGACCTGAGAGTGCATCAGCATTACCTGGAGGTTTTCTAAAACAGATTGCTGTACCCACCCCCAGAATTTCTAATTTAATAGGTCCTGGGTGGGGCCCTAAACTTTGCATTGATAAGTTCCAGGTGATGTTGATGCTGCTGGTCTGGGGACTGACTGCCCCTTTCAGAGTTATCTGGCATGGACTTAGGTGAAAATAGACTATTGGGAGGTATCTTCTTTTCTTCATTATTACTGAGGGGCAGTGGGGAGCATTTAATACTATTTTCACTATAGAAAATTATTAGTGGGAAAAAGGTTATAAGAGTACCACTAACACTTTACCCACCATTCATCCTTGACCCTGTCTTTTCCCAAATCTCTTTCCAACCTCTGACTCTCCTGAGCTGCAGTCCTTCTGGTGCAACTGGTGAACTTCACTTGGATGTCAGTTGGTGCTTAAAGCTCTTTCTGATCCAAAGCAAACTAGCCATAAAGTGGCTTTCCCATTCCTTGTTTTGTTCTTCTATCACTGTGCTTAACAGCACCAGTATCCATCCAGTATATAAGCTGGAAATCCTGGAACCATCTTCTCTTCTCCTTGCTGCACTTCCAATTGATCACCAAGTGTCATATGTGTGCCTCTTTCTGAAATGTTCCTCAGTGCTGTCCCTGGCATTCTTTCTCAGCAACTGTTTCTTCCTTATAGCTCCCCAATTAAATACTATGATTGTGTTTAAAATTTTGTAATTATTTAATGACTACTATCTTTGCTAGTTTGTAAGTTTCATTATAGCAGGGGCTATGTCTGGGTTTTATTTTCAATATTTTAACTTTGTAGCCCCAGTATTTTGTATAGTTGGTACAAATGAGTGAAGGAAAGAAATAATGAGTTTCCATACCACTTTCTTAATTCAGGCTTCCTTTGAGTTGTGACATCTGTTTCAAAAGCTTTGCTGTCCCTTCGTCATGGAATGATCAAGTCACAAATCAACACTAAAGAACTTACTCATGTAACCAAATACTACTTGTTCCCCAAAAACCTATGGAAATAAAAAAATTAAAAAGAAAAGAAAAAAGAAACTCTGCAGTGTGGTCTGTAAGGCTTTTTACAAACTGCCTCAGTCTGCTTCTCCAGCCTCATCTTCATGAACCTCTCTCCATGAGACCTGATCCCGCATGTCTGTAACCACACAGCCTTTTCATATCGCTGAACTCTTACTCATGTGGCTCCCTTGTTTGGAATCACTGTCCTGACAAGTATTTAACACCTGGCAAACTTTGGTTTTCTAGTCCACCAGGTAGAATGAATTACTCCTTCATCTGTGCTCCTTCGGAGCACTGAGTATCCCTCCAGCATTGGAGAAGAACATGTATGTTCCCTCAATAACAATGCACACCACTGCTGTAGAGAATTGCCTAGTGTTGTAACTCTCTGTGAGCTCCTTGAGATTTATTCTTGTCACATGTGCATAATTGGCAGTGTTTAGTTCAAGGTGAAAATTCTACCTTTGGTAGACACCGGTCCTCTTCTGGACAGCTAAAGTATTTTCACACACATCACTACCTCTTGGGAGTGATGCCGTGCTCTGCAGGTCTGTGAGTGTATCCACTCACATATTACTGCCTTTTCTTTATAACGTGTATCTCTTTACTTCTCTCCATATAACTTCTCCCCACTTTTGTTTCTCAAACTGTGATACTTGGACAATATCAGCTGTTCCTTGTCATTTATTTAACTGTAAGGTGACAAAATAAATATCACCTCATGTGAAAGTAATCTTAAAGCTAAGGCCTATGTCTTTTTGAAAACCTTCAACAAAGATCACCTGGGTTAATTTGCTACAGTATGAATTGTGTTTAAAAACATTCTTTGTAAAATCAGTGGAGTGTGTGTATAGGGTAGAGTGAGGTGGTTAAAAATTAAAACTAAACTCCAATAAATGACAAGTTGGTCTTACTGCCCTGGTAGAGAATGAAGAAAAGTTTGCATTTTCCAAAGGAAGCTAACAACCCCTGAGTATCTTCTATAGTCCAGGCACAGGGCTTCTGTATATAACATCAGAATATGTTATATACATACATAACCTCAGGGAAACTGTGGATAAGCGGTGGGGGGGGGGGTCTACTGTACATATAAAAACACCATGTATGCCATAAATATATACATTTGTTACCTGCATAAATATATACATTTATATACAATTAAAATTAAAACTAAACTCCAATAAATGACAAATTGATCTTACTGCCCTAGTGGAGAATGAAGAAAAGTTTGCATTTTCCAAAGGAAGCTAGTATCCCCTGGATATCTTCTATAGTCCTGCAACAGGGCTTCTGTATATAACATCATTTGATCCTTACTACATTCCTAGAAAACAATTATCATCTTTTTGTAAACTTAAAATACCTTCTCCCCCCATGAAAAAGAGATGCAGTGGTTAAGTAATTTTCCTAGATTCATACAACTGTGGCAGAATTGGAATTTGAAGCAAGGGTATTTTTTGATCCCAAGAGCATGATCTATTATGGCACACTATCTCCTAAACTAGATGTTGGGTTTCTTAGGATACAATCTGTTGTAGTATAAGTTGACCTGTTAGTAAATAGATATCAAATGTCAACAAATATTGTTAACTGAATATATGAATAATGAAAAAAACAAGTACCTGCAGGTTCTTCATTGTCTTGAGCCCTTCTCAGATTACCTGGAAAACATCTTCACTTTATGCTTTTAACTTTTGATTATCTGGGTAAACATGTCTTCCCTAAAATACTTTTGAAGTATATTTTTTTGCAGAGAGTGTGGCAAGCTCTTTGGTAATTTCTAACTGTAGTGAAAACTATCAGATGAAACAAAAAAATAGAATTCTTGACAAGCCTGTAGTTATATGCTTTTATTTGTGGGCAGGGGAGAGGTAGTGAGGGTTAATGGGTACCAAAAATTAGAAAGAATGAATAAGACCTTCTGTTTGATAGCACAATAGGGTGACTATAGTCAATAGCAACTTAATTGTACATTTAAAAATAGCTTCAAGTGTATTCGGATTGTAACTCAAAGGATAAATGCTTGAGGGAATGGATACCTTAATGTAAAAAGCCTCTATAGGTATATAGGGGAAATGAGTTTTCTTCCAACTTCCTCTCTATGTGGGATTTGTGTTTCTCAGCATATTGAAATAGTTAGGGTGATCTTACTGCACAGACTGTTGAGCTGTGGATGAACTCTTTAATTTTCTTCCCCTTCCAGCTATAAGGGCCTGACTCTTCACTTTTGGGTGGAGGTAATGACAGCAGAGTTATACAGGAAGAAATAGAACACTCACAAAGATTTATTTTATATCAAAAAATGAGAAGTGGAGTATGAGAGGTTTCAAAAAACATGGAGAGAAGCATATTGTAGTAGAAAGGCCCTGAGGTAGAAGGCCAAATAAAACCTTGGATCTGGTCTTGCTTTAATACAGTTTTGGGTAAAGTACAAGATCCTTCTAAGCTTCAAAAATTTGACCTGTGAAATGAATTGGTTGGATTAGATATATGCACTTTTTAAGTGTGTCTAGGAGATATCCTCAACTTTATCTTACGATCCTTCTGTTGGCCTGTTTATTCAGGCTATCACACTTGTAATTTCTAATATATTAAAAAATATATGTTTAAAACAGAAGCAGATGAATAGAAAAGAGGGAAAACTCTTTGTGGCTCAAGCCCTTTCTGTCTCTGCCTAGACTTATTTCTCAGGGTTTGAGCAGTGTGCTGGCATATTTTTAGGGGAAGAAAAGAATGATGGATATTTATGCTGTCACCTTGACCACTTCAGGTTGTGTCTGTCTGGGAGACTGTTAGGCAGTGGATGTGAGCTCATAACTGGCATGTTAAGGTAGCAGTATATCAGGATTCAGATGTTATTCTTTCTTTTTAGCCTGGCTGTATAGTGAGAATAAAGGAGAGGTGATATTGAGTATGAATGATTGCTACAGAATCTGCTTTCTTGTTTTCTTTTGTGCATAGTGTGGATGAAGTAGGGGAAAGGGAAAAGTTTACAACTGATTGCTCATGAATATTCACTAGGTGACTCATTTGGGACCAAATAGTACACAGTGGTAAGGCTAGACTTACCTTCCTTGTAGATAATGGTTTGTTCCTTTTATGTAGCCTCCATAAACCTTAAGCCCCATAGGAGGATGAGTTGTTTTGTAAGGTGTTTTTGTCCCTCTAGGAGGCATTCTTTGACATTTAAGATTGAACCTGGGGCCCAACTCTGTAGGTATGTGTTTTGTTCATATTGGCTTTAATTTCTTAGAGAGCAGTGCTCATGTCTTAATACTTAACTGTGTTGGAATAAATAGTACAGGACTTGACACATGGTGGGTTTACAGTAAATACTTGTTGATTAATGGAAGATTGGGTTACCAGAAACTGATGCTTGATGACACCATTGCTATGAATTTGAATTCCAGTATATGGACTTTTCTTTCTACTTTCATTCTTTTGGGTGGCCACAAATGATGGAGTTAGAACTTTCCCTTATGTAATAGAAGACATCTGTTACAAGGGGACTTCAGTGATAATCTGTGGATAAAATATCCATCCTACTTTTAAGTATGAGTCACTTAAAGCGCCAGGCTTTTGAAGAGGGGGATAGTATCACAGACAGAAAGGTGAAATGGTGGTTATGGAGGCTGGGGGTGAGGGGTTGGTGAGATGTTGGTCAAAGGATACATAATTTTATTTAGGAGGAATAAATTCAAGAGATCTGCGGAACACCATGGCGACTATGGTTAATAATATATTTTATACTAGAAAATTGCTTAGAGATTTTTAAGTGTTTTTACCATAAAAAAGTGTGTGCATTTATAAATAGCTTGATTTAGCTGTTCAACAATGTATATAGTATCCTCCCTTATCCAAGGGGAATATGTTCCAAAACCCCAGTGGATGCCTGACCTGTGGGTAGTACCAAACCCTATATAAGTTGTTTTTCCTACATATGTGTATCATTCATTTTAATTTACAAATTAGACTATGAGACATTAGTCACAATAACTAATAATAGAACAGTTATAACAATATACTGTAATAAAAGTTATAAGAATGCATTCTGTCTCTCAAATCTTATTGTACCGTACTTTCCTGGGGTGACAGACCTCAGAAAGGGAAACTGTGGATAAGGGGGGTCTACTATCCATATAAAAACACCATGTATGCCATAAATATATACATGTATTACCTGTATAAATATATACATTATATACAGTTATTACCTGGCAATTAAAAACGTGTATATATAAAGGAGATAATGAAATTATCATTTGTCTATCAATTGAATAAATTGCTACACACACAAAGTAAAGCTGTATCTCCAAATGATTATCAATTTTTTTTTTTTAATATTTCAGGGATGTGTTTGTTCCTTTTCCACCAGTGCTCATCGCCATACCAAGTTTTATACAGATCCAGTAGAAGCTGTAAAAGACATCCCTGATGGTGCCACGGTTTTGGTTGGTGGTGAGTACTAACACTGTTTTCATGTTATGGTAATGTCCTTATGTTTTTAAATGAAGCAGGCAAATCACAATGACAAAGATGTATAAAAATGATAATTATTTTATTATGCATTATTTATTGTACATATTATAATATCATCTATTTTATTAGTGTCTCCTTCCTAAAAGTTTAGCAAGGTTTAGCACTTAATATTTTACTTTCTCTGTGTGCGTGCATGTGTGTGTGTATGTGTATTTGTGTGTTTCTGTTTTGAAAAACTGAAGCTTCAAAGTAGTCAGGTTTTATTAATAGCTTTGAAAAAAATCCCTAGATCCCAATTTTTTAACTTAAAATGTTTGCATTAATCTCATAAGCTTACACCTTCAGAGACCCCGTAGACATGTATTGACCTCCCCCACTGCCAATTCTATTGCTGCTTCTTGTTTGGACTCTCGAGGGAGTTTCACTTTGTCACCCAGGCTGGAGTGCAGTGGTGCGATCTCAGTTTACTGCAACCTCTGCCTCTCGGGTTCAAGCCATTCTCCTGCCTTAGCCTCCCGAGTAGCTGGGATTACAGGCACCCACCATCACTCCTGGCTAATTTTTGTATTTTTAGTAGAGATGGGGTTTCACCATGTTGGCCAGTCTGGTTTCAAACTCCTGACCTCTAGTCATCTGCCCACCTTGGCCTCCCAAAGCGCTGGGATTACAGGCGTGAGCCACCCACACCCAACTTGCTGCCTGCTTCTGATAAATAATGTCAAGGATTATTTTTAGCATTGATCTCCACTCATTCAAGTAAGTCATTGAATGTTCATTTTAAACCCAATACAATTTGAGTAATCATGGAAAATATAAAGAAATGACAGTTTTGGGCTTAGGCTTCCAACTATGCAAAATCTACTCAGACATATTAACATTCTTGAAAAAGTTGTAGAAAAACTGATTTACAAAGCAGGAAAACAATAGATATATAGTTAAGTGCAAACTGAGGAATGAGTAGCCATATAAACTGGTTGCACTTGGCTTATACTTGTGGTTCAAAGACTGGGCAGTGATATGTGATATAATGGTGCAAAACATTTGGATACAGCTATATGACCATTTACTTAGCTGCTGAGATATATCTGTGTATTTTGCTTAGTAGATCTAATAATGTGCTTTGTTTTATTTCCCTTTTAAAAAGAATAACACACACTTCTCTGAAAGAACATTGTTACCCCCTTTACAAATTGTTTATTTTTTGGGCTTAATATAGGTTTTGGGCTATGTGGAATTCCAGAGAATCTTATAGATGCTTTACTGAAAACTGGAGTAAAAGGACTAACTGCAGTCAGCAACAATGCAGGGTAAGTGTGCATTTTAAAAACAATTGGCTGGAGAGAAATGCCAATTCTTAATATTTAAACAGAGTTTATCAATGAAATGAAGTTTTCTCCTATTCACATGAGCAATATGTCCAAGCATCAAAATCTAGTGTTTAACAAGGTCAAGAGGGGTGGTTACATTTATCCAAATGTTTTTGGTACCATCCTTCATAAGTAAAGCAGACTTGCTTCATCTAGTATAAAGATATAAATTAAGACTTTATATCTTAATGTGATGTGCTTTTATTTTTCTAAACTTAAAATGTATTGAAGTTAGAATATATATCTTCAAATTAAGTCTTGCATTTTAAAATTTAAATGTATTGTTTTATGTTATTTATTAGATCATTTATAAAGCAAGGTGGGCATCAATTTGAAATCTGTTTAAAGCCCTTTCTTTTAGCAATGCCATCATTCTAGATCATAAATAAAGGGATACCATTAATCACAAAAACATGGCTGGTCTTGGAAGGTGGATATGCAGCCAGCACTTAAGATAATAGGATTGCATATTATAGTGGTCAGAAATAAGCCATCATTTTAATAATAGCATGCACATTAAGGTACATTTAGCTATGTTAGGAAAAGCCATATTTTTATTTTTACAAAATGGTAAGTCATCAGCTCTCAACAATTAAAGACTTTAAGGATTTTACATTTTTAATCACCCAATTGGCATTTTAGCCAATTATAAAAGCAGTTTAGAATAAATAGTGTAGGTTATTTGGGAAGTAAAACTGATGCTACTTTTTTGTGCCCATTTTTCCTTTTCTGAGTCTGTTTCCTTCTGGGAGACTGTCCCTCCTCTTTCCTGTCTATCCACATCTCTCAGGATTAGACTTAAGTTGTATATCCTCAAAGTATCCTTATCCAATTATAGAAACTTTTCTAGTCTTTATTGATCTTGCCCCTTTTTGAGTTCCTTTAGAGACTTTTAGCCTTTCTTTGTGTGCTGAATTTTACTTATCTTTGATATATATGTATATTACATTACCAATCTCCTTTATTTACAGTAGTTATGTATTCCCTACTGTCCTGAGCCTGTAAGTCTGAGTCTCAGAGTTACTGTGTGTTGGAGGGGAATGGGATTGTAGAAATCATCTGTCCCTTGTTTAACTGACTTTTCAGATCGTCTGAAAATAGAGAAGTAACTTGTTTAAGACAACTCGATAACTCTTAAACATATCTTATGCCCTTTAATTTGACTTGATTATACATACTTTTGATTATCAGCACTTTCAGTTTTCCAGATAGCTTTATGCTTATAAGGGATACTACAGATCAATATAAAATTCTTGATGCAGAATAGATGCTGTTATGACAAAGGCTGAGAAATCTGATTATACATATGTACCTACACCTATAATTACTTGTGTGTGTGTGTGTGTATATATATATATATATATTACATATATATATATATATATATATTACTATACTAGTCAGGTATAATAGTTTTTTGAGAGCCCAATGGTCAGTCTATCACTCTAAAATGTCTGGTTGTGTACCAATGACTTTGAACCTCAAGATAAAGGCAGTGACCCCTCTGCTGTGCCCTTGTTCTTTGTTGAGGAAGCTGCAGCTCTGAAGGAGTTAATAATCAGATGTAGGCCATGAGCTGATTATGGACATTCCCTAGGATTTAGTTATTTTGTCTGGGAAGGGCTAACCAATTCCTGGGATGTATACTTGAACTTCTGTGCTCAGCTCATGAAAGATTTCATTTGTCTCATGTAACTACAGAAGTCCTCCCTTATTCGAGGGGCCTGTGTTCTGAAATCATGGCTAATACTCAACCCAATTGCTGTCAATGGGAATGTATTTCTGTTTGTCTTCCACCCACAAATTTAATGTCTTTTCCATCTTAACTAAGCTCTTATTATGCTCTGTGGCTATAACTTTTGCAGTTTGAGATATGACAGCAAAACTAGCAGATATTTTTCTCTTTCTTTGAAATTTAATGGATAAAAGATTCATTCTTACTTAGATCTTTCACTTAAAGGAAGCACTTTATGACCTCTTTCTGGCATATCCAAGTTGCCTGCACCACTACTCTTGTGTTTTGGGGCCATTATTAAGTAAGATAAGGACTACTTGAACACAAGCACAGCAAAGACTGCAGCAATCTATCTGATCACCATCATGGCTACTAAGTGAAGAACAGGAGAGTAGTATATACAGTGTAGATGTGCTGGACAAAGGGAGGATTCACACCCCGGGCAGGATGGAGTAGGATGATGATAGCTCATCTCGTTACTCAGAATGGTGCAAAACTTAAAACTTATGAATTTTATATGTCTGGAATTTTCCATTTAATATTTGTGGACTGCAGTTGACTGGGTAATTGAAACCACATAGAAAATGAAACTGCAGATTGGGTGGGGGATGGGGAAATTACTGTATGTCATAAATTAGCCTTATATTTAAATGAAGCATTTTGTTTTTGGTACTCTTGATATATTAAATATAATTATCTAATCCAGATTTAAGTATGTCTAAAATGAAAAGTAAACAAAAGAAATACAACTTGGTAAGTGATCCCAACTTTATTTTTGTTTATCTTATTTTGACAAGAATTGCCAATTAATGAGATTTCAGAAAATCAGCAAATTAAATTTCAGATTCAGAGCATGGAAATATTTCCAGAACATTGTCTCTGATGCGGTATCTTTTTGCTTTATAATAATGTGTCTCATTAATGAATTCTTGGCCTTAGACTTTTTCTAGTCACCAAAATGTTTGAAACCCAGGTTTGTTATGATGCAGGAAAAAGATCACATCTCTCTTTAGTATGCTAAAAAATGTTGGCTACTAAAGGAAAGCACCCATCTTTTTGAAGGTCTTATCAGCATTGTCTTTAGTATTAAAGAGCTATAAGATGGTTTAATATACATGTCTCTATTAGAAATGATATGTTCCCCATTTGCAAAAGATCACATCTATTTTTCTTTATCTTGTAAGCCTTTATAGGTAAGGGACTTGTCTTACTAATTTTTTATCATCAATGTCTGATAATAGGTAAGATATACACTTGCCAAATTTGGGTTGTAAAGTATGTGGCAAGAAACACTCTCATTGTAAGCTGACAGCATTTTCAAGACCTGAAGAACTGGTCAGGTAGTGCACCTGGGGCTAGCGTCTTATGCACTGCTTGATTGCTATGCCAGGATACTAGTCTAAAAACAAAGCAAAGCCCATATAAACAATGA
The DNA here is from genome assembly GCF_000001405.40 of Homo sapiens. Classification (NCBI taxonomy): domain Eukaryota; kingdom Metazoa; phylum Chordata; class Mammalia; order Primates; family Hominidae; genus Homo; species Homo sapiens. The sequence goes on along the minus strand of NC_000005.10, from coordinate 41,858,086 downwards.
TTCTCAGAGCTAACAAATGAATAAAGAGATGTGATCTCCAAATAGAGCCAACTTAAAATGGGTAATGGGTTGAAAAGCCAAAGAGATCCAGAAGACAGTAGTTAGAAAAATTCCCAAGTCAATCAGTGTCCAACTATATTCTGGCTTTACTATGGGCCTGTAGGAGTTTCAGATATTTTAAACTACAGAAAGTAAAATGGATCATATCTACCTTCATGAATTATTTTATTACAACTTTATTAGTCTGGGCTGTAGATGATATCAAACGTAATTGAATTTTCTGAGTGGTTGAGGAGTTTACCAAAGGGAGCCTTTTCAGTGGAATGGTCAGGGATGAGGGAAAAATGAGTAATAAAGAACACTGGAATTTGTATTGGAGGGGTGCTGTTACCAGCCCCAGGTCTGAAGGAGTGAAGGCAGGGAGCTGTTACTAGGACCTGGAAGAAAGCTTTATGGAGGGGGTTATCCAATAGGCTGTAACTTCTCAGGGAGAGAGCCAGAGGAATATAAATCCCAACATTTTCCCCTCACCCACATCCTCTTGATGGTGCCTCCCATTGGGTGAACCCGGTCAGAGTGGCTGAACCCAATCAGAAGCCAGAGGGCAAGGGGACCCCTCAATTTAGTCTACAGGGCAGCCATCTGAGGTCCAGATGTTGGAGGGATGGTGAGGCCAGGAGAGGAAGAGAAGTGAGCCAAAAGGAGAATGGGTGGAGTGAGGTTGGGGACATCAAAGGGCAACTGATCACATGGGACCTTGCAGGCCACTCCGGAGACCTTTAATTTTACTCTGAATGAAAGTACCATCACAAGGGTGTGAGCAAGAGCAGTGATATGTTCTGACTTACATTTTATATGGCTTGCTTTGGCTGCCATGTTGTGTGGGAGGGGAAGCAGGGAGGGTTTGCAGTACCCTGGCAAGATAGTGCAGAGTACCAAGGAGAGAGTGAGAAATGGCCAGATTTTGAATAGGCTTTGAAGGGGGAATCAGGATTTCCTGATAGATTCAATGTGGAGTTTGTGAGAGAAGTCAAAGATCGCTGCGTTAGTTTTGGGCTGAGGATCTGTAAGGTGAGCCTGCCATGAGGTGAGATGGGAAGGCTGCAGTGGAGTTGAATTTGGGGGAATAGAATTGTGGGGACCTAGCCAGGTACTAGGAGTAGGTTAAAAACTCAGAAGGCATTGTGTGCATTGAGAGTAATGGGAAGACAGCCCTTGAACAACGGAATCCTTAGGCCTCTGGTGACCTCTAGTGGACAAATGTATTCTTAACTTGCCGGGCATTCTAGCTCAAAAGTACACTCTTGAAAATGCTTATGTTACTTAGGCATTAGTTTTCTTTTGAACCAAGTGAGAGTAAGTCATGCAGCTATTTCTTTTCTACCCATGGTGGATGGGAAATCTTATCAGATTCAGCATTTGAAGGCTAGGGGTGCAAAACACGTTGAGTAGGAGGTTGACAGTTACCTGTTACCTAGACACTTTGAAGTGTTCATTGTGTCAGGAGTGCCGGGGGTAGGAAAGAGGTTTGGAAATGAAATTCTGAGAATTGGGAAGGAATCAGCTGAGCTGGAGTGGTCACTTGTCGGTGTGAGGAGTATGAGAGTGGAGAGTGGAATGAAGTTGGGAGAACAGGTGGCATCAGGAGAAATGTCAGTGGTTTGTCACATACTTAACACCTTTCCAGATCAAGTAAGTAGGCGTCACTAGTGCTTGTTAATTTCCCCCAACCAACTTTCTTTATATTCCATCACCAAAGCCAGAATTCTGGAGTGGGTCTGCAGCTTCATCAGGATGGGCAACAAGTCTTATGAATTATTTCCCCCAAAGACCCTCTTGATTTCTCCCTTCTCCATTCCCATTCCCACTGCTCAGACTCTCACTGTTGGTTGTTTGGACTACTTCGAGCCTCTTCATTGATATCCCGGCCTTTCATCTTTCAAGCTTTCCAGCTAATCATACTGTTATATTTCCGCTTAAAACTTTTTACAGGGACTTCCTGTCTTTCAGGATGAAATCCCACAAGGCTGATCACAACTGGTCCTGCCTTCTCCCCTCCCACATGCTGTTGCCCTCAGTCCATACTCCAGGAACACTGAACATGTAGTTTCCTGAGTGCATCTTTGCAAAGCTGTCTATCTGTCTGTTTTTCTCTACACCTCCACCCCACACACTGTTCTCGAGATGTTTTCTTTTTTCCTATGTCTGTGTAAGTGCCACCTCCTGTAAGATTTTTTCTGCTATCTTTCTCCTCCCCAAAAGTTGGGTTCTCCATTTTCAGAATTATCACAATTTGTGCCTAATTCCCTTAGCATGTCTCTCCCTCTGTTGTAATTATAGGTTACGTGTTTATTTTCTCAGTTTCAAAGCTGCCCAGGACCAGGTCTTATTCATGATTGTAGCTCCAGAGCCTGACACAGGGATAGAATAAGCACTCAGTAAGGGAGTTTTAGATGAATTAACAAACCTGTGGTAGAATAAGCACTCAGTAACGGAGTTTCAGATGAATGAACTGTGTAGATGACACAAGCTCTGTAGGGAAGGAACCATCAGAGCACTAAAGGAATTAGGAGGGAGAGATTGTAAATAAAAACTTCTGTTTCTAGGAAGCACTCTGGTCCTTATCACTACATTTCTGTCTCTTAAAAGGCTTTCTTGAAGCATAGTATGGAGTAATATAGAAAAGTGAACATCTCATAAATACAGTTTGATGGAGTTTTACAAGCTGCACACCCATGTCATCAATGCCCAGATAGATAAATGGAACATGACCAGTACCCCAGGAAGCCCTCTTCCTGCTCCTTCCAGTCGCTGTTCTCTTCTCCCACTACCAATATTAATCGTTAGCCTTACTTTTGATTCTCATAGATTTGTTTTGTCTGATTTTGAACATCATATTAAAGGAATATTTCAGAGTATAATCTTGTGTCTGGCTTTAGCTCAACATTATTCTGTGAGATTCAACCATTGTTACTGATGGTTATAGATGAGTCATTCTCACTGCTATACCCCACTTCATTATGTAGTATGCCACAATTATCTATTTTGCTGATGAGCATTTGGGAGGCTCCAATTTTGGCCATAATGAACAGTGCTGCTATGAATTTTCTTGCACATGTCTTGTGATGAACCTAAGTATGCATTTCTGTTGGTTATAGACCCAGAATGGAATTGCTGACCCATAGCATATGGATATATTGAACATTAGTAGGTACTAACAGTTTTTCCAAGGTGGTCATTTCAGTTTAAATTCCCCTTGGCACATATGAGAGTTCTGATTGTTTCACATCTTTGTCGAGACTTGGTATTTTTTTCTTTTTTAGCCATCCCTTCATGTTTGTGGTGGTGTCTCATCATACTTTTTGCCATTAAAAGTGTTTTGCTACGAAAAATACTTCCCCATTAAAACAATTTCACCATTAAAAAATATTTCGCCATTAAAAGATATTTCGCCATTAAAAATATTTCACCATTAAAAAAAAATTTTGTCATTAAAAAATTTCACCATTAAAAAAAGCTTAAGGTCAAGTATTCTTATCTTAGAAATGTTTTATTTCTCTAGTTGGTTAAAATATTTCTGACTCTTGAATGGAAGATGATCTTCAGTCTTTAAGGTGACTGAAATGGAAAAATAATTCATTCAGTTATCTATCTTGTTACATTGACTTTGCTTTAAATTCTAGGCATATTTTGCTTTGAAAAATAATAGAAATAAAGAAAGGCATAAACCTGGAGACCTTCACCCAATGAAAAAATAAAGTCAACACTGTGTATACCATTTCTAAGAATAAATTGAGCGCCAGCTTTAAAATAATAAAGATATTAAACTATAGTATATATAATTTAACAGATACAGGATTATTGTTTCCACTTAACACTCTTCACTGGCTTGTGATTAATTTTTTTTTTGCTTGTTTTTGTTAAGAATGTGTAAATCTTCTTGAGCAAAAGATTTATGATATAGGGAAAATGTTCATAGCTATTTATAATTTGGGTCCACATTTCAATGAGCATGTTAATCTCTCTTTTAAATACCAGAATGCCCCTCTCTCCTTTTTAGAAGTGAAAGAGCTTCTCCATCCAAATCTTCATTTTGGGTCAGTATATTGTCACTGCATTTATGTGTTCCTTCAAAGCATAGGACAAGAACCAATTCATCTCTTTGCTTATCTTCTAACTCAGAATCACTCTGCAGCCGTGAAAATAACAAAAGGTGCGGGGTAAAACTGTAGGGTTGACATGGGTGTGAATATTGGCTGTATGTCCCTTACTGCCCAAGACCTTGCCCTGTGCATGCCCCGCTCCCACAAAAAAATAACTTAAACTTCTTGACTTTTAGTTTCCTCAACTGTAAAATAAAAGGATAGCTACCTTGCAAAAGTTTTGGGGTTATGGGAGACTAAGAATGTGGATCAAATGCCTATAAGAAAGGATTTATTTTTCTTTAAATTAACAAAGTTTTATCTCTTTAAAAAGATGTAATAGTGTTCTGTCAGATGCTCTTTGGTAAGCTCCCTTCATTTTCCTTCTAGGGTTGACAATTTTGGTTTGGGGCTTTTGCTTCGGTCCAAGCAGATAAAACGCATGGTCTCTTCATATGTGGGAGAAAATGCAGAATTTGAACGACAGTACTTATCTGGTGAATTAGAAGTGGAGCTGACACCACAGGTGAGAAAATTTGCTTTTCTTTTATAATACTAACTTACTTTAAAAATTCCTTTTTTCTCCGTGGAAATTTCTTTGTGCAAAAGAGGTAAGGCAGAAGGAATAGTACTTTGCCAAACCAGGGAATTTTGTTTCTAACTCACACCTGTTGATTGCTGGAGGATTAATATTTTCTTCTACTGTGTACTGAAAAAAGAGATATTTCTAAAAGATATCCAGGCTGCAAGATAAGATTTTAAGTTTGGCACTGTAATGTGTATTGTGCCAGAAGCATACAAAAGGATTTGCTGGAATGTTTGAGAATCATCCTAAAAAGTTAATTTATAGGAATTTATTTTTATTTTTTTTTTTGAGGCAGAGTCTTACTGTGTCACCCAGGGTGGAGTGCGGCGGTGTGATCTCGGCTCACTGCAAACTCCACCTCCCGAGTTCAAGCAATTCTCCTGCCTCGGCCTCCTGAGAAGCTGAGATTTGAGATTACAGGCATGTGCCACCACGCCCAGCTACTTTTGTTTTCTGTATTTTTAGTAGAGACGGGATTTCACCATGTTGGCCAGGCTGGTCTCGAACTCCTGACCTCAAATGAGCCGCCTGCCTTGGCCTCACAGGTGTAAGCCACCATGCCTCTCCAATTTCTATGAATTTTAGAACTAGAAATTTATGGGTGATCTGGTCTTGCTGAGACACTTCAGAGTGAAGCCCTTGAAAGGTGCATGTGACTATATCTGAGTAAGTGCTGGGATCAGAACCTAGATTCCCAGGGAACTGATGTTACTACAAAGCAAGCAGTTACTATAATTAATCTAGCAACTTTTCACTCATTTTCTATGTCATCTCTTAACTAATTGGAGTTATTCATAAAGAAAGGAAAACTTTCTGAAATCTTTAAGTAAAATGAGGGTCTACAGTTTGCTCTTCTTTCATTTTGACATGCTCTGCTCTCAGCTCTTGAACTGAGCCACTCCGCTTTATTTTAGTCAACAGAAAATATTGCTACTGACTTTGCCAAGTTGGTAATAACATAATTTAGTAGATTTTTAAAAATTAGTAATGAAATCATGGTGTGTTTGTCTAGAAAGCACACATGGGAACTATTCTGAGGCTCGTGTTGCAGTCACACCTGGTCACTCTATAGCACCGTTACCTGTACATACCATAGCATTGCACTGGGCTTGGTATTTACTCAATTTTCTCAGTTTTTTGAAAAAACAAAAACAAAAAAAACAAAGATGTCTTAGTCTGCTCAGGCTGCTATAACAAAATATCACAGACTGGTGGCTTAAACAACAGAAGTTTCTCACAGTTCTGAAGGCTTGGAAGTCCTCCTTGGCTTGCAGATGGCCGACTTCTCACGGTTCTTGCATGGCGGAGAGCATGCATGCTCACTCTCTGGGTGTCTCTTCTTGTAGGAACACTAATCATACCAGATCAGGGCCCAACCTTTTTGACTTCCTTCAACCTTGATGACCTCCTTATAGGCCCTATCTCAATACAGTCACACTGGTGACTAGGAATTCAACATATGAATTTTGGGGAGAACACAGTTCGGTCCATAGCAGTATTTTTCACATGGTAGGTTAAGATACAGTATTCTTTGGGTTGTGGAACTATTGAAAATTAACCTTTTGATTACCCTTGGTATCTTTTATGTTACTCCTTATTTCGTCAGAAAGTACGTACATCATTAATATATCATTTTTTTTTTTACAGTTTTTCCTCAGGCTAAGAGAGGTCAGTGTCTCCTTCCCCAACTTAGTGGCCCGTTAGTAAACACTGGCTCTGGCAGCTTATTTTGCAGCCTGAAGGCTAGGGGGAGGAGTATCGATGGTGGGGATCAGGAGTTCTTTGGTGGGTGAGGGTAAGGAGCTGGTGGCACCTACAGAAGGCCTATCTGCAGAAATAGTCCACTTTCAGGCCCTTACCTGGTATGATAGAAGGAGAGTATTCAGGGAGGGTATATATAAAACATATTTTAAGGCAAGGGGTAGTGTTATGGTAATTTTGATGATTTAATTTTTTGTAAATGTTACTAACTTCACAACACAAGGTAGAGTCATCTCTTTCCGTTGGCTAGATAATCAGTTATCTGGAAGATTTTCAGTTATACCCCAAGTCTCTGTTTCCCCAGAATATTCCACCTACTTGAATGACTCAATGTCTCAAGTCCCAACTGTTAGTTTCTTTTTTGAGTTGAATACTTAGAGTCCTGTTAAAGTAGAAAATACTTTTTAAGGTTGGGACAATATGAACACATCATCATTAATACCATGAACCAATTCTTTTTTTTCTTAAAGAGGCAGATCTCATTATGTTGCCCAGGCTGGACTCAAACTCCTGGCCTCAAGTGATCCTTCACCTCCCAAAGCACTGGGATTTACAGGCATGAGCCATGGTGTCCAGCCCCAATTTTTAACTACTGACTAGCCAGTCAGTTTTCTAGTAAGACTGTTGTAACAAGTCTATCACAGTAGGCGTCAAGGTTAGGAAGGGTGTCAAGGTTCAGGGCCAGAGTTGATTCCTTAGGGAAAACCTGGGTAGAAAAACAGTTGAGAGTGAGAGAGCCAGGGAAACTAGTCTTGAAATCACTGGTACCTAGGAAGAAGAGTCACCCATCGGAAAGATGATGATCAAAAGAAGATACAAAGTAACTTTGCTTGCAGCTGTTTCTACTCTGAAACAATTTGATGTACTCTTGGCTTTTAAAAACCAATTTACCAGTATGCTGTATTTTTCACTTTGTTTTTTTTCTTAGACGATTTGTAGATAAAAATATTTATGAAAATGGTTTAAAATAAGCTCTAAAATTTAAACACTTTACATTATTAACTTGAATAAAATTTAGGCCATACCAACATAGATCATGAAATAAAACAAAATTTAACTGCATTACTTAATATATATAACTAAAGTTTCATAATTCAGATTTTAAAATTGACTTAGAATATCAAAAATAGACACATTTAAATGTGTCAAGAGATCATTGAGAGGTATGGAAGCTCAATGCATGACTATACAAATAAGCGGTTACATTTTGAATGTGGATTTAGAATGGTTCTAGAGGGGCAGTAACTTCTTAAAATTGATCTTCTAGCATACAATATTAGTGAAGTATGCTAATGTACAATGCTAGCTACTTTTTAGAATTATAAGCCTCTAGATAGTAGGAACCACGTCTAAATGTTTGTGTCCACATAGAGAAGTGTGCTTAGTGAACTTATGGGGTGTTGGTTGCTCACTTGCAGGGCACACTTGCAGAGAGGATCCGTGCAGGCGGGGCTGGAGTTCCTGCATTTTACACCCCAACAGGGTATGGGACCCTGGTACAAGAAGGAGGATCGCCCATCAAATACAACAAAGATGGCAGTGTTGCCATTGCCAGTAAGCCAAGAGAGGTAAGAAACACTCTTAACCAGATTATACCAGGATCCCTCTTTCCACGTGGGATTTTGGGTGGATCATTGGGCAAATAAGTATAAAATCACCTCTATGTGAGAAAAAGCACTCATTCATTTTCATAAATAGGTGAAATTTCTAGCTAAATCTGGGCATCCACTAGCATTTAAAATCACGTAGAGAAACTACAATAAAAAGAAGGAAAAAATGGTGTAATCCACATATGGTGTACTAGTCAAGGTTAGTTACTTGAACTGATTTTATGGTAGGCTTTAACAAATTGAGAAACAGTTATACTTGCTGATTATGCTTATATGGAAAATAAAGTAGTTGTGGTATGCATGCTAGCAAACTCTTTATGCTCAGGCCCTTCCTAAAGTGACTGTAGGAAGAAAAAACAAGGAAATAATATGTTTGTCTGAAACCTTGAAAGGAACTGTTATGATAGAATAGAGAGTTCATATGGTCACTATTTATTTTGTATCTTGGACACATTTGAGCTTTTGATGGAATAACCTACTTCTATTTAAAATGCTGAGTAGGATGGGGTACATCTATCCTAGGCATATTATAGAAGAGTAGAATTTCAGATAAAGGTATTTGAGATGCTCAGGTTGGAGAAAATTTCAAAAATTACACTGGCCAGTATTTCATTACGGTATTTTTTAGTATCTTTCCATTTTCCTGTCCAAATGGCCGAAGAAAGTTAACACAGGTTGCAGAAATGCTGTAGTCATCTCTGGGGAAGTGAACGTAGTAAATCAGGGGATCTCTTATCACTTTTCTGCATATGGGGATGCTGGCTGTGCCCCTCCCATTCCTAGGAACGATCAGAGGGAAGATTGGAGGTCACTGAATATGTCCTTTGATGTTCACTGTTGATCTCCAGCTGCATCTTCCATCTGGAGACATCTTTCTGTTGAGAGTGATCTATGTGGATTCAAAGCTTTTATTAATGTGTTTTTTAGATTCTGGATATTAGCCCTTTGTCCGAAGAGTAGGTTGCGAAAATTTTCTCCCATTTTGTAGGTTGCCTGTTCACTCTGATGGTAGTTTCTTTTGCTGTGCAGAAGCTCTTTAGTTTAATTAGACCCCATTTGTCAATTTTGGCTTTTGTTGCCATTGCTTTTGGTGTTTTATACATGAAGTCCTTGCCCATGCCTATGTCCTGAATGGTAATGCCTAGGTTTTCTTCTAGAGTTTTTATGGTTTTAGGTCTAACGTTTAAGTCTTTAATCCATCTTGAATTGATTTTTGTATAAGGTGTAAGGAAGGGATCCAGTTTCAGCTTTGTACATATGGCTAGCCAGTTTTCCCAGCACCATTTATTAAATAGGGAATCCTTTCCCCATTGCTTGTTTTTCTCAGGTTTGTCAAAAATCAGATAGTTGTAGATATGCGGTGTTATTTCTGAGGGCTCTGTTCTGTTCCATTGATCTATATCTCTGTTTTGGTACCAGTACCATGCTGTTTTGGTTACTGTAGCCTTGTAGTATAGTTTGAAGTCAGGTAGTGTGATGCCTCCGGCTTTGTTCTTTTGGCTTAGGATTGACTTGGCGATGCGGGCTCTTTTTTGGTTCCATATGAACTTTAAAGTAGTTTTTTTCCAATTCTGTGAAGAAAGTCATTGGTAGCTTGATGGGGATGGCATTGAATCTGTAAATTACCTTGGGCAGTATGGCCATTTTCACGATATTGATTCTTCCTACCCATGAGCATGGAATATTCTTCCATTTGTTTGTATCCTCTTTTATTTCCTTGAGCAGTGGTTTGTAGTTCTCCTTGAAGAGGTCCTTCACATCCCTTGTAAAAGTTGGATTCCTAGGTATTTTATTCTCTTTGAAGCAATTGTGAATGGGAGTTCACTCATGATTTGGCTCTCTGTTTGTCTGTTATTGGTGTATAAGAATGCTTGTGATTTTTGTACATTGATTTTGTATCCTGAGACTTTGCTGAAGTTGCTTATCAGCTTAAGGAGATTTTGGGCTGAGACAGTGGGGTTTTCTAGATATACAATCATGTCGTCTGCAAACAGGGACAATTTGACTTCCTCTTTTCCTAATTGAATACCCTTGATTTCCTTCTCCTGCCTAATTGCCCTGGCCAGAACTTCCAACACTATGTTGAATAGGAGTGGTGAGAGAGGGCATCCCTGTCTTGTGCCAGTTTTCAAAGGGAATGCTTCCAGTTTTTGCCCATTCAGTATGATATTGGCTGTGGGTTTGTCATAGATAGCTCTTATTATCTTGAGATATGTCCCATCAATACCTAATTTATTGAGAGTTTTTAGCATGAAGGGTTGTTGAATTTTGTCACGGTCTTTTCTGCATCTATTGAGATAATCATGTGGTTTTTGTCTTTGGTTCTGTTTATATGCTGGATTACATTTATTGATTTGTGTATATTGAACCAGCCTTGCATCCCAGGGATGAAGCCCACTTGATCATGGTGGATAAGCTTTTTGATGTGCTGCTGGATTCGGTTTGCCAGTATTTTATTGAGGATTTTTGCATCAATGTTCATCAAGGATATTGGTCTAAAATTCTCTTTTTTGGTTGAGTCTCTGCCTGGCTTTGGTATCAGGATGATGCTGGCCTCATAAAATGAGTTAGGGAGGATTCCCTCTTTTTCTATTGATTGGAATAGTTTAAGAAGGAATGGTACCAGTTCCTCCTTGTACCTCTGGTAGGATTCAGCTGTGAATCCATCTGGTCCTGGACTGTTTTTGGTTGGTAAGCTATTGATTATTGCCACAATTTCAGATCCTGTTATTGGTCTATTCAGAGATTCAACTTCTTCCTGGTTTAGTCTTGGGAGAGTGTATGTGTCAAGGAATTTATCCATTTCTTCTAGATTTTCTAGTTTATTTGCGTAGAGGTGTTTGTAGTATTCTCTGATGGTAGTTTGTATTTCTGTGGGATCGGTGGTGATATCCCCTTTATCATTTTTTATTGCGTCTATTTGATTCTTCTCTCTTTTTTTCTTTATTAGTCTTGCTAGCGGTCTATCAGTTTTGTTGATCCTTTCAAAAACAAATTTACAAGAAAAAAACAACCCCATCAAAAAGTGGGCGAAGGACATGAACAGACACTTCTCAAAAGAAGACATTTATGCAGCCAAAAAACATGAAAAAATGCTCACCATCACTGGCCATCAGAGAAATGCAAATCAAAACCACAATGAGATACCATCTCACACCAGTTAGAATGGCAATCATTAAAAAGTCAGGAAACAACAAGTGCTGGAGAGGATGTGGAGAAATAGGAATACTTTTACACTGTTGGTGGGACTATAAACTAGTTCAACCCTTGTGGAAGTCAGTGTGGCGATTCCTCAGGGATCTAGAACTAGAAATACCATTTGACCCAGCCATCCCATTACTGGGTATCTACCCAAAGGACTATAAATCATGCTGCTTTAAAGACACATGCACACGTATGTTTATTGCAGCATTATTCACAATAGCAAAGACTTGGAACCAACCCAAATGTCCAACAATGATAGACTGGATTAAGAAAATGTGGCACATATACACCATGGAATACTATGCAGCCATAAAAAATGATGAGTTCATGTCCTTTGTAGGGACATGGATGAAATTGGAAATCATCATTCTCAGTAAACTATCGCAAGAACAAAAAACCAAACACTGCATATTCTCACTCATAGGTGGGAATTGAACAATGAGAACACATGGACACAGGAAGGGGAACATCACACTCTGGGGACTGTTGTGGGGTGGGGGGAGGGGGGAGGGATAGCATTGGGAGATATCCCTAATGCTAGATGACGAGTTAGTGGGTGCAGCACACCAGCATGGCACATGTATACATATGTAACTAACCTGCACATTGTGCACATGTACCCTAAAACTTAAAGTATAATAATAATAAATAAATAAATACATACATACATACATAAATAAATAAAGAGAAGACTTCTGGATTGGAAGGCAGAAAATGAGTGCAATTAGGGAGGGAATGCAGGGGGATTTAAACTGAATATTAATGTTCTATTTCTTAAGCTGGTGTTATAAAAATGTATAAGTACTGCATATATTTTTAAAATGCTACATAAGCATATTTTGTACATTTTTATATGATAAATTTTACATTAAAATATTTTAAGATAAAAAATGTGTTTTTTATGTTTGATCTTTTTCCTTTACTGTCTAAATAAGTTTAAAAGGCTTCTTGACAAAGTAAAAGACAGGAGCCTAATTGTTAAAATGAACTGTAGTAGTATCTCATAAAGTTCCCGGAAAACTTGGGATAAATACTTTGATAGCTTGCTAGAAGTTGAAAAATTAATTCACCTCGTGAAAATATGAGACTAAAATATTTCTTAGGTTCATTTCTGCCTGGAATCAGGTGCCTCAAACTCGTAGTTTTTTAATTTTGTCTGAATTCCCTAGGAATATGACAGATAATTTATTTCTTAATTCTTAGTACTTTTTTTTTTTACTTAAAGCAGGAAAAAGTGAGTTCATTTCTAAATTAGTGTTATTTATTGAGGTCCTACTCTTTGCCAAACCCTGGTCTAAGCACTGTGGTAAAATGATCTAGATCAAGTCCTCCTGCTAGTGGAGGAACTGACAATGAATGAATAAATGCATAATGTCTATAGTGGAAGTACTGTGAAGACAAATCAAGTAGATTAACAGCAAAGAGAATTAATTATCACTGGCCAGGCAGCTGATATTCCAGACTGGTGGCCAGGGAGAGCTTCTTTGGGGAGGTGACACTTGGTAGAGACCTGAATAAGGTAGGAGAACGAGGCAAGTGGAGATAAGAGGGTTTGTGCTCTGTTCAGAAGGAAGAGTAAGTACAAGGTGCTGAGGCAGCTACAGGCTTGCCGTGTTTGGGGAACAGGAGGGTGGTGAGGCTGGAACAGCACATGAGGCAGAGAGTGATAAGGATGGAGATTGAAGAGAGGCAGGAGTCAAATTCATGCAAAGTTTGAATTTTACGGAACGCAGTGGGAAGCCTATGGAGTTTTGAATAAGGGTGAGAGTGATGTAATTTGAGTTGTCTTTTGTAACTATCACTGTGGCTGCTGGGGTGGTGGTTCTTTTTTTTTTTTTTTTGCTAGGAAGCCAAGAGCAGAAGCAGCGAGAGAGGGTTTAGGAGGCTGTTGTGTTAATTTAGGAGGGAATGGAAGGTGGCTAGACCAAGGTGGTAACAGTGGAGTTTGAGAGAAGTGGTTGAAATTGGTGTTATGTTCATGGTAGAGCCAACAGGATTTACTGGTAGATAGGTAAGGGGTGTAAGAGGAGTCAAGCATACTGTGTAAGATGAATGAAGCACAGGCCTTATCAAAGAGCTCTGTTTGGAACATGGTGCATTGGAGACGTTCATTAGACTCCAAGAGGAGGTGCTTAGTGAACGTCATATCAGGGGAGAGTCTAGAGCCAGGATAGAGACTTTGGAGGCATCAGCATATAGTATTTAAATCTGTATACTAGATGAGTGTCTAGGGGCTGAGTGCAGAGCACCTCGTTGACATTTAGAAATTGGGAAGAGAAGGAGCAGCAAAGAGAAATGGGAAAGAGTGATTAGTAAGTAAAGAAGAAACCCAGGGGCATCTGGCAATTTGAAAGAGAAGGGAAATTTTAAAAAGAAGGGAATGATCAACTGAGTGTGAAGAGGTTGGTAATACAGGGCCTGGAATTGAATCATTGGATTTGCAAAAACAGAGGTCATTGACAACTTTAAGAATTATTCCTTTTTGGAATAGAGGGGATGAAAATCTCATTAGATTCAAGAAAGAACCAAAAAGTGAGGAAGTGGTGACTACGAAATGTAGAATTCTTTCAAGTGAGTATAATAGCTAGTTTGACAAAACCAACTCCTTCCCCATTTTTAAATTTCAGTAAAACTAACACTCAGCAACAGCTGGTATGTAGACACATCAGAAAATTATGTAACTAGAATATAAAAGAAGCCTATTTATTGACTTTGCCTTGCATTTGCATATATTTACCCCAGTTTTCTAGATCTGTATGTAAAACACTCAACTATCATTGTTGGTATTTACAGTGATTTTTGAAATACATAAGCCGTTCCAAAATAACTTTGTATATTGATATGTGGCTCAGAAATATCTTTCATATAATTTATCTTAGTTCCTATAGTAAGATCCTCATTCATCAGTTATTCCCTAAGTGCATTAATCTTTTTTCTAGCAGGCAACTTGGTTAATGTCTTTAAAGTAGCCTTTATTTAAGAAAGGTTTTGTTTCAAACCATAGTTGAAATAAATGTACCAAAATTTTCTATTTTCTATAGCAGCTTTTTGTAAAACGCACTTAGTCTGTTTTTCCACTAGGGGGTGCGGTAGGGATGAGAATGGAGTTCTACATTCACATGGCTCCATTTTGTGCAGTGATGGAGTGTGGCAATGGATGCTTGTTTTAATTCCCGGAAATAAACCGTCAAGAATAAAAGAACATGATGGCAAGACAGTTTTGCTTTATGTTCTTCCCTCCAAAATTGGTAGTATAATTAAAAGGCAATAAACATAAATAAAAATCAATAGCATTCCCTAGATCAGTAATGTCAGAAGAGTAGATAGGAGCAAATGTAACATTCACAGTAGCAAGAGAAACCACTAAGTACCTATAAATAAACCTAAGAAAAAAAATAAAGCTTTTATGGAGAAAATAATAAAACTATTGAAGGAGGTCGAAGAAAACCTCAGTAAATGGAGACATATACTATGCTCATGGGTGGGAAGATAGGGCTTGTTGGTTTTCTCCAAATTTACTGATTCTGTGAATCCCATTTAAAATCTCAACAGGTGATATAGGTTATTGAGGATAGCTGAATGATAGATTTTTGTAACTATTTTATGTAGGAAAACAATACATAGACCATTTTATGCAAACTGTTTTTTCAGGGGAGAGGGAAAGAAGGACTATTTTTCACATTCAATATACAACCTGTACATACAAATAGTAAAATGAAAATAGTCTATCCCTCAGGCCATAGAACTTTCAGTTCCTCAAATGCACAAATTTTCTTTTGTCACTGGACCTTTGCTTGTCTGTTTCCTTAGCTCCCCTTAGACCACTTTGACTAAGTCCTGCTTGCCTAACACTGCTTATCTTTGAAGTCTCTGGGATGCTTTTCCCTCTGAGAAATTTTCCCTCAGTAGGCTTGTATCCTTATTATCTACCTCTATCAGAGTGCCTCTATCACAATCAAGACCTATGCAAATACCTGATGATGCCTTCTCCCTCTTCTGCAGGTGAGGGAGTTCAATGGTCAGCACTTTATTTTGGAGGAAGCAATTACAGGGGATTTTGCTTTGGTGAAAGCCTGGAAGGCGGACCGAGCAGGAAACGTGATTTTCAGGTATTGTGATAGTTTTAAAAACACTCGTGCATATCAGCAACTCTAAAAATGGACATCAGAGTGAATTTGGAATTTAAAAATGTATTTTCGTAATGGCCCAAAATCATACATGCCCATGTGTATTGCACATATATAGGTGTGTGCAGGGCTGCTGGTATGTCCACTTGTGGGAGTCTGTTTAGACTGGTCGATATCTATGTTGCACTGCTTGTTAAATATTTGGATCTATATGCCCTTTTATATAGGCACATGCAGTTGTTTTTCTCCTTGTGTATTTTAGTTGCCAAGACCAGTTACATGCTTAGAAAATGTGACATCATACAATTTTATTTAATTGATATTGTAATTTACATGTATTGTCTTAAAATGTCAAAGCTAATTTGATACTCTGGAAAGATACTGCTAATAATCATTGGGGTCAGTCCTTCAGTCCTTTTGGTGTCTTCTAGGAAATGCTTACAAAGGTTCTATCTGAAAAATTGATTAACCTTTATAATACTGAATTTTCAATCCTCTCAGCCACAGACTTTATAGATTTTAAAATCTTTTGGTTATTCTAAGCATACTAAGTATTTATATCTTGGATTTATAGATTTATATAGTTGTTTTTTGAGGAATATGAAACCTTTGAGTGTACACTTAAGAGTTTTCCAAACTGATCTTGAAGACTTTACCTATCAGATTACAGAAATCATTGTTTTTGCTTATTTATCATTTGCTGCTTTCGATTAACAATTTTTAAATCTTTAGCAAATGCAGCTTTGGTGCAATTACAGTTAAGTTCTCAGTGATACTCTCATATCACTTTTTATTTCTGAAGGACTTATGTGATATTAATGCTCTTTGATTTCTTTAATTTAGCCAGTTTTTTAAAGTACAACTAATTTTGGCAATAACAGGAGTAATTTTACATCATCTTTACCTTATTTGACACGTTTGTGTAATATTTACACGTTTAGTTGCTTTTTAAAAAAGATTAACAAAATTGTATACTACCAAACAGAAAGGAATTATTGAAAATATTCCCATGTTTATTCTGCGCTGCAGTGCCTGGCTCTGGTATTTGAAGGCTGCACAAGGGCTATTCTGGGCACTGACTTTATGCTGGTGGTTAATGAGTTCGGGTGTGAAATGAAAGCTTGCATCACCAATGGTCAAGTGACCTTAGGATTAACTTCATATTTAGTGGGACAGCTGGAACAGAAGTCTGTCTAGGTTATTCAAGTGGGGGACTTGGGACTCCTTTGCCTCTGACCATTCTGCCCTTGGAGCTTTTGATGCCTGGATGTCTGGTGGGATCTAACCCAGCAACTTGTGAAAGTTCACGAGGGCTCCTTTCTCAAGGATGCTCCTATTCCTGTACTCATTCTTCAATCTGAGCAAAAGAAATATTGGTGGCTCAAAAGAGCTAGTAAAACATAGCTGTGACTTACTTCCTTTTACCAAAGAAATTCTGCCATCAACGTATATTCCCAGAGACAAAAAATATGTTTTAATTTTTACCATTAGGGGAACTGTATTGAGGAACATCAGAGTGCAAAACCATCGGCAAAATTGGCACCTGCTAGAAATTTTTACACCTCGGGGTCTGATGTGGGTGTTATACTTCCAAAAACTTCATCAGAAAATGATTCTCCAGAATGATCTTTATAGTTGACTCACAAATTATCAATGAATGTTTCATTTAGTTTCAGCAATAGGCTTCTCTTCAATAGAGAATGTAATTACTGTACCTTCTCATGTGAAGCATTTGCTACTTTTCCTTTCTTAATATTTTAATGAAAGCAAGTGGTTGAATGAAATATTTAACTAATAGGGACAAAGCATACTTGTTAAAAGATTAAGGGAAATTAACTTCAAATAAGATAGATTTATTAATATTCCTTTTTTTGTTGTAGCTATATGTTGAATGTGAAAAATAGTTCCTCTTTCCCTCAATCCTGTTCAAAACAAAACTATATACATTGAATAAAGTAGTTATGGTTTTTAAAATTTATGAGATATTTATGAAACTTTATTAATGGAAAATATGATACACTCTTTTTGGAAAGATTCTTAGATTCTTAGTTCATAGAAATTCTAATCTATAAAACCTTAAAGGTGACAGAGATGCTTATTTTTCGTCTTTTCCCCCCCACTTTCTTATCTCCTCCACCCCTGTAGGAAAAGTGCAAGGAATTTCAACTTGCCAATGTGCAAAGCTGCAGAAACCACAGTGGTAGAGGTAAGAGGTTATTTTTGAATTCTTGGTGTTAATTATTTAACTTGATGTTAAGTATTAATTCAAGAAAAAGTACCACAGTTCATTTGTTTTATGGATAACAATGACAGCTTTTTTTTTTGTTTTGGAAATGGATCCATTCTATCTAAATATATAATAGTTAAAATTTTGCTGTAACTTCAGCTTTCTGGTTAGATAGGGTCTCACTAGAATGCTCTCTTTGGGAATCAAGCAATGGGACCAGCTTATAAAAGTCTTTTGATCCTTAAATGAAATAGATCTCCTTGAATGAAATCCCAAGATGAATTTATGTATGTGGAATCCCTGGAAAACAGTAAATGTGTCAGAAGAAGTTCATGATCTTACTGTGATAGATTTTGTGATTTCTTTAAGGGAAGAGCATTGCACATATAACTACTTTGATGTGGTTCAATTCAGAGCAAATTCAGGCACTGACTGTCCTTTGGGTATCTCAGTGTTTGGAAGGGGCTTGGATAATTCTGCAGCCTTTCCAGGCTTAAGGACCCAGGGCAGAAACAGGGGCTTATACCAAAACCGTGCCATTTTGGTTGTAACATATTGAACCTCAAAGAAGACTTCAAATGGTTCTTAACTTGAGGCTTTGAGGATCAACTTGGAACCCAATTTTCGTGGGAGTTTGAGGTAGTTTTTCCTTGGGAGGGCTTTATAGGACCCCTATTGGGATCTGGAATTGAAAATACATAGGTTCCTGATTGATTTTTCTCATGATGGCAGGTGTTGTATGTGGTATCTTTTGATTCATTTTTACAAGGCCAAGATAATGTTTCATGAAGTCAGTACAGTGTATTTTGAAACAATCAAATGTTAGAGTTTTGTTCCTTTCTTGGAAAATGAAGTGTGCTATTTTTAAATTGCTGAAGTATATGTTACTTTCAACCGAGGCATGGTGGTTTCTTTTGCAATGGCTTTACATTTTCTGAATTTAAAATGGATAGTGTGGCTTACACTTTCTGTGTAACCTGTCTTTAATTTATTCATCCATCTTAATGACCTGTCCGTGGCACACAACTATAGCATTACTGAAAAAAGGCCTACAGCATAGCTTAAAATAATCAATAGTTTTACACCCTGTTGACTTCCTGTATTTCTGTAAAACTGTCAGAAACCAGTATTTCTTTCCAGAGTACAGAGGGGCGTTATGCATTATCCTGGGTGAAGTTCTCTTTAAAATTTTTCCTGTTATAATCTGGTTCTTTTCAGTTCATCTCATTTCTTACAAGAGCAGAAAATAACCTTGTGTTGAAGAATCATTGCAGGTATTAGGAAAGAGAGGCTCTCTTTTGGCCTAAGGAGAGAAAATCCTTTAACTAAGCCTGCAAATGTAATAAAGGCTTCCCTCCTGTGTCCCGGAACAGACATCTCTGATGGATCACAGAATGCTTTCCTGGTAGGCCGAGACACACATTAGGGTCTCTTTCAATACAGTAATGTGCGCAACCACTCCTAATTCACTACACTCTCCAGTATGGTAGCCACTAGCCACATGTGACTTATAAAATTAAAATTATGGCACAGTGGCTCAGGCCTAATTTATCGCAGCACTTTGGAAGGCTGAGGCAGGTGGATCGCTTGAGCCTAGATGTTCAAGGGCAACATGGTGAAACCCTGTGTCTACAAAAAATTAGCCAGACGTGGTGGCATGTGCCTAAGTCCCAGCTACCCAGGAGCTGAGGTCTGAGGATCGCCTGAGTCCAGGAGGTCAAGGCTGCAGTGAGCTGTGACTGTGTCACTGTGGCTCCAGCCTGGGCCACACAGTGAGACCCTGTCTCAAAAAAAAAAAAAAAAATTGACTGAGAAATTGAATTTACCTTTATACTAGTCCCATATCAAGCAAAGCTACATGTGGCTAGTGATTACTGTATTGATTAGCACAAGTAAACATTATCATTGCAGGAAGTTTTATTGGACAAAGCTGGATTAGAAGGATCAAGAATAATCTGTTATACTAGTACAGGAACATAAGCAAAACAGCTCTTTGGACTATAGGATTATTGTAAGCCTACCCCTGACACCTGTTCATAGTAGAAACATATAGTATACATAGTAGAAACATGACCATAGATTGAATTGTAAGAACTGTGCTCTCAAAAGTGGAAAATAATTTGGAATTGGGGTTAGTGCCTAGATTGGGCATTTTCTGATGTGAAACTCTGTTTTGGCTTTGTGATTTGTATTTTGAGTCCAGTGAGTACCCTGGACCTCCAGCCCCCTGTTCTGTGCTATACCCTATGCACTCCGTTACCTGCGCTGGCCTCCAGGTTGCTATGACTTTTCAAGCCCTATCTTGCTTTCTTTTATGGGAGTCATAGTGGGATGGATGATTATAAGCTGGTCTCTGAAGTGCAACATTTAAGAGGAATCTTCAGGGATCATTAAGTTAACTGCATATTCTTCTGCATGCAAAATGCCAATAATGTTAGCTACTATTCAGGCATTTATGATGTATTAGTCACTACCGTATTCCTTATGTGCATTATTTTAAATTCTCACAATAGTCCTATGAGATAGGAATAATAATTATCTTTATTTTAGAGATGATGACTTTAAGGCATAGAGAGGTTAAGTTATATACCCAATGTCACACAGCTTAGGTGGAACCAGGAGAGACCCACAGAGAAACTGATTCCAGGCTGTCTACTCTTTTCCATTATGTAATGAAATGCTTCCATGTTATCTATCAATGGATGCTTTAAACTCTTGGAAGATATTGAATCTCCAGAAGTAGTCCATTTCATTGCTAACTATTAGATACAAGCAAATAAGGAGTTTTTTTTTTTTTTTGCCCAGCTTATTTTTCTATCCCAGACCTTCCTTGACAATTATTTCAATTGTAGTCTTTTTTTTTTTTGTTCTAGTACCATCTACCTTAGAGATGTCTTTGAGAAAGGCATCATCCTGTGTTCAGTGGCCCCGTGCATTCATTCAGTCTTTCTCTTGGACTCTTTTCATTCGATTGTCTAGCCTCTTTGACCTTTAAGCTTTTTACATATTTCTCTAAATGTGGTGACTGAATGTCTGTTCTAGTACTATAGTATCTTAAGCAGTGGGAGGCATAACAGTGTGACTACACCCTATATAACATAGTCAACGGCGTCTTTTTTTTTTTTTCTTAAATAAAGAACTCTTAGCTCATCTCCTTTCTTTTGAATTGTGGAATCTGGATTAGAGCTTGTCTCCTAAAGCTCTGTGCCAGCATCTTCCCACTCCACAATGCTGCATCTTCTCAACCTTTCTTCTCCCTGGTGATTTGAGTTTTGACTTGAGTTTTAAAGAGGATAGAACTATAAATATTTAAAGTACTAAGATTCCCTTAGGCATCTTAAATTTGTTTTGGATTTAGAAGCAGGGTGGCAAAGGAACATACATCTTGCTTTTTTGTTTATAATTTTTAAATTATATAATTTACAGCAAATGTTTTACATCAAGAAGTAAATGAGTATGTTTATTGTGAATTTAAAAGAAAATCAAATTGTCCTTGATGTTACTTATTTCTAGACTCTGCAAAAGGGAAACATTAGTCCTTTTTGGCAAAGTTTTGTTTTCAGATGTGTTCTAGACCAAGGGCCCCAACCCTCAGGCCATGGACCTGTACTGGCCCATGGTCTGTTAGGAACTGGGCCGCACAGTGGGAGATGAGTGGTGGGTGAGTGAGCATTACTGCCTGAGCTCTGCCTCCTGTTAGATCAGCCCTGGCATTATATTCTCATAGGAGTGGGAACCCTGTTATGAACTCTGCATGTGAGGGATCTAGGTTGCTCGCTCCTTATGAGAATCTAACTAACGCCTGATGATCTGAGGTGGAACAGTTTCATCCCAAAACCACGTCCCTGCCCAACCCCCATCTGTGGAAAAAGTGTCTTCCACAAAACTGATCCCTAGTACCAGCCAAAAAAGCTGGGGACCACTTTTCTAGATAAACTTATGAGTTGTGTAAAACCATAGAGGTGATCACTTATGTCTGTTTTTAACAAAACCAATATGAACATTACATTCATATTTCTTAAAATGTGCAGCCATTTGCATGCTTCCCCACAAAGTTGTGACACAGTTGATGCTGGCTGTATCTTCCTACCCCTCTTATGGACCTAGGTAGCTACTTGGGAAAAATAGTGCACATGGGCGCATATTGCCACACATGCTAGAGAGATGTTTCTCTTTTCAGTCCAGACAGTGTTATTTCTGGACCTCCCTCTCTTTGAGTGAGGGTGAAGTCTTCCCTGATAAACTTTACAAGTTCAAGTGCAAAACCAGCCAGGGAATGACTCTTGGGTGTTGCCTTCCATGTGTATGACAAGGAGTAGCAAGGACTCTTGAGTCTTCCAAAGGGAACTAATTTGGCTGTTTCTCAGGAGGAATCCTGTTATTGTGTTAAGCTCTCAACTCCCTATGAGCCCCTCTGCTAGTCTTCTGTGTGCATAACCTACCATCTAAGTTTCTCTGGAAATGGCCTATTTCTGTTTTTTTTTGAAGGAGCCTGTAATAGAAAACCTATGGGGAGGGATGAGAGTGCTTCACTCAGGAGACTGTTGATGCTTTGTCTCCTGCAAGCAGCCTGGCATGCACGTGCTGTCAGAAAAGGTCGTCTGACTCAGCCACTGAAGCTGCTGAGGCTGCCTGTGACTGAAATAACCTCACTGCTGTGGATTTCTTTGTGCTGTCAGGCTTGTGCCATGGCTAGTTTACGAGACAGCAAAGGTTTACCCAAGGCCCTTTCAACTATTTTAGTTAACTTCAGCTTTCAGTCAAAACAAGTACATTTATCATGACATAAATATAATTACTTTTATTGTATTTATATTGTGGTATGTTTGCCTGTAAAAGAATTGCTTAGATGATACGATATTTGGTGCACACAAATATTTATTGTAGCCTGTGTGGTTTATGAATCACAATATAAATTGAATATCGGTGAACCCATCTAATATAAGAATTAGAGGTTAATGGACATATAGAAAATTATTTTCAAAAGTGATATTCTAAGACTTATTTATAAGAGCCAGGCTTCAGGGAGCTGTATCTTCTGTGTTCTATACTGGTGCCTGGCATGTGCCATTGTTTTAAAATTTTTAAATTTTTGTGGATACATAGTAGGTGTATATATTTATGATTATTGGGCTGTTCAGATTCTTAATTTCTTTCTGGTTCAATCTTGATAGGTTATATATGTCTAGGAATTTATTCATTTCTTCTAGATTTTCCAATTTATTGGCATATAGTTGCTCCTAGTAGCCACTAACGACTCTTTGAATTTCTTATGAGTTTTAATGTCCCCTTTTTCATCTCTGATTTTATTTGGGTCTTCATCCCTACCCCCACCCCCACCGTTGTTAGTCTGGCTAAAGGTTTGTCAATTTTGTTTATCTTCTCAAAATACCAACTTTTTGTTTCATTGTTCTTTTGTATTTTCTTCATTTCAAATTTATTTCTGCTCTGATCTATATTTCTTTTACTAGTTTTGGGTTTGGTTTGCTCTTTTCTAGTTCTTTAAGTTACATCATTAGGTTATTTCTTTTTCTTTTTTGATGTAGGCACTTATAGCTGTAAATTTTCCTCTTAGTAATTTTTATCTGATGAAATGTTCTGTAGATCTCTATTAGGTTCATTCTGTAGTGCAGATTAAGTCCTATGTCTCTGACTTTTCTTCCTGAGAAATCTGTCAGTGCTGAAAATGGGGTGTGGAAGTCTCCAGCTGTTGTATTTTAATCTGTCTCTCTTTAGCTCTAATAATATTTGCTCTATGTATCCGGCTGCCCCAGTGTTGGGTGTGTATATATTTATAATCATTGTATCCTCTTGCTGAATTGACCCCTTTATCATTATATGATAAGCTTCTTTGTCTCTTCTTACAGTTTTTCTCTTGAAATCTATTTTGTCTGATGTAAGTATAGCTACTCCTGTTCTGTTTTGTTTTTTTTTTTTTTTTTGTGGGTTTCCATTGGCATGGGATATATTTTTCCATCCCTTTATTTTTGGTCTCTGTGTAGCTTTATAGGTGAACCATGTCTCTTGTAGACAACAGACCACTGGGTCTTAACTTTTTTCATCCATTCAGCTACTGTGTCTTATTGGAGAGTTTAGTCCATTTACAGTCAATGTTATTATTGATAAGTAGGGACTTATTCGTGCCATTTTGTTTTTTGTTTTCTGGTTGTTTTGTGGTCTTCTTTCTTCTTTCCTTCCTTCCTGTCTTCCTTCTAGTGAAGGTGATTTTTCTTTGGGGTGCTTTGATTTCTTGCTTTTTATTTTTTATGAATCTGTAGTTTTTTTTGTATTTGATGTTAGCATGAGGCTTGAAAAGACTGTCTTATAACTCGTTATTTTAAACTGATGAAAACTTAACACTAATTGCATAAACAAATAAGCAAAAAGAAAACTAATACAAACTCTATGCTTTTTTTTTTTTGAGACGGAATTTTGCTCTTGTTGCCCAGGCTGGAGTACAGTGGCATGATCTCGTAAGTAGCTGGGATTAAAGGTGCGCACCACCACGCCCAACTAATTTTTTGTATTTTTAGTAGAGACAGGGTTTCATCACGTTGGCCAAGTTGGTCTCGAACTCCTGACCTCAGGTGATCTACCCACCTCGGCCTCCCAAAAGTGCAGGGATTACAGGCATGAGCCACTGCATCCAGCCAAAACTCTACACTTTTACTTCACCCCTATGCTTTTTAACTTTTTGTTTCTCTTAATTTCTTATTGTGCTATGTCTTAAAGTTATTGTAGTTATTCTAATTGGTTCTTTAGTCTTTATGCTTAAGAGTGTTTACACACCACAGTTGCAATGTTAATAATATCCTGTGTTTCTATGTGTGCTTATTATTACCAGTGAGTTTTGTATCTTCAGATGATTTCTTGTTTGCTCATTAACATTCTTTTTTTTTTTTTTTCAGATCAAAGAACTCCCTCTATCACTTCTTGTAGGACAGGTCTGGTGTTGATGAAATCCCTCTGATTTTGGTTGTCTTGGAAGTTCTTTATTTCTCCTCCATGCTTGAAAGATATTTTGCCATATATACTATTCTAGGGCAAAAGTTTCTTTCCTTCAGTCCTTTAAATATGTCATGCTACTCTTTCCTGGCTTGTAATGTTTCCACTGAAAAGTCTGTTGCCAGACATGTTGGAGCTCTGTTGTCTGTTGTTTCTTTTCTCTTACTGCTTTTGGAATTCTTTATCATTGATTTTTTGGGAATTTGATTAACTCGCAAAAGGTAGCTTTGGAGGTAGTCTTCCTTGGGTTAAATTTGCTTGGTGTTCTATAACCTTCTTGTACTTGAATGTTTATCTTTCTCTAGGTTTGGGACATTTTGTTATCCCTTTGAATAAACTTTTCTACTCCTATCTCTTTCTCTACCTCTTCTTTAAAGCCAGTAACTCTTAGTATTGGCCCTTTCGAGGCTATTTTCTAGATATTGTAGGTGTGCTTCATTGTTCTTTATTTTTCTTTTGTCTCCTCTGACTGTATTTTCAATAAGCCTGTCTTCAAGCTTAGTGATTTTCTTCTGCTTGATCAGTTCTGCTATTTAAGAGACTGATGCATTCAGCAGTATGTCAGTTGCATTTTTCAAATGTAGAATTTCTGCTTGATTCTTTTAAATTATTTCAGTCTGTTAAATTTATCTGATAGAATTCTGAATTCCTTCTTTGTTATCTTGGATTTCTTCGTGTTTCCTCAAAACAGCTGTTTTGAATTCTGTCTGAAAGGTCACATATCTCTGTTTCCCCAAGATTGGTCCCCGGTGCCTTATTTTGTTTGGTGAGGTCATGCTTCCCTAGATTGTCTCAAGGCCTGTAGATGTTTGTTGGTGTCTGGGCATTAAAGGGTTAGGTATTTATTGTAGTCTTTGTGGTCTTGTCTTGTTAGTGCCTTTCCTTGGGAACGCTTTCTAGGTATTCAAAGGGACTTGGGCTCCAACCATAATTGCTGTGGTTTTTGTAAACTTGTAGGAGGTATTGTCTTGATGGTCTTAGATAATATCCAGAAGAATTTTCTGGGTTACCAGGTAGAGACTGCTGTTCTTTTCCCTTACTTTCCTCCAAACAAGTGGAATCTCTCTCTCTCTCTCTCTCTCTCTCTCTCTGTGCTGAACCGCCTGGAACTGGGGGTGTGGTGATACAAACACATCCCTATGGCCACCACCACTGGGACTGTGGTGGGTCAGGCCTAAAGCCAGCACAGCACTGGGTTTTGCCCAAGGCCTGCTGTTAACTACTACCTGACTACCACCTATTTTAACTCAAGGCCCTAGGGCTCTACAATAAACAGGTGGCGAAGCCAGCCAGGTCTGCATTCTTACCTTCAGTGCTGTGAGTTCCCCAAATGCTGTCTGATTTTTGGTTCTTGTGATGGTGCTTTTCTGTTTACAGATCGTTGTTAAAATTTGGTGCTCCTGAGGTGTGGACAAATGGCTTCAATTCCACCATCTTGCTCCACCACCTCTCCATCTCTTTTTAGGAGGTTAATCAGAGGAAAAGATCATGGGTATGTCTGCCATCCTGCCAAGCAGACATGTAGTGTTTCTGATTGGTGAGTGAGGAAAGGTAAAGATTGCAGTGTAACTGATAATACAAATTTTCATTTTAAATGTCTATTTTTGAGGATAATGAACATATATAATAGTAAGCAGAGGAGTATAATGTACCTTCCTGAGCCCAACACCTTAGCTCCAATGACTATCAACCCATGGTCACTCCTGCCCCATTCACATCCCCATCTCTTTGCCTTCTCCCTCCTCTAATTGATTTGAAGCAAGTACCAGATATTACAGTGCAAAGATAGTTTAAGGAAAGTTCACTGATACTCAAATTCTAGTGTACTAGGTATTTTTATAGGTTCTGGAAATACAGCAGTGAACAAAGCAAAACTCACTGCCCTCATGGAGTTTACATTCTGATGGTCTATCTTGATAATAGGATGAATAATAAGTAAAATATGTAGTATATTTGATATTGCTGTGTTAAGGGAGGAAAAACAAAGCATGAAAAGGGACCTGATATTTCAGGGAAAGAAACTGAAACTTAGGGTGGTACAGTGAAAGGCCTCGGTGAGATGACTTCTGAGTAAAGGCCTCAAGAAAGAGAGGAAGCTAGATTTGCAGCTAACTGATGGTGGAGCCTTTTAGGGCCAAATGAGTAGTGCGTGCAGAGGCCTGAGGCAAGAGCTTCCCTGGTGGTTTGGAGAACAGGGATGACAAACTTTTTTCATTGCATGGTCATAGGGTGTGGAGTCTTACGAGAATTAACTTTCTTGAGAATAATGGCAATATGTTTTTCAAAGACTGTGACTTTTGACATTGGAGCCTCCTGGTATTTGTGACTCTGGCCCTGTTTGGAGAGCTTTGTGTTAATAATTCCTCATACATTATCTTAGAAGTGATCAAGCTGGTTGTTTTACTTTACAATAGAAGGTGGGAATGCAGTAGATTTTAACCAGGTGACTTAAGCACTAAAGTGGATCCTATGAACATTTAATTTTCATTATTAAGCAGGCCAATTAATGTATCAGTGTTTTAGAGATTTGGGGCATCATGCTTCTTGCTTTAGAGAAATGAAAATGCCTAAAGAGTAAGCATAATTCCTTCTCTCTTAAATTTTTCTTATTCTTTAGACTGCTAATGCCTAATGATACAGTTTTAAAAGCAGTGGAACTCATAATTTTTCAAGAGGCAATAAAAAGAATGTTGGGATAGGAAGAAAAATGAAGCTTCTGTCCAGATAAGACAAAGACTTCTCACCATGTTGAAAAACTTCATTAGATCCCATTTCAAGAACACACACATCCATACGCAGGCTCATTCCTGTGTGAAATTCATTCACACACAAACATCTCTGACATATGGAGGCATATTTATAAGAACTTGGCTGAAATGTCAAATTTGGCATTCACTATGTGAACTTACTATGCTACATGCTCTTTGCTGCACTTTAGAATTTACCTGGTTAAAGCTCTCTATTTCAGTTAGCTACGTAGAATGAGGTTAGCAAAAAACTGTTCCTAATCTTCTTGAATCTACTCACATCAGCCAGTTGAGTTGAACACTTGACACAAGTTCTTTTAAGAGAAAGAAAAAGGTGTCTGTTTGATACAATATGGAAAAAAGAAATACCTTCCTTCCACCAACCCTTTCTGAAGAATCCTTAGTCCTTCGGCAGAATACTATCACCTTCCTAAGTGCTAACTTTTGGGATGGATGTAGTTAGTGATGGATATCATTCACACAGTTTGATTTTTTAGACATGGTAAATTATATAAAATCTTCAACTTACATTTATTTTCCTTATTCTTTTTCAGTTATAATATTTTACTTGTGCTTTTGGACTTTTTAAAATTGATTACTAAATCATTCTTAAAGAGATCTGTAAATTCTGTGCCACATATTTAGCCAGGTATAGAGTGCTTTGAAAATGTAATGTCCTAACATAAGCATACTGAATGAACTGACTGATCATACTTGTTTCAAGAGTATTGAAGTATTTAAAGACAATTCATTCGTTTCCTTGAATTTTCATGAAATGCTAGATTGGTTTGAAAATTTTGGATGCTAATGAAGATGTACTCAATGAAGACATATTGTAGTTGAGTAGTTTGGCAAAATAACCTAATAGAATTACTGTTACGTTAATATTTGCTATTTCTACCAAGGAAGTAATAAATATAAAAATATGGACTTGGTGAATGCCTAGTATTAACTTACTGCATTATTTTACATACACTTGTATATTAACAAATATAATTCTTAGCTTAATGACCATTTACACCCAGAAGAATAGCAGAATAGAAATAGTTTATTGGTGATAAAAATATATTAAACAAAGTGTTAATCTTGACATTTTATTTCTTGTTGCTTGGTAACAATGCTGCAGTAATGCGAGAGAGTTCCATTATCTCAGGTACAATGGACTTCATTGCATTGTGAGGTAAAAATACCAATTACAGCAAGTCATTTGTATGCCATTATCCTCACAAAATTTTGGAGCTATTTTTTATAGTTTATATAGAGATCCTAAAAGAAAGTCATTTTAATAATATATCCCCCTTTCTTGATGGATTGGTGAATTTTATCCTAGCTATTTTTGGCTTTTTGTCTTTATAATTTTTCAGGCCTCAAATTTGTGTTTTTATTAACCTGTATTATGTAAATCCAGGCTTTTAAATGTTATAAATATGCACATTATAAGTGATACTTCATAGTCCTTATTGAACATCTTTTATCCTTGACCACTTAAAGAAGAGAGAAATATCTGGGTGGAATTTTTTTGCCTCGTGAAAAATAGGGCATATTCCTCATCCTTCTCTAATATAGAACTTCCTAATTCAGGACATCAGGAGAGCCTGTTGAACTAGTGTGGCTTGTATTAAAGAGAGGCTGATTCATGTTGTATAGAACATTTTTTTTTCTCTGTAATATTGGTTCACAGTTATTACTTACAAGGATTGACAAAATACAGCCCACGGCCTGTTTTTATACAGTCTGAGAGCTAAGAATATTTTTAAATTTTGAAAAGACCATTTTTTAAAAAAGTATGTAACAGTGTGTACCCTGCAAAGCCTAAAATATTATTTAATCCTTCACAGAAAAAAGTGTGCAGACCCTTCATTTACAGCATAACTTCTATTTCTGTAGTCTGAATATATTAAATTACTCAGTATTTCTTAAAGGATCAACATAGAACTGAAATAACTGATTTGAAGACAATGAATAGAAAATTAATTAGAATAATGTGAATTTGTATAGATGTCGAGAAATGACTGCAATTTTGTGGGACTGGTTTTGGGGCTTCTATGAAGGGAAGATCTTGTGCAAAAAATTTGTGTATCCAGCTGTAGTTGCTGCCATCTTTTAAAAGCATGATGCCTCTGTCAATAGATCTGACATTAATATGATATAATTACATATTGATGGACTCATTTTATTAGAAGCACTTGCCTTTTTCTTGGTTATTTGACTTATACTTGACGGCCAGTTTCTCATGTATAGAAATGTGTAGCCTGGCCATGTGCAGTGGCTCATGCCTGTAATCCCAGCAATTTGGGAGGCCTAGGAGGGTGGATCACCTGAGGTCAGGAGTTCGAGACCAGTTGGCCAGCCTGGCCAACATGGTGAAACCCCATCTCTACTAAAAATGCAAAAAAAAAAAAATTAGCCAGGCATGGTGGCAAGCGCCTGTAATCCCAGCTACTCGGGAGGCTGAGGCAGGAGAATTGCTTGAACCTGGGAGGCGGAGGTTGCAGTGAGAGGAGATTTTGCCAGTGCACTCCAGCCTAGGCAACAAGAGCAAAACTCCATCTCAAAAACAAAACAAAACAAAAAAAAATTGCACAGCCAGATGAATGTCAGTAACCAGGATGATGGGTGGAATCTTCTCCAGCCTGACTAGTGTCCAGCATGTGGCTGTAGCTCCTGCTGGCTGGCAGAGTTTCCAAGAGCTACAGAAATAGTCCAGGGTTGAAGTCATGCTGTGTTCTTGGGGTTTGGGAGGGCCCTATGTCTCTGATTTTTCATCTGTATCATCAGCACCTTAGGAGGCGGAAGAACAGTGTTGGAGAGACTTTGAGGATGGTGAGGCTGATTACTCTTTTTTTCCCCCACCAGTTTTCTAAACTGCCTTGTAGCTCTCTCTTTTCTTTTTGGTCAGAAACACTTTTGTAAGACTTATTTATTTCTTATTTGTTGGTAAGGTAAAGCCTCAAATCAGGAAGTTTACCCAGGGTAGCAATGTGCTTTCTTGTCTTGCACCGATCCTCTTAAGCAGCAGAAAAGGATTGAAACAGCCAAGGTTAGTGATGAATGGCAAGTCAATTATTTTAGCTAGATTCATTTAACTCCCCTTTCTTATAAACAGTGTTCAGAACTTCACACTTGAGCACCATTTCCGCAGTATCTTGTGTTTGATATTACTTTGCATAATGCTTTGGGCTTTTCAAATCACTTTCACATACAGTATCTCATCGGATCCTCTAATCACCAGGTGAAGTTGGAGGAGAAGCAGCTTTATTACAATATTGTAAATGAGAAAACTGACATAGATAAATTTCCTGGACTCGATGACTGGGCAGTTGAATGGCATGTAAAGGACACTTGGAAGACTTGGATTAAGTCCTGAGTCTCTCTATGACTTTCTGGTTGCTCTGACAATATCGAGGCTTTATTTCTGGATATGTATAAGTAGGAATTATAAAAATCTGAATGTAGGTAGGTATATAGGCATTTGTAGGAGCTTGGATTTTAAGTGCATTTGGAAAGGTCATAATTTTAGCTTGCGTATTGTTTGTAGAACAGACTTTAGAGGCATAAAGGGGCAGACCAATGAGGAGACTGATGTGATCTGGGTGAGAGCTTGAATGGTGGCTTGGACTTGAGTGGTGGAGAGGAGGATAGCATTAAGAGATACGGTATGTTGGAAGAGGAATCTATCCAACATGCCCAGGCCTTAGATGTGGAGAGCTTGGATAGAGGAAAGGTAGAGATTCACTCCTACACTTGGCTTGAGCAATGATACATCACTTACTGAGACGGGGAAACCTGGGATGATCCTGTTGGAGTGAATCAAGAGCTCGCTTAGGATTGATTGGCTTCTTAGGCATTCAAATGGTGGTGACGCAGGTGCAGATGGATATATTATTGTAGTGCTTAGAGGGGAGGTCGGAAAGGTAGTTATACAATTGGGAATAATTCACAAATACTTGAGTTAGGGTTATGGAATGGAAAAGATCACTTAGGGAAAGAAGCTCTGGGACTAATCCTGAGGAGGCTTATCTTTTTTCTTTTCATTTTTTTTTTGAACAGAATATGAGATTAAGATTTGTTTCTCACTACTTTTGCAACCTTAGACAAATGACTTTAGAATCTCGTCTTCCTTACAGCCTCTGTTGTTTGCTTATTTCATGGGTTTATTTTGAGCATCAGTGGGATAGAGCATTCCAGTGTGTTTTCTAAAGCTTAAAAATGCTACATGCTCACCTTAATCCCTCCCGCTGCTTTGATTAATAAACCTTAGATGACTGTTCTCATTGACCCAGTGATGATGACTATTGAACTACATTGTAAATGGCAGCTGGCAAGGCACATCCTCTGTAACCTTTCCCTGTCTTCCAAAGTTCTTTATCTGAGAAAATAAAAATTCCATAATGCCTCCGATTCCTAAAATCTTAGTGCATGATCAAAAAACTAAATTTTGTTTTAAAAATATTGTTAGCTTAAATCCTTCAGAAAACTAACCAATATTTGAAGTCCATAAAATCAACTTAAACATGCTGATACCTTACATCAAGCAAAAACTGTGATGACTCTTGAGGGGAATATTATGGACACCTTCACGAGAGCAAGGTTCTTATAAATCTGTCACTTCATAGCTTGAGTTGTACACCCTCAAATTGATGACCTCTCTCTGCCTTTGTATTTGAAATATGGAGCATTAGTTAATGACCCATTTTATCTCTTTTTATACTTTGGCTCAAAAGATTCACATATTTTGGTTTGGGATGAAGATTAAAGTTATTTCCTGCTTAAAACTTGCTTGTGCTGAATAACCACTGTGACTTTTTTATTCTTTAAGAAAGAAAAGTTTACTTAGCTCATGATTTTAGTGGGTACAAAGTCCAAGACTGGGTAGCTGTGTCTGGTGAGGGCCTCATGCTGCTTCCACTCATGGCCTAAATTGGAGGAGGAGTGGGTGTGCACAAAGAGATCATGTGATGAGAGAGGAGGCAAGAGCCATATGACTTCTTTTGAATGAAAGTCACATCTGTTGTTCTTTTGGGGACATAAATAAAGAGGGCCTCAGATACTGATGCTTTCTGTTCACCTGTGGGCATACAACTCCCTGAACACAGAGGGACTTAAGGTCCAAAATGTAAGTTATGTGGAAGGAAGTGTTTTCTTTTCTTCCTTATGATAGCTTTGCCTTATTGAATTTTTATAGAATTATGAAAATATCTTTTTGTTTTTGGATGGAATATTTTAAAACAGTTAACAGTTCCTAAGACTAGGAACCAAGAGTTACTTAACTGTTAGAATGTAATGGTCTTCTACTCTGTGGTTTATTCCATGAAGAAATCAAGTCCACTCATGTCTAAGACTAGAGTTTACCTTCTCTGGTTCAGCTTTTTCAAGTTTAATGATAATACACAGTGTTTCTGCCACTGAGTAACAAAGTCCACATTCAGATTCTTCAACCACTCATGTCCAAAAGTATAGGTCACCTTCTCTCTTATTCAGCCTTTGAAGTTTAATGATAATATACAGTGTTTCTGCCACTGAGAACATATTTGGGTTCTTCGAAGAGAATTCTAAATACAAATCCTACCTGAGGAAAGTTAAACTGGAATGTGAAGAACCCTGCTACCTTTTCTGTGCCTTCTGTGAAAAGGATCTGGGTGATTCATTTAAAGAATCTATTTTAGTTTCCTTAATAGTTGCAGAAAAGGATACAAGTTTTGCCATGTATTGTGAAAAAGTTCTGTTCAGTTTTGAATTTCACTTTAAATTTTGGAAAAGCTTTGCCGACACAGACAAAACTCAGAAGAAAATTTCATCGTTATTACCAAACTCAGGCGAATACAGGTTAACTATAAAAAGCTATGAGATTAAGAATGAGTTTGAAAGTTTTGGTGTAATTTAACTTTCTCTGAGGAATTTACAAAACTCATTCATCTTGAATTGTCTTCTTAGAATTGGAATTAGACCTTTAGAAATAAAAGTAGTATTAAGTAGAATCTGAAAGACATTTTTATAACTCAGCTTCTGCTATAAAAAGTATTTTAGCTGCTGTTTTATTTATAGTTTTTTGTTCAGTGCTCTTG
Organism: Homo sapiens; assembly: GCF_000001405.40. Lineage (NCBI taxonomy): Eukaryota > Metazoa > Chordata > Mammalia > Primates > Hominidae > Homo > Homo sapiens. The sequence continues at coordinate 41,824,612 of NC_000005.10, read as the reverse complement.
GCATCTGAATATGTTTGCACTCAAAATGTTTTCACTTATTTTTCCTCTTTGGTTTATGTTTTTAATGTACAAGGTAATATTTTATATGTAAATTGAGGACTAGGTTTTATAAGGAGATAGGAAAATGGAATGGAAAACTTTCTTAATGAAATTCATTCCCAGGAAATAGGGGCAGTGAAATGGTCCAAGTAGACTCTATACAGCTAAGATGTGCTTTACACAGAGTGTGGTAGATGCTATACTTGAAATATTTTCAATAATGGTAATATAAGTTGAAGGAGATATATAGCCTAATAATTATGAAAACAACAATAGCAACAACTTCTGTTTATACCATGCACTTACATGTAAAGCACTTTATAGTAACCCAGTGAGGTAGGTTTTATTGTGTATATTTTATAGAAGAACAAATGAGGATAAGGAAAGACTTTAAGATAACAAAATTGGTAGGGGGAAGAGTTAAGATCTAAACATTTCTTTGTGCCTCTAAAGCTTATGTTCTGAAGCAAAAACAAATGACGGTTGGTATATTTTGAGGTGCATTTTACATTATGCTTTGCAATGTTAACATTTTTATCTAATTTACAGTCTCCTTACTTGCAGGCTCATAGACCTTTAGCTGACTGAATTTTTCAGTTAACTTAGTGTAGCCCCAGGATAATGTTAATACTTTCATAAATGCAAAATTAAGAATTGTTCAGTAATGTTAACCTTTTAGAAAATATGAAATAGGATAATCTCCTAAAAGCTGTAAAATGAGAACCTTCACATTTAGGAAGACAGAATGTTTTTTTCCCCCCAATTGAAAATGAGGTAGATAGTATTATATAGTTGTTTGAATTCAAGATAGAAACTTTAGGATTCTATATAGTAACTACTGGTAATGATTATTTAAAAAATAGCCACTTCCAATTTCAGGCCTAACGTGCCAGGAGGTTGGAAGTTGCCACACCCATTCTCACAATAAGAAAAAAGATGAATAAACTGAAAAATCAACAATTATTCTTAGATCCGTCAGAGGATTAAAGTCACAGGGCAAACCACTGCCACCCAAATTGGAGAGAGACAGGCTAATACGGAGAATCACAACTGACTGGAGCAGAAGCCTAGTAGCAGAAATCTCCATGGGAACCAGTCCTGGGGTAGAAAAGCTCAAACTGTAATTGATGAATTGTTGGAGGCTCATGTGGACAAGTTTGAGAGTTAGACTCCAGAGTGGTCTGGTCTTGGGAGGGGCTTCATATTTCTGTGAGTTTTATGTCTAGGATCCCTACCAGAGTTTTGGTGAAGACCAAAGGAAAATTTCCTTGTGCTTCTGGCAAGGGGAGGGGGGAAAAGTGGACATTTTGAAATATACCCAGAGCGTTCTCTTTTTAACAAGGCCTGCCTTCAAGTGAAATGAATGATAGTAATGTTATAAGAGACAAGTGCTGGGGATACCATGTTTTAAGATATTTGCACTACCTGTGAAGTGATATAGTGTTATTTGAAAGAGTACTTGGATTAATTGTAAATGTATATTGCAAACTCAAGTGTAACAAAAAAAGCAGAAAAAGAATTGTATGAAAAAGATTAATTAAAACTACAGAATGCAGAAAAGAGTGGAGAGCAAAAAGAATAAAGAACAAGGACAATGATGAGAATAGTAGCAAATATGGTAGATATTAATCCGACTAAATAATTTGAACATTACTGGTCCGAACAATTAAGACTCACAGTGGATTAAAAACAAGACTCAGCTGTATGTTGTCTATAAGAAATCCACTTTAATATACAGACACAAATTACAAGTAAAGAGATGAATGTAAAAAATTATTCTAACATTAATCAAAAGAAAGCTGGAGCAATTAGGCTGGGCACGGTGGCTCAGACCTGTAATCCCAGCACTTTGGGAGGCTAAGGCAGGTGGATTGGAGTTCAAGAGCAGCCTGATGAACATGGTGAAACGCCGTCTCTACTAAAAATACAAAAATTAGCCGGGCATGGTGGCACACGCCTGTAATTCTGGCTACTTGGGAGGCTGAGTCAGGGGAATCGCTTGAACCCGGGAGTTGGAGGTTGCAGTGAGCTGAGATCATTGAACTCCAGCCTGGGCAAAAGAGTGAAATGGTCTCAAAACACAACAAAGCAAAAAAAGTTGGAGCAGTTGTATTAATTTCAGACAAAGTAGACTTCAGAGCAAGGAAAATTATTAGGGATAAAGAGGGCTAGTCCATAATGATAAAGAGGTCAGTTCTCCACAAAAACAGAAAAATTCTTAGTGTTTATGGTGTGGCAGTTCTTATTTCTGGTCTCCTCCCACCCCCAAACCACTACCGCAGAACTAGCCTCATGAGCTTCAGAAGTACCAGTACTGGCTGCCTCCTGTCACTCCCAGTAGGGGTCTGAATCCCAGCTCTGAGAAACCCCTGGCCCCATCACCAGTTCCATTTACTTCTCTTTGTTCCTCCTGCAGTTACTAGATCCGTGTCACCTGCGTGCTTTTTTGCCTTTTTGGTTCTCAATTTCTTATTTAAATTCTATTAAAATAACTGACAAAACTAACTCAAGAAGGAGTAAAGAACTAAATGTAAGTGTAAAATAGAAAACTCATCGGAAATAAGAAAAAAGTGGCCATGCTTTTTTAGATAAAAACATGATCCCTGAGAGAAAAACACTTGATAGGTTGGACTTCGTTAAAATTAAAAACTACTACTCTGTGGAAGACACTGTACAGGGAAAAAAATGACAAACTCTGGTTTGGGAGAAGATATTTGAAACATGTATCTTATAAAAGACTGGTGTCAAACATATGCAAAAACAATTAAAACTCAACAACAAGAAAATCACCCTATCACAAAATAGGTAAAATCTGAACAGGCACCTTACCAGAGAAGATACACAAATGGCAAATAAGCATATGAGAAGATGCTCAACATCATATCATTAGGGAATTGCAAACCTAAATGAAATGCCATTACACACCTATTAGAATGGCTAAAAGTCAGAACACTAACAACCAAATGCTGACGAGGATGTAAAATCACAGGCACTCAATCATTGCTGGTGAGAATGCAAAATGCTACAGCTTCTTTCGCAGTTTGGTGTTTTCTTATACAAATAAACAAACTCTTACCAAATAATCCAGCAATTACACTCCTTGGAATTAAATCACTATGTTGGTTGGAATGCTTCCTGAAAGATTAATAAATTGCCTATTTTTGTTTCCATGTAGAATATGTGATAGACTTGTTCATGCTCTGATTCTGAGCCATTGTTGAATTTTATATTTCATTTCTCATATTTTTCCTAAACATCTAAGAACCACTTTATTGGCACTGTGTACTGACTTTCATAAAGAGGCAATGTTTTCTTCAGGAAGTGACTGCATGTGTGTCCCTGTGTAGATAAAAACAATACTTTGGTTAAATGTGGGAGACAGGTAATTGGCTTTGAAGTCCATTTCAGCTGCATATTGAGTGAAGTTTCTAGCTTACCAAAACTACAAATTGCTACTTTCAGAGTTGCTTGGGGATGTAGTCAACAACATGGCTATTAGGTATACAAATGTTAAGGATTTGCTACATAAGACACTGTGATTGTTTTAGATCATCTTACAATCTAGTTGAGGTAGGACTAACCTGAAAATAAGTTGTGCATAGAGCAGTGAGTGCCCAATTTAGTGATAAAGATAGTAATTGCTGTGGGATCTTGATGGTGGTGGTTTGCTGCGAGTGTATGGCACTAACCCCACCCAATCCCTCTCCACTTCTTGGCCTTGTTTATGCAGATAAACAAGAAAAGTAAGGTCAATTGTGAAGGAAGGAGAAGACTTAAGGCATTTTACGCTTGCCATCTTGATTGACAGGTCTAGGGACATTTGGGTCAGGATGGGCCATAATGGGATGGGGAGACACTTTCTGCATGGAACAAAGAGACTTGAGAGAAAACATGGAAGTGTCTTGGCTTGATTTTCTTTAATTACTGTCCATACCTAATGTTTCTTTTTATAAAATAGGGACCATTTTAGTTATAATATATATTTCATTACATAAAACATTAAGCATGTTTTTGCAGTTCACTAATCCCTAACGAAAGATATTTTAAGTTATAGTAAAACATATCAACAATTCTATTGTTGGACTTTCATGTTTTCCATCTTTCACTATTAATGCTTTAGTGATTATTATTTTTGTGCATGTCTGATTATTTGACCACATTTCTAGAAGTAGATTTTCTTTATATGAGTATCAACATTTTAAGGTTTTGGAAAGTATTGCGAAATCATTCTCTAGAAAGATAATTTCAATTATAACCCCTCAGTGATATATAAAAGTATCATTTGGAACTACTCTCAACAACATGGATGTTATACTTTAAACACTTGATAACTTGCTAGGTGAAAAATGCCACCCTATAGTTTTAACTCAATATCTTTGACAAGAGACATTGAATATTTTTCATATATTTATTGACTCTATTTCTTTTGTGATTTTGTGTCTTATTTTAATGGGAATGTCACTATTATTTTATTCCCAGGTGTTCTTAAACCTCCCACTTAGTTGAGGAGTTGTGTGAGGGAAGAAAAGGTACAGGGTATGGTTAAAATGTGTGCTCTGGAGCCAGGCACTCTAGATTAGAACCCAGCTTCCTGGAGAATCCTCCTGGCTGCTTGACCCAGGATAAGAACTTGATTGCCTGTAGTTAGTAGACTAGAAAAAGAAGAACATTTTGAACCCAGAGCAGTAACCAGTTACGGAAGTAAATGTGGGTAAGATTCCCAGAGAGAAGGTAACCATGGCCAGCAGCTATACCCACAGAGCCCCTTCATAAAATAAGGTGTGAGTCAAGTGCTGTTGATTCATTGTTTTGAGATAGCTCTCTAAAACTTACAGTCATGATTTCTCACAAAATAATTAACAATTTTGTTGCAAATGAGGACATAGATTGTGTTTAAAAAAAAAAAAAAAAGAAGGTGGCTCACGCCTGTTATCTCAGCACTTTGGGAGGCTGAGGCAGGCAGATCACCTGAGGTAAGGAGTTCGAGACCAGCCTGGCAAATGTGGCGAAACCCTGTCTCTACTAAAAATACAAAAATTAGTTGGTGTGGTGGCGCATGCCTGTAATCCCAGCTACTCAGGAGGCTGAGGCAGGAGAATCGCTTGAACCCGGGAGGCGGAGGTTGCAGTGAGCTGAGATCCTGCTGCTGCACTCCAGCCTGGGTAACGAGTGAAACTCCATCCCCCTGCCCCCCCAATCCCCCCCAAAAAAGGAAGAGCCAGAGGGCATTACTAGCATATTAATGGTTTTAGAATGTTCGTGATACTCCCTCCTGAAAGATTATTAAATAAGGTACACTGTCACTGATACAAACTGAGGGGATGTTCTCCTAAAAAAAAATTATCTTAATACAAAGAATGACATGGATTCCTTTTCCTAATTTTGCTCTCTTTTGGTTTAACAACTTTTGACCTACTTATCGATTTATTTCATGTTTGTGTTAAGAATATAACTTATGATTTTAAAGTCACTCTGATTAAGAATAATAGTGGTTTTCCTTACTCCTTCCAGAGACCTTGTCAAAAAATGGTATTTTTTCCAACTTCAAATATAGATCTAGTCTACAAATACTGAAGTGATAATTAGGGCTTATGCAAGATTGCTTCATTTGAAAAATTAGTTGCTTTTTTTCTTTTTCTTTTTTTTTTTTTAAACGAGTCACTTTTCAAATCTTTCTGGTTCAAGGACAAAGCTAAAAGAAGGCATCTTAAAGTCATGGCTTATATAAATGATTTAAGTAAGAAATGTGGGAAAAAGTGATAAATATGATTCATTGACCCCTTTTGTTAATTTTTGTCTTATAAACACGTTTTTCCATGTATTAGTGTAGTATGAGCATGCAGCATATGGCAGCCTCCTAATATTAGAACATATGCAAATATCTGGCCTTTTACTAGGCCCCTTGAAAATCCAGGTACACAACCAAAAATTAATAAAAGCGAGAAAAGGTAATTGCCAATATGTTAAATTTTTTTCTTGTGAGAAGCCACAATAATCAGAAGAGACTGTCCCAGCATCATTAGCTAAAGTGAACTCTCTTGTGAATTTTTTGAAGTGTGAAGGACGCCATATTTCCTTTTTTGTTCAGTTAGCTATTACCATTTCTGATAGCTTTTCCAAAATTAGGTTCCTCATTCCACAGAATAAAAATTTTGAACTTCTGATGCAATGCTTTTATTTCCTGTGTACCCTAGGTCCTTTGACAAGTAACACATCCTCACATTCTCTCATGAGATCACATCCTTCCCTACCCTTTGCCCTTGACATTCCTACTGCCTAGAATGTTCTCCCTCTTTTTGTGGCTAATTTTCTGCCTGGTTAGTGGAATGTTCCCTCTATTATTGCACTTATTTTCATGTTTTATTGTGATACTCTGGTTACCTGTCTTCTCCATGAAACTGTGAGCACTTTGTAGGACCTTGTCTTACTCATCTCTGTAGTCCCAGCATGTAACACAATGCTTGGGACATAATAGCTGCTCATTAAATGATATTTGAGTCACTGAGTCAGCAGGTTCAAAACATACACAACACTTTGCAGGCTTAGAAATGTTCTATGGATTTTACTTGATTGACATTATCCTGCCATGGTCTAAGAAAGCAAAAATGCCTTATGTTCAGTGGTTCTTCCTGATGGCTTTATATTTGAGGCCATTGTCAGTCCTGCATTGAGAGACTTGATAATGTGCCACCAGCTGTTCTGTAACTGCCTTCCTTATTACTGTGCCTAGTTTCCTCTGACTTCTCTGGGATCATTTTATCTCAAGGTGTGCCTTTTAATACTGCCTGGTATAGTGTGTCTCATTCAGTAAGCTTTTATTACTCTGCAAAAGCAGAATAAGCCATATGGTAGTTACCTAGTTATACAAAGGGTTATAAAGTAATGAATTGGCAAATAAACTGGCCTTGTAAATTCAACAGCCTGTTTGGTCAGGAAAGGATGGATATAGCAAGTACACAAGTACAGAGGGGTATTGAAGATATGCTGCGTGGCATGGAACTAAAATCATGTTTTGCATTTAACAGATATGTCCAGTAAGATGACATTAATCTAGAGTGTTCAATATCCAGAATAATTAGAAAGATACTACACAATAATGTGCAAACTTTATGGTCTTGTAATAGAATGTCTAGGAACTAGTATAGACTTAACGGTCATGCAAGTGCTGGGAAGAATATTAGGCTTCATTTACAGTTCAACTTTTTCATTTTAAAGGTGAAATGACTTTAGGTGATTCATGTAAGAACATAGTATTAGATGATGTTAGGGCTGAAACCACAAATCGATGTCTTCTGACTTCAAATCCAGTACTTTCTTTATATCATACTGTCTTTTTTTTTAACTATAGGAAGGCTCAGTGAAATACATGGCATTAGAATCATATGGACTAAAATGTCCCTTACTAAATATTGACATCAATAAATTGCTGTTCTTTATCAACCATTCCTACTCTTCTTTTAATCATCATACTTAAGTTTTCAAATATGGTGTTGAGTTTTGGGAATGAGTTTATATGCCAGGAAGATATTTTGGATTTGGGACCTCGATCAGCTTTACTCATGGTAGATTTCAGTCATTGTCCGAATGATGGCTATTGTCAACTATAAATAATGAGATTCAGAAGATATGATTAAGTATAGAGTTTGAGTACAGTCTGAGGGTAGCCACGGAGGAGACACTCTAAACAAATGGGGTTAGCATTCCAACATTGAAAAGTTAAGTTTTCACTCATAGAGGAACAGAAATTCCAGCAGTACTACAACATTTTTCATATGAGACCAGATCATATGTTGTAGTGATATGACTCAAGGAAGATTAGTTTATTACTTCATAAGGAGAGATAGTGATCTTAAGGGGGTCTTATCTCTAGTGCTGTTTGGTCTTTCTAATTATTTATAGGAAAAAAAGGCAGAAGTTGCAGCGGCATGCCAAGTGACCCCGGCTGCATAGCCACACTCCTCTCAAGGGTCAGAATGATTTAAAATTCCACAAGCTTTAAGTTTGAATTATTTAACTTAACACCAGAATTAAGACTTGCCTTGCTTTCCCATGATGACTAGATGCTGAAATTCAGTGAGTTAGAAAAGCCTGGAACCAAGTGTTGCCAGCAGTAAAACTGATTGTGCATCTCCCTACTTGTACTAAGAGCCATTTGATCATCATGCTAAAGTCATAGTTGAAATGTGATAAACATGTTTGAATTTCTTTAGGACTTAAAGATCTAGTTTTGAAAACTGAACCACAGAGAGGAAGAAATATTTTGTTTTAAAGTTTATTTTTCCATTTTATATCTACCTCATATAAATCAGGGAAAACAAACATGGCATCTTAATTTTCTTAATGAAATATGTAGGATTCTACTCTGCTTACTGCTCTAGAGAAATGAAAACGTGGAGAACATTTAAAAGATGAAATGAATAAAGTAAAGCTCTTCTAATGCACGTGCTAAACAATTTTAAATTTAGGGACTGTTGAGTCATCCTCATGCTGAATTCAAATCAAATCTGTTAGATTTAGCAGCCATTAACTGTGTTCTGGAAATGCTAGGGTTTAACCCAATCCCATTTTGCATTTTATGTGTTAAGTATTGTGTTCCTGCACTATGAAGTGCTTCAGGGATGATTAACAGCCTCAAATAGTCTTAGAGTAACATTTGGAAATAGTCTTAGAGTAACATTTTAAATTTTAGTTGGCATTACCAATAGGCAGCCTTTCTGTAGCTGTAAAAACCCAACACGAACTTTTTCTCTTCCTGTTTCTCTATGACTCTCTTCACTGAAAAATGTTCCTTGTTTAATTCTATTAATTATATTATGTCTCCCTGTTTTCCTTGGGGTATATGATAATGGTGTAATTTTTAAAAACTATTATAGATAAGACTGGTGCTTTGAATGAACATGTTAGATGTATTTTAATTCCTTTGGGTAGATGTATTCATTTTAATTATTTCTCTGGATTTGCCACAGTCCTAATAAAATTTCTTTTTTAAAAGAGATATGACAAATGAAATATAGATATTTAGAATATTGCCTGAATGTTATTAAGTCACACATAAAGAGAAGATTGGCATTTCTGGGCAAACAAAAAATGTTAGCAGCTGGGCATAGTGGTGCATGCCTGTAATCCCAGCTGCTCAGGAGGCTGAGGCTGGAGAATCTCTTGAGCCCAGGAATTTGAGACAAGCCTGGGCAACATAATGAGATCTCATCTCAAAAAGTAAAATAAAATAAAAATAAAGTGTTAGTCTAATCAATGCTGGTATTTTGCTATTTTAGCTTGGTTTGAGTCAGTGGAAATGAAAATACTTGTCTTAGACTGCTTTTATTTTTTATTTTTTTAAAACAATTCTTCCACATTACAAAAACAATTGGGATGGTATATGAAGTAACAGTTCTACTTTTTTCAGATCATTATGGGTCAGATGTTGTATAATATAAAGATTTAATATATAAGCTATTAATTTTGCTGCTAGTCAATTTTAACAAATTGAGTTATTTCAGATAAAGCTTTTCCTCTAGAGTTCAGAGTGTTTTATCCATTTTTCACATCCTGCGTTTTACAATGAGACATTGTAGAGAGGAAGGACTGTTTTTGTTTTGTAATGAGATACATTAGGTTGAAGGTGCTATCACCAACTTTGAGGCTGGACAGCAAACAGAGAAAGGAAGACTCTTTTTATTTATTTATTTATTTTTATTATTATACTTTAAGTTTTAGGGTACATGTGCACAATGTGCAGGTTAGTTACATATGTATACATGTGACATGCTGGTGCGCTGCACCCACTAACTCGTCATCTAGCATTAGGTATATCTCCCAATGCTATCCCTCCCCCCTCCCCCCACCCCACAACAGTCCCCAGAGTGTGATGTTCCCCTTCCTGTGTCCATGTGTTCTCATTGTTCAATTCCCACCTATGAGTGAGAATATGCGGTGTTTGGTTTTTTGTTCTTGCGATAGTTTATTGAGAATGATGATTTCCAATTTCATCCATGTCCCTACAAAGGACATGAACTCATCCTTTTTTATGGCTGCATAGTATTCCATGGTGTATATGTGCTACATTTTCTTAATCCAGTCTATCATTATTGGACATTTGGGTTGGTTCTAAGTCTTTGCTATTGTGAATAGAGCCGCAATAAACATACATGTGCACGTGTCTATAGCAGCATGGTGTTTGGAATATTTCTGTCATGTTTAATAGTCTTTGTGCTGGTGGTTAGCTAAACCTTTCTATTTGCATTTCAAAAAACTATTAGGCCAGGTATTTTATGATATGAACTTTGATCCCTGCTGAAGTTCATTCAGTTGACACTGACCCATTTTATTTCCCTAACCAGTAGAGATCATTTTCTGTCTTCATTGAATTAGCTATTCTTTCTGGCCTTGGATCAGTTTCCAATTTGATAAATGTGCTGTTTAGTTTTTACCTGTTTTTTTTTTCCCAAAGATGATTTAAAATAGCTTATAAGACATAAATATACATGATAGCATCAATTAGGAACAGAGCTATAAGAATGAAAAGGAATGGTAGAACTGTACAGTGACCCTAGGATTGGACTAAAAATTGATACTATAATGACAAACATGAGTGAGGCCTGGGATGCCAAATAAAAATCAAAGTATTTATATAGTTAATAGTACATATAAAAGAAAGCTAATGATCAGATGAAATACAACTATTCTTGCTACTACAACCAGACAGTTTTATGTCAGGCACTATGTTTTAATGGTAAGAAATAACTCACTTGATTGCAAGAAAGAAAAACTGACTCTTTATGACTGTGGCATAAAGGTAATTGGTTTGTTCTAGGGGCATACCATTCTTGGGGCATTTAAAAGAGTGGTTCAACTCCCTGAATATGGTTTTTGTCACCTCTTTTAGTAAATACTTGGAGGCATGAGCGTCAGACTGTCTTCTCTGTTAGAGAAAGGGATGCACCCAAACCCTTGCCCCTTAACTATAATGCTGACTTCCTTATCTTCATTTAAAGCCTTGTAAATATGTTGACTGAACAGCGTAGGACAAAGACATCAAACCATTAGAGCAGGGGTCTAGGCTGGAGCTAGGGGATGGGAGTGGACAGATGTCTGTGGAATAATTCCATGGAATCTTTCAAAGGATTTTATACCTAAAGAAACCTTTGTGTATGTGAATTGACCCATGAGATTCTTAAAGTAGTACATTTGCCCTCAAAAGATAAAAACCACAGCACTGAAGACTTCCCCCTAAGGCTTTATCAAGCCACCATATACTTATGGTTCTTCAAGTATTTGTCTACCTATCTGTACACCAGAGCATACACCTTTTCTGTTTTCTTCCTTGCCAAATCTAGTAGGTGCTTAGTTTGTATTTGTTGATTTTAAGTGAATGAGCTCAAGTCACATTTTCCTGCTATGTCTATAAGACTCTTATGTGAAGGGCTTGGTCAGAGGCTCTGTGAAACTACACACTGTGCTTTTTTCCTGGCCCACTTATGTTCTAGCCTGATCACAAATTAATGAAGATCATATGACATGATTTAATTGGGTGGAAGACTTAGACTGCTGTCCAATTCTTTTCTCTCTTTATGGCCATCTAGACCATGTATATAATAATCCATTTTAGAATACTGTTGTAGATTGAGCCCCCCTTTTGGAAAGGAGTATATTTGCCTCTCAGTTGACACTTCTACCATTTTTCGCTTGACTGTAATTCTGTGATCGTATCTTCAGGCTCTTTAAGGGTCCTGGGATATAGATGTTGTGGGTCTACAGCCTAGTATTAGTACAGAGAATCTGGGTAGCTCTTCTTGGAATTGAATTTCTTCATAATCATACTAGTTCTACTTTCTTTCTCCCTGGTGAAGTCAGGAAAAAAAATAAAATTGAACTGCTCTGTTTTTTCCTGTCTTCTGCCCAAGCAGTAGTGATTATCATTTTCAAGTTCTCCAGCAGTGGCAGCAAAAACAAAATCACCCCAGGAGCCACCCTTTCCTTATCTTGAGCATTTTGAGGAGTCCTCATCTCATTCTGATTTTGTATCTTTTGATAGACCTCTTAAGGTCTCTTGACTTCCATTTGTCCTAGGTCATACGTGTCTCTTTTGTGGGAGCCCTGATAAAATACGAAGAAACACAAAGCTATCCATGTTGTTACATTCATTTCTTTATATGCAATTCTCTTCCTCATCAATATAACCCTTTTTCATATTGTCAGAATGGAAGTTTTGCAATCCTCATCTTTCATAAGCCCATTTGTGATTTTGAGTTTCTGACCTCTTGATCCTGCTTCTCTTTTCTCTGAACTTACTGAATTTTTTTCTTCAAAGACCAGGATATATTTCTGTGTACGTTTAAGATTCACTTCCTGGTCTATTTCCAATTCCAATTTTACGTTGTCATTTTTTTCCTCAAAATTTCTGTCATTTCTACTTTACCAAGCAATTTATTCTTATTCGTTAGAGGTCCTGAATCTTGGTTTCTCTCAGTGTTTTTATTCTGCAAGATAGAAATGACCAGAAGGCAATACAGAGTTATCAGCAGACTGTGATGAATAGAAGATGTTCAAATAATTGGCATCTCTTATTTGAGCCAATTTTTGTCACTTCTGTTACAAATATAACATCTATATCTTTGGGCATTATATGACCATAAGTGTGATATTCTTTCTCCTTTTAAACTCACTTTAAATATTCCTCACCACACTTCATGCCTAGGTCTGTGGCATCCCAGGTGTTATGCATATTTTCTTGGCAGAACATGCTTTTTTGTTAGGTTTATTTTCATTGGACATTGTGGAATGTCTGTTGGCATGAGCTCCCATCTACTCGGTTTCAATGACTATGCAACCATATGTACCACCATTTTAAAGGTTGCAAATTCATTGGTAGCCCCTCAACTTTTCAGTCTTTGTGCATTTCCTTATAGACATCTAAGACCATATGTATCTGTCTCTGGCCCTTTTAGCTTTCATACCATTTTTTTCTGTGTTTTTGTACTGGTCCTATCATTCCTTAGCATGAAGCCTAAGAATATATTCACTTTCTTGCTCCTTTGGATTTTTTCTCTTCATTTGAATCTTTGAGAAAGATGCCTTACATGCTGACCTCCTCTTTCTCTACATTGCCTCTTGTTTAAAAAATTATTTCTTTTTTGATACATGATAGACCTGTATGTTTTCAGGGTACCTGTGATAATTTGACATATTCGTATAACATAAAGGTAAAATCAGGGTAATTGGGATATTCATTACCATATTTATCTATTCTTTATGCTAAGCACATTCAAATTATTCTCTTCTAGCAACTTTGAGAGGTACAATAGATTTTTAACTATAGTTATCCTATTTATCTATTGAACGTGAGGTCTTACTCACATTTCCTCTTCATTTTACTCATTTTACTTCATTTTAACATCCAGAGCACCTCTGCATTTAACTTGTAACTTCTCTTATTGCTTATTGTCTCCCCCTTTTATTTTTCTAGACTTCCACAGCTGCTTTTTTTTTTTTTCCCTCTCTTTTGGAGTTAATGTTTCTCATGATTCTAGACATTATTGCTTGTTGTCTGTTTTTTTTCTTTTCTTTTTGGCAAAAGAAGTTTCCTCCTAAACTTTTTTGAAACTTAAAATGAGTCAGGAAGAAAGCCTGGAATGTGAGTCTCCCTCTTCCTCCCCCTCAACAGCCCTTACTTTGTATCGTACACAGAGTTTTGCAGGTGTGTATAATTTTTCGCTAACACCATTTAGGGTTGGGTCCATTTTTGTGTCTATAACAGATTGAGGTTGTCACTAAAATAAAATAAAAAATGAGGACGTTATTGCCTTGCAGCTCCTCTTTTCTCTTACCTGAGATATAATGTTTGCCAAGCAATCACAAACACATTGTCACCAAGGGATGAATTCTTATCCTTCTCTAAGCTTTAAAATAAGTTTTCAGTTATAAAGTAGGAAGAGTGCAGTGCAGAGAAAGCAATCTTTTAAAACAAAGTTCAGATCAATAACAACATTTCCTAGTGTCTATTTTTCTGTTAATGACTAAAGACAAGTACCAATTAGAGAAGCCTCAAACGTCTGGATTTCTGGTTGTAGCAAGTGGTGGGGCATGAGAACTATTCATAGTGCCATGGAGAAGTCCGGGTTGTTCTTAGCTACCTCTCTTCCATCTTGATCTTGCCTGAGGATACTTACATCTGCCCATTGCTTTGCCCTGAGGCTTTTCCTTTGTCCTTTATTCTTTATTACCCATTTCTAACTTCAGGAGGAAAACTCTGCCATCTTTAGTAAGGGATCTTTTATTTTTATGTTTGTCCTAACCAGCTCATTTTAGTCATCATTTTCTCATCAGGTTTTCCATTAACGCTTATGTTTAAATCGCCTGATCTCACTAGACTTTTTAATCCTCCCATTGCTCCTTCCTTATTGTTCTCAAGATCACACGAAACTGGCACTGAAGTCAGTCCCTTCAATAGCTAGCATTAAGATAGTTCTGCCTCTTCATTTTTTTTTTTAAACTCTTTTCATAGATTGTCTGAAAACATGTTTTCTTCTTTTGGTTTGTACTTCAAATATTTTCTTTCTTAGCTATTAACTCTGCTAACCAACTCTGAGAAAGCTTTGATTTTTGTATAGACGTTTTCAATACTGTTGAGTGTTGTTATTTTGACAAATGCTGCACATGCATTTTCTACAGTCTGAAAGCCATTTATATTAGGATGACAAAACATGGAATTGTTTATGTTTAGCTAGATTCTTGCTTATCGGAGTTGTTTTACCAGGACATATTCATTCTGTTAGTTCTGAGAGTTATGATATAATTGTCCTTGGTAATGAAGCTTTGTCTTGATTTGGTGTTTTCTGTTGAAACATTCTTTGATGGAACCAAAAGAAAATAGTGGCGGGTTTCCATCAGCATTTTCAGTTTAAGTGAGCAATACTTTTTTTTCTTCCTTTTTTATTATGTTCTTTGCCCCTGCTAGAGGGTAAGGCAGGAAGACCAAAGGAAGCTGCTGTCACAATCATAGCAAGAGATTTGAGGGCCTGACCTTTTGGAGCAATATTAGGCATGAAAAATAATTCACATTATTATTTTCAAATGTGCAGGCAAGAAGGGTTTGCTTAGTTTAGTTCATAATGTGACTGCTTTTAGGGTTTAGAAACTTCAGTTTTTCTTAGACTCTCTATTTTCTTTTTAACATGCCCTCTTTGGTACATGTCAAACTAATTGTGAGATTTATCACATGCTCCACTTATGATTTTCTAGTTTTAGAAACTTAGTGTTTATCACATCTTCTGAAAAAATAACATTGTGGGTTTCAGTTTTGATTATAAAAGTAAAAGGAAAACAAAAACCACTTGTACTATTACCCAGAGATAACAATTCTTAGCATTTCCGTGTGTTTCCTTTTATTTTCTGTAGGTATATAAATAATTGTCTATCCCAAAGTGCATTTCTATAAATTTTTATTTACTTATACAAAATCTTGCATTTTATGAAACATGAAATTATGAGATCATTAAATATTATGAGTGCATAATATTGATTAATCACATGGCTACACCATGTTTATTTGACCATTTCCCTATTGCTGACATTAAAGTTGTTTTCAATTCATTATTATAATAAATTTTGTGATTAGTGTTTTCATGAATAATAAATCTTCATGTCTATCCTCAGGATACTGGATTAATGTATAAACACATTTTTAAAGTCAAGAACTTCTTTGAAGGCTAAAACTGAATATGGAAAGATGTGAATGAGCCCTAATGGCTGAAAGTTCCAACCAGTTGAAGAGGTAGCAGTAGTGCTTAGCTGCTCTGCATTCCCCACCTCCACCTCGAATAGAAAATACTGGAGCATACAGAGTTTTCAAGGGGAGGACATAGAGTGCAGTGGCAAGGGGTCTTCGGCCCCACTTTCCCTGTCTCCTCACTCATCCCCAGATGCCTCTCTACCCAGTAGTTCAACTTGGATGCCGACATATTTTCTGACCTTTCCTTGGAATTTTTGTTTGATTTTTCTGTTTATCAAAGAAGATAGCTTTTATCCACCATGTCCTTGCCTTTTTCAGCTATTTGTGAGCATTGCACAATAAGTAAAATGTCTTCTGTAAGCCCTGGTATTCTTGCACTGTAGGAGGAGCCTAGTGAAGGCATATAGTAGTAGAACAGCATAAGAAGGGCTACTTAACCTCACAGATTTCCAGATTTCAGTGATTAGTTTAGGAAACAAAAATCAATACTACTATCCTTGTATAAGTCAGTTCATGGAAGCAAACGTTTGTTTTGGACACTGTATCTGTTAAGCTGAGTACTCACAACTTAAAGGTGTGTATGTTTGTGTGCGTGCGTGTCACCAGAAAGCTAATTCTTTCACCACAACAATGTTGAGTTTAGTTTTTCTTGATCCTTGTTCTTTTGAACTGTTTTATGTTGATAGAAAAATTGTCTTTTAAATTAATTCTAAAATAACAGACTAATGTGGAGGCATTTCATATTGCTATATGACCTTATTCTTGGTGAATGACTTTGATTCTAATTAAATTGAGTATTTCTAGTTATTAATTAATATTTCAGTTTTGAAGTTTCCATATTGGAATTAATTATCTGTCTTTAAGTAAATTATTTCAGCAATTGCAGTTGTATCACGATCCTAGGAAGCTAACAAGAATAATTTACAACTGTTACAAATAGCATTTGTATCTATATTTAAAAAGCTCTTCAATTGACCAAGCAGATGTTATTACAGATTTTTGTCTTTGATATGATAAATTTCCCATTAATTTAGAAAATCTGTGTTTAAGGAATGTGCTATCATTGCATAGTTGAACTGCAATTTGTGAAAGTTCAAGCTGCTGTACTGACAAACCATTTGACAAATTTGTAACTGAGACTCTTTTAAGCAAAGACTAACTTCTGGAGCCTAATGGTCTGTATTTTCTGTTCAGACGCATACACTTTAATTTCTTCTCTTTTGTGGGTCCAGGAGGTGTGATAGACATTACCTATATGTATACATATACATACATAGATATATGTCCATATTCCGTCATATGTTTGCAGCCTAAGTTGTATGTGAAGTTGTGTATACTTTTTAAAAAATTAAAAATGTTCACTTTAAGCTTTCACTAACTTTGAAAGAAATTTCTCTTTGTCTAGGTTGAAGAAATTGTGGATATTGGAGCATTTGCTCCAGAAGACATCCATATTCCTCAGATTTATGTACATCGCCTTATAAAGGGAGAAAAATATGAGAAAAGAATTGAGGTAATTGACTTAGCTGCTTTGTCAGTATTCATGGATCCAGTTACAGAGATAGTGCATCCCTGGGGCCATTCGAGATGATGGGGAACTAGAGCTGAGCAGAAAGTCTGGTCTTGGATCTTAGTAAGAGCTTCTCATGTGTCTATCATCATGGGGATATGATGGTCTATGCCTCTGTGCAGGCTGACAGTGCCTTGTCATCACAAGATATGTATCACCATGCCATGAGATTCTCTAGGCTGTGTCTACTAGGCTTCTACTGTCCTAATTTATGATCTGTAGTTTTTCTGGCTGTCTTAGAGGGGAGATAAGAATAATCATGTCTTTGGTGGTTTTATCCCTGCTGTAGTCTTATCTTAATGTTTGATTGTTCAGAATTGTCTGTCTTGAAGGTGCTTTGCACTTTTCTAGAGTGTAGAATGTCATTCTAATTAGCTTCAGGCTGTGGGTAGCTGGTGAGTATGAGATTGTGGCAAGGAGTGTAGGTACCAGGAGCATTGAAGGTATTCTAAGGCCAGTGTGTTAGTCCCTTTTGCATTGCTGTAAAAGAATACCTGAGACTGGGTAATTTATAAAGAAGTTTGTTTGGCTCACACTTCTGTGGGCTATACGTGAAGCATGGCACCAGCATCTGCTTCTGGTCAGGACCTCAGGAAGCTTTTACTCAGAGCAGAAGGAAAAGGGGAAGCAGGCATGTCACAAGGCGAGAGAGAGAGAAGGTGCCAGGCTCCTTTAGACAACCAGCTCGTGTGTAAACGAACAGAGGGAGAACTCCTGCATTTCCAAGGGATGGCACTAAGCCAATTCATAAGGGATCTGCATCCATGATCCAACACTTCCCACTAGGCCGCATCTCCAACATTGGAAAGTACATTTCAACCTGAGATTTGGAGGGGACACATATCTAAATCATCAGCCAGTGAGAGTAGACAATGGCCACCCTACCAGAATTACTGTCATGATTTAGAAGTGTCTAGGGATCAGCAACAGAATAGACATACAGTAGGGTGCTAGAGATACCCACTACCTTGTAGATATCAAACAGGAAGACATTTTATAATACAAAACCAGTGTCAGGGGCCCAGGAAGAAAGGATGAGACTTTTGCAAACACGAGCCAGAGTTTGTGTCAAAGAGACTTAATAGAGGAAATAGTTTCCTGGCTGGTTTCTGGGTATTTCTATGATTCCTGTGGTGCATTTGTGGTAAAAATAGTCTGGACTTTGCAGGTGGAAACAGGCAATTGGCAGCAGCAACACCTGGTAAACACATTCTGACAGCCCTGAAAAACACATTCCCAAAGTCTGTTCCTCTTTCATTCTTCTGGCCAATCCCTGAGCACCAGAGGAGAATTTAGTTGGAAGAATAACAGAAGGAGCAGACAGTGTGATAGTAACAGATTATTTGCTTCAAACAGACTGAACAGCGTATCTTCCTCTTTAAACAAATCTGACCACTTTCATTTAGTTCCTAAAGAATTATTTCTACCATCAAATATCACCCATAGTATTTTTTAAATATCTGGTATATTGCAGATTTGTCTCATAACAATGGGAGAGAGCTCATCTTTTTTTCCAGTAAAATTTATTTCAGCAGTGATAAAATACAAAGCATACCTCAACCACGAATAATTTATTTCTGTTTAATTTAAAGCGTTTATCAATCCGGAAAGAGGGAGATGGGGAAGCCAAATCTGCTAAACCTGGAGATGACGTAAGGGAACGAATCATCAAGAGGGCCGCTCTTGAGTTTGAGGATGGCATGTATGGTATCCTTTATCCTTCTGAGCCCGGGCAAAGACATAGCCTTTGCTTTTCCCATATTGATCAGGCTATTAGACCTCTTGCATAGTGAGTCATCTCTAGTCTATGGTAACTTTTAAGGTAATTAATCAATTTTTTTTTTTTTTTTACAAAATGTGGCATATAATCCAAAGGTGTCAAGATACATGACAGATATCTCTTTGCCTTCTTGAAACAAAATGGCAATCAATAATTTGCTTAGCTATTTTCTAATACCCATTAGATTTCAGTACAACTTGCATTTAATGGGAGATTATTGGGAAAAGAGATTACCCAAGATGAGTGTTTTCAAATCTCAGAATTCCTAGTGATAACCAGTGCTATTTACTTTCTGTCTATCCTGACATTTGCATACTCATTGAAAGATCCAACTTCTTAACAACCCTTTTATTCTCTTGACAAAGATCCTGTGATTACCCTGTTATATCTAATATTTTATGAGGGTATTCAACAAATGATTCAAATTCTGCTTTAGATACTTTGTCAAAAAAAGAGGTAGAGTAGACATAATTAATGCAATTAATATTTGGATTTTGAATGCATTTAAATAACAAATCTGTTCACCATTTTGCTAGTTTTCACTACAGTAGACATTGAATTATATAATACAAATAACACATACAAATACAGATCGCATATGATAAAATGAATGTTTGTTGAATGGTGGATACAGTGAAGCCATACTTAAAAGACCTAGGACAGAAAGAATGAGAGACATGACAAATGTCTCCATTCTGTGAGCTTCCCTGGTCCATGAATGTCAGTCTTCCAGACTGTGATCTTGACTGGGAGAACTTTTCTTTTTTCCCTTTCTTTTTACCTCTACCTCATTTTTGTTCATTTTTCAGTTTATACCTTGTGTTATGGTGCAAACTCACATAGGGGAAAAGAATAGCATGTTGCTGCTCTTCCAGTTCTTGTATCAGCAAGGTGTGGTGTCAACCAAGTTGAGTTAGTAGGTAAAAGTTGGTCACTGGACTTCTCAACCCGTCTTATCCTGACTTACCATTGATATTTAAACACTGACTATAATACTGATTTTAGGTGTTCTTTATTCAGTTATTGTATTGCCTGTGAAAAATATTTGCAAGTCAGTTTATGCAAGTGGTCTTTCCATATCTCCTACTTTTTTTCAACCCAAAATACATAGACTTTTTTCCTCCCTGGTGTTTGACTTTAAAATATTAAAGAACTGAGAGAATGCTATAATATGATGAAAGAGTTGAGGTACCAGACTTGTAATTTGGGTTGCTCTGTCCTAAAAACACCTGCTCATAATGGAATTAGTATCCTAATGTGTTCTGTGCATTATTGAGAAATAAATTACAAATAACACTATACTAGACTGTGATAGAACACTAGAGGTAAACCCAGTAGCTATAATCATAGCTTCATAGATTTACTCTATCCACAAGAAGTGACCTGGGTCATTGAGTTGTACTGCTGGCTTTTGTAGTTTATAATATGGCACCATATATAAACCTCCTCTGGCCTTGATTTGTGAAGATTTCACTGTTAGAATCTCATCAGAGTGCCATCATTCTTTGTACTAGTTCTGGTGAGGTATTTGTTGTGCAGTGGTAGTGGACAGTAGTGGGCAGTAGTTCCAGGCAGTGTGAGTATCTTTGATCTGATCAGCCTGCCTATGTTGATAGGCAGGATTGAACCCACACCATTGAGTAGTAATCATCATCACTCCTGTTTTGATCATTTAAGGAAGACAATTCAACAACCTCATTTAACTCTTTGATGCCTTAACAACAGCTCCTTTATCGATGAGCTCAATTGTATTTGCTGAAATTTAATTTCCTCCCCACTTTTCTTTTTATGTCACATAGAAAATTCAGTTACCAATGAATGTTACTATAGAGACCCAAAGGATCTGATATACTTTTAGGCAGAAATTTTGGTATTGTCAGAAAACTTTTTTAAAATTTAAAAACGGTAACTCCATTTATCAATAAAGACGATGAAAAACGATCTTTACTTTTGGCAGGAGTTTTGAATAGTGAAAATCATTCTTTAAAAGTCAAGCTGTGTTTAATAAATCAGTTATAATACATAAACCCAAATTTGCAGAGCACATTAATGAAAATGTGCTTACATTTTTGTTAAAATGTGACAAATGGCTAGCTTCTGAGGCCACTACTTTGATATTAATGTTACTGAAAAAGCTGACTAATTAGAGACTTTTTTTTTGAAAAATTACAAAATAATGCGCCATGGGTGATTGGAGAATATATTCATTTATTACATTCAGAGTAAGCCACCTTTAAATAAAGCTTCTGTTCAGATCTGTATATGTAGAAGATTTATGGTATAACTTCTCTACCTTTTATATGCTGGACCTTAACATCTTTTTTTTCCAGCTAATTTGGGCATAGGAATCCCTCTCCTGGCCAGCAATTTTATCAGCCCAAATATAACTGTTCATCTTCAAAGTGAAAATGGAGTTCTGGGTTTGGTAAGATGAAAATTTGTTTTCTAAAATCCAGTCTTAATGAAGAATGAGATATTTCATGTTGTGAAATTTTTTATTAAATTTTTTTATTTCAATAGCTTTTAGGGTGCAAGTGATTTTTGGTTACATGGATAAATTGTATAATGCTGAAACCTGAGATTTTAGTGGATCCGTCCCACATAGTGAAATCTGAGTTGTTGCATAAAGTGCCCAAGCTTATTTTTCTTTTTATCATGATAAAATATTTAATTTTTCCCTTAAAATGTAAGCAATGTAGTATTGTATTTTATGTAGTAGATGGTACGTTCCTGACTCTGGCTTTCTGACTGCGTCTCCCATGTGGAACCTGATTCAGAGAGACCTCATGATTTCCTGTGTAAACTATTTCTCATCCTTCTGTTGTTGGACAAGATAATGAAGGTTGTCAATAGTTCTATGTTAAATAAAATTAAGTAAGCCTCAGAGTGAGAAACTGAAGAGTAAGGTTTCTACTTTAGGACAGGGACATTGTTTGAGTTGATTGCCTCAAAAAGCTGTAGAAGTTCTCATCTCATTCTCCTTTTGAAGCTCTACTGTCCAAAAGGTTAAATTTTTTTCTTCCTTAAGATTAAGCATCCAGATGAGCTCAGTTTTCTTAGTTAGGCCATATTTTTTCATTAGTATAATAAAATCATATTTTTTTACTTCCTGTATGACATTTTAATTTAATTAACAATGGCAGGGATTTGGTTTGCCTATTCATAATCTTTTATTTCTCAGTAGATAATAACTGTTAATGCAATAGAAATTATGCATATGGAAAATGTATTCACAATTCAAAATAAATAATGATCCTGAGCGTATAGTTGATACTGATTGAGGCAATAATCATGACATTTTCAAAGACACAAAAATGATATATATTTGGATAAAAGCAGATTCATGTGGAAGTTAAAGACTTGCATTTTTAAGGTGCCTTAGAGATTATCTAGAGTGATCAAATTCCTGGTTTTGAAGAAAAGGGAAATAAATTTGTGGATTATCCATGGCCAGTGTTTAAAGGAAAATTTACATAGCTCTGAACATTAGTTGCCACTTCAGTTTAAAGGATAAATTTTTGGTCCCTCTCTAGAAAGTATGTAAAAATTTCACAGCCAATATTTCTTCATTTTTGGCTCCATCTTATATAGTATGCCTTTTATTTTTTTATAGTTTCCTCTCTTTTCATCGAATATATGTGATATTCTTAAACTACTTGGCCTATTTAAATAGAGTTACATTATAAAAATATATGGAAAAATTTAAAAACTTTACTGAGAGTAGCTGTGCAAAAGGAACATAAGGACATAAGTATATCAAAACTTAGATGTAGTGAGGAGTAAGATTAGAAACCCAAATTCAGGCCTACATTTTACAAATCAGAAAGCTAAAACTTTGCCTCTCCAGGTCCTTCTAGCCAAATAATGTGATGTAGTTTGTATTCATTAATCCTCACAGAAAAGTTTTTGAATAACATTGGCTGCATAGTAGGTACTAAATTTTTCCTCTTTGATTTTTATATTTTTAAGAGAATGGGGTGTCACTATGTTGGCCAGCCTGGTTTTGAACTGGCCTCAAGTGATCCTCCTGCTTCAGCCTCCCAAAATGCTGAGATTACAGGCATGAGCCACTGCCCTGGCCTACATTAGTTTTACCGACCTATATTTCTAATACATTTTCATAGTAGGGACTAAATAATTACTTTTTGTTTTATGGACTTGTATTTCTAATAGTATAGCATTTCTTTCAAACTGGTAATTTTTAGAAAATATTTTTCATTTGCCCAATCACAACTTTAGTATAGAAAAGACTAACATAAGAAACAGAGCCATGGACACAACCGAATTATTTTTCAAAAGTTTACCTCAAGTCTTCGGATGATAAATTTATAGGGTTTTTAGGGAAGTTATTTATATTATAGTTCTAATATGTGATTCAGTGAGAATCTTCATTTACTAATTGAATGTATGTTGTATTTGACAGGGTCCATATCCACGACAACATGAAGCTGATGCAGATCTCATCAATGCAGGTAAGCTCACTTATTTCTAGCCCTTCCCTTTGCTATTAATTTTGTGCTACATAATAAGAGTTTGGACTCAATTCTTTGTCTTTTCCTGGAGAGCACTCCATGGTATTCATTGTTGAGGAGGAGAGATAAGCTTTTTTGAGGTCTCCCCTCATTCAGGAATGACCAAGATAAAGGAGGAAATGCAGATGAAGGCACATTTAATGGAAGAGCTTTGATGGATCAATCAGTCAGGGTCCTGCCTGTGAACAGAGAGCACTCTTATATGGGGTAATTGAGAGTTAGAGGAAGGGACAATTTACAAGGGCATGGACAGGATTAAAAGAGACCAAGAAAGGATGGTGAAATTCCACAGGGAGTTATCACCTCTGGGCTTTATGGGACAGGTTGCTGTGATTTCACTGAGTTCCTCTACCAAAGGCCACTTAATGGAACTGTGGCCTTTGGTAGAGGAACTGGCCACTTAGTAGGAACTGTGGCCTTTGGTAGAGGAACTCAGTCAAATCACAGCAACCTGGTTGGGTGGAGAGTGTCCTCTGCTGGGTTGCCTGCCTGTGCTTCCCACTGGCGAATCTCAAGTCAAAGTAGGTCAGCCTTCTCAGGATAGAGAAGGGTGGGAGTGAATCCATAGCAGCAAAAAGAAAAGATCTGGTACACTGGGGTTTTTGTTGGTGGTGATGCTTCCTATTTTCTAGTTCTCATTGGAGCAGGAGAGGTGCTTAAGGAGGTACTCTGCTGGTAAGTATGATCTAGTAATGTAATAAATATAGTTTTGTTGAACTGGGGACTAGAGCCTTGTCTTCTCCTTTGTTCTTACAGGCATATGCTTTACCTTTTATTACTAGCCTTTTCTTTGACTGAGATGTAGCCTCATATATTAACAGCCTAGAGGAGGAAGAACAGGTCAGGTCTTTTGGCCATCTTCACTGCCTATGCTTGAGGCAACACTGCCACCACTTTGGAGCCATATGTCATCCCTGGAGTGCAGCTGCCCATAAGAAGCTAATTTTTAGGTTCTAGCATGATTTTCTGTATCCTTTTATTCATTCTGCCCCCGCAAAACTATTATTCTTTATTATTCTTACTTTGCATTCAAAAATAGTATGTGTAAATTTCAGAAGACAGGTAATATGAGCTGAACATAAAGGCCAGCTGCCAAGTAAAATTGATGTTTGATACTTAGAATTTTTGGAGTGAAACAGCTTCTGGTTGAATAGTTGAATTAGATAACACGACTCAACTCTGAAAGGCCTACTGTGATAAAGCAATGACATTTAACCAAGGCTGTAATTTAATTGTACTGTACCCTTTAGCAATAGCTCATTGATCTGTGAAAATATTTGCTGCTTGGTTTAATTAATTTATGATGTTAGTGAGTTATTTGCAAAATGAATAACTGCATGTTCCAAATTTCAGGCTTCAGTTTATAAAACCCACTTTCTTTGGAAAAGTTGTTAACTTTTTCAATGTGGTTGGACAGTAGGTGTTTCTGATTCCATAGAGCTTAGAAGTAGCTCAGTCCAAATGAAGCCACCAATTTTATATTTCCACCAATTTTATATTTCAACTTCAACACTTGAAGTGCCACATTTACAAACTACTTTACAAAGCAAGAATTCATTGCTTATGGGAAGCCAAGCTCCAAGTCAGTTTAATAATATTATAAGTTTTTCAAAGTCCTTTTTGGGATTTTTGATACTTTGACACTTTTGATTTTAAATTAGGAAATACTTTAAGCTGGAGAGCCTAGAATATAAATTGGTGGTTTCCTCAATTCCCAAAGTTATCTGCAAGATCAACCCATTATTTGTGTTAGTTTGAAAGCATTTTATGGAAATCTCTTTGAATACAAAGAGTTATGTTTCTGGATATAATTGGTATGATAAAAATTCAAAATAATAATATAACTATTTCCAAGGATCTCTTTTAAAAAAGTCTCATAAGGTTATGTAAAAATGAACTACCAGTTGTATAGTTTTACATGGCTTAGAGCATACTTTTTCACATGTATTATACCATTGGAACCTCAAATGAAACCTTGTTATACAAATTGGGAAACTGAGGTCCAGAAAATTGAAGTGATGGGTTCAAGATAACATTGCTAGGGACTGAGTTCATACCCAGTCTCCTGCTTGTGACCCCTGGCCTTTTTCTCTATACACTGAGTTATATCTGCTGATGACCTGACTTGCACAGAGGTGCAGACAGCAGTGCTAGGAATGTTCCAGAGGTCCCATCAAGATCTGGGCTCTAACCTAGAGTAACCCAATGCAGTTGTGAAATTTCTAAGTCTCATATTTTTGCTTCTGTATTGTGCATTTTGCATTCTTCATTTCTTAATGTTTTCTTATTTTAATATACAGTATTTTAAATGACTTAACTTTTGATTAAAGTTGCTTTAGAAAGAATAACCATGTTTAATATCCCTGGCCCCCTGCCATGTCCTCTCTGCACTAGTCGTTTTCAATGGGGTGGGGTCTGATTTTGCCCCCAGAGACATTTGGCAATGTCTGAGGACATTTTTGATTGTCACACCTGGGGGAGTAACATCTAGTAGGTAGAGGCCAGGGATGCTGATAAACATCCCACAGCAACCAGGACAGTTTCCCTATCCGCTGGAGTTAACCAGCCCCAATGCTCAATAGTGCTAAGCAGGAGAAACTCTGCTCTAGAGGTATATGTATCACATCTGAAGAATCACAGGGCTGCAGTCTAAAGTACAGATAACATGGCATTCCAGATCTCTGTAGTGTTTGCAACCAACCATTATGGCTTTCTGTCTTGCTGTACCCTTCAAGGATACTTTTGTGTACCCATTCTGGACTGCTGGGTGTTTTCTGATTATGGCTCATACTCTTCTTTGCATGTCTTTGCTCTTGGTGTGTCTTTCATGAGATTTTATTCTGCTCCATTCCATTTTTATCCCCATCTCCTTACTGATAACTTTCTATCAACATTCATTATGCCTATCCTTCAAGTTCCAGCCCATTTTTCTTCTCCAAATCCTACTGTAGCTCAGAAATGCCCTTCCCCTAAACCCACAACATATCTAGTGTCTCTCTGAGAAGCATATCACATTTTGCCTTGTAATTATTTGTTCATCTGTCTTGCTGTATAGTAAGTTCCTTTTGCTTAGGGCAGTGTGGTCTAAGTGTGGTCCCCAGACCCACAGCGTCAGCATCACTGGAAATGTTTTAGAAATGAAATTCTCAGACCTCACCACACTTACTGAATTAGAAACTATGCATTTCATAAATCTTCCATGTGATTCTGATGAATGTTAAAGTTTGCAAACCACTAGTTCAGATCACCCAAATTTGGTTTATAACGCTGTTTAAGGCATATAGTAGGCATTTACTATTGTGTGGATGACCTGTTAAATCGTGAGCCAAAGGACTCAGTGACCATGAAATTGATAACTCTATTGCCCAAATATGAAAAATTGAGATATACATAAAGAAAAATTGGAGGAGACAAATCAATCAGGAATAGCCAAATAAGAAAGCCCTCTTTGTGTTGATTGCCTTTAGTTACGACTTTTCTTGACCAAACTTGGACATTCTATGTGAAAATCATGGATTCAATTTTAGGATACTTATTTTTGTTTAGATATTGGATGTTTAAAAATGCTGAAAATTAACCTTGCTTCAAAAGAATGTAATTTTTAAGATGCAGTAATGTATTAGCAGAGGCCTTGATAATGATTTTTCAAGAGAGTTGTTTTCTAGGCTCTTTAATAAAACTATGCTTCACAAATAATATAGGGAGATCCAAAGCTCTTCCCATTGATCTCAGTTTCCTATAACATGGTAAATATGCCTTCTATGTATTATCAGCCAGTGCAGGTTGTCTTTTGGAAGTCAGTGTTATTTAGCCTCTAAAAAACAAAGAACTGGAATTTTTAATGTTTTTCTTCCTTTTTGTCCTACAAATTCCTCCTCCTTGACTTCCCACAGGACTGATGAGGATCTGAATTTGCAGGTTATAGACATTGTGTCTAGAATAAGGTTTAGTTGTGTTATGCCTGTCTTAAAACCTAGAGCTCACACAGGCTGGCCATACAACCCCACCATATAAGCCAATTGCTTGGTCCTGTGGCATTTGTCCCTAGAGGGGCAATGGCATTATCTCTTTTATAAGTAGCTTTGGAGAGAGGAATAACAAAAATGGCAATAATAAAAGGTGACGTTTATAAAGCCCTTTCTCTGTGCCAGGCAAGTTAGAGTAAGGACTTTGTATGCATTATCTAATTTAATCCACTACGTCTTACATGCTGTTTAAAAGCCCCTGCTAACCATACCAGGAAGTATTTTCAAAACTTTTCAATTTTGTGTACTTTAAAAGATACAAAAATATTTCTATCATTTGGAATAAAACTCCCTCGAGAGATATATATTTATATCAAGATGAAGTATTTATATATTTATAAATAAGCTTACTCTTTCTCCATACTCAAGTTTTAATGGAGGGGGATATTGATGGAAAAGTTAGCTTTCGGGAAAGACTTGAGAATCTGAGGATATAACTGTGTTGCACAGCTAGGGATATTCAGACTGCCTGTGGTCCTTTTGTTTCTGGGAGCTATTTCCTATTCCAATTTTGGAATAACAGTTTTGCTTCTCTTTCTTTTTGTCTGCCCTATTATACTGAGGCCATGCATGGGGTGTTCTCAAAACAGGTGACTTATCTTTGGCACAGTGGTATGTGAGCACCTTCCTGGTTGAGACCAGAAGCTATTCCCAGGCCCCTGAAGCTCCTGAATAGAGAGGAAATAGATCACAAGATGGGAGCAGCTTAGATATGAGTCAGGTGATTTTATTAGTTCTATGGGGAGTAGATGACCTTGAAAATCTTTTCCAGCTCTGAACCTCATTATGAGATGTAAGTCTTGGGAGATGTCCTTCCAAGGGGACCTCTTGGAAGTTAACCTTAGATACATTGGCCAGTATTACCATGTTATTCCCTGATTTTATGAAAATCCTGTGGTTTTAATAGAAGCTTATGGGGCAAGAGAGTACAGATGAGTCAGAAAAAGAAAGAAAAGGGGAGAGAGATGAAAAGTCGAGAGTTCAGGCCAAATGAAATTAAGGAATTAGGTGGGTCCTTTTTTTCTATATGTGTTTTCTAATTTTATTTTTATTTCTCCCCAGCTTCACTGAGATATACTTAACCAATAAAAATTGTTTATATTTAAGACGTGTAATGTGATGATTTGATATACATATACATTGTGAAATGATTACCACAATCATTAATTATCACATCCATCACCTCAGAGTTACCTTTTTTTGTAGTGAGAACTCTTAAGATCTACTTTTCTAGCAAATTTCAATTATACAGTATAGTATTAACTATAGTTAATACTATATGCTGTACATTAGCATCTCAGAAGTTATTCTTATCACTGAAGTTATTTGTTGATTAAAAAAAGAAACTGCGGTGCATCTCCTGTGTCATTCCCTTCAAAATTGCATTCCTTCTTATGTTCATGTTGATTCCACAGTCTCTCTGTCTCAGTGACTTACAGTAGCATTAGATTCTGACAGGTGTTACCCCAGAACTTCCTTCCTCCTCATTCCTAAGTAGTATTTAGCAGAGGATTGTGAAGGGAATGGGGATGGCGAGAGGCTGGAGAGGTATGGACAATAGAGGGGTGCATTTCCTGTAGAACAGGGGTCCCTAACCCCTGGGCTGTGGACCAGTACCGGTCCATGGCCTGTTAGGAACCAGGCTGCACAGCAGGAGGTGAGCAGCAGGCGAGCAAACGAGCATTACCATCTAAGCTTGGCCTTCTCTCAAATCATCAGCAGCATTAGATTCTGATAGAAGCCCGACTGAACCCATTGTAAACTGTGCATATGAGGGATCTAGGTTGCCCGTTCCTTATGATAACCTAATGCTTGATAAGCTGATGTGGAACAACAGTTTTATCCTGAAACCATCCCCATCCCCCAGTCTGTGGAAAAATTGTCTTCCATAAAACCGGTCTGAGGTACCAAAAAGGGGACTGCTGCTGTAGAGAATTTCCAAACAATAAGAAAACTAAAAGTGGTCTGCTTTTCATTATCATCATGCAAAGGCAAGAGCAATGTCAGTGACAAAATGCTTTCCACCACAAAAGGTTCCTACTGTGTCCCCCCACCTGCTATGTCACTGCATTTTGGTAAAGGGAGCTTAAGTTCTTTTGGGAATGGAGAAGATGTGGACCTCTGTTCACCATGATACTCTTAGAAATCTAATAGCCTTTTCTTTCTTTTGTGTGTGTGTGTGTTTAGGCAAGGAAACAGTTACTATTCTTCCAGGAGCCTCTTTTTTCTCCAGCGATGAATCATTTGCAATGATTAGAGGGTATGTAATAACAGAGCCCCTCATGTTTCAGACAGTATGGAATGAGCTGAGTCATCGTCTGAGTGTGTTAGCAAGGCTCTGAAACACAGCCACATTTCCCAGCCAGAAAACTATCAGGAGTTTGTTCGGCTGCAGGGTGTGAAATTATTCACATCGAATGTTGGGCATTGAATATCCAGCCCACTGTTAGGAAAAGAACCCCCAAAATGGAATCCATGCCTTTGTGCCAACCATACTGAAATAAACATTTCTAAGGTGCTTTCTGAGGATTCTAACATTTTCTTCAAACTGTGTTCACTTTCTAGCTAGTGTTTGTGTTCAAGTAGTCACATTCTGCCTCACTGAAGGAAACAGTCTTCCTGTGTACACCTGTTCATAGTTTGTTATTGAAACAATGTATACTGTAACTTTTTTTTCAAAAAGAATTTTTAGTGATTATTTCTCTGTCAGCATGGAGCTGATCTATTAGGAAATCAGTTGTGTGGTGGGGGAAGCAAGTATATTTTGGTGGTATGAAGTTATTCTAATTGCTGGCAAGTTCAAGCAAAGGGGACAAAAGCTTATGAGGTTCACTTTATTCTTCCTCTTTCTTTCTCAGTGGACACGTCGATCTGACAATGCTAGGAGCGATGCAGGTTTCCAAATATGGTGACCTGGCTAACTGGATGATACCTGTAAGTAGACATTTTTTATTCTGAATTATGTTTGGATCAGAATAATTATATTTTAAATACTAAGAAAAAGGGCCATGAGATCACGATTCTTTAAAAATGAAATATTTTAATATATATTTCTTACTAGAATCAAATTTTAATTAAGTAAGCACTGAGAAGTATTCAGCTTTGCCAATTTACTGTGCATTTGGGACTAAAAGTAGGCAAGGTCAGAGCCGAAACCTCTTGCTTAGAAGAAACCAAGTTAGAGAAGACTTAAAAAACAGAAAAAGGGCTAATTATACTCTGAAAATAAGAAATACAAATATTTACCATAACTAAAATTTTAAACTAGGAAGAACAATTAACAAGTTTGTTAGCGTTGTTAATTAACTTTGCTAATTGTTAATTCTATTAATCAGTGATTGAAATCATCTTGATTGGTCATGTGACCCCATAAATAATCATTGTCCTCTGCTATGGAATTCAAAACCTGTGAGAGTTTAATATCCTTGTGAAATGCACAGTTGTCATTTAATATGAAATGCACAGTTGTCATTTAATAGTGACCTAAATCAAGGAAGAAACCTCTTAGAATTAGCTTTGGAAAGAGGACTGTTATCACTGACTTAATTCATGAGTGTAGTTCATTATAGACCAGGATGTTGCTTCCCAAGTACGTGCATGGAAACAATAATGGGTATGTTTATGATTATGAGCTCATTTTGGCTGGTAGCCCGGTTGCTCTTTGTGTGTGTGTTTAAGGATTTCCATATGTTTCTCTATAGAACAAGCTAAGAAGAATCTTGTCAAATAACTGAGGCTGGTGGTCTATGATAGGACAGTTTTCTTGAAATCTCTTAAATTTGTTTTCTAATAATTTTTTGAGGAAGGTGGATTAATGTAGTTGATAACAATGTTAGAGATCATGTTAGTCTAGCTCATTTGATCTAGAGATCATGTTAGTCTAGCTCATTTGATCTAATGCCACCTGAAATGTTATGTTTAAGTTTTAATAATTATTCAAGCCCTAGTTTTCAAACTTGGTGGTGTATTAGAATACCTCAGAGTTTTAAGAAATTTTGATGCCTGGGTTCCAGCCCAGGTAGTCTCTAATTTAATTAATCTGGGATGTAGCCTGGACACTGGGTCATTCAAAGCAACTCAGGTGGTTCTGATATGTGACCAGGTTTGAGAACCAGCATATTAAAGATTGATTACAACTCACTTCATTTTAAAATGTAAGAGAAAAACATCATTGAGCCATCATAATAAGAACCCTTAGCAAATTGTGGATTATATTGTTAGTTTAGTTGTAAAAATACTGATCTTTCAGAATCAGCCATAGTTACAAGGGTTAGCAGCTTTTGATTGCTTCAAAAAAATCAGGGAGGGTCTCCTGAGCATCGTACAGTGAGTCAGATAGAAAGTTTGTGGAAATACTTGTGTAGGATATTACAATGTATTTCTGTTTTCAAATTTTAGAAAAGGGCCATACGGGGTAGTAGAGTGACTATAGGAAAGCAAGCCCTGGGTTTTAGCACTGACTCTACCAGTAATCAAGGTGTGATGTTGAACATTTCACTTATGCTCTTTGGGTTAAAATGCCCTCATCTATAAAGTGAGGGTTTGAGAACAGATAATTTTAGGGGTCTCATTTGGTTCTCTTAGCTTAGTAGGTAAGAGCAAGGCCCTGTAGTGAGATAGTTGTGGATTAAAGTCTTATTTCTGACGCTTGCTGGCAGTGTAACTTGAGCTAATTTCCTATTTTTCCTCATCTGTAAAAATGGGAATCATATAACAGTACCTACTTTATAGGACTATATGAAGGAATACATGTGACAATGCATACAAAGTACATAGCACAGAGCTTGACACTTAGTACCTGGTAAATAGGTTATTGTTCTTATAAGAAGTTGCGGGCCGGACGCAGTGGCTCACGCCTGTAATCCCAGCACTTTGGGAGGCCGAGGCGGGTGGATCACGAGGTCAGGAGATTGAGACCATCCTGGCTAACATGGTGAAACCTCGTCTCTGCTAAAAAATACAAAAAATTAGCCGGGCGTGGTGGCATGCGCTTGAGTCCCAGCTACTCGAGAGGCTGAGGCAGGAGAATGGCGTGCACCCGGGAGGCGGAGCTTGCAGTGAGCAGAGATCGCGCCACTGCACTCCAGCCTGTGGGCGAAAGAGCGAGACTCCGTCTCATAAAAAAAAAAATAAATAAATAAAATAAAAAAGAAGTTGCGGATACCTGGCAAAGAAGAGAAAAGCATTGGGTCCTATGAACAAAAGCAATAGGGTTTTAAATACATCTATTTCTCTAGACTAATGATTTTTGAAATCAATTTGCTCAGTGGTCCTGGGTATGAAGCAGAAATGTGTTAAATATCTTCTTCCCTTCGGGGAACATGGGCATCTTCATATCAGTATAAGATTTGTTTATATTATGATTTAGCATGTAGTAAGGCTGGAAGCTCTCATAGTGGTAGTGTACACTATGTAGTTATTTGTAGGAAAGCTTTTCCAATGCGTACCATATTTTTACATATCCTGTTAAGATTCCTGTGAATGATTAAAATACAAATGTTTATTACTTTATACTTTTCTCAATATAACTTGGAGCCCACGAGTTCCCAAAGGAATGGACCTAGTGGGATGAACAACTCTGGAGTTCTGTAGGAACATCATGGAAGTCTAGTTGAGAAAAATTAAGCATAAGAAGTGTTCCTGGGTTTGGTTCCACTGTTTTGGTAATGGAAGTTGGTAGTGTTACTTCTGATTAGCATTTTTTTTGTTGCTTTCATAACTGATAATCATTTCCTAACTTCTTTGTATGTGATGCACCATGTATATTTTCATTGTTTGAGACTCAGGGCAGCTTCAGAATCAAGTCCATGAGGTTTAGTTTGGTTTTAATTTCAGCCCTACCCCTTACAAATTATGTGATCTGAAGCACATGTTTTGGCTAGGATTAAGTGAGAAGAAAATGAAAAGTGAACACTGCAAGCACTCTCTAAATAGTGGCTATTAAGTAATGCTCTATTACTTAAAATTAAAGAGGAAATATTTACCTTAAAATACACTGGTAAAAGCGAGATGATTTTACAGGAGCCAGTACAACCTGCTTATCCTAAGTCCCTATTCAAGCACCAAAATTAAGCCCTTTGAGGACACATTTTTTTTCTTTTATTGGTTATGGATAAAGATACAGCTTACCTTCCTTATGTAATTTCAGTAAGCAATCTATTTTTATTTGTCCCAAAGATTTGTTGACTTATGTAATTTAAATATGTTTTTATTGCAAGATCTGGCAGTCAAGAAGCTGAAAAATTCAGCTTTATTATATTATTTTTCATTTACTTTTATCTTTTTCCTGAGTTTAATAATCTTTCAATGGCTGTGTAAGCCATGAGTTCTCAGCATCATGACATTATCATCAATCATTATAGCATCAGATTACAATAAACATTAAGCCTTCAGGGCAAGCAAACGGTGTGGATGCTATTTGTCTTACCGTTTAATAGCTTCTTAGTATGCAGTGTTGGTCTCATGTACACAGATTTTTAACAATTCTACCCTGAGCATCCAAAGGAGGAAAACTTGACAAAACAGTAGTTGGCTCCTTCAAGCTCGCTGCTGATTGTGATGATGGTAAAACCCCAGGCAAGCGAATAAATGATGGAAAGATGTGCAGTCCGCTGAATCTATATTCAGAGCTGCTCTAGTGCTTTCTGAATGCCTATTTTTGGAGAACAGCTGGCATTGATTATTGACTTATGAAGGGAAGCAGATGTGTATGGTCAGCTATGAGAGCTGGTTATTGAAAGCACAAAATAGCAGCCCACTGGACAGGGCTGCAGTACGTGAGTGGCACAAGAGCCAAGAGCCCTCCTCTATGTGGAGAGGATTGAATGAGGCATTCTTATGGCAAGAAAGAATGGGACACTTTTGGTGTTTTTTTATTTTTTTCCTTTTCTCCCTCACATTTTTCACATCTTTGTGCATTTGAAAAGAATAAATACTAATTAATGTCATACTCCTGTGTGCTACATGTCTGAGCACATAAAATTGATTGGGTTCTCTAGACATGCTACCTGTTTTAAATAAGTTAAGTCACTAGTATTCCTGGTTATAAAACTACAAGGGGGTTTGTGTTGAAGATTCAGTCTGTTTAGTTGCATCAATTGTAATCCAAATGTTAGTCCAAAATATAGATATTTAAATATATTATGACATAGGTGAGGAAATAAGCATAAATCTCTAGACATTGTTTTAACTTTAGTGTATTGTCCATTTGGTCCTGAGGCTCAGGAAAAGAAAAACAGGTGGAAAATCCATATGAGGTCATATGAAACTTTTACAATTAGTAATGCCTTTGTCTTATTAGTGTAATGTAGTGGAAAGCTCATAAAACTTTGGAATTAGACAGACTTGAGCTTAAATACTGGTTCTTTACTTATTGATCATGTAGTATATCACTGTTGTAGTATATTCATTGGTAAAATGACAATTTTTAACTCATGCTTGTTCTGAGGATTAAATTCGCTAATTCATTCAACATGTATTGATCTGGCATATATTAAGGGTCAGGCACTGTTAAATATAAACGACAACGTTTTTGGGGATGCAGTAGTTAACAAAACA
This sequence comes from Homo sapiens, assembly GCF_000001405.40. NCBI lineage: Eukaryota > Metazoa > Chordata > Mammalia > Primates > Hominidae > Homo > Homo sapiens. The sequence goes on along the minus strand of NC_000005.10, from coordinate 41,789,379 downwards.
GACAAAATTCTCTGCATTTATGGAGCTGATATTCTAACAGGGGTCAGCAAACTGTGTTGCATGTACCAAATCTGGCCCACTGCCTATTTTTGTAAATTTTTCTTGGAGCATAGCCATATCCACTCATTTACGTATTGTTTATGGCTGCTTTAAATAGTTAGGATAGAAACTGTGTGGCTTGCAAAGCCTAAAATATTTACCGTTTGGCCCTTTACAGAAAAGATTTGCCAACTTCTGCCTTAGATCACTGATTTGAAACCTTTTTTCTCTAATATAAGCAAGTAACATCCTACAAATTTTTATGTTGTTTCAGTCTCTTCAAAATACTTTCTAATCTTCCTTGTTATTTTTTGTATGACCCATTGTTTATTTAAAGGTGTGTCAGTTTCCAAATATTTGGTAATTTTCCACATAACTTTTTAAAAATTTTTCAGTTTAATTCTTTTGAGGTCAGAAAACACACTTTATAGTTTCAGTCCTTTTAAATTTGAGACTTGCTTATGGCCCAGAATGTAGGCTATTTTAGTGACTGTTCCATTTGCACTTGAATATATATTCTGCTCTTGTTGGGTACAGTGTTCTGTAAGTGCCAATTGGATCAAATGGGCAGTTAGTATTGTTCAAGTGTTCTGTGTCTTGTCAATTACTGAGAGAGCAGTCTTGAGATCTTCAGCTATAATTGTGGATTTGTCTGTTTTTCCTTTCAGTTATACCACTTTTTCCTTTATCTGTTTTAGAGCTGTTACTACTTGCATTTATACACATTTAAGCTTACATTCTCTTAATGAATTGATCTGTCATTTTGTCTCTTCAATAATATTCCTTTTATTGAAGTCTACTGTCTGATGCTGATATAGTCACTCTTCAAAGTATGTTTCTCCATTCTTCTGCCTGTAACCTATGAACACCTTTATTTTTAAGTAGGTTTTTGTAATCATATAGTTAGATTGTTATCTTATAATCTCTAAATCATAATTGGAGGTTTAGACCATTTACAATTAATGTAGTCATCAATATGGTTGGGTTTAAATCTATCAGGATATTTTTTTTTCTGTTTACTTCATCTGTCCTTTTTGCCCTTTGATTTCTTTGGGATCAATTACGTATTTTTTGAGTATTTTATCTTCACTGTTGGATTACTTTTTAGTGGCTTCTCTAGGGTCTACCATATACATATTTTAATCACAATCTACTTCAAGTAATATATCACTTTATATATAATGTAAGAATTATACAATAGTAAACTTCTGTTTTCTGCCTTATTGTGTGTTCTTTAGTGATAGTTAATTCTGCATGTGACATAAACCTTATACTTCGCTATTATTTTTGCTCTAAACACTCGACTATCTTTTTAAGTAATCTTTGAAAATGAGGAAAAATCTTTTATATTTTTCCAACATATTTTCTGTTTGTTGCACTTTTTCTGTGCAGAGATCTAGATTGCCATTTGATGTTTTTTTCCTTCTGCTTGAAGGACATCCTTTGATGTTTGTTGTAGCACAAATTCTATAGATGTCTCTCAGGTTGATCTTTTTCAATATTTGCTTTTAAGCTGTGTTAAGATTAGTTGAGAGTAGCCTTTAGTTGCAGTTTAATTTATAGCCCCACTACTGAGAAAGTTTTCTTCGGAGGACTCTGCCTGATGCTCCATATATTACAAAATCTTTCCTCACTGTTTGGTAGGATTGTGAATTGTTCCTAGACCTGTGTTAGTTTTGGGCTTTTTTTTTTTTTTTTTTTTTTTTGCCTAATGCTTGCTTAATGGTTCTTTTTCAGGCTTTGACTAATTTCTTCTCATATATGCACATATTCATACTCTGCTAAAGACTTGAGACCTTCTTCCTCTGCAAATCTGAGCTCTCACTCTGTATAATGACCTCCTTTCTGGTATTTTCAGATCTCAAATTGTAGTTGCCTCAGGCTCTCTGAAGCCAACAAAATTGCTGAGTTTGACTTCCTGTACTGCAGCTTGCAAATTCTCTCCAGGCAGTAAGCTGGGGGAAATTGTAGACCTATCTTGTTGGCTTCCCTTCTTTCAGAAATGGTAGTCCCGTACTGTGTGTGGTCTAATGTCCGAAAGCCACTTTTTCATGTCAGTTTGATTTTTCTAACTGTTTAATATCATTAATAACATGTTTGAATTTATGTCATTGTGTATTTACTGATGGTTTTCTTAGTACAAATCCCTAGAAATAGAATATCTTTGTCAGTATTTTAGGGATTTTGATATATCACAGAGTTACTGGCCAGAAAAATTATCCCAGTTTACTCTCACACTGTTTCTACTCTATTACCAACACTGGTATCAGCTTTTTAAAAGCTATATTATTTTCTTGCGTTATTTGGCATTTCTTTATAAAGCTGCTCTCTGGGATTGTTTAAGGGGCAGCCGTACCTTACTCTTCAGGAGGGCATTTAATCATTTTCTCTCTTGTTTTGGAGACCTTCCTTTTGGCTTCTAGCAATTATCTCTCTTCAAATTCCAGTGTTGCTCTCTTTAGTTATATTAAAAAACAACATTGATAATGAGTATTCTGTGTTAGTGAATGTATCTTAGGAGATCCACTGTAACAAGCATGTATGTGAATGTGTGTGCATTTCTTCTGTTTACAATATTTTGAACAAGCTCTAAATGTGGGATAGAATAAAATACAGCTATTTTTATCTCCTGTGGTACTCTTTAACCTATTCTGTTAGGGAAGCTTTTCCTCTGCTGTTAATGAATACTCAGGCTGCATGACATTTCAGCTCACTCTAGGAAAATAAACAGCTCTTAAGTGACTTTAATTCATAAACTCAGTCTTCATTCAGACATTAGAGGGTCCATTCCAAAACAGTGAAAAATGCTTTAATAATCATTCAAAAGCAATGCATCTCCTCATTTTTGATCTCCCAGCTACAGTCTGCCTGCATTTGAAGAAGGTTATATAGTATGCTTTTGCTTTTTCTCTACTCCCCTCCTCTTCCAGCTCACTGTTTGGCACCCACCAGGATCAAAATTCAAGAGAAAGGGAAGGCAAGGAAATAGGGCAGGAAAGATTTTACATAGCAGGAGACTGGTAATCCTGTTTGCTGGCTCCATGATCTCTGGTCCATAAAAATATTTAAAGCTGATCCCTTCCTCTCTCTGTGTGTGTGGAGTGGGGTGAGCAGTTGTCTTTAGAGACCCCCTTCTTGGTTCCTCCTGCAGCGGCTGCTCCTATGGGTGATGGCTGGATGCTTCCCCAGCAGCTTCTGACTTTCCTGCGGTCCACTTAACATATAGACTCTTACCGGTGGAGTCCCTCTTCCTGGGCTATCCTGTTGACAAAGCATTAACCTGTTGAGGTTGTTCCTCTCTCACATGGCCCCCATCTGGGAAGCACTCACATTTCTTCTACTGCCTCCAGTGATAGTGTAGTTACTTCCGCAAAACAGCCCCTTTAATTTTCTCAGGTAAGAGTCAGGCAGCACTCCCTATCTGCACTCCCCATCTTTCAGGCTCTGATTTGTCAATGGAGTGAGCAGCAGGCATACCCTTACCCCTTCCTTGGTTGCTGAGAAATGTAGGGGTAGTTAGAATACTTTTCATGAAATAAATCCTTCATACAAAACCTTTGCTATTCCTATACTGTATTCCTTCAGCCTGCTGAGGGTCCCAAGAGCCTTGGGATGTGCTTTTGACTATTTCCTTTGTAAATTCTACTTCTGAGCATCTATCCTACATGCTGGTATCCCCTAGCTCTTCTATCAGTTAAAAGTGAGACAGCAAGATCTCATCTAACATCTGGTTACCAACCACTTTTGCTCATGAGCCTGCCTTTTTTTGTTGCCATTAATCCTCCCTATTTATCATATTTAATTCTGCACGTGATATAAATCTTATAATACTTTGCTATTATTTTTGCTCTAAACAGTCAACTGTCTTTTAAGTAATCTTTAAAAATGAGGAAAAAAACTCTTCAATATTTTTCCAGCATATTTGCCAATTCAAGCTCATATTCAGCTAAGCCTTGGTGCATATAAGGGTGTTTTCCAACTATGGTTCTAATACCTCTAGGCAGTTCCCCCTAGCCTGTTCTGTTTTCCACAGAGGACTGTGGAAGAACCCAGCCAAACCCTGTTTGTCCTAACAGGGAATAAAAATACTGACCCATTGGGATGGACCTTTACTTCCTGTGCTGTTTGGAAAATGCATTTAATGCCTTCAGAATTTCCAGGAGCAAAATATTATTTCCTCTTATACAGTGATTTAACAAATGGGCATGCATTTTTTTTAGAAAGGCAACTTTTTATTAGTGATTCACCAATTTAGGATGTTATTAGAAACATAAGCTATTTATTATACTTTTCTTGGGTGCTATATTTGGTTATTCAAAAATACTTTTATCTATGACTATCTGGAAAACATGTTGAAAACTAATGTTTAGTTTCCTTATTTACACCCAATATTTTTCAGACTAAAGGTATATTTAGAGACTGACATATTTGACATATTCATTTTGTCAGGAAAATTTCTCTTACTTGAAAGATCCTGTCAATGATTAAAAACTGTGATTAAGGTTTAAAAGCCACAGCTAAATTCTAAATCTATTTTTTACAAGGAGGGAACTAACAATTATTAAGCACATGTCACTGGCCAGGTTCTGAATATTTATTGCCATTTTATCCTCACAGAACACTGAGTTAAATACAAATATTCCTGTTATTATAGATGAAGAGATTCAGGCCAAGGGAGTTAACTATTCAAGTTCACATCTGTGGCAAGTGATGAAAAGAGAAGTGGAATTACAGTCTTCTTTGCTCTTATGTGCTTCACATTCTGCCACAGGTACTTTTGGGGATATTTAACTGCCTTTCAGAATGGAAGCAAAACAACCTGCAAAATACATAAAAATCTGTATAGCATTCTGTAAGCCTTATGAAGAAATGATTGTCGGATAAAGCCTGTTGTGGTTTGAAGGATATATGTTGAGTACATATGACTCTTATTCATGGTGGGATTTTTTTGTAGGTGGACCATTTGCATGTTTGTTCTTCTGCATCCCGTTTTCTTTAAGCTTTCACCCAAATTCTAAAGTCTCCACTGCCCAGTCACTTATAATTAGCCTAAATGTCATATATGAAGTACTTTATCCATTTTATTTACCCATTTTGTTTTTTATAATCTACCAATCAAAGAATTCTTTGGAAAATTTCAGGCCCTCTACAAAGAATGTTTATAAAATTATCTTGCAATACTTGTTAAATGGGAAACACTGAAGCACAATTGGAGAAATATCAGAATTATTGCAAAGGGAGGAATACTGAAGATAATTTTTAAAAAGATTAAGATCCGAAAGGAACAAAAGCAAATTCATTAGCAAGCCATCTCACCCAGCCTAGGCCCTCACACATGTTAACCTTTGACAGAAGCAAAAGGATATGAGAATGTGAAAGAGTTTCTCCATCTTCAACAGTCTTACAGAGATTTTGCCTTTTGATTGCTACCTGAGTCTTTTTTAGGAGGAAAGAAAATATTTCTCTCCTTGCTGTGCTTCATATGATATATTTTGAACAACTGCTTACCTCTAAGACTTTGACTGTTCACTGGAACTTGGGTATGTTCAACACAGAGACTGAAAGAAAGGTGAGCTAGATACCTGATTCCAAACCATGCTGCTACACTGCCTACCAGACACTCTTGTAAGAATTTAATCAAATATTCTCCATCTCCTCTGGTGTTGAAAGGCAGACTTCTTTGCATAGAGTGGGATTTTGGTCATCTTTGAATCAGTCGATCTCTGTCTCTCTCATGAACAATGAATGAGTTTGATATTTGTTATAAATATCCTTTTGGCTAATGATGCATTTGTATGACTGCAGCAGGCTCTTCTCATTAAACAGCTCACTTAAAAGGAGAAGAAGAAACATTAAAAATGATAGATGAGGCTTCCTAGAAACCCATTATTAATAATATGATAAATCATAGTGTTGCTGATATGACTTAGCAGGGAATGAAACCAAAGGGCTAATGATTACTGCTGGTGACCCTGCAGCTAAAGGCTAATGAATCTTGAAGACTAAATTTTATTAAATGACTGAATTTCACATTCCCAGTTGGCGAAATCTTTCTCTATTCTTTTGGTTTAGAGATCATCTTGATCAACACTTTTGAGAAAATCTTTAAATTAACTCTCTATAAAAATAGAATAGTAAATGCATACATCCAGCTTAGACAGTTATCCACTTATGGTCAGTCTTGTTTCATCTGTACTCAACTTCCCTTTTCCTCAGATTATTTTGAAGCAAATGCTGCACATATTCTATCCATAAACATTTCGGCATTATCTGAAAGATTATTTTCAAATTTCTTTATAAAAGGATTCTTTTCATAAACTGCAATTCTGTTATCCCACCTAACAGTAAGGAATTAAGGATATAATTCTTTAATATCATTCAGCTATAAGCACCCTAATGTTAATTGCAGAAAACCTGAATCAGGAGAAATGAAGTGACTCAGCTCAGGCTGCAAAACTCTAATTAGTAGCTAAGCCAATATTAGGACCTATCTCTTCTGTCTGTAGTTTTGTAGGGATGCTCTTTCCACTACACAGGGGAAAGTTTACCTTTGAAAAACATCCCAATACAAAGAACCTTCCATGTTTCTTTCAAATATGCTTAGAAGTGGCTGTATCCAAAAACTATCATCAGGATGAACAGAAAACCTACAGAATGTGAGAAAATATTTGCAATCTATCCATCTGAAAAATGACTAATATCCAGAGTCTGGAAGGAACTTAAGCATATTTACAAAAAAAAACTAACCCCATTAAAAAGTGGGCAAAGGACATGAACAGATACTTCTCAAAAGAAGACATACATGGGCCAAGAAATAGGAAAAAAAGCTCCTGGGGCAGTGGCTCATGCCTGTAATCCCAGCACTTTGGGGGGCTAAGGCAGGCGGATTACTTCAGGTCAGGAGTTCAAGACCAGCCTGGCCAACACAGTGAAACCCGATCTTTACAAAAATACAAAAATTTGCTAGGCATGGTGGCATGCACCTGTAATCTCAGCTTCTTGGAAGGCTGAGGCAGGAGAATCACTTGAACCCAGGAGGTGGAGGTTGCACTGAGCTGAGGTCACACCACTGCACTCCAGCCTGGGCAGCAGAGCAAGACTCCATTTAAAAAAAAAAAAAAGCTCAACATCACTGATCATTAGAGAAATGCAAATCAAAACCAGAATGAGATACCATCTCACTCCAGTCACAATGACTATTACTAAAAATTAAAAAAAAAAAAAAAGATGCTGGCAAGATTGTGGAGAAAAAGGAACACTTTTACACTGTTGGTGGGAGTGTAAATTAATTCAACCATTTTGGAAGACAGTGTGGCAATTCCTCAAAGACCTAGAGGCAGAAATACCATTTGACTCAGCAATCCCATTGCTGGGTATATACCCATGGGAACATAAATCATTCTGTTATAAAGAAACGTGTGTGTTATGTTCATTACTGCACTGTTCACAATAGTAAAGACATGGAATCAACCTAAATACCCACCAATTATAGACTGAATAAAGAAAATGTGGCACATATATACCATGCTATACTATGCAGCCATATAAAGAAACGAGATCATGTTCTTTGCAGGGACCTGGATTGAGTCAGAAGCCATTATCCTCAGCAAACTAACGCAGGAACAGAAAACCAAACACTGCATATTCTCACTTGTAAGTGGGAGCTGAACGATGAAAACACATGGACACCACTGGGGGAACAACACATACAGAGGGCCTGTTGGGGTATGGGGGGAGCGAGAGTATCAGGAAGAATAGCTGATGGATGCTGGGCTTAATACCTAGGTGATGGGATGATCTATGTGGCAAAACACCATGGCACACATTTACCTATGTAACAAACCTGCATATCCTGCACATGTACCCTGCTACTTAAAATAAAAGTTGAAGGGAAAAAAAAAAAAGCAGCAGCTGTGTCCCTGCGGTCACTTTATCTTTCTAGACCTCAGCTTCTTATTTGTAAAATGTGATCCATGGCATAGCTTTTATTCAACAAAATTAAGATTTTGTTTTCTTTTTGTATTAGGTGTTGTATTAACAATGAAGGGTAGAGTGGTAAGCAAACCCAATACAGTCCTTTCCTGTACAGAGAATGTTTTTATATCTATGATGAGGTTAATAAGATATGGGAGACAGTAAGCCGGCCTTGGTGGCTCACACCTGTAATCCCAGCACTTTGGGAGGCCGAGATGGGCAGATCACGAGGTCAGGAGATCAAGACCATCCTGGCTAACATGGTGAAACCCCGTCTCTACTAAAAAAATACAAAATCAGCTGGGCGTGGTGGTGGGTGCCTTTAGTCCCAGCTACTTGGGAGGCTGAGGCAGGAGAATGGCGTGACCCCAGGAGGCAGAGCTTGCAGTGAGCCAAGATCGCGCCACTGCCCTGCAGCCTAGGTGACAGAGCGAGACTCCGTCTCAAAAAAAAAAAAAAATGTGGGAGACAGTACTATAAGGTCAGTGCAGTACACGAAACATGAAATATTTTGGTTTGGGAAGAATTAAATGAGTTTGCATTAGTTAAGTCATCCTGTCCAGGAACATGGTATAGTTTACTCTCCAGGTCTCATTTTACCTCCATTACATTTGTTACATTATTTTATAGTTCTTGTCAATATTTTGAGCTGAATAGTCAATTTCAGTTTCCAAATGTCTATTGCTAATATAAAGGAAAACTGTTGATTTCTATATTTCTTATACCTATTCATTTTACTAAATTTTCTTATCAGCTATAATAATTTTAAAAAAATTCTTAGACACTCTACACAATTCTCTTATCTGAAAATATTTTGAATTTAATCATTAAAACAATGTAAATAGTAGTGATTGAGGAACTTGATTTTGATGAATTAGAGTTTTAACTTAATATTATGTTTGCTGTTTGTGCTTCTAGTAAATGTCCTTTATACTGTTCTAACAGTTTGCCTTTACTCCTTTGCTTATAGTTTTTAAACTGAATGGCAGTTGAATGTAGTCAGTATGTTTCCATCTGTTTAATCACAGTTCTTCACCCTGAATTTATCAATGTCATTATTTAAATTGATGTTGAATCAGTTTTTTAATACAAATAGTCAATTTTTAACAATTTTTAAGTTATTCTCGTGCCTTTTCATCTCAAATTTTCTCACTTCTTGTGGCAATTTTGTTAATTTGCATTTTCCAAAAAGCATCCATTTCTTTTGGATTTTCAAATTCATTCACCCAAAACATGTCATATTCTTGTATACCTTTAATTTCCTCAGACTGTTATTATATCTTCTCTTTATCCTAATGCTGTAGATGTTCAGACTTACTAATTTTCTTTACTTTTACTCACTTTTTAATGTTACACTAGTTCTACATTTGTAAATTCAAATGTTTACTTTATTTGCAGTCCTTATTATAAAATCATTTAAGGCTCTGTGTTTTTCTGAATATAATTTTAATTGCATGTCATAATCTTTGAGAAAGTTCTTATTTTCATTAATTTCTGGGTAGCTTGTAATTTCAGTTTTGATTTCTTTTTTGGCCCAGTAATTTTTCATAAGTGTTTTTTCTTCAAATTTTAAAGGCTTGGAGGAGTTACTCTTTACATTGCTTTTTGGAATTTATTGGGTTTTCTTGGTGGCCAGGTAACTTGATTTTTTTTTCTAAACTTTACATGAAAATAAGATAATTTTATGTAAGATTGAGCTTGTTAGTTATTGTATTCGGATCTTTTACTTTCTTTGTGTGTTAGTTCTTGGAGACAGTGTGGTTTGTAGAAAGTGAGTAAGCATAGAATTTTAAAGACCTGAATTCTAGTTTTAGCTTTGTTACTAACAAATTGTGACCTTATACAGATTACTTTCTCTCTGTTGGTCTAATACAGTATGGTCCAGAAAACTCACTGTGATGATGGAGACATTCTATATGTGCTTGTACAGTATGGGAGCCATTAGCCACATGTGGCTTTTGAGTACTTGAAATGTGGCTAGTATAACTGGCAAACTCAATTTCTAATTTTGTTTAATTCAGATTTATATAGCCACATGTGGCTAGTCTAACTTATCAGACAGTGCATATATGATCTCTGAAATCAAGTTCTTGGATTCAATAAATCCCTAACAGAACCCAAAGCTAAAATTTAACCTCTAAGCTGTGGATTTACACATTTCTAAAGATGCTACTATGTAATGGGGAATTTTGAATACTTAGAAAAAAATCGATATTTGAGAGGTGGTAAAACTTCAACATTTTTCTACCTGGTTCAGGCTTCTAACACGTATAAGACCTAGAAATAATCTACATTTAATAATTTAGCCTATAGTGATCTTAAAGGCTTTGAAATGTGGAGAGTTATTTTAATGAGGATTTGCTTCTGAAAGTCAATGCTATGGTGAAAATCACATTCCAATATTGCTTCTGAGTATATTTTACTTCCTTGTCAAAAGTTGCAAAACACATAAAATCTAACATATGTTCTTCTCCCAAAGGGCGTTGGATCAAAAAAGAAAGACAAATTATAACTTATCTAGAAACTAATAAAAACTAAGAACTTTGTGTCAAAGCTTGAGGAATACAATTAAATTTATACTCAGAATAAAAAGAGAACCTTAAGTGCTTTTATTACTTGCAGAAATGATACATTGACCGCTTCTAGCTTGTGTGCATTCCTTACCTGTCTAATGCATGTGGTGGGGCATTGTTGAAGAACTTGCAGCACTCGATCATACTAGCAGCTGAGATGGGTATCAGCATTGGAACAGATGATCATGGTTATTGTTAAGGTCCAGATAGAGCAGTTGGCTTTTATTTGGGGGTCATATGACATGTGACATATATCCTTAAACCCTAGAGTCATCTTGATAAATTCACATTATGAAAGCAATATGGGATTGGGACTGAGTGAACATGCGTTTTCCATCTCCAGACCTCTTCTCTCTAAACTGAATGCCAGGCAAAATCATCAGTATTTTACATTTACCGTTCTCTCTCCCCTCTTAACCAGTGTAGTGGAATTATTTTAAGTAAAACGCAGAGTTTTTAACTTTGTTTCCAGTCAATTCAACACTACCCATATTACTATTTGATAGCTCTAGTAGATCATTGGAGTATTTGTACTAATACTTGATTTATAGAAAATTTTTAGATAATAAGATATTCCATCTGTAACTTTTTTACATTATCCAAATTTAGCTATGTAAGTACCAATTTCTAAATATAGTTATGAATAGAAAATTAGATAATCCATCTTTTTACATTTGTGCATAATTAAAGTAAATAGCTTCTGCATGAAGGCCTGACACAGACTCCTCATAAGCTTTGACTCAAGTACATGTTTTAGCCATTCACTATCTGTTTGGCATATTTCTGGATTATGATTGTAGCCTAGGACAGATCTAAATAACCAGACCCTGAAAAATTAATCCACAAATATTACAAAAATGGCTGTATTAAAAGGCAAAATTTTTCTTTTTTACTGCCATAACTTCATGAAAACAAACTTATTAACACTTAGAAACTTTATCTGCTAACATAATTCCATCCTGAATGTAACTTCTGCTTACAATCATGTAGTTTTTAGGAAACTTAATTTTTATAAATCATGGCTTTCAGTTTGGCAAAAGATGAATGGTTTATTTAGAAGCACATTGGAAAGCTTTGTAACTTTAGTCCTGAAAGATCTGACTGTATTTTTAGAAATTGTACATAGGACATCTCTAGGCTTGCTGTGTGCTTCTTAACAAAATTAATTAACACCATCCAACAGATTAGGAACAATAAGAAAGAAAAATAGTGCAATAAGTTCAACATAATGGACATTTTAAAATAGGAAGCATCTTTTATGGGGATTCGATTACCTCTTTCTGGAGGCTGGGGAAAAGACTTCAGCCAGTTTTTTTTCTGACTTGTTCTGTGACTTCAGGTGATGTATTTAGCTTTTCTTCATTGAACGGTTTTTTTTAAGACAGAGTCTCACTTTGTCGCCCAGGCTGGAGTGCAGTGGCACGATCTCGGCTCACTGCAACCTCCACCTCTCGGGTTCAAGCAATTCTTCTGCCTCAGCCTCCTAAGTAGCTGGCATTACAGGCATATGCCACCATGCCCGGCTAATAATTGTATTTTTAGTAGGGACGGGGTTTGACCATGTTGGTCAGGCTGGTCTCGAACTCCTGACCTCATGATCCACCCACCTCACCCTCCCAAAGTGCTGGGATTACAGGCATAAGCCACCGCACCCGGCCCCTTTTTTGTAAAGGAGAGCTTGTTACACATTCTACAAGCACATTTTAGGTGATGAGGACTATCTTTATATAATTGAGTTGATTAAAATATGTTCAGTATGAACAAAGTAGATCATAACAAGAAAAATAAGAATATTAAAAAATAGAAATGGTACATCATTTGTCATAGAACAGAGGTCCAGTCTGTATTTCCAATTTTCTCACACTGGTAACAATATGGTCAAAGAACATCGTTTTATAAAGTTCTAATGATGTGTATGATTTTTTTTTCCAAAGCTCTATCAGAATCTAAGATGTCTAGCAGCAAGATAGGCTTATCAACATAATGAATTGGATAGTAAAGTTTTTTCCATTGGGAATAAAAACAAAAATCCCACACATGCCGTTCTTAGATTTATCTTATTTATTCAGAGACTAACTCATGACTTTGTTATGCTAGCATACTCTGTTCTGGTAAATGTTGGATTCTGCAAAGAAATAAAGTTCAGTTACTACAAGAAAGTAAATCATTGTTGAACAAAGCACAGATTCATTTGACTTTCTCAAATTCACTTGTTTTCTGAGTCAGATTTTGCAAAGCCGTTTAGCAACAGGCTTAAAGAGTTACTAGGATTGCTCCTTACTGAGGGAAATCTGAGAACCATTTTGTTTTCATTTTGATGAAAAACAAAAAAACACAGGAACAGGCCACATACTGAGTTTTTTAAATAAATTTTTTGTTGTAAAAATTAAAATTAGTTTAGATTCACAGAAAAGCTACAGAGATAGTACAGAGTTTCCATATTCCCCCCACCCAGTTTTCCAAGATCCAGTTCAGGGTACTGCATTGCTTTTAGTTGTCATAGCTCCCTAGCCTTCTCTGATCTGTGCCAGTTTCTCAGTCTTTCCTTGTTTTTCGTAACTTTGTCAGTCTTGAAGTATTAACTGGATGTCATATAGAATGTCCCCCAATCTGGATTTGTCTGATGTTTTTCTCATAATTAGATGTGGGTTATGGGTTTTTAGAAAGAATATCATAGAAGTAGAGTGCCCTTCTTATATCAGGGGTTATAGGATACCTACATTGCATCCCTCATGATGATAATCTTTATCACTTGGTGAAGGTAGTGCTTACCAGGTTTGCTCACTATATAAAATTACTAGTTTTTCCCTTCCCTACTTCGTTCTCTGTGGAAGCAATTTAGTACCTAGTCCACCCTCAAAGATCTGGAGGGGGATTAAGCTCTACCTCTTGGAGGGAAACTGTGATAAGGAATATATTTTGTCTTTGATCCCCAGTTCCTGACACTGAGCTTCTAAAATGTTTGGAATTTCCTGAGCGATAGGGCCATAGGAGCATTTTGTTATTCATAATAAGCCCCTTTCAACCATACCTGAATTTACGCTAATGTGACTCTCAGTGGGCCCTTAAGTAGCTTCAATATGGAGCTGTTTGCCAGACAGACCAAGACATGATTAGAGGGTTGGAAAGTTCAGCCCCACACACAATCTCTAGGAAGGAGAGAGGGTCTGGAGATTGAGTTCAGTCACCAATGGCCAATGACTTAATCATGCCTATGTAATGAAATGTCCATAAAAACCCCTGAACGACAGGATTCTAAGTGCTTCTGGGTTGCTGAACACATCAGGGCTCTGGGAGAGTGGCATACCTGCATACAGCATGGAAGCTCTGTGCTCCTGCCCTCAAACCTTGCCCTATACATCTCTTCCATTGGGCCATTCCTTAGTTGTATCCTTCATAATAAACCAATAATAGCAAGTAAAATGCCTTCCTGAATCCTATGAGCTGTTATAGCAAATTATTGAAGCTGAGCGGGGGTTGTAGAAACCTCTTGACTTTATAGCTGGTTCGTCAGAGGTACTGGTGGCCTGGACTTGCTATCAGGGTTTGAAATGGGGAGCAGTTTTGTAAGACTGAATCCTTAACTTGTGGGTCCTGTGCTAATTCCAGGTAGTTAGGGTCAGAAGTGAGTTGAATTGTTGGGCACTCAGCTGGTTACAGAATTGGGTGGTGTAAGGAAAAACCCCACATATTTGATGTCAGAAGTGTTGAGTATAAACAGTTGAAGAAGTATTATGTATTTTGCAATTCTTCTGGAGAGAAGATTTGTCTCTTCTCTCCCATTTATTTAATCATATGTTTATATCAATATGTTCTCAAGTATGTTTTATATTTTGGTTGTAATACAATACCATGTTTATGTTATTTATTTATTCACTTATTTATTTATTTTATTTTTTGAGACAGAGTTTCACTCTGTCACCCAGGCTGGAGTGCAGTGGCGTGATCTTGGCTCACTGCAACCTCCACCTCCTGGGTTCAAACGATTCTCCTGCCTCAGCCTCCCTAGTAGCCTGGGCTACAGGTGCATGCCGCCACGCCCGGCTAATTTTTTGTATTTTGAGTAGAGATGGGGTTTTACCGTGTTAGCCAGGATGCTCTCGATCTCCTGACCTCGTGATCCACCTGCCTCCACTTCCCAGAGTGCTGGGATTACAGGCATGAGCCACTGTGCCTGGCCCTGTGTTTATTTTTATGCTCACATTGTTCCAGCCATAGCCATTGGGAGCTCTTTCAGGTTTGCTGGTCTACCCCTTTGTTGTCCTTCCATTCTTTTTGTTTTTCATTGAGCACTTCCTTACTTTCTGCTACTACAAGATGCTCATCTTATATTTCTTGTGCCCCTAGAGTCAACTTTTTCTTCAAAAGCTAATTCTCTAATAAGAGAACGACATATAGAAAACCAAGATCTGGGTGCTAGGTGTGCTTGTTGCTACTGGGCTATCATTGCTTCTAGCCCTTCTCAATGGACAGAGCTATGTAATATATGCACACATATTAACCCATGCTCATGCAGTTTTAAATAATAAACAACTTTCCATTTTAGACCATTTTCCTAAGGATAGAGGAAAAAAGTAACTCCTTACTGAATAACGGTCTCAAGGTGGTATCAACAGAATGTGTTTTCTTCCAAATACCAGACCTAGAAAATGGCATTCTTAGGATTAAAAATAGTGACATTTTAGCAATTACACCTCACCACCAAGTATTTTGCCACACTTGAGTTCCAGATGAATGTGACTGAGGTCATATCTGTCATATAGCTATATAGTAATGTTGTAAAAGGAATAAAGTCCTCTCACTTACTGTAACTCCTGCTTCTCATCTGAGAATGTACTAGCTTTAACATGTACCTTAACTTAGGTCCCTATAAAATGAAATGGAAGTAACTAGGGTTTTTATTCACAGGGATTTTAAAACACTGTTTTTTCACACATTTAACATTCATATCTGATATTATGAATGGTCAACGTTACTGAAACCATCAAGATCAGAAATTTAAAAGGTCTCCTATGAAATTCAGGGAGTTGAAACATTGGCCTATCAAGAAATGAGTTAAAGTTTGTATATTCCTATATATGCTTTTTACCTCTTCTGATCTTTCTTTGTATTTCACTTTGAAAACAATTTTCTATTCTATTCTCAGTTTTTCATTTTTTTTTGGCAGAGGGGTGGGGGTGGGCGGGTTGCGAAGGGATAAGGTCTCACTCTGTAGCCCAGGCTGGAGTGCGTTGGTTGGTGCAGTCATGACTCAGTGCAGCCTTGACCTCCTGGGCTCAGGTGATCCTCCCACTTCAGCCTCCCAAGTAGCTCATACTACAGGTGCATGCAACCACACCCAGCTAATTAATTTTTTTTTCTTTTTTCTTTTTTTTTTTTTTCGTAGAGACAGGGTTTTACCATGTTGCCCAGGCTAGTCTTGAACTCCTGGGCTTCAGTGATCTGCCTGCCTTGGCCTCCCAAATTGCTGAGATTGCAGGCTTGAGCCACCATGCCCAGCTGTTCTCAATAGTTTGATTTCTGCACTACCAAGTTCTTCACCAAAGCTTTTGTTTCACTATTACTTTGCTCTAAAGACACATCACTTTTTTTCCCCCATCTTATAGATTGCCTGGCACTGTTGACTTAAAAAGATAAGGTAGAAATTAATGCTCTTTGAATCTCCTGTTATATCTTTCAAAAATATTAACTTTGTGGCAAATCGCCCAAAGTCGTTCTTTTAACTGGTTTTGGTGTTGAAAGGAGAAACTGTGTTTTTCCTGCCTGTGATGATAGGACCCTCCCAGAGTGACATTGTGCTTCAGCATTCTCTGTTGCCTCCAGAGATGGGTCATTCTCACAAGGAGGATGTGCTTTTCCCTTTTGGGACTCAGACCTGAGACTCATTCCATGCACTGAGTCTGTGTGGAATGATGTTACCTAGGAGGCCCATGGTTCTCCTTGTCCTGAGAGTAGGGTGTGCATTCTTAGCAAACCGGTGGTTAGACTTGCCTCCACATATGAAAAGCACTGGGTTCCTATTTCACAGAGTAAGGCTTGCACAGGAGAACAAATTAAGACTCCAACACAGAGTTATCAATTTGCTGTGAATGTCATAGCTATTAATTCCCAGTAGGTACTTAAGCAGTCATTAAACGGGGTCATCAACTGAATCCAGAGGACATCTTGAGATAAACAGTAGTTATTAATTTAATGTAGAATCAAAATACTTTGTATTCTTCCACCCAGTCCTATAATACTTGCTTAATAGGGCACGTACATTTATTATACATAGCATGATCTTTTGCAATTGCTCTTAACTGCTTTTTTTTTAACCTTTAAAATTTATCTTCTGTGTTACTTTCTGATCCTTTCTATTGTGGAAAAAAACACTGGTAATGATTTCAATTTATTAATGTTCTTTCAGTCACTCTCTCTCTCTTTTTTTTTTTGTTTTTTTTAATCTCATCCACCTGTCAGTGATGGCGGTGTAATTACATTAAGTCTAATTGTGCTCTTAGAGCTTTGCAGACAGTGGGAGGAGGTGATGGAGCAAGTATGTGCTGCCCATGGTTCTAGTTCTCATTCCCTCCCCCTTCTCCCCAACCAACCCACATCCTCTTTGAGGAATCAGAAAATAAACTTTCTGAGAACAAGTATTTCCTGATGACAAAATAAATAGTAATAATTCCATATTCCATGTGAACGAGTTGTTGAGGAGATTAATATATTTTAGTACATGCAGACACATAAATGATGTTTTTCCATTTGTATTTTAGTTTCCTATTTTGTAATGACTATTGGAGACCTCCTAAAAGTATAAACCTTTAAAAAATTATGTGATAGTAATTGTGACCATTTAAACCTCACCATTAGAACATAGGTTGAACCAACCATATGAAATTCCTGTATTTGCAGGTCATACATGCTCCTATGTGAGCAATTTCATATGATTCTAATGCATTTCTCTCAGCGATTCAGTGGAAGGAAGAAAATAACTTATCCCTGGATTTTTAAATATGTAATTTATTCTGTTTCTGGGTAGTATACAGGCCCAGAAGCTCCAGTGCTTAGCTATATTCAATAAACTCAAATAACTTAGAGTACCTTTTTATTTATCCTGAAACACTTGGTCATGCTCTTTCCATCAATGCCTTCTGTAAGAGGCCTGATAAAACAAGCTGAATTCACTTAGCCATATTGTCTGATGTTTGTTTTCATCTCTGTAGTATTATGAATAGACTCTATGAAAACTGCAACTGCAGCTTCAGAACAGAGCTAGGAGTACGTTTTTCTCTTGCTGTCCATTTTCAAAATCTAACAAATAGATCAGAGTGTTAGTCTATGTGACCTTATACAAAGAGCTTAACCAATCCAAAGTGCCTTAATAACAACAAAAAAAACTTTGTCACACATTGATTGTACCTTGAGAAGAGAAAATACATTGGTTTCATAGTTCTAACTGTTCACTTAATAAATACTTATTAATTTCTTATACAGAGATGGAGTTAATTACCTTGTATAATTAATGACAATTTTGTATGCATTGGAATTTTTTCTTGGAGCAATGAGGTTTCATAAGTGAACTATGGAGACCCTCTTGAATGGTATTTACATTTTACAAAATGAGAGAAATTGGTGTAATTAATAGCTAGGAACAGAACTCATTTTTCTTATTTGAAGTTAATTGATTTCTTTAAGAATCAAACCTATTACATTTGTGACATTTTCTAACCTGCATAAAGTGGTTTGTCTGGACTATCTTACAATAGATGAATGAAGACTCTGATCATGGTAATAAAGTGAGTTTCACTTACATTTTTGTTTGTTCAGGTTCATTTGCAATAGACAATGTGTTAGAGAAACTTGATGTGGTTTTGGTATAGTTTCTGGTATGAACTAGTATAGATAGTTTCTGTAAAGTAATTTTTTATTTTCAAATATTCTGCCTGGAGTCAGAAAATAGCACATTTATCAAATCTAATGTATACAATTATCATAAAATCATTTTGAATTGATACACATCAGTGGTTCTGTTAGTTATATTTATTATAGTGGAATTTATAAAAATGGATTTTACCCTTTGTGAATATTTGAAAGAAAACAGAAGTGGTAGTTTTAGGATTTTAGAATTTGCATTTTTTATTTAATTTGGCCTCAGAAACATTGAGAGGGCATTCAAGACCTATAAGCTATTAAAAGCAGGAGTTTTGTATGCTTAGTGAAAAGCACAGAACACCTAACAGGTATTAAGTAGATGCTTAATTAATGATTAATAGTTGGGGTATCCAGTTTCTTAGGACTTTTCCTTGGGTGTCTTATAAATGATTTTTCTCCCCACTTGAAAAAGCAAATTCAGTGTAGTTCAGATATGTATTAAATAACATTTATTTAACATTCAGCCCTGAAGAAGATATTTAAAAAATGTCCTTAGTAGGGTCAATTTTGAAGGACACCATATTTTCTTCTCTATAGCTTTGCAACTTCCTGAGGTGAAGTTTTAATTTTACATTTTATTTTAGCCACCTCTTTTTTTCTTCTTGCTATCATTTTCTCTGTAGGTAATGTCCCTAGCTTTGATTACTCTCATTAGTACACCTTAATATCTTTTTGATTCTGTATTTTTTAGAAACAAACTTGAAGATGGAATTCAGTTTACTTAAATACATAGTGAAAACAAGCTATCATGTATTAGCAACTGCACTGGGTTGAAGGTGAACAGGGAAGGCAAAGGGCTCATAGTCTAATGAGCAAGGGCTGGGCGTGGTGGCTCACGCCTGTAATCCCAACACTTTGGGAGGCCAAGGCAGGCGGATCACCTGAGGTCAGGAGTTCGAGACCAGCCTGACCAACATGGTGAAACCCCGTCTCTATTAAAAATAAAAAAATTAGTGGGGCATGGTGGGCGCGTGCCTGTAACCCCAGCTACTTGGGAGGCTCAGGCACAAGAATCACTTGAATCCAGGAGGCGGAGATCCTGCCACTGTACCCCAACCTGGGCAACACAGCAAGACTCTGTCTCAAAAATAATAATAGTAATAATAATAAGCAAGATGATATCCTACATCTGTGATAGGTGATTTTTTTTTTACTTGAGTCACGGTTTCTCTCTGTCGACCAGGTTGGAGTCCAGTGGCTGCTCAGCATGGCCTTGATTTGCTGGGCTCAAGTGATTTTCCTGCCTCAGCTTCTCGAGTAGCTGGGACCACAGGCACACATCATCCCATCTAGTGACTTTTTTTTTTTTTTTTTTTGGTAGAGATAGGGTCTTTCTATATTGCCCAGGCTGGTCTTAAACTCCCGGGCTTAAGTGATCCTCCTACCCCAGCCTCTAAAATGTCCAGATTACAGGTGTGAGCTACCACACCTGGCCCTGTGACAGGTGGTCTTGATTAGGTGGTAAGGCACAGGCACTGATTAATCAGAACAGATGTGAGAAATCAGAACAGATTTGAGAACAGATGTGAGCACTGGTAGTCATAGCTGCATGGGGTCTTGGAGGCTCCCTATTGTGTTTTTAATTATTAAATTTTGGGGGGAAGGGTGGTTAGAGAGAAGGGAGGTGTCTCATAAGGGAGAGATCATAACTACTTGTATGGCCTTGTCACTACCTGCCACTACAACATCAGCCCTGATCTTAAAGCTGATAATGTGGTAAATTTTAAAATGGGAATATGCAAGTATGCTGTGAGAGGTTCCTAAAATAATCATGTGGATAGCGTGGGACAGAGGTCTGTGAACACTTCCTGAGAGAAGTCATCATGATTGATACATAAAGAATAAGCCGGAGCTCACTTCATAGTATGAAGGAGAAACCTCAAGGCATGTGGGAGCCATATGCTATGTACAAGCAACTCACTATTCCTGGCATGGAAATGGGAACTGGGGTGTGAGGAAATGAAGAGGGGAGGGTCCAGGTTATTACAGACCTTGAATGCCAGGCTGAGGTGCTTGGACTTTACCCTGAAGCGCTGAAGGGTTTTATGCAGAGGAGCAACGTATTCAGATGCGCATTTTAGAGAGGCGGTTTTTGTGGCTGCAAGTTGGACAGAGAGGGACAAAGCTGGACACATGTTGACCAGTAAGGAGACTACTATAACTCTTTAGGGAGAAATCATGGGAATCTTAGCTAGGATGAGAAAAGGTCAAGCTCAAGAAATGTTGGGAGAAGTGGAGTTCTTAGTAGTTGAGCGACTGATTGGATGTGGGTTATGAGGGAGAGGCAGGAGACAAGGAGGTTTCTGATTTGGATCTTGAGGTGGATGATTGGCCATTAACTGAGCCAGGAAATTTGCAGGTGGGTGAGATTTGCCTTTATGAAGATACTTAATTTAGTTTGGATCATATTGAGCTGAGGCATGTATTAATATAACAGAAGTTTTTATTTCTCATTCACCTAGAACCAAATGAGTATCCCTAATTGTCAGGCAGCTCTCTTCTGTGCAGTAATTCAGGGATTGAGATTCCTTCCATCCTACAGCTCCACCATTTTCAACTTGTAGTTTGCGGAAGGTAGAAGAATGTGGAGGATTGTTCTTGCAAGGTTTTATGGTCCAGACCTGGAAGTAGTATACATCACTTTCACTTTCCATTGTCCAGAACTTATTCCATGTGACCAATTGTAACTTCAAGGAAGGCTGGAAAATGTAGCCTAACTATGAGCTCAGGAATAAAGGAACAATTTTGGGAATCAGTTAACAGGATGTGCCACAGGGTGACAGGGACACTTTTGGATATCGAAGTCTGAAACTTGCAGCAAAGACCTTAGCTGGAAATGTGGTTTTAGGACTCATCAGAGACAGGGGCAGTTCATATGATGAAACTAGATGGAGTCACTCTTGGAGAACAAGTAGGCAAGAGCTGAGGACAGAGCTGTTAATTTGGCCAACATATAAAGTGTTCTGGGAAAAAGGATGCTAGGTAGAAAACTGAAAGCCTCAATAGCAGTAGGAGGAACCAGGACCATAGAAGCCCCTAAGTGGAGGATTTCAAGGAGTGAATGGAAGACACTGTGATATGCAGTAGATAGATATAGGAATGTAGACAGATATATAGTAGACACTATATATATATATATATATATATATATATACACACACATATATATTAGATACTAGATAGATATATAGTAGACACCACAAGGTGTCTACTCAATCAGATGATTAACTATTAGAGACGTGACTGAGTAGAGTTCTCACTTCAAGGGCACAGTCAAGCAGAAACAAGATTTTCTCTCTCCAGGGAATTAGCAGAGAGGAGCCATGGAGAGAGGATGGAGAAACTGGAGCAATGGGGCTAATTGATGACATAGAGCATCCCTGAGAGAACAGGAACAAGAGAGCTTATTAAAATAAAAATTTGAGTTTATCAGAATACTGCTCTTTTGACATGCTTTTTTGAAAAGCCCTTATAATGATTGATAACTGATTTTTATTGTAAGTAATTTTGCTAACCTAACAATAGAGAATATAATTATATTTCTCGTTCCATATTAGTTGGTTTACATAATCAATTCACCTGTCCTAGAAAATGCCATTAATCTTTGAAAATAACTTTTTTTGGTTTTTTAAAAGAAAGTGTAACACAGAAAAGAGAAATATTCTCATGTAACTGTGCTATAACTGCTATACTAAGGCAAATTTTAAGTCTCTTATTTTTCCTAGAGAAAGGTGTTTATAACCTGTTACTATATGTTTAAATTAATGTTATCTTTCTCAGTTTTCCTCTCTCCTACTCTTTAGCTAGGAGCATGCTTAGAGGACTATTTCTTTTCTAGAGCATTTTTTAATAATGGGGAAGACAGATATAAAGAGGCTTACATTTGGATTGAGGTGGGTACTTAATGTTCTGGTATTTAATATTGAGCAGTAAGAGCTAGTTTTATTAATAAATCATTCTACAATGATCTTTCCCTTTGACTTCCAATAGATTCACACTTTCTACTATGGCATATAGCATTACTTTAAAATGCTTTTAAAATTGTTTCTATATATTATAAATTGTTTCTCACTTAAGACCAGAATATTTAGAGGTAACATCTGGAAATGAGCCATTACTGTTTATGTACTAATGATAAAGGTAACGGCAAGAATGATTTTCAGTGTGTTTTGTACTTTATTTTAAACAGCATTTCACAGAACCATTCAAATGCATTCATTTTTCCTTTTTGTAAAATCCTTAAAATATCACCAAAGATCATGTTTACAACTTGAATTCCTGTTGTTGTTGTTGTTTTTTTTTTTTTTTGGAGTACAATGTAATATTGATACTTTGATGTGTTGACTTTTTAATGTTACTGAATTTATAATAGTTTTTCTCTTACTTTCTTTAAAATTCTAGTATTAGGAAATAGGATCAAAATAGGTGAAATTATTGATTTCAGCTTAAATCTATTTTCTAGAAAAAAGTGGATCATCATATTCATCTTTTATTTCTAATTCCTATCTTGGTGCCTGGTTTATAATAGATTCTGAGTAAATACTTGTGAATTGAGGATACTTGAATCAGTATCTTTAGAAAGGTTGTATAACTGTTGTGATGGAGCATGCGGCATTGCTAGCTCATTTTATTGCAGAATCTTTCCATACTTGCTATCAGGGTCAATCCTTAACAGCAAAAAGATGAGTTGGCTATGAAATGAGCATCCAGCAATCATCTCTCCATTATGCTAGCCAGAACGCATTTCAGAACTAGAGTTGCATCCTTTAAGAAATGTATGTTTGCTGATGAGATTTTAAAGAAAGCCATACTTTGTGTCATGCTGGCCCAATGCTTCAATCATTCCCAGAAGCTCTTCTTCATTATAGGCCTATTTTCCCCAAGTATCACTTTCCCTCTGTGACTTATTTAAAGATATATTTTTAGCTCCTTAATCTCCCCATTTTATCAGCTTCTTGTTCTGTATGTTGAATTAGGATGTTGAATTTTGGGGATGAAGATGAGGGATGGGGGTGGACTCTATATTCCCCTGTTCAGCTATTCACTTAACTTGTAGTGCTCTCATCTTCTCAAAATTCTTTCCATCCATTCATTCACTCACTCATTTTATTCACTCAGCAATCATGTTTTACCTCTGCAAAATGTCAAGCAGTGTGTTGGACATCTGGATAGAAAGGTGAATTACTCTGCCTAGGACAGCATCTGACATAGTCACCTCACTCAGGGAGCAGTAGTAAAATGTCCCCTTAAGAGCTTTGCTCAGATCCCCTTCTGTTGTGCAGCTATAACAGTTCTAATTTGACACTGAATTCTCACCCTTCCATATAATTTGGGCACCACTTTAATATATTAGTCATACTAGCTTCTGTAACAAATAAACCCTTCAGTTTGAGTGGCTTAGCACCCTGTGCACTTATTTTTTTACTCATTTTGAATGGTGCAATGTAGTTCCAAAGAAGTGGGCTGTGCAACAGATGGTCCTTTAAGGACCAAGGCTGAAGGAAACTCAGCCATCTTCCAAAGTCGCTTTGGATGTCAGCGTCCAGATTGCAGAACGTGAAAAAACATGAACTGCATGAAAGAGATTTTTGTAGGCCAGAGCTGAAAATCATAGATGTCACCTCCATTTTTTCCATTGTCTGGAACTCAGGCACATGGCCACCCCTAACTGGAATAGAGATCTGGGAGATGCAAGTGGTGGGGACCCAAAAGAATGCCTAGCTAAGCTGGAGTGAAGGATGATGATGCATTTCCCGCTTATGTCAGGGAGTATGCCTTGTATAACCCTGTTTTATTTTCCTCCTGGTATAAATAGAACGCCTTTTCTTCTTTTTAGTAATGGACTGTTTCAGAAATCCTTTGGGAATTGAAATGGAGGGAAACATTTTATTTTCTGTTTCCAATACAGTGAACACACTAAAAGCAGAAAAACCAGATATTTGAAGGTTTTCCTGTGACCTGCTAGAAATGCTATTAAAAGATACTGCTCTTATCTTTCACAGTATTGCTCTTACCACCTAATGGGCTACTTGTGTGAATCCCCTCATTTGGGAATCTCCCTGAGCTACTTCCTTCCCTGCCTGCTTTCCCAGCCACAGTTAGCAGTTGCATCCTCAGTGTTATACCTTTGTTGGTTTAATTCATTCATCCACTCACT
The DNA here is from genome assembly GCF_000001405.40 of Homo sapiens. Lineage (NCBI taxonomy): Eukaryota > Metazoa > Chordata > Mammalia > Primates > Hominidae > Homo > Homo sapiens. Next base: position 41,764,719 of record NC_000005.10, on the reverse strand, counting down.
CATCCAAATATTTATAATGGAGAGAAGAAGAGAAAGAGGGAAGGCAGGGAAAGAGAACAGTTGAAATTCACTGTGATAGCATTACATACTGAATAGTATAAAGGCTTAGGGAAAAGACACTTATCTGTACTTTGTGATAAGAGAGAGGTGAAAATGTTCCTTTTAGAGGAAGGAAGTGTAGTCTGAGTCTTTTAGTATTCATGGATACTTTTCCTTCCATAGGCAACAAGCTTTTCCAGGAGAAGGACCTTGTTTTGATCTGACTCTAGCACCCTAGTATACAGCAACACTTATACTAGACATTCAGTAAGTTGAATTGATTGAAGATAAGTGAATACATTTATAAACTCTATTTATTACACGTTTGCATACATCATCTCATACAGTGCTCACCACAGCTCTATGGTAGGACAGATATTCTTATTCCTGGTGTACAGATAATGAACACAAATTCAGAGAGATTTGGTGTTTTGCCATTGACTCATAGTTAACAGGCTAGATCTCAGGTGTTCTGCATCTAATCTTGTGCATTTTTCACTCTTGGAAACAAGCATTAAATTTAAGAATCAAAATAGTGCTTTAAAGGTTGTAACATGTGCTTTGGAAATGAGACATCAAGCCAGCTGAATCTCTTTGAGTGAAGGCTATTCACTTATATTGAGTCAAGAGTGTTTTTAACAAAAACAGACATGCTTGGTCTACCATGTTTCATAGTGTGTTATATTCTTGCCAGCACACTGGTTTGTACCCTGCAGGGCCTCTATACATATTTCTAAACTAATTGACAGTAATTTAAAATGTATAAATCAGATTCATCTAAATTGGGCAGGCTTCCTTCTTGTTAGAGGCTGTCATAAGTTTTTACCTATGTAACCATTTTGTCACAGGGGACAGAATTTGCCTGTGGTATATTCTAATTCAGGGACTTTTTTTTAATTCAAAGAGTTGTTAACTCTCTAGCTTGGTTTCTGGTTTTCTTTGGCTGCTGCCTTTTCATTCTTCCAGCGCTCGCCCCCTCAGTCTGCCAAGGACACTATGTATAGAAACTGAGACTGCCTGGATGTTCTTACCATAGCAGATTGACACATTTTATCATAGGGTTGCTTTAGTGTCTTTTGTTGCTCTACAAATCTCAAACTTTCTCATTAGAATTTGATAGGCATTGATTGCTTCCATCTCTGACTTATTTATATTTTGTACGATATCAATGTTCTCTACAGAAATATTATGACCAACTTAATAAATTGGCCCCAGTTTATTAGGGTTGCAGCTAAGAATGAAGGCATTGCTTATAGAAGTTTAAAAGTATGCATTTCCACATTATGTTCTGCTTCAAACGGTCTGAAACCAGGCTCATTTTGTACTCTGCATTCTCTCCCCTGCCACCCTCATCCCTTGTCCCCCAGCTGTTGCCAGCTGCCATCTATCTTATTTACTGACAGATTCCAAACCACAAAAATGTGGTGACTACTTCTTTTCTTCATACTGCTCATCTAATTCATGTTCATGTTCTGTTTCATTGACCTGTAAAATGTCTCCAAAATCATGGAATTCGAGACCGTGTTTTAAAGCCATGTTGTGTGCATTTCTTGATCTCCTTATAGCTCTAACATTATCAGAAAGGAGCTAAGAGCCCTCTAAGACTTTACTGGCAAATCAGCAAGAGGACTTGGGCTAAAAAATAAATAAAATTTTAAGGAGGTTTCAGTTCAAAGACATTTCTCCTCAATATACTTGAGTAAGAATCATTTTATCATCTCTGGAAACACTTGCTTTTTCCAGAACTCTGTAAGCAGGAGACAGAATAGACGGATGGACTTTTTCAGAGCATGTGGTACATAGAAGGTGGTTGGTAAAAGTATAATGAATGAAGGGATGGCCAGATGATCAAAAATAGAATGATAATGGTGAAATGATCCTGAACTCTGTTTCTGTGTTCTGTTTTTGCTTAGCAAGAATGTTTTTTATTTTATTTTTCTAAGCGCAAGATAAATGCCAAGTGTTAGAAAGACAGAGCCACCTTTCATATTAGCCATTACTAGAAAAACACCATTCATGCCTCAGCCTACTACTACATAATGGAATTTTAATCTGCAGGAAATCCAAGAGTACTTTAGAAAGTGCCCTTAATTGAAGACTCAGTAGAGTTGATTGTGTTTAAAAAGAAGTGGATGTCAGGGGTGTTTGGATTTCAATCTGATAGTGTAATAATAGTAATGTCCCAGAATTCTGGAAAGGTTTTTAATTTTTTTTAATCCACTGATTGTCTTATTGCTAAAATGTCAAGAAAATCATATTAGCCACACTTAATAAAAGTGATGTAATGTTTATCCTGAACTTTATCCTTCAACCACAGAATAATAGAGTGACAGAATATTAGGTTATAGAACTTCAAGCACTAAGCAATGAAGGACAATGAGTTTTTAATGATTCTAGTAGCTTATTTTTGCAAGTTAATTTTGTTCTGTCACATACAAAAGAAGTGAAAGATACAGAGCTATTTATTTTTTGTTTTGCAGGGGAAGATGGTGAAAGGAATGGGAGGTGCTATGGATTTAGTGTCCAGTGCGAAAACCAAAGTGGTGGTCACCATGGAGCATTCTGCAAAGGTAACATGTACTGTGCTCCCCAAATACTGCTTTTGGAAATTTGCAATACATCAAAACCCAGTGTACCACCAGGTCACCTAACTGTGGATTTTATTTTCTCTGGCTCATTCAAGGTGATAGCATTTACATTTGAGAGAGAAAGATGACAAAAACAGTTACTTATTATTTATTTAGCTAAATGGTTAACTTTGAGTGAAACCAAACATCAGCATGTTCTTCAAATATTTGTCCTGCATACCTATTAAAAGTAAAAGCTTTATGCATACATATTAAAAGTAAAAGCTTTAATATCTCCAAAGGAAGTGAAAAGATGTCTGTATGGATGTATTGATTCAGGTTTTAAGATGATTATAGTGGTTGCTATCTGTGCGTGAAATGAAAAGCCACAACAGAACATACATCTTAACAACAGTTATTTTCAAATGGACCATATGGCCCTCAAAGCTGTGAGGTGCCGTATCCAGAAGATGTTACAAAATAATGGACTAGGTGATAGCTCTGAAAGGTATTATACTTTTATTTTGATAAATCATTAAATATTTGAGTGCCTGTTACATGCTAGGCATGCTAGGATGTGGCAGTGACCAAAACTGGACAAAAATTACTGATCTCATGAAGCTTACATTCAGTCTTTTTCCTCTTCCTTCACATTGCAATAATAATAGCTACCATTTTTTAGTGTTTACTGTGTGCCAAGAATACACCAAGCTCTGTGTATATGTATGGGCCCATGAACTTGATATAAGTGCTCTTAGTATGTCCAGAAACAGAGCTTTAGAGAGGTTAAGTAACTTGCCCGAAGTTCTGTTAGAACTAGTAGAACTCTGATTAGACCTGGTGTCTCTGATTCCAAAGCCCAGTTGTCTCACCAAGGAACTATCAGTGTAAGTTTCTTCCTTGTTCCTGACTCAGTGTCTTTGGACGAACTGAGCTTAATTGCCTTCCTAACCTGAACCCATTGGCTTCTACTGATTTTAAAAGTTGATATTGAATGCTTTCTTCATCTTCTTTGCCTTCTCTTCATCCTCCTTTATTCTTTATCATTCTTAGTTTTAAAATCTACCTCTTCTCACTTTGAGACCTGCTAATCTGAGTGGAAATGACAGTTCATTTGCCCTCTTTTTGTTTAGTGATGCAGCATTATGTTAAAGCACGGAACTAGAAGATTCACATCCCACCTGCTTCCCCTGGGAAAGTTTGGTTACAGAGAAATGTATGCCACAAAATGATTTTGTTGTGAAAACAGCTATAAATATGTGTTATCATAAATTGAGTAAACAGTGGGAGGTGAGCAGTGGTGCATAAATATGGAATAATAGAAATGGTACCAGCACAGGTGACTTCTGAGAATGCCTTGCAAAGCATCCAAAATACTTCATTTCAGAGGCAAGAGGATGCCAAGCATGCAAATCAAATCCAAATCTTTTCTGGAAAATAATGTCTATTTGGAAAAAACTCTTTCAGACTTTCTTTTTGTTGTGAACCTTAATATTGACACACGAAGGCACTGAAGTTCAACTTATTTTAGTTTATTTTTGTGTATTTGTTTTCAAAACATTAGGCCTATATTTTGCAAATTCTTTTCTTCCACCCAAGTCCTTTCTTTCTCCTCAGCTGGAATTTCTGATAGAGGAAAATAAATGATGCCACCAACTTCAGACTAGAAATATCTTATTAAAGCTTTCCACAGAAGAAAGATCATATTTTTTACTTCTTTCCTTCTCTCAGTGGGGAAATTAGCACTGAGTTTTAAAACAGAATTGGAATGAGGTATTTTTCCGTAGATAGTTTCATTTCAACAAACCAATAAAACAATGTACTTATGATTAAAATAATAGTAATGAATTATTCACAGTAAACAGTTAACCTTTGAAAAATAATCAACAGTTTCTCTTCTCACACATTTTACTTGTGGCTCTCGAATATGTAGCTGCTACTATTTTGTTCACCTGGACTCATGGTTACTGGCCCAGCTCAAGGGAAGACAGGGAACCTGCTATTTCTTTTTTGCATCTTTTGCTTTGGTTAAAAGTTGAGAAGAGCTGGAAAAGAGGTAGGGAAGAGAGTTTTTTCACTCCTGGTAATCTCTTCAGTTAAGAATCTGTTCTTTTAGATATGCCAGGTAACTTCTGCTGCCTTATGATTAAGTGAACAGCCTAGGGGAGCAATCTCTAGAGTTTTGTAAGACATGGGAGTAAAGTTTGCAAAGAAGGATTAAAACCTGAGAAATATAGTCTTGTATTCTTGTGCTGCTGTTTTGCTGTTTTTTTTGTTTGTTTGTTTTGTTTTGTTTTTTCTGTAAGTGGATAGAGCTATTAACTGGTTTTCGGGTAGGGCTATCTATTTCCTTATCGATAGGGTTACAGTTAATTTGCAGGTTGTTTATAAATATAGCATTGCTTGGCTTTGTAAAAATGTGTTTTTTGTTGTTGTTTTAATAAGACAAAGGAAACTCTTGCAACCAGTTACTGCCTTTAGTTCAGACTCCAGCAGCTTCTAAAACCTGAGACCTGGCTACCTACGGGTGCTGCTCTGGAGTAACACCTGCCCTCAGACTACCTCTGCAACGTATGTCAGGCACACGGGTCAGACTGGCATTGTAACTTGATTTTCATTTGAGCCTAGACATCAGAGTTACAGGCAAAGTTTTGAAGTAGGCAAAGTTTTTTTTGGTGTCCAGCCACCTTTCTTCTTAAGCTTCTTTTTCATTTCTAGGTATATCTTATCTTCTGCCCTTTAAAAATGTGAAGAAAGGAAAGGAGTAACAATCTGAGTCCTTACCAGGTGGAGGTGCTGTGCTTGGCACTGCATATGCTTAATCTCATTGATCCTCTGAAGTAAGGTTGAGATATGGGTATTAAGAAGCTTATCCAGGAAAGTGACAGAGCTGGAATTTGATTCAGTGTGGTGCAGCCTGTGTTCATACTGCACCATGCCACATCCTCACAAAGCTACCTCTGCACCAGCGTCCCACCCACATCTGCCCTTTCAGGAAGCTTCAGGTTTTTTTTTTTTTTTTTCATTTTCCCTGGACAAAGCTCTCTTTGCTTAGGTGAGACTTACATCAGCAATATGTTTAAAAGAAAATAATCCAAAAATCTAATTATATCTTCTAATACCTATCTCCATTTCTTCCTTTTTGCATTAGACTCCTCCCTGTTTTATCTGGGCACACAGATAAACCCAGTGACTGGCTACATTTCCTAGCCTTCCTGTGCATAGATACATCCATGCTACCAAGTTTGGGTCAGTGGGATTTGAGTATTTATGATGTATGTAATTTCTGAGGTATGTCTTTAAAGTTAAAGCCAATTGCATTAAATTTTCTATGCCCCCTCTGTCTGATAAAGGCCTTGACTGCAGCAGCAGCCTTGGGTACAAACCTGTAAACCATGTGCTGCGGGTTGCAGAGCTGCCTCCACCACTTGTATCCATAGATAGATTCCCCATTCCTTCCTTTATGGGTTCCCTCCAGAACTCTTTATAATGCCCTCTGCTCTGCAGCCTTCTAAGGTGCCATCTGAATCTTTGGTACCAACTACTATTTTTCACTCAGTGGCTCCCTCCACCACTTGTATCCATAGATAGATTCCCCATTCCTTCCTTTATGGGTTCCCTCCAGAACTCTTTATAATGCCCTCTGCTCTGCAGCCTTCTAAGGTGCCATCTGAATCTTTGGTACCAAGTACTATTTTTCACTCAGTGGCTCCTTAATCATTTTTCCACACTAGAATCTTCTGATCAGCCATAGAACTATATTTCTAACTTCCTATTACACAACTCCACCTGGTTGTTCCACAGCCACCTCATCTGCAACAAATTTTGCCAACTAAATCATCATTCCCCCTAAATATGTTCTGCTTATTTGGCCCAACTAGAGAAGTGATGATCTCCCAGTTATCATTTGGCAGGGCATCCATGGTCCCTCTCTGCCCCTACCCCTACGTACACCAAGCACTATAAATATTGCATCAATGTGACTCTTGTAGTCTGCTCCCCACTATGTATTTCTACTCTGTTTATCCCTGTTAAGGCCTTCTTTACATCTGCATAGATCACTACTGCAGCATTCCAAAGGTCCCTGACTGCTGACTGCCCCTACGTCCTGGTAATCAAGCACACGACTGCCAGATTGACTAGTCTAAAACTAAAGCTAGATGAAGTTGTTGCTATTTAAAATCTGTAAACATAGTCAACACTGCTTGGTTCTACTTAGCCCATCTGCCTTTGCGATTCGCTCCCCAGCAGCCTATCTCATCCTTGCCCGCAGAACTTAAGGTCTACTAAGATCTACAGAAAGGCATCATGGTGTTTCCCATTCTTAGGTGTTTGTACATTCAGTGCCCACTCCCTCTTTATCTGGCTTATTCCTACCTCTGTAAAATCATAGATGAATGAGCCAATGTTTTATGAATTTGCTGGTTTAGTTCCTTCTGTCCTCTCGACATTGTGAATGACCAAAGGAATATTCTTTGATGTTTTGTCTTGAATTTTGGTAAAATTACCTTCTGAGTATGTTAATTTACTTGTTTATTCAGACATAAAATATTTACTGAGGACTTGATATGTACAAAGTACTATCATAGGCTCTGAGGAAATGAAAAAAGATATGGTCCTTCAGGCAGCCCAGTCTTATGGGGGCAGAGTCATGGAAATCAGTACTTAAGATGAAAGGTGAGCAAAGCAGAGCCTGCAGAACCTGGCATCTCATTCCCAGTTCCATTGTTGGGGAGCAACAAAGAGGCTTCCCATGGGATGTATGGAGTATTTGCAGGAGATCTGAGGGATGGGGCAGCTTGACAGGGATTAAGTGTTGCAGGAAATAAAAGAATAGACACTGGTGTGTGGGAGGATGGTGCATGTTAAGAGATTTATAATTAGGTCCCTCTAGTCAAAGAACAAAGCGAGAAAGGTTGAGTGGGAAAAAATATACTCACACTTAAACACACACAGTGGCCAGAGTGATTTTTTTCGCCAAAATGTAAATGGGATCATGCTACTTCTTTGTTGGCTCAAAAACCCTCAATGGCAGCTCAAAAACCCTCAATGACTTCCCATCTCACTTAGATTCAAGTCCAGAGTCCTTACTATTGTCTCCAAGACTTCCATGGTTTGTAGACTCCCCCTGCTTTGCCACCCCAACTGCCTCTCTGAATCTGTTATCTCTCTTGCCCACTTAACTTCACCCTCACTCACTTCCTGAAAGTTTCTAGAACATCGTAAGAATATCTTGCCTTGGGACCTTTGCATTTGTTATTCTTTATGCCTAGAATACTTTTTCCTAGCTATCCACATGGCTCACTGCCTCACTTCACTCAGACTCAAAATACCAGAGAAGCTTTCTTTGACTACCTTATTATATACAACAGAACTCTTCCGTCTTCAGACGATCCTTTCTCCCCCTTCTTCAGCAGAATGCAAACTCCATGAAGACAGGGGCTCTGTTATAAGCACCGAGTAGAATAGAGCCTTATGTACATCATGGCTCAATACATACTTGTTGAATTAATTTTTCAAGTAATCCACCTTGAACATATAGAAAGCACTTCTAACTTTTCCAAGTTGTTACATGCTTCTGTCTCCATTTTATCATTATAACCCTCTCATGAGATGGTTCTTGATATTTTCTTTCTAGAGGCAGAATTTCATAGAGGTTAAGTAACCCAATAAAATAAAAAGTAAAACCAAGCCCAGAGTCCATGCATTCTGCCTCTGGGCTTCCTTTTCCTTTTGTTAAGCTTTTCTGCTGGCAAGCACCATTACCACTAACAACATGAAGAATCTGTTTTGTTCTCAATATCATGTACGGGAAACGTGTTCCTAAGTATAACTTTCAGACCACAAAAACAAAGGAATTCAGTTACTGTTGTCATTTAATGGCAACAAACAAAGCTTGGTTTCTTAATTTTGGAGACAAAATGAGAACTCTATTACTAAAACAGGTTTAGATTTTTGTATTACAATAGGAGGTCTGGATTCTGAAGGGATAAAAAGAATAATTGTTATGAAGTTGAGAATAAACCTGGTGAATGAAAGAATAAACCTTGTGTTTTTTAATTTGGATTACCTTAAGCTTATTAGTGTTAAAAAGTATACTCATATAGCTTCACTCACTCTCTCCTGGCTTGTGCTGCCTTTGTCATATAAACTGTAGCGATCTTTATACTCATCTGCCCATCAGAACATATTTATAATTGTTGTTTTATGCAACTGTGTTTACAGTCTTGTAAAGGAAATGTTATATTTATGTATGTACCTTTATGTGTACCAATATTTGCTTTTAGGTGACCTTTTATATTTACCTTTCCTGCTGTTCTTTATTTCTTCACCTTGATTCAAATTATAGTCAAGTATCTTTTCATTTCAGCCTTTAATCTGTGTCTATAGCACAGGTCTCATATAGAGCTGAAAGCTATCTTATCTTGACTTCACTTTTTGTGGAGAAGAATTATAAAAGGTAAATGGAGTTTATTAATCCTGCTTATTTTGGATGAAATGTGTTATCAAAAGCCAACAAATATGAAGGCTTTTTAAGGAAAACCCTTTCTTGGGAGACATCCTTCAGATAATTTTCAGCAACATTGAAAAGTAGCTCAAAATGAAAGTATTCTTTTCTTAGGAGAATTCATAATTAATAAGAGTTTCAGCTAGCTTAATTTTTTTCTCATTTATAAAAGCGTATAATTCTTTCCTAGCTTCAATTAGAATATACAGTAGCCAGGTTCTGTTTGGGGAAAAAAAATTCACCTTTAAAAACTATAAATCCTTACATGGTTTTGCCTTTTTATTTCTCCTTTATGATAGAAATGCCTGCAAAAACGTTATAAAATGGGAGAAAAAAAGCAGAACACAGTCCAACAACTAGTAAAACTCTTTAAAATGTGTTACAGAATTTAATTAACCTTATCACTTTAAATTCTTTAGCTTTGCATTTATGTGCACAAGTCTCCACATTTTCTAAAATAAAAAGGAAAACTAATGCTAACAGAGGCTTTCTAAGGTACCACAACAGTTCATGAATGAAAAGAGAAAGTAATTCCTGCTGACTTCTGTGCTCTGCCCTCTGGAGGTTAGAGATCATAGGACGCAACCTTTAGAAAAAATAAGTATGTCTATGATAATGATTTTTATGATACAGTGTACAAGAAATGTATATGATACAGTGTATAAGGGGCCTTCTATTCTAAGATCTCAAAACCCTGAAGACCGTTTTTCAGGCAAATGGCTTGCTGTATCTACTGTTTCATTTGGCTAGTCTTCCCCTTGAGAATATACCTGTAACCACAAACTTTTATTACCTCCATATATTACCTCCACATATCATTTGTAATAGCAAATGTTCTCTGCTTCTAAGTTAGCTGAGTCTCTCTACTGAAGTCCTGAGTGGATTGTTGGAAACCCTATAGTGTAGGCGCTGTATAAAGGTCAATCATATCCCATGAGGACAAATGCAGTGTGAGTAATCTCATTCTTTCCTTTTATTCTGTGTACCTTGATTTTCTTTATTTAGCAAATCCAGTTCTTTTCTTTTTTTAAAAAAATTAAATTTTTTAATTTTTGTGGGCACATAATAGGTGAATATATTTATGGGGTACATGAGATGTTTTGATATAGGCATATGGTGTGAAATAATCACACTGTGGAGAATGGGGTATCCATCTTCTCAAGCATGTATCTTTTGTGTTACAAATAATCCAGCTACATCAGTTATAGTGATGTGACAGTCATGTATTTTGTAATACAGCATTTCCCATTATTGTATTTGTGTGTGTATGTGGTATGCTTGATTTAAGCATTGAGATTAAGTGGGAGAAGGAAAGAGCAAGGGTGTTGATAATCAGGCTTCATCCATGATATTTTGGCAAGCCCAAAGATAGACCTGCCATTGGCTTCCTTGTTCTACCAGACAAAGTATTTAATATTCTCTTGCCAAGAATATTAAATTAAAAGAAGCCCTTGTAGTCCTTCTTTTCAGCAAATTATGGCAAGTGCCTTTAAGCTTTAGAAGGGAGCAGGTGGAAGAGGTAAAATAACTATAATTCACTGTTTCTCTCTTAACTTTCACATTTGTATGTTTTGGGCTACAGTCCTAAAGTGTCTTTGCTGCTTCCTTTTATCACACCTTTATCTGTCTTCCCAAAGTCTTATAAGCCCCGTCATGTGCTTCTGCTAGCTGTGCTGCTTCTAGTGAGCTCAGAGATACTAGGAATGTACGAGTACCTATCTTAGAACTAGAAAGGCAGCCCCTAGTGGTCCATAGACATTAGTCACATGGCATTTTATAGCTCCCCTCTGGAGTTCCTTGAATCAGAAATGCAGCCTTTATTGATCACTGTAGTTTGCCTAATGTTCTACTCATGGCTGTACATATGAAGAAAAATAGTCTTAGCTTAGTGAGCTCAGCATCTAATGGAGGTGGTGGCAAGAGGTCAACATGTGAAGGGAGGAGGAAGCACAGGAGCACCTAGGAGGGCCACACACTGGGGACACCCATGGGAACATGACTGCAGCACCAGATGAGGATGCTGGATGAAGGTTTTCCTAGGGAAGATGGTGTCTGAGCCAACTCCTGAATAGGAAGGGTGTTGCCGTTTGAATCTGGGGTGATGAGGTATGTGGTGGTATGTGTTCCAGCTAACAGGCAGCATGAACAAAAGCTGAAAGGCTTGGTCTTTTTAGGAGCAGGCAAATCCCAGAACTTGCCTTCTCTGTAGTTGATCATTAGGGCTTTGCCAAAGAAAGTACTGAGAGAAAAAATACGTGCACACGTGTGTGTCTGTGTGTGTGTGTGTGTGTGTGTCTATGTGTGTGTGTGTGTCTATGTGTGTGTGTGTGTGTGTATTGCAGCCACATTTAACAAGCACTTAACAGAAAAGATGAGCATGAAATGAGGTTTTGTATAAAGCACAGTCTTAAAGATTTCAGGTGAATGTATTGACATGAAATGCAAGAAATCATTCTGTTGTGATAAAGAGCTTATTTGGATTTGGGATTAAGTTCATTGCAATAACATGAAACTTATTGTTATGATAGCAAAGGGATTTATTACTATTTAACTAGAGTTGTTTAATACTGCAGAACTTAGGCCCAGGATTTTATTCAGACATCTAAAGAATTAAAGAGATCACCAAGAAGCAAGCAATAGAAAGTACTAGAGTGTTTAGTCACTTGAAAATGGTGAATTACCCTATGTATTGCTCAAGTCCTGTAAGCGCTGAAGGAGAAAGAGAAAGATTAGGGAAGCTGATGCAGGAAAGAAGGTAGATGTTCACCAAAGGTTGTGATGAAGTTAATAAGTAAGGGCATATTGAAATCAGGAGCCTCAGGACTAGTCAGTTTTTTTTGTTTGTTTTTGTTTGTTTGTTTGAGACCAGTTCTCTTTGTTGCCCAAGCTGGAGTGCAATGGCATGAGCATAGCTTACTACAACCTCCTGGGCTCAAGCAGTCCTCCTACCTTGGCCTCCTGAGTAGCTGGAACTACAGGCACGCACAGACACAACTGGCTAACTTTTAAAATTTTTGTAGAAATAGGGTCTTGCTATGTTGCCTGGGGTGTTCTAGAACTGCTGGCCTCAAGTGATCCTCCCACCTCAGCTTCCCAAAGTGCTGGGATTACAGGTGTGACCCATGCCACCATGCACAAAGCATTTTTAATGCTATGCTTTGTATCTATTTCTCTGCCTTTTCTGACAACCCTTCATGAGGAAGGAAAGAAATGCAATATATAAGCATGAATGAGATCCGCGTAACCCTGTATATTTGCACCTAGATTCAACCCACCCTAGTTTATTGCAGTTTCAGAACATTTCATTTGATTCCTACAATGATCAGGTAAGGAGGATAAAGCAAAGGATAAGAGAGAACTATGGCACAAAGAATTTAAGGGACCACAAAAATTGTATGGCAGAACTAAGACTACAAACCTGGTCTTTGGACTCCTAGTAGAGTGCTCTTTGCTCCCACACCATACTGCATTCCTTTACTAGGATTTATTTTTAAATGCTAAAACCTCAGCACTTGTTCCTCCTTTGTGAGTCACTAATATATGCAGCTGCCATAGCATACTGTAGGGCTCAGCCCAGCATATTTAGAATAGAGTGCTAACATGGGAGCTAGTCATATTTTGGTTTCATAGCTAACCTTTTATTGAATATTGAAATTGTGACATTTTAAAATCTTTCTGCATCTCATTTTCTTTTTCCTTGATCTGTGTTATGTCCTGGCACTATAAATGTGAATGGAATCATCTAGCTCCATTGTTCTAACAGGAATACATTTGGTGCCAGTTTCTTAGGAGAGCCATATGGTTTGCCCCCAAATTTGTGTTGTGTTTTCACTAGTTTTATGTGTCTCAGGAATTGTATTTAGGCCATTTTCTACATAATCCTCTGTCAGACTTCATATAGGAACTTAATTTCCTCGCAGGTTTTAGAAATATTAATTATGGATTGTATTAAAAACAGTACCAGCTAACATTCATTAAGCACTAAGTGCTGGACCCTTGCATTTCATGTAGAACTTATCTAATCTTTCAAGGTAGGGTGGATGGAGAAGCATGGGCATGTGGCTCTTACAGAGACAGTGGGGGGCATGGCCAGGTTTTACACACAGGTCCTTTGGCTCTAGCCCATGCACTTAACCACTATGCTATAGTGTGTATGCAGAGAATGGTCTAGAAAAAGGTCTCCATTGGTAGGGCACAGCCAATTCTGTCAGTTGAAATCCTTGATTCCTCCTAAAATGAAGTTGATTGTTCATTAAAATCCAAGTGGCTGCTCTCATGCCAGATGTAGATCTTGCTCAAATAATGAGAACTAAGTAAGAGCTCCTTGCAGAAAATGTTCTTCAGTGGCTGGCAGATAGTTCAGTTTGTTTGAAGTCAGGCCCAGAATTCATTGTGACATGCCTTGATTTATATTAAATGTAAGGAGACCTGACAACTGTAGAAGTTCGAATATTTGTCATTAATTTCAGCTGTTTAATTAATTTAGCTTCTGTGTCGTGCAGAATTTGAAATTTTAAAAGAAAAATAATTAGAAGTGAAGTGAAAATGAAGCTTTATTTCTGCAACTATAAATTTTCATATACAGTAAGATCTGGAAACATATGAATTGTTTTAAAAGGTGTTATGTCAACTTACTTCATATGTATTTAGCACCAGTTTTGTCTGAACTAAAGTAATAGTTTTTTTAAAAATCTATCCAAGATTCCCAATTTACCTCTGTTTCTCTTCCCATTCATTCTTACATGCCTTTATTCAAAAACTACTGAATGTCTTTTATTCCCTGAACTGGCTTAAGTACATTAAAGCCCCTTAATTACTAGTGCATTGCTGAGTTGGCAGGCTATCACAAGGAATGAAATCTTAATGGAGTCCACCTATCTGAAATTCATAGCCTCTGCCCATATACTTAGCCTGACACCAGTTTTGGGAGAGATATAAACTAGATAGTAGGTGTGCATTTAAGCAGGTAAAACATTGAGATGGCTAAGGACGATAGTGGCGTCACATGTGGTACATTAGATCCAAAAGAAAGCAATAAAAGCATTTTGTCATTTTTGGAGAAGATCTAGAATATGTTAGAGTAGCTATCAGCCCCAAGGGAGACAGTAATTTAGGCTCCTGGTGCTTGACTCTTAAAAAGTAGCTTAATCATGAACAGAAGAAAATGATCTGAAGATCAGATCCTCAGAGCCAATGTTTCAACTGTGTTCCTCAGACATGCCTCAGAGGCCAGTTCTACATTGCAGGTGGGAGGAGGGGCTGGAGGAGGGAGTCAATGAATGAAAACATTTTTTCCACTTTTAGTTTTTCTTAAGTCTTCCTCTGCCACAATAGGAAATGAATAGATACTGTTTAAAATTGATTAATCAAGAAGTAGCATGGTAAACATAGTATTTTAAAAGTGGATATAAGAAGAAAATGTGTAGAAACCTAGAAGAAAATGCTAAAAAAAAAAAAAAAAAAAAAAAAACCAAAAAACACACTAGAATGGATTCCAGTTAAGAGCAAGTCTAAGAGTGGGGAAGGGAGGCAAGGCACTGCTGTTTTCCATGTACATATTACTTTTTTAACAGATAAAGTATTTTTTAAGAAGAGGACTTACGCATTTGTGTTCTGTATGTGCTTTGCATCCTGCGCAGATATCTGCTCACATTTTTAAAGGAGACCATTCCTTGGAAGGGAAAAATAATCAGGATATTAGTGACATTTCACTTCAAATGATACAAGGGCTGAGGCTTGAGAAGTCAAATTTCTGGCAGGATGTTTCCCAATTAAATCATTTCTGCCTTTGGCCATTCATCTGGCATTCTCTAAATTATTGCAGGTACAGAAGCTGCCTCCAAAAAAAGAGTAAAAAATGTAACTGTGCAAAAATTCTGAAAGAGTCTTTACTTAGGAGACAATTTCTCTGATAGTTTCTGTTTATCCTATAGTTATGCCAATTCTAAATAAAAATTGCTCCCTAACTACTCTTTTTGATGTTTTCTTTTTAAAACAGGGAAATGCACATAAAATCATGGAGAAATGTACATTACCATTGACTGGAAAGCAATGTGTCAACCGCATTATTACTGAAAAGGTAAAAAGTGCTTTTTCTACTATTACCATGTTTTAAGTAAGCATTTTTAGAAAGTTTTGTTACCTTCTAAGAGTGTATTACACCAGTAGTCATAGGATTAATTTAGTCTGTGGGCAGAACGAATAGGAAAGCTCATCAATTTAATGTTTCTAAATGTAGAATTCTTTATGTGCAACTCTTTGGAAACATGCAAACAAAACTGAATCACTGTCCTTGGTAACTTTGACAGTGTGCTATAATCAGAGAAAAGTTTTATTGATCTTTATATTTTGACTATTACAGTGTCAGGCTGGATGGTGATATATGCAAAGTTATGAATATATTATTTCTACCTTTTCTAAATCACAAGTAGAAATTTTTGGATTTTAAGAAATTCAGTGTAAGTTGGGTTTTTAATTGTTTCAGTGCAAATCGTAGTATAGGCCCCACAGTAAGCCAAGAAATGTATTCTGTTTCTTGCATGCTTTCTGCTCTCTTTTATAGAGTAGGGTTTCAAAACACACAGTGACTCTCTAGATTCTTCTTACTAGATGGAACATATTGGTCAGTAGTACAACTGAAAGCTGCTCAGACCAGAGAAGCATCACCAGCAGCTGTCTGTCATCACCCTTCTGACTCAGATTTGAACCTAGTATGTCGGAATGACTTACTGCTTTTAAGTCAGCTGGGAGGGTGTGTTTTCTTGATTCAGTACCTTGAAGAAGCCACAAAACAGAATTATGTATATCAGGTTCTTTTAGTGCTGTTCCATTTGCCAAGAACAATAGCATTAGTGTCTTGGCATTAATCTGACTCGCTAACCTCACTGAGGTGTGACAGTGAGCACCCTAAAGCAGGCTTTGAAGTGGGCTAGGAGGCTTATTATTCCCAGAAGCCACTTTTAAGGGAGGTTCTGTCCTAAATGATGCCTTCCCCAGGACTACTTATGTGGAATGCCATGAAGGTAACATATAAAGAACAAGATAAAGGGGCAGAATATTTTATCCCACCATCTATTCTGAATCTTTACCATTTCTTGAATCCCCCTAAAACTATGAACAGGGATTGTTGAAAAGAATCCATTACTTTAAAGATAAAAGCAAAGCAATCTTTTACCCTGTTGGTTGTTTGTTTATTTTTAAATAAAGTGGTAGTCCTTCTAAAGATAATTCCAGAAACATTCTTCCTGTGGGTCCTCTCCTCCTTCCATCAGCCCTCTCCTCATCTCCACATGTGCCCTGCCCTTGTTCTTACCAGTTCAGTTCTTCTACCTGTCATAGCTCCCACTTGATCCTCAGCCTCCCCAAATACTACCTGTCCTTTAAACCTAATGCATTTTCCCTCTTCATGATGAAGAGGTTTTGCACCATCATAGCACACAACAATTTATTCTCATAGTGGTCCACTGTTCATTTTGGCACTCATAATCTAATGTATTCTTATGCTATAACTTACATTGATATTTAACTTTACTATCATTTTAAAAACTTTTGAACCAGAGTGTTCCCAACAGTGTGCTACAGAAAGGAGGAAGGCAGAGTCTCTGTCCTAAAGGACAACATGGAAGAAGGGTGAGACACCAAACATCCAGCCTTTCCAGCAGTCAGAGTAATTGACATGATAAAGGCCATATGGAGACACACGCCAGATGCTAATCTAGGGACATAGAGAAAAGCTGCCCAGCAGTGTGGGCAGAGGTGTCAGGGAAAGATTTTTGGTGTTATTAAATACAAGCTTTTAACATATCTTGTGAAGCATTTCACAGTATGTACCTTTTCT
Organism: Homo sapiens; assembly: GCF_000001405.40. Lineage (NCBI taxonomy): Eukaryota > Metazoa > Chordata > Mammalia > Primates > Hominidae > Homo > Homo sapiens. The sequence goes on along the minus strand of NC_000005.10, from coordinate 41,747,768 downwards.
CCTTTAGCCTATTTCTCTCTGCTTTAACTTTCTCCCTACTTGAGCCATGCTAAAATGCTGTGAACTACATTCCATTCTTCCCTGGACCATGTTCTTTTGAGACTTTGCACATCCTCCTTCTCTGTCTGGAACATTCTTCCCACCCCATCCATCTAGCTAATCTTCCCTAATCTAGCTAATCTAGCAAGTCTTCCCTATCCCTCCCCAAATTTTCTGGGTGCTTCTCTGAATCTTTGTACTTATCCTAACTTAGCACAAACCACTATACTGAAATAAACTCTAATCTCTGCCTGTCTGGCTCACCATTGTTTATCTAACACTTGGCACAGTGCCAACCCATACTCAGTGAATACTTATGCTTTTCTTGCTGAAAAACTGGATTGAATGGTGAGCCTCGAAAGAGCAGTAGGAATTTCATAAGTTAGAAAGCCAACAAGGACCTTCTGGAAAAAAGGAAGAAAACATGTAGTCACAGAGGTATGAAGAAAACATGGCTTGTCCTATAACCTGCAAGTGGAACTGGTTGGAGCAAGGGCATGGCTGGATTCTGAAGGCTGAGGTGGAAAAGGCAGTGAGGGGTCAAATAATGGAGGGATGTAGATGTCTTGCTAAGAACTGTGGGTCTTATAAGGAAGGCAGTAAGGAACCCTTCAGTGATTTTGTTTTAAGGCTGGGGACACAATAAATTAGATTTGCATTAGAAAAAACACTGTAAGCTTTTATGTAAAGCGGGGAGAAAAGAGATAAGGCAGAAGCCAGTTAAGAGGATTCATAGACCTAGGCAAAAAATCTCAAAATTCTAAACCATAGGACAGATAGAGAGATTTGAAAGAGATTTAGGAGATGGACTCGACCTAACTTGATGAATTGCACATTGTTGGTAAGACAGAGGTGATTCCTAAGTTTTCTGACTAGAGAGAATAGTTGACCTGTGTATCCTTTAGGAAGCCCAGGACTGCAGGAGGAGAAGGGGAAGGATAATACAAGACATGAATAGGTTCAGTTTGGACAGCCTCAGTGTGATATTCTTGGGAATACCCAGTCAGATATTGCAATAAACAATTGGAGATTTGGATCTAGAGCTCAAAAGAGAAGTCAGTATTGGAATAAACTTGCGGGTGTCATTAACATATGGGGATAATTGGAGCCTTAATTATAGATGTATAGCAAGAATGAGTAAAGAGAAGAGCATCTACGTCTGGAACTTTTGGTACGTTAAAGAAAGGAAGGTTGTGTGTTTATCGCTATGCTCTGTGCATAGTAGGTGCTCAATAAATACTTGTTGAATGAGTAATGAGAATGCAGTGCCATTAAGAGCAATGAAGGTCTCCAGCCCTCACTAACAGTGGACTAGAATGCCATTATCAGATCCAGAGAAAATTCCATTCAGTTGCCCTTTGAAAGAGAATTTGGAGGATGCTATGACCCTGATTTCCTAGTTTTGACCTGCTGGAATGAGGTAATGAAAGATGCGTTCCTTGGTTCTGTTTATATGCTGGATTACATTTATTGATTTGCATATGTTGAACCAGGCTTGCATCCCAGGGATGAAGCCCACTTGATCATGGTGGATAAGCTTTTTGATGTGCTGCTGGATTCGGTTTGCCAGTATTTTATTGAGGATTTTTTGCATCGATGTTCATCAGGGATGTTGGTCTAAAATTCTCTTTTTTTGTTGTGTCTCTGCCAGGCTTTGGTGTCAGGATAATGCTGGCCTCATAAAATGAGTTAGGGAGGATTCCTTCTTTTTCTATTGATTCGAGTAGTTTTGGAAGGAATGGTACCAGCTCCTCTTTGTACCTCTGGTAGAATTCGGCTGTGAATCCATCTGGTCCTGGACGTTTTTTGGTTGGTAAGCCATTAATTATTGCCTCAATTTCAGAGCCTGTTATTGGTCTATTCAGAGATTCAACTTCTTCCTGGTTTAGTCTTGGGAGGGTGTATGTGTCGAGGAATTTATCCATTTCTTCTAGACTTTCTAGTTTATTTGCGTAGAGGTGTTTATAGTATTCTCTGATGGTAGTTTGTATTTCTGTGGGATCGGTGGTGATATCCCCTTTATCATTTTTTATTGCGTCTATTTGATTCTTCTCTCTTTCCTTCTTTATTAGTCTTGCTAGCGGTCTATCAATTTTGTTGATCTTTTCAAAAAACCAGCTCCTGGATTCACTGATTTTTTGAAGGGTTTTTTGTGTCTATTTCCTTCAGTTCTGCTCTGATCTTAGTTATTTCTTGCCTTCTGCTAGCTTTTGAATGTGTTTGCTCTTGCTTCTCTAGTTCTTTTAATCGTGATGTTAGGATGTCAATTTTAGATCTTTCCTGCTTTCTCTTGTGGGCATTTAGTGCTATAAATTTCCCTCTACACACTGCTTTGAATGTGTCCCAGAGATTCTGGTATGTTGTGTCTTTGTTCTCATTGGTTTCAAAGAACATCTTTATTTCTGCCTTCATTTCGTTATGTACCCAGTAGTCATTCAGGAGCAGGTTGTTCAGTTTCCATGTAGTTGAGTGGTTTTGAGTGAGTTTCTTAATCCTGAGTTCTAGTTTGATTGCACTGTGGTCTGAGAGACAGTTTGTTATAATTTGTTTTTTTTTTACATTTGCTGAGGAGTGCTTTACTTCCAACTATGTGATCAGTTTTGGAATAGGTGTGGTGTGGTGCTGAAAATAATGTATATTCTGTTGATTTGGGGTGGAGAGTTCTGTAGTATCTATTAGGTCCGCTTGGTGCAGAGTTGAGTTCAGTTCCTGGATAGCGTTGTTACCTTTCTGTCTCGTTGATGTGTCTAATGTTGACAGTGGAATGTCCCATTATTATTGTGTGGCAGTCTAAGTCTCTTTGTAGGTCTCTAAGGACTGGGTGCTCCTGTATTGGGTGCATATATATTTAGGATAGTTAGCTCTTCTTGTTGAATTGATCCCTTTACCATTATGTAATGGCCTTCTTTGTCTCTTTTGATCTTTGTTGGCTTAAAGTCTGTTTTATCAGAGACTAGGATTGCAACCCCTGCCTTTTTTTGTCAGAACCAATGACAAAAACCGCATGATTATCTCAATAGATGCAGAAAAGGCCTTTGACAAAATTCGACAACACTTCATGCTAAAAACTCTCAATAAATTAGGTATTGATGGGACGTATCTCAAAATAATAAGAGCTATCTATGACAAACCCACAGCCAATATCATACTGAATGGGCAAAAACTAGAAGCATCCCCTTTGAAAACTGGCACAAGACAGGGATGCTTTCTCTCACCACTCCTATTCAACATAGTGTTGGAAGTTCTGGCCAGGGCAATCAGGCAGGAGAAGGAAACAAAGGGTATTCAATTAGGAAAAGAGGAAGTCAAATTGTCCCTGTTTGCAGATGACATGATTGTATATCTAGAAAACCCTATCATCTCAGCCCAAAATCTCCTTAAGCTGATAAGCAACTTCAGCAAAGTCTCAGGATACAAAATGAATGTGCAGAAATCACAAGCATTCTTATACACCAATAACAAACAGAGAGCCAAATCATGAGTGAACTCCCATTCACAATTGCTTCAAAGAGAATAAAATACCTAGGAATCCAACTTACAAGGGACCTGAAGGACCTCTTCAAACCACTGCTCAATGAAATAGAAGAGGATACAAACAAATGGAAGAACATTCCATGCTCATGGGTAGGAAGAATCAGTATCGTGAAAATGGCCATACTGCCCAAGGTAATTTATAGATTCAATGCTATCCCCATCAAGCTACCAATGACTTTCTTCACAGCATTGGAACAAACTACTTTAAAGTTCATATGGAACCAAAAAAGAGCTCGCATTTCCAAGTCAATACTAAGCTAAAAGAACAAAGCTGGAGGCATCAGGCTACCTGACTTCAAACTATACTACAAGGCTACAGTAACCAAAACAGCATGGTACTGGTACCAAAACAGAGATATAGACCAATGGAACAGAACAGAGCCCTCAGAAATAATGCCACATATGTACAACTATCTGATCTTTGACAAACCTGACAAAAACAAGCAATGGGGAAAGGATTCCCTATTTAATAAATGGTGCTGGGAAAACTGGCTAGCCATATGTAGAAAGCTGAAACTGGATCCCTTCCTTGCACCTTATACAAAAATTAATTCAAGATGGATTAAAGAGTTAAATGTTAGACCTAAAACCATAAAAACCCTAGAAGAAAACCTAGGCAACACCATTCAGGACATAGGCATGGGCGAGGACTTCATGTGTAAAACACCAAAAGCAATGGCAACAAAAGCCAAAATTGACAAATGGGATCTAATTAAACTAAAGAGTTTCTGCACAGCAAAAGAAACTACCATCAGAGTGAACAGGCAACCTACAGAATGGGAGAAAATTTTTACAATCTACCCATCTGACAAAGGGCTAATATCCAGAATCTACAAAGAACCCAAACAAATTTACAAGAAAAAATCAAACAACCCCATCAAAAAGTGGGTAAAGGATATGAACAGACACTTCTCAAAAGAAGACATTTATGCAGCCAACAGACACATGAAAAAATGCTCATCATCACTGGCCATCAGAGAAATGCAAATCAAAGCCACAATGAGATACCATCTCACACCAGTTAGAATGGCAATCATTAAAAAGTCAGGAAACAACAGGTGCTGGAGAGGATGTGGAGAAATAAGAACACTTTTACACTGTTGGTGGGACCGTAAACTAGTTCAGCCATTGTGGAAGACAGTGTGGTGATTCCTCAAGGATCTAGAATTAGAAATACCATTTGACCCAGCCATCCCATTACTGTGTATATACCCAAAGGATTATAAATCATGCTGCTATAAAGACACATGCACATGTATGTTTATTGTGGCACTATTCACAATAGCAAAGACTTGGAACCAACCCAAATGCCCATCAATGATAGACTGGATTAAGAAAATGCGGCACATATACACCATGGAATACTATGCAGCCATAAAAAAGGATGAGTTCATGTCCTTTGTAGGGATATGGATGAAGCTGGACACCATCATTCTGATCAAACTGTCACAAGGACAGAAAACCAAACACTGCATGTTCTCATAGGTGAGAATTGAACAATGAGAACACTTGGACACAGGGTGGGGAACATCACACACTGGGGCCTGTTGTGGGGTGGGGGGCAGGGGAAGGGATAGCATTAGGAGATATACCTAATGTTAAATGAAGAGTTAATGGGTGCAGCACACCAACATGGCACATGCATACATATGTAACAAACCTGCACGTTGTGCACGTGTACCCTAAAACTTAAAGTGTAATAAAAAAATAAAGTAAAATAAAAGAAAGATGCATTCCTCACCAGCACCTGGGCTGTGATTCACTGTTACCCATAATGTAAGCTTTTGTCACGGTGATAAAGTAATTAACATTTATCTCTTAGACAAAGTACTTTCAGTATTCTGGATAGTTGAACAATTTATTGTGACTTTTAGGTTTTAGTCTCCATTTTTGTCAATTTTTTGTTTGCACCTTATATCACTAAATGGAAAGTTTCCTAAATATTTCAAAAGTAAGTTTCCTTTTTTAAATTATAGATACTTGGTTTTCTAATATATCTAATTAAGATTTGATAAATGTGTTAATAAGGTTTTTTTAAAAGCAATGTCAATTTGCCATAGATTTACTCTCCCTGATTACTGAAGCCTTAAATTTTTGATACCACAGTTATCTTCTCTCTAAATCATTTCCATGCCTGTTCTTAATAACTTAATCCAGATGCTCTTTTTTTCTTATTTGTTCTTTTATAAATTGACAGTTGTTCAGAATGCAAGAAAAAGCAAATCATATGAATAGTGCTCCAGATACATTTTCTGCAAAGAAAGTGTTCATTTTAAAAAAATTTAATTGTCATTTTGGAATGAAGCAAGCTAATGAGTATACAAACATTCCTAAATTATCCATTTATTTTTTTCCTCTTGAAACACACATTTCTGCCAAAAAACTTTTTTGGAACATAAAATGTACAAGCAAAAGGAAAGTTTACTGAAATATTTTGTCTTACATTTCAACCCTCTTTTCCAGTAATGTCAACCAGGTTATCTGTGAATTCTTCAGACAAACCAATAATGCAGTTATCACTGGTCCCAGCGATGTGTGTTTCTGGGGAAAAATATTAATCAGCTGGAGTCAATAATCATTCCAGGGCTTTGATCTGGCATCACATATAAGTGAGATGTTAAGCTACTAAGGAGTGAAAAGTGAAAAAACTGCTTGTATGCTGCCCCCACTGTCTCAGGGATGGTGCTCAGAGTATGTTTTCTTATATTTGTCCTGTATCACAATCTTGGGAAGTACATTTTTATTATATATGTCTACAGATGCAAAGACAGGTTCACTAAAGGTTGCATAACAGTTGTGCAGCAGAGTGGAATTCTCACTGAGCTCAAAGGCCAGGGTTCTTTTCTCTACGTGTTGCTGTGTCTTGATATTACCCTCCTAGTTAGGAGTGTATTCAAAAATGACAATTCAAGGTTTGACTTCCAAGCCAATTGAAAAATTGGTTAAGCGGTGGCTCACTCCTGTAATCCTTGCATCCCAAAGGAGGCCGAGGCAGGCAGGTGGATCACCTGAGGTCAGGAATTTGAGACCAGCCTGACCAACATGGTAAAACCTCATCTCTACTAAAAATACAAAAAATTAGCTGGATGTGGTGGGGCATGCCTGTAATCCCAGCTACTCAGGAGGCTGAGGCAAGAGAATCACTTGAACCCTGGAGGCAGAGGTTGCAGTGAGCAGAGATCGGGCCATTGCACTCCAGCCTGGGTGACAGAGTGAGACTCTGTCTCAAAAAAAAAAAAAAAAGATTCTAGGCCTGCAAATAATAGTTGAATTTAGGTTAACTGTAGAGGAGAGGAAAGCTCTGGGATGCATAACATTTTAGTCTGAGAAAGAGGAAACTAACCATGAGAACTGAAAGAGGGTACAGTGCTTAATATGCTGGAGGGTAACTATAGCATGGAGCTAAAGCCATAGGAGAAGCAGTTTTAGCTCTTAAGGTTTGAGCTTCCCTTCAGTAAACAATCTGCCTTGAAATAAGTGAGCCTCCTGCCACTGCAAGTATCTAAGCAGAACCTCATTGACTATCTGAGAAGAATGTTTTGAAGAATTCTTGGGTGGAAGGTTATATTAAGTGACCTCGTAGGTCACTTCCACTTGAGTTATATTTCTAAGTGTGAAAGCATGTGTTCTAAATCAGATACAACAGGTGGGGTCTATCTGCTGAGGTCAAGCCATACCAATTGGCACTACCAACACCTGATGTTACAGACCAGAATGATGGAATGTTTCAGGTAAGATTGGCTTTCTGGTGCTTGCCCTAAATATAAGCATCTTCATTTGATTTGCATAGCAAAGGGAGATTCCCATGCTCTCTTTTTGAGACTATATGTTTTACAGGACTTAAGGAGAATATTTTAAACAGTTACTTGCATGTCTTTCAGGACCAGGGTAGCTATCCTCTTATAATTACTCCTAGACACTTCAGAGCACCTTCTTCTGTTTCCTGTAATTCTTTACCCAATATCATTTATAAACTTTTTTCCTGTCATTCATGTGCTTTCACCTTCCAAATATTCCCTTTCTCTCTCCCTCTTTCTTCATTCCTTTCTTTGTTCAAATCATTATTAATCACTAATTGACCTTTGACCAAAAGTGTTAGACTTAACAAAAGGGAGGTAGTTTTTAAAAAACTGGTTGCAGTAGTAACAAATGCCATCCATGGTCAATGCTCATTTATTTTCTGGCATCAACACTGTTCCACAACTAATTGCTGATTAGGGAGTTGGCATTTATCCTCACCAAAATATCATAGTTACAGTTGACATTTTTTCACTGCTGATTTTTCTTTTGTCCTGGGTCTTGTGTTTCCTTTTTTTTTTTTTTTTGAGACAGAGTCTGGCTCTGTCGTCCAGGCTGGAGTGCAGTGGCGTGATCTCGGCTCACTGCAAGCTCCGCCTCTCGGGTTCACGCCATTCTCCTGCCTCAGCCTCCCAAGTAGCTGGGACTACAGGTGCCTGCCACCATGCCCAGCTAATTTTTTTTTTTTGTATTTTTAGTAGAGACGGGGTTTCACCGTGTTAGCCAGGATGGTCTCGATCTCCTGACCTTGTGATCCACCCACCTAAGCCTACCAAAATGCTGGGATTATAGGCCTGAGCCACCACACCCGACCTCGTCGAACTTGCGAGGTTATTTCTGTTTTGTGCCATATAATAATTATTTTGATGGAAATTGTCATTGTCCTTTTTCTTCCCACTCTGACAGGCTGTGTTTGATGTGGACAAGAAGAAAGGGTTGACTCTGATTGAGCTCTGGGAAGGCCTGACAGTGGATGACGTACAGAAGAGTACTGGGTGTGATTTTGCAGTAAGTATTTCTGTGAACAAATCCAGACACTTGTCTTATATTATAGGCTTGATTAATGGGTGTTTGCAGGACATGAACCATTAATTTGTGATCATTTTTGGAGTTGACCTTTACAGTGAACAGGAGTAGAAGGAAGGGTGCCTCTAGATGAGAGCAGGTGGGAACAGAGCTGTGCTCTGACTCACTGGCCAAGGTTTGGCTTAGGACTCAGAAGCAGGAAGGGGACACACCACCAGGAGCTGCTAGAAACAAGGTTGAGCTTGAGCTCTAAGCTACTTTATGTTTTGAAGGCCCTTGTAATCCCCTGTTCTTTGGTTATATGGCAGCTGTGCTTGAACTTGATTAACTGAAAAATGTTAGCCACATATGGAGAAATGATACTTCCTTATTTTTAAACCCATCTATGACTTATGACTTTCTCTAAATTCTATGCCATATTTCATCCGTTGAAAATATTAAAATGTTGGGCCTCTGACATCACCAGGTTAGTCATCACAAAACAGACATGCCCTGTATTTGAAGATAAGTACATAAAACAGACTTACAAAGCAGATAAATACGTCAGGGGAGTATCCGTTTAAGAAACCTCCAAATCCCTTTTTAAAACAGAATATTACTGAGAATATAAATAATTGCTCTTTAATATAAGTGCTTATTCATAAATCAATCACCTAGCTAATGGCATTGAAAGCATGGCTCAGTCTATTTGAAGTTAACCAAAAGTAAAACTAAAATGTCTCTGAAGAAATGAAGGAAAGTGTATTAGTCCATTCTCACAGAGCTAACAAAGACAGCATAAGATTGGGTAGTTTATAGAGAAAAAGAGGTTTGATGGACTCAGGTCCACATGGCTGGGGAGGCCTCACAATCATGGCAGAAGGTGAAGGAGAAGCAAAGGCACGTCTTATGTGGCAGCAAGCAAGAGAGTGTGTGCAGGGAAACTGCCCTTTATAAAACCATCAGATCAAAGACTTACTCACTATCACAAGAACAGCATGTGAAAAACCCACCCCCATGATTCAGTTACCTCCCACCAGGTCCCTCCCGTGACACAAGGGGATTATGGGAGCTCCAAATCAAGATGAGATTTGGGTGGGGACACAGCCAAACCATATCAGAAAGGGATATTATTCTCATACCTATTTAAGAACCAATCTAATTAAAATGAAATATATTTATAATGAGAAGAAAATATGTTAATGTTACAGCTACACATCTTGGAGAAACTAATTTAACAAAAGTTATTTGATAAGTCATACATATATTGTATGTATGTCTTTCTTGTGTACTACATGCTTTGCTTGTACCTATCAGTGCATAACACATTTTTTTTTTAAGACGGAGTCTTGTTCTGTTGCCCAGGCTGGAGTGCAGTGGCGCGATCTTGGCTCATTGCAAGCTCCGCCTCCCAGGTTCACACCATTCTCCTGCCTCAGCCTCCCCAGCAGCTGGGACTACAGGCACATGCCGCCACGCCCGGCTAATTTTTTGTATTTTTAGTAGAGATGGGGTTTCACCGTGCTAGCCAGGATGGTCTCGATCTCCTGACCTTGTGATCTGCCCGCCTCGGCCTCCCAAAGTGCTGGGATTACAGGCGTGAGCCACCGTGCCCGGCCTACACATTTCTCTAAAAACGATTTTTGTTTCATAGTTCATTATCCATATAATAACTGTTCCTGGTACTCTACCAAGGTCTTTGTCTATTAACTTTTTTTGAATGTCCCTTTGGAAAAAGAAGTCTCCCAGTAATACCTTTCATGAAAAGCACATCTTTAATTAGCCTTTCAATAACCTCAAGGGGAAGGATATGCTTATACTTTAACTATTTAGGATTTCTCACTCCAGTGAGAAAAGCAAACAATCTGTATTATTTTTTTCTATGTGGAAGAATTAACCTCTTCATCAGATAACATTTTCAAGATCCACAGAATGTTCAGTTTTTTTTTGCAGCAAAAGAGAATGTACAAAGGAAGACCTGGTTATCTAGTTCTTTTTTTATTCATGTGGGTAAATAAGGAATGAAAATATGAGTTTTTACTGTTCTTGCTTTGTTTTCCAATAAAAGGTGCTGTTCCAATGGAAAATATCTCTGTAGACCCTCTCAATTTCAGTACCATCTCTTCTTTTCACAGGGATATGTAATCTTGTTTTCTCCAAATTAGGATGTTGAGATGAAATGTTAATTTGTATGTCAATGTTGTCCTGAGAATGAAAAGGTATGGTATCAATGGAACCATCCAGAGGACTAGCTTTTGAGCATCTGACGATCAATGGCATCTCTTTACACTCTGACAGATGAAATCACATATAACAGGTTGTTTTCTGTAAGGCTAGAGCTGGAGTGCCCTAATTAATAAAATGTTCTACTTAATACCTGGATTATCAATAAGGATACATTTAATTACAAAAGTACATTGAAGATAGCATTTCTTTCTTGACAATTCAGAAGACATTCCATGTCCTAATTTAGAAAATATTCCCTGTGGTTATCACTGCATAGCTAGCATTGTACTCCATATGTGACTATACACTAGTTGCTCAAGTTCTGTTTGAGAAAAGTCCCTAGAACTCAGCCTTCAACTGGCAGTCAACATTCTAGAAGGGAATGATTGGCCAGTGTTGCCTCATAAAGAAAAAAAGGTAAAATCCTAGTGCAAAACAATTTAAAATGTGTTGGTAAAAGTCCTGTATCCCTAAGGATATGGGCAAGTGAATGGGCAAAAGCTACATTATGTGGATATTAGCTGGTTGGGAAAATACTGGGAATTCCAAAGTAAAAGACTAAATATGACAGCATCAGATAACAGGACGTGACAAAATTTTGGTTTTAGGATATCAAAAAAGAATGATAGTGAAATATTTGGGCACTGTTAAAAAAAAGAATTACTAAGACTTTTTCATATATATCATAGTGTTATTAGCCATAATAAAAAAGTGGAAAAAATATGATTTTTAATCACATGAAACATAACTTTAAAAAACCTGTAATGACTGTCACAGTTTTGTTCATGATTTTGTATCAACTGAAAGTTGGAGTTTTCCATCGGAGGGCAGTATCTTGAAGGTCATATATGTCTGGAACTTGGTAGAGGCTGTGGAAATTTTGTTGTAGAAATGCAAATATTGATTATATTTCTGGAACCTGAAGGTTCACACACCCAAAATAAGATTCTGGTCAGGAGCTGTTTACAGCTAGAGAAGCCAACCATATGATTACTCTCCCTTAAAATGTAGATGCTATGACGATAGGGACTTTGCTGTTTCTTGGGGATTGAGTGCTGAATCCCTTGAGAGAAAGGAGCTGAACAGGTAGAGGTAAAAGTATTACTATTATACAGGCTAGAGTGAGGGATGTGGCCTAGGTGTACAGCCACAGCAGGCTTTTCAGTTGTGAACCCCACAGATACAGAGGCTTTGGCTCCCCAGTGTAGGCAGCACCAGAGAAACCCAGGCCTCCCACAAGGGTAGCCTTCATTGCTGAGCTTCCATCCACATGGCTGAGAGCAAAACAGAGCATTGCTTTCTAGGTGAAGACCTCAATGAAGAGGAAGAGTCATGCTGAGTTTCACATGTTAAGGTTCCTCTGCCCAAATAATCATTTAATTACATCAATAAGGGACACACCGGAGGTCAGGGTAGTTACATGAATAGATAGGTGTCCTTCCACATGGAATGGAATATGAGAAGTGGGGAATAAAGGCTCCCCTGTCCCCAGCGCTATTGGTAGAGCCTTGTATGTATGTTCATGCTCTACAAATGCTTGTGATGCTGTTCAGTAATGCTTTCCTATTTTTAAATAACTGGTAAAAACTTTAAAAAAATTTACCATCTTAACCATGTTTAAGTGTACAATGCAGTAATATTAAGTGTATTCACATTGTTATACAACAGATCTCTAGAACTTTTATAACTTGCAGCTCTGAAACTACTCATTAAACACTAATTCCACAGCCTTTGGCAACCACTGTTTTTGCTTTCTGTTTCTATCATTTTGACTATTCTAGATACCTCATATGAGTGGAGTTATACAGTATTTGCCCTTTTGTGACTGGCTTATTTTGCTTAGCATAATGTATTCAGGGTTCATCTGTGTTGTAGCATGTATGACAGGATTATCTTCTTTTTAAGGCTGTATAATATTTCATTGTGCATATATACCACACTTTCATGACCCACTCATCTGTTGGTAGACATTTGGGTTGCTTCCACCACTTGGCTACTGTGAATAGTGCTGCAAAGAACATGGATGTGCAAATATCTCTTTGACATTCTGCTTTGAAATTTTTTAGATATATAATTCAGAATTTGGATTGCTGGATCATATGATAATTCTATTTTTAATTTTTTGTGGAACTGCCATACTGTTTCACAATGTTTGCCCCGTTTTACATTCCCACTGTTGGTGCACAGGGGTTCTAATTTCTCCATATCTTTGCCAACAGTTATCTTCTGTTTAATAGTGGCCATTCTAATGGCTGTGAGGTGATATCTCATTGTGGTTTTGATTTGCATTTATCTGGTGATGTTCTCAAAGTTTCTCATATATTCTGGATGCTAATCTCTTATCAGATGATTTTTGAATGTTCTTTTCCATTTCATAGGTTGCTTTTTCACTGTTTTCTTTGACACATGGAAGTTTTTAAGTTCGATATAGTCTTCTGTCTGTCTTTTATGCTACTAGGGCCCAACATTTTCACAACTAAGGAATCCTTTGGCTTATTTTTCTCCCATTGTCCTCAGATTTTGAAAGAAGTCTGTCTCTCAAATATTTAAAGAATCAAAATGATGTCGTATTAAAGCTTGACAAGCTAATGAGTATGTCAAATTTCTTTATTTTTTGGCTATACTTAACAGCATGCAGTATGCCAGTTACTTGATGGGCGAAAGTATTAGGTTGATGCAAAAGTAATTGTGGTTTAATAAATGGTTTTGCCATTGAAAATAACGGCTTTCAATTGGTTATTTGGGTTGTTTCTTTTCTGATGAATGCTTAAGCTATGTAAAATAGGTGTTTTTATAAACCATATGTCTGTGGACCTCTTTTGAAACAATATTTCTTTGATTTTATCTTCTTAACTTAAAAAATTAAAAATGTATTCCATATTTAAACATTATGTGTTAGAATAAACTTCCAGATGTCACTAGTCATACACCCAATGTATGTTCCATATTGAGCTGTAAAATATGAATAAAATAGAACCAATTTATGGTTCTTGCTCCCAAGAGCCTTGGCTTTATTCTCCAGGCAGGAATATACCTAAACCACCAGTGGCAAAACAAACAAACAAATAAAAAACTAGTAAAAGCAATGTTTGTTGATATGTTTGCAGTGGAATCTGAAAGAAGCTGCAGACATTCCTTGCCTAATTGAATAAATTTATACTCTCAGTATCTACTATGAACTGGCATTCTACCAGAGTCAAGCAATATACTTTTGGGATATTAATGCACTGGGAAGACAAATCATTGGCTTGTCTTCTATAGCTAAATCATGTCACCTTGTGCTTAGCCTGCAGATCACGTTGGCAGAATAAGCTCCTTTGGCTTGCATGAATTTACAACGTTGATGAGACTGGGAGAACAGAATGAGAAATGGTGGTTTAGTAGATGTTTTTCATTAAAAAGCAGGCAAAGTCAGTCTATATAAAGCGTTATCTTATTTTTGATGTCATTTTTCACATTGAGAATGTAAATGACATTAAGAGCTCAAAATAGGGCTGACATGACAAGGAAAAGGATCAGATGTTTAGTTAAAAAAATTAATGTGTCCAGTTTCTTTTTAAAGGAAGTGCTATGAAGCATCTATAGAAAATGATTTGTAGTAAAAAAGTTTCACTAAATTGGGCCAGGCACGGTGGCTTACGCCTGTAATCCCAGCACTTTGGGAGGCTGAGGCAGGTGGATCACCTGAGGTCGGGAGTTCAAGACCAGCCTTACCAACATGGAGAAACCCCGTCTCTACTAAATATACAAAAATTAGCTGGTCATGGTGGCACATGCCTGTAATCCCAGCTACTTGGGAGGCTAAGGCAGGAGAATCGCTTGAACCCAGGAGGCGGAGGTTGCGGTGAGCCAAGATCGCGCCATTGCACTCCAGCCTGGGCAACAAGAGCAAAACTCCGTCTCAAAAAAAAAAAAAAAAAAAGTTTCACTAAATTATTTCCACAGATGCTCTGTTGTTTAAAAAAAAGAAAGAAAATGAACTGTGAGATATACTTATCTAAATACTAAATGTTATTATTAGTAGAGTTGAAAATCTGTGCGTATGTGTGATGTTACTTTTTGTCTACTTATTCTGTTTATTTTGTCTGTATGTCTACTCTTAGAAATAAGTCATAATGCGTTCTCATTTACCATAAGCTATATACCAAATCATGCTGAACTTTATTATTATTGTTTATTCTTATTTATTCTTTTAGTAGACATTTTTGCCATTCTGGTTTAATATTTTAGTACAAAAATGGAAGACAAGACATTAACTCTTGATACTATGAAGAGTTAATTGTGAAGAGCTAATGCAGACATTTATAAATGAACTAAAACTATTTAACCTTATGAAAGCCAAATGACTGCCTGTTCTTTCAGTTTTTAATACTGATGATTTAACCTCTATTAGGAACCTCCCTTCTAGTTCTTTGAAACTTATATAATTATCTACTTATTCATTCATTTGTTCATTTATCAATTTAAGAAAATATTGTTTATTCTGGAAGGTAAAATGCTAATTGGGCTCATTTTGATTGCCACATCTTTCAGAATTTCAAAAAGCACCCAATTTTTGGTATTTCCTGCTTCCCATGGGGACTGTTACTAACTAGAACCCAATCAATATTTGCCATGTTGAATTAAGGAATCTGAACCTGGTACCACACTTTGAAAAATCTGTCTCAGTTAAACTGACCACTTATATTTATGGTTCTCCTGCAACCGGCTCTACCTTAAATATACATTCATTGTCACTTTTCTCTGCTTGCAGATTCGCAGGAAAGCATTGACTGTTTTATACACTGAACATAATTATAATCAACATTTAATTGTTTTAATGCTATTACTTCCATATTTTAATAACTTGGAATCCTCTTATTGCCTTTGTATCATTTCTATTCTGATTATGAAATTTCCGATAAGATTTATCATTGATCATACGTCTCTTCATTAATATGTATTTAGGTAATCCAAAGATTACATAAAGCATCTTTCAACAAAATTATGAATTGGCTGGATCTATTTTGAGGTTTTGGAGACTTGGGGTTTGTACTGCGTCTTAAGTGAAGTCTCAGAGGCATCAGTCTCGGAGATCAGTGATCCATCTGACAGGGGGCTTGGTTATTGGGATCCTTTGTTTTCCTCTGCTCCTCTTCCACCTGCTCCTTGTTGCCAGCCTTGTTCATCCTTAATTTAGGAGCTAATACAAGAAGGTTGAGAACTACAAAATACCCAAAATGTAAACAGAACTGTTCTGTCTCAATGTTTCAGGATGGAAAATCATATGGAAACTCCAGGGAATGTCCATGGCAAGGCTGCTTGTTGCCTACATGATTGAAATTTGGAAATTAAAAGGAGAGAGATTTATATCATGCAGTTTTTCATAATTTGATTTTTTTTTCCTCTTTTACCAGGTTTCACCAAAACTCATGCCAATGCAGCAGATCGCAAATTGAAATATGGATATTTGTACCAGGCTGCGTGTTTTTCATTTTAAACACACAAGATTTAATTGAAAGGACATCAATAATCATAATTGTGTATTTAACAGGTGGTTTTTTATTAGTTTTCTTGTGTTTCAGACTTTATGCAGCCATATAAACTGTTCTCTAGGCATGCTGTGACATTTTAATAAAAAGCAAAAGGAGCATTTATAATTATCTCATTTGTTAAGGCTGAGAAGGTTGTTTTTATAATAGGTAATTATATTGAATGCATTTTCACTGAATATGGTATGTATGCTAAATTATATGAACCTTTCCCCAAGAAGGGCCCTAGAAATTGATGTGGCTTTCCTCTTAAATATTAATTATTAGTCCTGAAAGAAAGATAACATATGTGATTTTTGTGGTTAGGAGAGTTGCTGTCATGATTGTTTTTTCTTCAGCCTCCTCTGACTTTTCTTTTGGGGCTTCAGATTTTATGATTACATCTTGTCCCCCTAGAACATCCCCCTTCCTCCCATACTGCTTTTAAACAGATGCCCAAGAAGGCAAGCAGGAATGCCTCTTGTGGGGGAGGGCAGGGAGAAATAACTAGTTCAAACCAACTATCTATCTATGCTTTGCAAAGACTAAGGCGTATTATAGGAAGAGGGCTAGAAACCTAACTGATTCTTCTCAGTTTTCTCATTTTAAAACAGCCCAGTATTCCTTTGTATCCTCAAGGGTCCTTGAGAATACTTCTGTTATTGAGACCCTGTGGGCTACTTGTACTGTACCTCCTCTCAAGCCAAGAAGGGCTGTGGGATAATTTACCATGAATCCTTAGTAGCAATGACAGCAGAGTTAAAAAATAAAAGGTGTTTTACTTTCAGGCTCTTGTTTTGGTTCAGAGGAGATTTTAAATATTGAATGACACTTCTACAGAACAACGGTTTTTCTTCTGCCAAGGCTACTTCCTTTAACGAAGTGCCTTTAATTCAGCCTTATCCAACTAGGGAAAATAATGTTGGACAAGTCTAGGATTTGAAGAGTCAGTGAACTTTTAGTGTCAGGGAATAAACATGGTGGGTAGATTAGGTTTGAAAAAAACTTCCTTAGAGGTATTTATTCTCAATACCTGACAGGGGCCCATGGGAATGACTTCAGAAGCATCCCGGATAATAGATGGGTAAAAAGTCTAGGCACCCTGAAGAACAGGTGAGACAGCTGGCCTCTGGACAGAGGTAGGCATAGTACAGTACGATATATCATTCCTCTGGTCCTAAATATACAAACTTATTCATGTTTTTAGGTGATGATGGTCATTGAAACTCACTTCTTTTCAGGTGTAGCTACAATTGTGTAATGTACAATATTAGAGAAAGGACAGGCTTTTTATGAGTAACACACACCATATATAAAACAGCCTTTCTGGCTGACCACATGGTTAAATGCATACCTTCCCAGTACTGGGGGGAAAAAATGACCCTTCTTAGAATGTGCAAGTTCCATGAGAGTAATATATTGATATGATTTTGAAAAGAATTGTTGATAGTTACATCTTCAAACTTATCATTCCAGTATGCATCTTTAAGATAATGTGATTCTAAGTAGATGACTTTATATTCTTGATTGAAGAGTGCTATACATGTTAAGAAATGCATTAAGGAATACAATAAATATTCTAAAGTGATGTAGATCAGTGTGACTGTCCTTTATTTCACTTGGGAATGGCATTGCTAAATGTGGGAATAATGCAACAGATTGTCAGGGTAGCTAACAATAAAGTCAGCACACATCACCACTTCTTTTTTTTTTCCTTTTTTTTAAATTATACTTTAAGTTCTAGGGTACATGTGCACAATGTGCAAGTTTGTTACATATGTATACATGTGCCATGTTGGTGTGCCAACATGCTAATGGTGTGCCATTAACTCGTCATTTACATTAGGTATATCTTCTAATGCTATCCCTCCCCCCTTCCCCCACCCCATGACAGGCCCCGGTGTGTGATGTTCCCCTTCCTGTGTCCAAGGGTTCTCATTGTTCAGTTCCCACCTATGAGTGAGAACGTGCGGTGTTTGGTTGTTTGTCCTTGCAATAGTTTGCTGAGAATGACGGTTTCCAGCTTCATCCATGTCCCTACAAAGGACATAAACTCATCCTTTTTTATGGCTGCATAGTATTCCATGGTGTATATGTGCCACATTTTCTTGATCCAGTCTATCATTGATGGACATTTGGGTTGGTTCCAAGTCTTTGCTATTGTGAATAGTGCCACAATAAACATACGCACATCACCACTTCTAGTCAAGTTGTTGCTTTTCTTTTTATCTTACCAGAGAAAAGATATTGTTCTTCTAGAAAGATCAAGTGAACATTGAGTTTCACAACTTGCTCCTTGTCAGAGGCTGCTATGTTTACAAAAATCATTTATCCAAGGCTTCATGTGTGAATCCTTGTTCACTTTTTGTGTAACATTTTCCTTTACTGTACACATTAGTTGCCTGGTGCTGTGAGTTTATTTCCATTTTGAAGTGGCTCTAGTGGTAGTCTGCTCAGCATCTGTTTTGCTGCTCCTCTGGTAACAAAGGGGTGGGCACGTCCCCAGGATTTGCTACTTCCGGTAGCTGTCCTTGGTCGACAGTGGTTATACCCAGAGTTGTGCATATGACCAAGGATGTACCAGTTTATTTCTCCAACATTTAAAAAACAGATGAGAAGTCAACTTTCTTACTCCTCTCGGGCTATGAAGCCATAAGAATGTGAATCTGACACCAATACCCCACATGTCTGCTACACACATGCACATACCTAGCTGAGCTCCAGCTGGAGAGAAAGAAACTGATACACAAAACATGGAGCTGTATAGGAAGTATGTCAGTGGGGGCATTCTGGTGGTATTTGGATAGATGGTTCTGGAAGTGCCTAAGGCCAACTTCCCTCCAGCCGTGCCTGGATAGAGTTCATAAATCTTTTTGCTTGAGCAGAGTTTTTGTCACCTGTAAGCACAGTGAAATCATACAGCTTTGGTAATTCTTTTTCGCCACGGTGTCTCACTCTGTCACCTAGGTTGGAGTGCAGTGGCACAATCACGGCTCACTGCAGCCTTAGCCTCCTGGGCTCAAGTGATTCTTCCACTTTAGCTTCCTGAGTACCTGAGACTATAGGTATGCACTACCACACTTGACTAATTTATTTTTTGTAGAAACGGAGTGTCACTATGCTGCCCACGCTTGCCTGGAACTCCTGGCCTCAAGTGATCTTCCTGCCTCAGTCACCCATAGTGCTGGGATTACAGGCATGACCCAACATGCATGCCATAATTCTTGAGTTCTGAGAGGGACCTGGTCTCCTAGAGAAGTTATGCAGAATATGAGCAAAACTGCTCGTACCTAGTCCCAGAGAACACAAGAGCATTTCTGGGTATTTACAGTGAGTAGGGAGGTTATGAGTAGAAGTTCATTCTCTTCCAATCTCAGTATATTCAGCAAAAGTTTGGGATGTTATTTCAATGGAAGTATAAGCAAAAATTTAATCAATAAATGGGTTTCTTTGGCACTGACTTCCTTTTCTCAGGGTGTGATCTTGAGTTTCTTAAGCTTATTTTTAGATCCTCCATCTTTAAAATAGGGGAGAATACACTGTTTTCCACTGTGGTTCTATAAGATGTAATTAAAATATCTGGCTGTAAAACTGACATCTTTTAAAAATGCTGTGCCATCATATTACCTTGGAGACAGAATTGTTTATTGTTCCTGTCGTTTTATTTAATGACTACACTGCCTTCCCACTGGAGACAATACTGAATATCAAAGTGGATTTAAGTATAAATACCAATAAGTGTATGTGATCTGAGTGCACATTTATGTGACATATTTGAAGATCCTGCCTCTATAAAGTTAGACACATCTGTGTAAAATCATCCAAACACCCCTTGTGGATCACGCAGCAGCTTCCATGAGCATGATGCCTACAACACTCCAGATAACTAATTGGTAATTCCTTTGTCTAGGGAAACAAATATGTTTGATTGTAGTCATTATCACCCCTCATGGGGAGCCACTCTGGATGGTCCTGTTGGAAAGGGCCTCAGGCAACTCTACCTTGACTCTTGCATGGCCCACAGTGTGTATGTTGGAAACACACCTATTTCTGCTGACAAACTACAGGATGCCAGATGCCCAACACAGCCATTTTTTTGTTTTTGGCTCACTCCTAAACACCAGGTATTCTATCTCTTGCCCTTTAAAGTTTTTAAGAGGAAATCAGACAGTTCCAGAAGCTGGCATATAAAACCTTGGTGTTCCCTTGGAAGACCCTCTGTCTTAATGTGGGGATAGAAGGTAGCTTCTCCCATTTTGCATTCTTGGGGTTGGAGTACTCAACTCTCCAAACTGTTTCTGTAATTGCTCGTTAATATTTATTGAATCAATTTGCTGGTTGAAAACAGCAAATTTAGCTGAGGAGTTCCCTCAGCTGAATAATTAGGTAAGACCTTAGGAAGAGGTAAGAAAAGAAAAAGAAACGAGGTGGAATATGGAGGGCATAACACAGGAATAAAGAGACCTGCGATGGTCACATGTTTAACACTTGATAATTTATAAAGTACCCAAAATATGCTAGCTAGCTTATTTGATTCTCGTAATAACCTGCCAGGGAGACATTATTACCTCCATTAAAATTAACTTGATTAGTTGGAAAGAAGTAATGTCTGTCAGTTCTTTAATCAAATTAGCTTTTCAGGGCTAATGTTGGATTTTGCCAAGGTAGTTAATGAGACGTGAATTAAATCCCCTGAACAGAACTAGATTTGTGGCTCTTTGGTAAGCTATAAAACAGAGTCCAAATTCTCTAAACCTAATGGAACAAATATTCAAATTTTGTTCCCTCTGCCCTCACAGCTCTTATACACAACCCAGTTTATAAGGAAATGGGTAGTTGTCAAGTAAAAACGATGATGCCACCCACCAGGCAAAATGTCCCCATGGAAGACTTGTAATTACCCAATGTGCTTACATGAAAGGTTCTATGTAGGTAAGCATGCTCACCTGACATCAACCAGAGGGACGGACACACTTTGCTTTGTCTTTGTGGCTGAGCAACTTTCTGAAATTGTTTGTTTGCAATTAACCTTTACCCACGTTCAAAGTCAGAGTTGTAGTTAAGACTAATTCAGTTGAGTCCCAGAAATAAAGCTAAGATTGTTACCAAACTGAACATGGGTTACCTGCTTGACACAGCAAAGCCAAACACTGATATTGGGATATGCAGCAAGAAAACGTGAGGTATTTATTGCAGGGCAGCAAGCAAGGAGAATTAGGCAGCTCATGCCTAGGACCCATACTCTTCAATGGCTTAAATGTAAGGGTTTTTAAAGACAAGATGACAGAGGTTACAGGTGAAGTCATAAGTCAATACATGGAGGCTGTACATTGGTGTAGCCTAAAAAGGCAGGACATCTTGAAGCAGGGCCCATAGGTCATAGGTGGATTCAAAGATTTTCTGATTTGCCCTTGGTTAAGCTTTGCTTAAAAACTTGGGGTCAGTAGAAAAAAAGTGTTAAGCTCTGGCCTGTGGGCATGACTTCCTCCAGGCCCCTCAGGAAGAAATTCAGAATGAGGAACATTGGTCAGAGTTCAGCCCTCAGTTCCCTAGTATCTGAGGTCTGTGTGCCAGCAAAGAGCATTTTCCATGTGTTGGGGATCTGGGTTTCTGAAAAACAACTCAGAGGCATAAATAAAGATGTTCTCTTGAGTTTCTATAGGGAACCAAATATTTCGTTGCTCTCACTTCTTTGGCTGTTTTAAGCTATATTTACCTTTTTGCTTAACAGGTTGCTCATAAGGCTAGCTAGCCACTTCTCAAGGATAGCTAGGTGCCTGGGATTTTCCTTGAAGGGACTCCAGGTTTTCTTTTATTTCTATGCTCTGTGGGCCCATCAGGCCTCAAAGAGGGGTCCCTGCTCCATCTCAATATTTGTATCCTGAAAGTAAATGTTACAGGTGACATAGAGGAATGCTCAGTGAGATCTAATAGTTTCCTCCAACAGGAAAGACAGGATCCATGGAAAGAAGAAAACTGGTCATGGCACTGGAGCCTGTGGAGTGGGGTTGGGGTTGGGGTTGGAGTAAGAAGGCATTAGGGTTCAGCAAGACACACTTTATATGAAACATTTAAGTGTTATTATCGTATTTTCTTTAAATGTTAAGACAGCATCAATTTTAAAATGCACTATGATTTTGTTTACTTTCTTATCACTTAGAAATTTTATTGTGTAGATACTAAGATTTTTTAGACTTCTCCTCAGTCCCAGATGAGTTCACCAATTAGTCCCTGCCTGTTTAAGGCAAAGAAGAGTCATTAATGGATGCCTTGTGCAGCTGATAGGCATTGCAAGCAGTTAATGACCCAAGAAAATTGACCAGTCTTGAAGTCTGTGCATTTGCAATCCAGGAGTTTATCACTGACAAGAGGGGTCAAATGGTCAAAGGGACAGGGTCAGGGTGGGGATCAGGTCAGGAGAAGGGTGGAGGTGTGGGGAGCTGGTGCCTGCCTCAGCTCCCCCTCTGGAACAGTAGTGCAACCAGAGGCCAAGGGTGCCAAGACAATTGTAGTGTGCCACCATTTGTGAGATGCATCTCAATTTCAGAGGTGATAAAATGTGGAAAATTGTTTATCTTTGCTAAAATCAGTGAATTGCAGGGAGTCCTCTCAGGCCTTTCTGAATTGGCATAATGTTTGATTTACGAATATTTTAAAGACACATCTTGTCATTACATTCTATTACATACAGCACTGATTGCATAGGAAATAATCCCTAAGGACCTCTTTCACAAATAAGAGTTGGTAATTATATTAGTGTGTATGTAAATAAGTGCTTAAAAATGGTTCCCCCAGCAATCCAAGTGTTCATTATGGAAACTTTCCATCATGATTTGCCTTCCAGGTTTGTCTCTGTGTCCTCCTAACCTTTTCCTCTCACACCCATCTTTTCTATACACACAATTTCTGTTTCAGGTATATAAAAGTTTTGCCTGTAATCCCAGCACTTTGGGAGGCTGAGGCAGGTGGATCACTTGAGGTCAGGAGTTTGAGACCAGCCTTACCAACATGGCAAAACCCCATCTCTACTAAAAATACAAAATTAGCTGGGCGTGGGTCATGCCTGTAATCCCAGCTACTTGGGAGGCTAAGGCAGGAGAATCGCTTGAACCTGGGAGGCAGAGGTTGCAGTGAGCTGAGATCGTGCCATTGCACTCAAGCCTAGGCAAAAAGAGTGAAACTCCAACTCAAAAAAAGAAAAGTTTATCTGTGAAAAAGTTTGAATACTGGGGTGGGTGCAGTGGCTCATGCCTGTAATCCCAGCACTTTGGGAGGCCGAGGCAGGTGGATAGCTTGAGCTCAGGAGTTTGAAACCAGGTTGGGCAAGACATGGTGAAACCTCATCTCTACCAAAAATACAAAAAAATTAGCTGGGCATGATGACACTCACCTGTAGTCCCAGCTACTTGAGGGGTTGAGGTGGGAGGATCGCTTGAGTCCAGGAGGTCAAGGCCACAGTGAGCTGAGATTGCACCACTGCACTCCAGCATGGGTGACAAAGTGAGACCCTGTCTCAAAAAAAAAAATAAAAAGAAAAATTTTTAATGTTGTAATTAAAGATATTTAACATGGTATAGATACTCAAATATATAAGCAAGTATAGAAGGCCATGCATCTGAGGAGTTACTTCTATTAAGTCAGTAGTATGAAACTCCATATGAGATTGTTGAAGTGAACAATGCCATTTAGGATGAGTGTGATCAAATTGGAGAAAGCATAGGAAAACAAATAATTAAAAATAATACAACTATGGAGAAAGAATAAAATGCCATGGAATATTTAACTTGCAGAAGAGACGTTAAAAGAGTGATTTAACAAGAATTTAGAAAACTGCTGTTTATAACTAAAGAATGCCCAGGCCCAAAGGGAAAGAAGAAGAAGAGGGTGTGGAATTTAATTTAGACACTAACCAGCATTTCATGACAATGAGATTTTAAGAAACAGGAATTAAATGACCTATTTATTCATTCATTTATTTTAAATTTTATTGCATATATTTAAGGTATACACCATGATGTTCATTTATTTACTGGTAGGAATTGAGGGGGAGAGAGAGAAAGGGAGAGAGAGGAGAGGTGTTGGGTAGTCTAATTTGGAGACAGTTCTGGAATCTAGCATTCCTAAAATCTGGCATTCAAGGAAATTTCTACTGGCTTTACAGTCTGGATTCTCTTTATAAACGTATTAATTCTCTCATTATCCAAAAACACCTATTTGTATATGCTTGGCAAACAATAGATGCTCAATAAATTTTTAGTGAAAGAGTGAGTGAAGAGAATATGAACTAATAAATAATTCAGTGGCACAGGATCATATTTAGACAAAATTCAGTTTGTCTTTTTAAATTTCTAACTCCAAATAATAACAGCAAACAAGCAAAACTGGCCCAGAGATACCAGGGATAGTTAAGGTCTCTCTCTGTCACTATCTCTTTCCCCCCTCTCCTTTCTTTCTTCCTTTTAAGAGATATGTATTAAGCACTCTTATCAGTCAGAGTCCAATCAGGAGACAGAAAGTACATGGTGAGTTGAACAGGGAAAGTTTAAAATAAAGAATTGTTAACTATAACAGGAAATTGGAGGAATGCATAATTGACTAGTAAGAAGTAAAGCAAATTCTAAGCAACACGAGATTAACAGCTATAAGGAGCAACCACTACACTTTGAGTTGAAATAGAGCATCCAAGGAACAGGCCTCCAGGGCTGAGATCCAGACCTTGTTCAAAAGTGCATGGCTGTGGCTCACTGGATGGCAGAGAAGTCAATGTGATGCTATGCCAACAGAACTTTCTCGAAATCTGCCTCTGGGGTGCAACAGGAAGCTGTCACAGAGATGCAGCCATGCTTCTCCTGGTGCCACAAAGCCACCCGAAGAGGTGCTAGGGAAGTCTGTTAACAGGGAGCTGTCTCATCTGGGGCATTCCACTGCACAGACACCTGCTGGGGGATGTAGCTGGCTGCTGAGTCCCACAGGCTGCCACATACTGCAGGAGCCATGAATGGGAAAAGCCAGTTTTGCTGTGATTGTTGGGTACTGGGGAAGCTATGTGTGCTGCAGGACCCTGGAAAGAGAAGCACACCAGAACTAGGAGGATAAAGCTCTTCCTCCTCCAGTGTCTCTCTAGCACCTTCTATTGACAAAGCTTAATATAGTGCCAGTTGGCAAAGAAGTCATATTTGCAGGCTTCATCTGTATTATCTTGGACAAAGCAACGAAAGCTGGATTTGGAGCCAGAAGTCAGCAAGATGCTAACTGACATAATTACCTGCTATGAGCCAGCAGTGTACTAGATGCTAGGGATATGGCAATAAGAAAGCATATTGTCTCACCCTCATGGAGCTTAGATTCTAGTGGAGAGAAATAGCTCTTAATCACATAATCACCCTTAAGAGTTAACTTATAACTGTGTTGAGTTTTCTTTTTATGAAGAAAAAGTATGAGTGCCATGAGAGGTTATTTTAAAGGATCTTGAAGTTATATTAATATTTCTTACTTGCCTCTGTTCAGCACATCCTTACATTTGCCACAGGTTCTTCAATAAAATGTGAAAGCATGTGTAAAAAGCTAAAGTGACTCTTGACAATAAAAACCAACCAACCAACCAACCAAAAAAAAAAAAAATCCCTCAAAACAATATGGAGATCAAGTAACTTAACATCTGTGAAAAATTACAAAAAGAATTCAGCCACAAGGCAGAACTCTGGTAAAAGTGGTTAGAGGACAAAAATCAAACATCACTTGTGCTTGATTTGAGAAAATCTGAACTTTACAGTTTCAGTGAAATAATAGAGTTATTAAAAGGATATGAAATAGAATGATTCTGGCCCAGGGTGAAAGCCATACCACTCAGTGGTTGTTGTAGTCATTTGATTATAGATGTTTTATCGTGGAAGGATATTACATAGATACAATCTGTCCTGAAGGGGTCAATTGAAATACTCTGGTGACTGAGGAAATGCAGCAATGAGAATGCTGCTAACCAAACTGAGCCAGCTGTGTTTTTCAGAGAAGAAGGAATTGTGAAATGACCTCATTGTCATCTGTAATATCATGGAGAAGCAGAAATATTCCAAGGACATCTGAGCTGGTGTTAAAGTCGAACATATTTATAAAAGTTAACTCTGGCATAAACATAAAACTACTTTATATTGTTAGAAGGGAAAAATGAAAACATAAAATCATTTACAAACCTGTTCTATACCTGGAATACATCCATTTGTTTATCTCAATAATGGCTATCCAATTAATAAGGAAATTTTTTTTTTCATTTAACAAGACCATAGCACAAAAAGATCTATCAATCTACCAATATGTATACAACCTATAAGTCCAGTCCAGAAAAAGAGCAAATATGTTTTAAAAAATTACTAAAACAGCATAAGAAGTTCATCTGCCAAATAGGTCATAGTTTGTAAGCACTAATTTAATAATAAAAATAGAAAGCATGTTGAAACTTTACTCCACAACCAACTTATGTCCCTTAATCTCGGGAATCTCATGACTTGACCTTGTCAGGAAAAGTATTAATTTGTGGGTGAAATGATCGGACATGAAGATTTGCTTAAAAATACTCTGTCAAGTAATGATGATAATGACAATTATAGAAAAATCGATGAAGTAATATTGGCAAAATTTGGGTAAAGCTGGGGGTGACAGGTACATGAAAGTTAATTATGCTCTTCTTTACTGTATGTTTGAAATTCATCATATTAGAAGGGTTTTCAAAAGAAAGATATAAATGCAATATCCATTATAGCATATTTATGATAATTACAGTTTTGAATAGGAAAATTTAGTGATGTTTTGAATAAGAAAATTTAGTGATGATTCCCTGGGGTTGGGATTAGAAATTTAGTCAAGAGGAACTACAATCTCAATGGAAGAGAGAAGATGAGGATGGATTTTTTTAATCAAGTTCATTTTTATTATTTTAATCACTAATAATGCAAACCCCAGAAGAATGAAAATAAGTACAAAAAGCATGAAAAAAAAAACAACATTATTAGCTATCAGGCAAATGCAACTTTAAGCCATACTAAGATACTACCACACACCTGACAGAATAACTAAAATAAAAACAGTGACACCACCAAATGTTGGTAAAGATATGGAGACACTAAATCTCTCATACATTTCTGAGGGAATGTAAAATGATACAGCCATTCCGGAAAACAGTTTGGCAGTTTCTTATAAAACTAACATATAGTTTACTGTATGGCCCAATGAATGCACTATTGGGCATTATTCCAGAAAAATGAACTTATGTTGATATAAAAACCTATACAAGAATATCAGCAGCAGTTTTATTTATGAAAGTCAAAAGCTGGGAGCAGCCCAGATATCCTTAAATGGGTGAATGGTTAAACAAACTGTGGGAAATCCTTAAATAGAATACTACTCAGCAATAAAAAGAAACAAACTATTGATATATGCAACAACTAGGATGAATTTCCAGGAAATTACACTGAGAAAAAAAGCCTGTGCCAAAAGGCTATATACAATATGATTTCACTTATGTAACATTTTTGAAATGATAAAATTTTAGCAACAGAGAACATATCAGATGTTGTCAGGGGTTAGGGATCTGGGAGGGAAAGTAGAAAAGAGGTTTGTGTGGTTATAACAGAGTCACAGGAGGGATACTTGGGGTGATGGAACTGTTCTGTATTTCACCTGTAGTGGTGGATATATGAACCTACACATGTAATACAAGTAAACAGAACTAAATCACACACACACAAGTAAAGCACAAGTGAGCACAAGCAATATGAATAAAACGAGTATATTCTCATTAACCTAGCTGTGATATTGTAACATAATTTTGTAAGATGATCCCATCAGAGGAAAATAGGTAAAGAGTACATGGGATCTCCCCGTTGGTATTTCTCACAGCTTCGTGTGAAACTAAAATTATCTCAATAAAAATTTCACCCACAAATAAAGTTAAAAAATCAGTGTTGAAAGGCTGCCTTTTTAATCTGCTCAAACCCTTGATAGATGATCTTCTTGACTTTTTTTCCAAAGGGAATAAAAAGAAATGGTTGTACTCTTCCTACTAATCATAGGAAGTTCTTTACTTGTTTTACCTAGGAATGCCACCCACTGGCTAGATGCCTCTAATGAAGTTTCTTAACCTCACTGTGTAGGTTTTCTAATATGTAAATGGATATAATGCCTTCCTCACAGGGCTGCTGAAAGGATTTAAAATATATCTTAAGTTCCTGGCACATAATTGCCAATTTAAAAAATTCTTCTTTACACTAGAGATAATGTTTCATTTGTAGTTTTTTTACAGTCCCTGCTTTTTTTACTTTTGCTCTCCCATTAGTCTTTGGGAATTTCTGTATGTGTTTATGTATTCCCTGGAACATGAATATATTATATACAGTAAAATTTCTGGTTAAGAGTAAAGAAAGTTTGGAGAGAAAGCTTGAAACTAGTGACCCAAAAGAAATGTTGGATTATCTGTGATTTTCAGTGATCTATCCTCTTCCTGGCCAAGTGTAGCATATGAAATCAAGAACTAGTGGCATTGAATGGCAATTTAAAATGCTGCTTAATTAAGCCATTAAAGATGAATATAAATTCTCACGGTGATTTTTCATCAATTCTCGTTTATTACCAAGGACACCTGTTGATTTAAAAGTGTAGAAGTACTGAGTGAGAGCTTGTTCTGGCCTTGTAATGAGAAGTTATGAAATATCAGCATTGTCCCATTAGTAACTATGTGCATATCCAGATCCATCTAATTTTATGAAGCAGACAATGAGTATTTTTGAAGGCAAATGAGGAAAATCACTCTTAGAAACCAAGCTAGGAGTTATCTACTGCCAGGAATGGTGGCATAGATTGGTATAGATAAATCTGGCAATAGAAAGCTACCAGGAAGGCTGGATAAAATACCCCCACCCCTGTTCCACTATCTCTACCACCACCACCACCACCACCACACACACACACACACACACACACACAAATGTTTGAGGGCATCAAAGAGAAACTGAAACTTTCTGGAGCAATAAAGAAGCAAAATGAGGTTAGTCTTATATTCTTAAGCTTAACATTCCATGGCATTGTCCCCTTTGAGGTGTTTGCTAACTTACAGAACTTGTAGGGCTAAAACACTGAGAAAGTAAACATAAAGTGACAGCTAAGAGTCTGAGAAGCTCAGATGAGCTTAAGTTATCTTATATATTGGGGAGACGACAATTAGGAATCAGAGACAGCCAAGGAAAAACAGTCCTACTAAAGACCTTAGAATTCCAATTACAGTTGACCCTTGAACAACATAGGTTTGAACTGTATGGGTCCACTTTTACACAGATATTTTTTCAATAAATACACTGAAAATATTTTGGAGATTTGCAACAATTGGAAATAACTTGCAGATGAACCATGCAGCTTTGAAAAATAAAGTTAGGTATGTCAAGAATACATAAAATATATGTAGATACTAATCTATTTTGTCCTTTACTACCAGAAGATATATACAAATCTAGCATAAAAAGTTAAAATTTATCAAAACTTATGCACACAATCACTATACACAGTGTCATTTGCAGTCTAGAGAAATGTAAATAAATATAAAGATACAGTAGTAAGTGATAACTGCATAAAATTAACTGGAGTAATACTGTACTACTATAATAACTTTGTAGCTACCTTCTTTTGCAATTGCAGTGAGCTCCTGTTGTGAGTATCCAAGTCTCCATTTAAAATGCCATGCCATACTAATCATCTCCATGTGCGCAGTTTGTCTCTCTAGTAAATTTTTTTTTTTTTTTTTTTTTTTTTTGAGACGGAGTCTCGCTCTGTCGCCCAGGCTGGAGTGCAGTGGTGCGATCTCGGCTCACTGCAAGCTCCGCCTCCCAGGTTCACGCCATTCTCCTGCCTCAGCCTCCCGAGTAGCTGGGACTACAGGCGCCCACCACCATGCCCGGCTAATTTTTTTGTATTTTTAGTAGAGACGGGGTTTCAGCATGTTAGCCAGGATGGTCTCAATCTCCTGACCTCGTGATCCGCCCGCCTCGGCCTCCCAAAGTGCTGGGATTACAGGCGTGAGCTACCACGCCCGGCCGTAAATTTCTTATCACAGTAAAAAGTGATCTCTCATGATTTATGTGGACATTTTTGTTGTGTTTCTTGCAATACCATAAACCTTAAATAATACTATGGGACTCATACAAAGTGCCACTAGTAGTGCTGGAAGTGCTCCCAAGAAGCATAGAAAAGTCATGGCATTACAAGAAAAGTTTGGGTCACTTGATACGTACCACAGATCGGGGTCTAAAGCTGTGATTGCCCACCATTTCAGGATAAATGAATCCAGTGTAAGGACCACTGTCAAAAAATAAAAAAGGAAGGAAATTCATGAAGCTGTTGCTGCAGCTATGCTAGCAGGCACAAAATCCTTGCCCTTGTTGTGAAGTGCCTATTTATCTTGTATTATCTTGTATCTGTATTGAAAATGCAGCTTTATATGGGTGCAGGGTTGCATTATAGGAAAGGCATACATATAAACTCTAATATGATTTGAGAAAAAGCAAAGTCATTATATGTGACAACTTAAAGCAAAAAGAAGATGAAGGATCTAAAGCTGGAAAATTTAATGCCAGCAAAGGATGGTTTGATAATTTTAGAAAGAGGTTTGACTTTTAAAATGTCAAGATAACAGGAGGAGCTTCTGCTGACCAACAGACAGCAGATGAGTTCTTAAATGCCATTAAGAAAATCATTGAGGGGAAAGGCTATCTGCCTGACCAAGTTCTTAATGCAGATGAAAGTGCCCTATTCCAGAAAATCCACAAAAGAAATTTATTAGTAAGGAAGAGAAGCGAGCACTGGGATTTAAAGCAGGAAGGGATAGGCTAATTCTACTGTTTTATGCAAGTTCAGTCAGGTTTATGATCAGGATTGCCGTTACCTATAAAACTGCTATCCGCTGAACCTTGAAGGTAAAAAAGAAAATAAACATTTTATCTGAGGAATATGAATCTCCTCTAAATTATCAGGCCTAGGGAGGCATAGGAATGAGACACCAACTGTGTCCAACTTCCCCCTTGAGCTACATAATCATTACTTGAAGCTGCATGCTATGTGGACTCTAGACTGACTGATGACACAAATAGCTATAAACTAACCTAACAATCCCACATACTGGACACCATAAATCATACCCTATGGTTAAAAAATGTACAACAGTCACTAATAAATGCTATTTTTGTGAACCCATGAAGAATTCCTGACAAACAACTTTGTATTAGCCCACTCCTTGTCTCCCTTGTTTGCCCTTAAAAACCTACTGTAACAAAGGCTACATGGAGCACATATCCAAGGTTGCTTGGGTGTGAGTCTTCTGGGAAGCTTGTCCCATTTTAGTTGAAGTTTGAAGTTGTATTTGTGCTTCGGTTTCCTTCTTTAGGCCAATAAAGGGAAAAGATAAGCACCTGCTTCCAGTCTTCTGATTATACAACAAGATAGCCTGGACAGCAGGATCCCCTTTTCTGGATTGGTTTCATCAATGTTTTGTCCTTGAAGTCAGGAAGTACCTTGCCAGTAAGGGACTGCCTTTTCCAGTTCTTTTGATATTGGACCATACCCCTGCTCATCCAGAGCCCTGTGAGTTTAATACTGAAGGTGTCAAAGTGGTCCACTTGCCTCCAAACACAACATCTTTAATTCATCCTCTAGATTGGGGTCATAGGAACCCTTAAGGCTCATTATACATGCTACTCTATGGAAAAGATTGTCAATGCTATGACAGAGAAACCTGATAGTTAGAATGTTACATAAGTCTAACAGGATTACACCATTGATTATGCCATCCTTGTTATAGAAAAATCCATGAAAACCATCAAGCTCAAAATAATACATTCCTGCTGAAGAAAACTGTGTCTATATGTGCATGGCTTCACAGGATTTATAACAGAGCCAATCAAGAAAATCACGAAAGAAATTATAGATATGGCAAAAAAAGGTAGGGGGTGAAGTGTTTAAAGATTTTGTGAATCTTAGAGAAATTCAAGTGGTAATAGGCACCACAGCAGAGGAATTAACAGAATATGACTTGATAAAGATGAGTGCTTCTAAACCATGCCAAACTATGAAAAAGAAGACAGAAGAAGCAGTGCCAGAAAACAAATTGACATTAGAAAACTTGACAGAAGGATTCCAATTATTCAAAACTGCTTTTGACTTCTTTTATGACATGGACCCTTCTATGATACAGGCAATGAAAGTAATGCAAATAGTGGAAGAAGTATTGGTACTGTATAGAAATATTTTTAGAGAAAAGAAACAAGCAAAATGTCTGAAATTATGATGCATTTCCATTAAGTTCCACCAAGTGTGCCTGCCTCTCCTTCCTCCTCTCTACCTTCTCCATCTCTGCCACCTCTGCCACTCCTGAGATGGCAAGATCAATCCCTGCTCTTCTTCAGCCTACTCAATGTGAAGACCATGAGAATGAAAACCCTTTTGATGATCCACTTTCACTTAATGACTAATAAGTATAATTTATCTCCCTTGTGATTTTCTGAATAACATTTTCTTTTCTTTAGCTTATTGTAAGAATGCAGATATCATACACATAATATATAAAATATGTGTTACTAGACCGCTTATATTATTGGTAAGGCTTCCAGTCAACAGAAGGCTATTAGTAGTTAAGTATTTGAGGAGTCAAAAGTTATATGCAATTTTTTATTATACTTTAAGTTCTGGGATACATGTGCAGAATAGGCAGATTTGTTACATAGGTATACACGTGCCATGGTGGTTTGCTGCACCCATCAATCTGTCATCTACACCAGGTATTTCTCCCAATGCTATTCTTCCTCTAGCACCCCCACACCCTGACAGGCCCTGGTGTGTGATGTTCCCCTCCCTGAGTCCATGTGTTCACATTGTTCAACTCCCACTTATGAGTGAGAACTTGTGATGTTTGGTTTTCTGTTCCTGTGTTAGTTTGCTGAGAATGATGGTTTCCAGCTTCATCCATGTCCCTGCAAAGGATGTGAACTCATCCTTTTTTATGGCTGCATAGTATTCCATAGTGTATATATGCCACATTTTCTTTATCCAGTCTATCACTGATGGGCATTTGGGTTGGTTCCAAGTCTTTGCTATTGTGAATAGTGCTGCAATAAACATACATGTGCATGTGTCTTTATAGTAGCATGATTTATAATCTTTTGGGTATATACCCAGTAATGGGATTTCTGGGGTCAAAGAGTGATTGCATGAGGGGATGGCTTCCCTATCCCCCATGTTGGTCAAGGGTCAACTATAGTTCTCCTGAAGACTATACTTCAGAAGTACCCAATAGAAAGAAAAAGAAAATTCCTCTAAAAAGATCTCAGAAAGAGCTTCAAAGTAATGCCCCATTTTTTTACACACAGATGTCCCATATGTTGGAACCATTAGACACGGACATAGAAAAAGATAAATATATTCAAGAAAATAAATGATGAGGTGGATAATTTAACCAGAGAAATTCTAACATAATAAAGTCAAGAACCCAACATAGCCGAGCGCGGTAGCTCATGCTTCTAATCCCAGCACTTTGGGAGGCCGAGGCAGGCGGATCACCTGAGGTTGGGAGTTCGAGACCAGTCTGACAAACATGGAGAAACCCCATCTCTGCTAAAAATACAAAAAAAAATTAGCCGGGCATGGCGGCACATGTCTTAATCCTAGCTACCCAGGAGGCTGAGGCAGGAGGATTGCTTGAACCTGGAAGGCGGAGGTTGCAATAGGCCGAGATTCCACCATTGCACTCCAGCCTGGGCAACAAGAGCAAAACTCCATCTCAAACAACAACAACAACCCCAACAAAAAAGCAACAAACAACCAAAAAAACAAAACCGATATATGTGTGTAACAGTAAATGAGACAATGAAACACTATTAGTAAACTGAAAGATAGGATGATATAAAATATCCAGAGTGAAACATAGAAAAAATGAATGGATTAATAAATACAAAAAGTACCTATGAAACATGGTAAAAAGAAGGTCTAATAGCTGTGTAAAAATATTACAGAAGAAGAGGAGAGTGAGAAAGGGAGGGGCTAAAAGCTTTAATAGGTAAAATTTTGGCCAATTAATTTCCAAGATTATCAAAAGCACTTAAACCACAGATTCAAAGGAGCGCCGTCAAACCTAAGCAGAATTAAAAGCAAAAACAAAAACATAGGTAGTATATCAGGGGCCAATAGCTAAAAGCCAAAGACAAAGAAAGATCTAAAAACAGCCAGAGTGATAAAGACATACTACTCTTAAAGGAGGAAAAATAAAACAGAGAACTGACTTCTTTTGTTTAAAAATGCCTGTGCATGCAAGCCTGAGAGTTAAAAACTCCAAGGGGGATTCAGTCAAATGGGAGCTGTCACACTTTTGTGGCTTTTACCTTGAGGAGTTCACCAAGTTCTTACAGCAAACATCAGACAAAAATTTCCTCATGCTTTTGGTAGGGAAGGGGAGAGGAAGGCAAGAAGAAAGAATTATTTTGCAATATGCTAGAGAACTATGCTCTTCTTAACCAGACCTGACCCCAGAAGAAACTCCAGAACCAGAGCCTAACTTGCTGGGATATTATCAGAAACTAATTGACCTCAGAAAAGGAAATACCCAATTCCAGCCTACTCTAGTTGTCCTGTCTCCCTAAAGGGATAGGGGAGAAACTGAGAAGCACTTGTGTAGTTCACAGTCCAGGAACACAGGCTCACTTAAAGATTGAGACCTAAGCAAGCATGGGTCTATAGAATGTTTTCCCCTGCCCCTAAACCTTAGCAACACATTACTAAAAGCCCATACAAAGCAGTTCCTTTTACCTGGTCCATCATATCTGGTTATCAAGAAAATATTACAAAACATACTAAAGGCAAAAAAAAAAATCCACAAGTAGAAGAGGCAAAAGAAGCATTAAAACCAGAATCAGATATGGCAAGGATGCTGGAATTATTAGAAAGAAAATTTAAAACAACTATAGTTAATATGCTAAGTTCCCTAATGAATAAAGTAGACAGAATGCAAGAATAGGTGGGCAATGTAAACACAGAGATAAACATTCTAAAAAAAATGCTAGAAATAAAAAACACTGTAACTGAAAGAATAATGTCCTTGATGGGTTTACAATAGACTAGGTATGGCTGAAGAAAATATCTCTGAGCTTGAGGATATATCAACAGAAACTTCCAAAAATGAAAAGAAATGAGAACAAAGACTTGAAAAAACAAAAGAATATCCAAGGACTGTGGCACAACTACAAAAAAGTGTAATATACAGCCGGGCGCAGTGGCTCATGCCTGTAATCCCAACATTTTGGGAGGCCGAGGCGGGCACATCACGAGGTCAGGAGATAGAGATCATCCTGGCTAACATGGCAAAACCCCGTCTCTACTAAAAATACAAAATAAATAAATAAATAAATAAATAAATAAATAAATAAAAAGCCGGGCGTGGTGGCGGGCACCTGTAGTCCCAGCTACTCGGGAGGCTGAGGCAGGCAAATGGCGTGAACTCAGGAGGCAGAGCTTGCAGTGAGCAGAGATCGCGCCACTACACTCAGGCCTGGGCGACAGGAGCCAGACTCCGTCTCAAAAAAAAAAAGTGTAATACACATGTAATGGAAATACCAGACGAAAGAAACAGAAGAAATATGTGAAATAATAATGACCAAGTATTTCCCCAAAGTAATGTTCAACACCAAATCACACAGCCAGGAAACCTAGAAAACAGCAAGCAGGATAAATGCAAAAACCAAAGCAAAACAAAAGCCTATGTCTAGGCATGCTATTTCCAAACTACAGAAAATCAAACATAAAATTCTGAAAGAAGCAGAGGGAAACAACACATTACCTACATTGTACTTATCTATAGAGGGACAAAGATAAGAACTACAACCAACTTCTCAGAAACCAGGCATACTGGAAGAGAGTGGAGCTAAATAAACTGCTGATTTTCATCCCCTACCAACCTAGAATTCTGTACCCTGTGAATTGTCTTTCAAAGTTGAATGAGTAATGAAGTCTTTCGCAGACAAAAACTGAGGAGGCAGATCTGCCTTGCAAGAAATGTTAAAATAATTCCTTGGGATGGAAGGAAAATAATATAGGTCAGAAACTCAGATGTATGTAAAGAAAGGAAGATCATTGAAGTAGGAATAAGTGAAGGCAAAATAAAAAAGTTTTTTTCCCTTATTTTAATTGATCTAACAGATAACCATTTGTTTAAAGTAATAATACTGACAATATGTTCAATTATGTATACTTATGTATATACCATATATATGTTTACGTATACTATGTATAAGTGGTGATAGAAGGAATGGCAGAGGAAATTAGAAATATTTTGTGTTTATAAGGTGCTCACACTTCCTGTGAAGTGATATAGTGTTATTTGAAAGTAGACATGGATTAGTTATAAATGTATATTGCAAACTCTAGGACAGCCAGGAGAAACATTGAAAAGAAGTCGAATTGATATGCTAAGAAAGAAGAGAAAATTATATAAAATGTTCAATAGAAATCACAAAAGGCAGAAAAAGAGTGGAAAATAAAAACTGGACCAAAGAACAAAGGCAACAAGTAGAAAACAGTAGCAAATATGGTAGATAGTAATCCAACTACATAATCACTTTGAACATCAATGGTCAAAATGCATCAACTGCAAGACAGAAATTGTCAGAGCACATCAAGAAAACAAGACACAACTAGATGTTGTCTGCAAGAAACTCAGTTTAAATATAAAAATACATATATATCAAAAGTAAATAGATGGAGAAAATATACCATGCTAACACGAATGAAAACAAAAGTGGAGTAGCTGTATAAATTTCAAAAAGAGCAGATTTTAATGCAAGGAAGTTATCAGGAATAAGAAAGAGCATTACATAACTATAAAGGG
This sequence comes from Homo sapiens, assembly GCF_000001405.40. Taxonomy (NCBI): domain Eukaryota; kingdom Metazoa; phylum Chordata; class Mammalia; order Primates; family Hominidae; genus Homo; species Homo sapiens. The sequence continues at coordinate 41,710,751 of NC_000005.10, read as the reverse complement.
ATCAATTATCTGAAAGACAACAATCTTCAACATGTATGTGCCTAACAGCAGCATCAAATTATACGAGGGAAAGCCTGAGAAAACTGCAAGAAATAAGAGATGAATCCACAATCACAGTTGGAGACTTAACACACCTCTATCAGAAATGTACAGATTTAACAGGCAGAAAATCAGTAAAGGTATAACTGAATTCAACAACCCCATCAATCAAATGAATATAATGAAGATCTGTACTACTTCATTCAACAACATCAGAATACACATTTTTGTCGTGCTGACATGGAACATTTGCCAAGACAGACCACATTCTGAGCCATAAAATACATTTTAACAAATTTAAAAGAATAGAAATGATATAATGTCTGCTCTCAGACCACAATGAGACTAAACTAGAAATTAATAACAGAAAAAAAGTTTAAAACTAAAAAAATACATTTGTAACAACATGGACGAAAGAATTTGGAAAGATATTACACAATATTTTGAGCTAAATAAAAAACACAATTTATTAATACTTGTGGATTTCAGTGAAAGTAGTGCTTAAGAGATAGTTATAGCATTTAATTCATATATTACAAAAGAAGAAAGATCTAAAATCAATAATCTAAGCTTCCACTTTAGAAAACAAGAAAAAGAAGGGCAAATTAAATTCAAATGAAGCAAAAGAAATGATAAGAATTAGAACATAGATTAATACTTGAAAACAGAAAATCAGTAGAAGAAATTAACAAAATCAGAGGCTGGTTTTTTGAAAAGATTAACTATAATTGATAAGCCTCTAGCAAGGCTAACTAAGAAGGAATACCACTACAGATACCATGAACATTAAAAGAATAATAAAGGAATGCTATGAACACCTCTATGTTCACACATTTGATAACCTAGATGGACCAATTCCTTTAAAGACACAACTTGCCAAAGCTCACACAAGAAGAAATAATCTGAATTGTCCTATGTTTATTAAAGACACTAATAAATAAGTAATAACTTTCCAAAAGAGAAAGAAGCAAGCTCAGATGGATTCTCTGGTGAATTCTACTAAACATATAAGGAAGAAATTATACCAATTTTTTTACAGTCTTTTTCAAAATATAAAAGCAGAGGGAATACTTTCTAACTCATTCTGTAAGGCTAGGACTACCATAACATCAAAACCAAATAAAGACATTCCAAGAAAGAGAAACTATGCAATATCTTTCATGAACATAAATGCAAAAAATATCAACAAAACATTAGCAAATAAAATCCAACAATGTATAATAGAAATTATACACCATGACCAAGTGGGATTTATTCCAGGTATGCAAGGCTTGTTCAACTTTCAAAAGTCAATTAATTGATGTGATGTAATCCATCACATCAACATGCTAACAAAGAAAAACCACATGATCACATCAATAGATTCAGATAAAAACACTGGATAAAATGCAATATCCATTCATAATAAAAAATAAAACTCCAGTAAACTAGAAATGGAGGGAAACTTACTCAACCTGATAAAGATTACCTATAAAAAAAACCCTACAGCTAACATCATACTTAATGGTGAGAAATGTGAAGTCTTCCCACTAATATCAGGAATAAAGCAAACATGTCTCCTCTCACTGCTGCTTTTAAACATTGTACTGGAATTCCTAACTAATGCAATAAGATAAGAAAAAGAAATAAAATTATCCAGATTGGGAAGGAAGAAATAAAACTGTCTTTGTTTGCATAATTGTCTAGGTAGACAATAGACAATCAAAGAATTCACACACACACACACACACACACACACACGCACACACACACACATACATACTCTTCCTGGGACTAATAAACGATTACAGCAAGATCACAGAATACAAAAGTCAATCACTTTCTTATACACCAGTAATTAACAAGTGGATCACTTCAGCCAGGTGTGGCTCTGCATTTCTCTGGGCTGGACTTCCCGGAGACAATCCACAGGCTCTCTGCCAAAGCTTTGTAGCAGTACCCTCCCTTGCTGCCATTAGTCTGGGGAAGGAACAAAGAGCCTGAGTGCTTTACTCACACCTCCAGCATACCACAGCTGTCCTACAGGGAGGAGGCTAGACTGTCTTCCACATGAGCCTCCACTCCCCATGCTCTTTACCAGTCAGAGCCCTCAGCTTGGGCCCACAGAGTAGCTGTCCCACTCCCAGCTAAACTGATAGCCCCTCTGCCACTGCCACTGAAGCAGTACCCATACCTTGCTGGGACAGGTACGGCTGCAGCAACAGTGGCAGAGAGGCTGTCAGTTGCCTCTGGGAACTGATACAGGGCACTGACTGCACGAGATTGGGAAAGAAACTAAGAGCCTGGGTGCTTTACCGGCACCTCCATCATGCCACAGACAGTCTATGGAGAAGAAGCCAGTCAATCTTCCCTGTAAGCCCTAACCCCATTGTTCTTCACCAGCAGGATAAGAGCCTATACTGAACATTACACTTGAGTGCCATCTGCAGTATTGCAGCCCAAACTACAACACCAAAAATACTTTGCTATAATAATATAACCCTCTATAAAATCAAGGGCAAGAATTCAGCCACAAATAAAGACACTGCACAAAGTCTTGGCCTTCTAAAAACATTCAGAAAGGAAGCCGACTAACAATACTCAAATTACACAACAGTTAAAGGAATATCAGCCCACACAGATGAGAAAAAAAAGTGCAAGAACTCTAGCAGCTCTAAAAGCCAGAGTGTCTTATTACCTCCAAACAGCTGCACTAGCTCCCCAGCAATGGTTCTTAAACAGAATGAAATGAATGAAGTAACAGACATATAAATCAGAATCTGTTTACCAATGAAAGTCAAATAGAGTCTATGAAAAAGTAGAAATCTGATACAAGGAATCTTAGGAATTCAGCAAAACAATTCAAGGGATGTAACATGAAATGATTATTTTAAGAAAGAACCAAATTGATCTTGAGCTAAATAACTTACTACAATAATTTCATAACACCATCAGAAGTATTAACTGCAGAATAGGACAAGATGAGGAAAGAATCTCAGAGCTCGAACCGGCTTTTTGAATGAACTCAGTCAGACAACAATAATGAAAAAAGAATTTTTAAAAATGAAGAAAACTTCAAAGAAATATGAGATTATGTAAAGAGACCAAGCCTATGACTCATTAGGGTCCCTGAGAAAGCAGGAGAGAGAGCAAGAAACATAGAAAACATATTTGAGGATATTGTCCATGACAATTCCCCCAACCTCACCAGAGAGGTCAACATTCAAATACAGGAAATTCAGAGAACCCCTGTGAAATATTATACAAAAGGACCATGGTGAAGACAGAGAGTCATCAGATTCTCCAAGGTCAGCATGAAAGAAAAAATATTAAAGGTAGCTAGCAAGAAGGAGTGGGTCACCTACAAATGAAACTCCATCAGGCTAATAGGGGACCGTTCAGCATTAACCCTACAAGCCAGAAGAGATTGGGAGCCTATATTCAGCATCCTTAGAGAAAAAAAAAAGGATAATAAAAATTCTCCAACCAAGAATTTTATATCTAGCCAAACTAAGCATCATATGTGAAGGAGAAATAAAATCTTTTTCAGACAAGCAAATGCTAAAAGAATTCATTACCAGCAGACTTGCCTAACAAGAGGTTCCAAAGGGAGTGCTAACAATGGAAATGGAAAACCATTACCAGCCACTACAAAAACACACTTAAGTACATAGACTATTGATGCCATAAAGCAACTTTACAATTAAGTCTGCATAAGAACCAGCCAATACCACCATGACAGGATCAAATTCACACATTGATATTAACCTTGAATGTAACTGGGCTAAATGCTCCCACTTGAAAGAGTGGCAAGTTGGATAAAGAAACCAGACCCAACTGTATGCTGTCTTCAAGAGATCCATCTCATATGCAATTACATCCATAGACTCTAAGTGATGGAGAAAGATCTATCAAACCAACAGAAAACAAAAGTGAGCAAAGGTTGCTAATCTTATTTCAGACAAAACAGACTTTAAACCAAAAACAATAAAAAATGACAAGGGCATTACATAATGATAAAGGGTTCAATCAACAAGAAGACCTAATTATCCTAAATATATAAAAACATATATATGCATCTGGAACACTCAGATTCATAAAACGAGTTCTTAGTGACTTATGAAAAGATTTAAATAACCACATAACAACAGTTGGAGGCTTCAACATCCCACTGACAGTATTAGACAGATCATTGAGGCAGAAAACTAACAAAGATATTCAGGACCTGAACTCCACATTTAACCAAATGGACTTAACAGACAGCCACAGAACACTCCACCCAATAACAGCAGTATATATATTCTTCTCATCTGCACATGGTACATACTCTAAAATGGACCACATACTGGGTCATAAAACAATTCTCAAGTTTTAAGAAATGGAAATCATTCTAACTAATACCAAGAAGATCCCTCAAAACCATATGATTACATGGAAATTAAACAATCTTGTTCCTGAACGACTTTTGGGTGAACAATGAAATTAAGGCAGAAATCAAGAGGAAAGGTTATAGCACTAAACACCCACAAGAAAAAGTTAGAAAGTTCTCAAATTGACAACCTAACATCATGCCTAGATAAACTTAAAAAACAAGAGCAAACTAACCCCAAAGCTAACTGAAGAAAGGAAATAACCAAAATCAGAGCTGTACTGAACAAAATGGAGATGAAGAACGTCATAAAAAAGATCAAGGAAACCAAAAGTAGGTTCTTTGAAAGAATAAACAAGATTATTCTTGAGAGCCTGAACAAGAAAAGGATGCCCACTCTCACCATTCCTATTCAACACAGTAGTGGAAGTACTAGCCAGAGCAATTTGGCAAGGGAAAGAAATAAATGGCATCCAAATAGGAGGAGAGAAAGTTAAACTATGTCTCTTCACTTATGATATGATTTTATACCCAGAAAACCCCATGGTCACTGCCCAAAGGCTCCTGAATCCTACAAACAACTTCAGCAAAGTTTCAACATACAATATCAATGGGCAAAAGTCAGTAGTGTTTCTACACACCAATACCACCCAAGCCAAGAACCAAATCAAGAATGCAATCCCATTTGCAATAGCCACATAAGGAATAAAATACCAAGGAATATAGCTAACCAGGATGTAAAGGATATCTATAACAAGAATTACAACATATATACCAAGGAATATTACAAGAATTACAACAAGGAAATTAACAAGAATTACAACATATATACCAAGGAATATAGCTAACCGGGAAGTAAAGGATATCTACAACAAGAATTACAACAAGAAGTAAAGGATATGTACAACAAGAATGGTCAAAGAAATCAGAGGACACAAACAAATGGGAAATTTTCCCTGCTTATGAATAGGAAGAATCAAAATTCTTAAAATGGCCATTCTCTCCAAAGCAGTTTACAGATTCAATGGTATTCCTATGAAACTACTGATGACATTTTTTCACAGAAACAAGCAATGGGGAAAGGATTCCCTATTTAATAAGTGGGGAAAACTGGCAAGCCATATGCAGAAAGCTGAAACTGGATCTCTTCCTTACACCTTATACAAAAATTAACTCAAGATGGATTAAAGACTTAAAAGTAAGACCTAAAACCATAAAAACCACAGAAGAAAACCTAGGCAATAGAATTCAGGACATAGGCAAGGGCAAAGACTTCATGGCTAAAACACCAAAAGCAATGGCAACAACAGCCAAAATTGACAAATGGAATCTGATTAAACTAAAGAGCTTCTGCACAGCAAAAGAAACTGTCATCAGAGTGAACAGGTAACCTACAGAAGGGAGAAAATTTTTGCAATCTATCCATCTGACAAAAGGCTAATATCCAGAATCTACAAAGAACTTAAACAAGTTTACAAGAAAAAAAACAAACCCATCAAAAAGTGGGCAAAGGATATGAACAGACACTTCTCAAAAGAAGACATTTATGCAGCCAACAAACATATGAAGAAAAGCTCTTCATCACTGGTCATTAGAGAAATGCAAATCAAAACCACAATGAGATACCATCTCACACCAGTTAAAATGGTGATCATTAAAAAGTCAGGAAACAACAGATGCTGGAGAGGATGTAGAGAAATAGGAATGCTTTTTTTTTTTTTAATAGGAATGCTTTTACACTGTTGGTGCAAGTGTAAATTAGTTGAGCCATTGTGGAAGACAGTCTGGTGATTCCTCAAGGATCTAGAACTAGAAATACCATTTGACCCAGCAATCCCATTACTGGGTATATACCCAAAGGATTATAAATCATTCTACTATTAAGACACATGCACACATATGTTTATTGCAGCACTAGTCACAATAGCAAAGACTTGGAACCAACCCAAATGCCCATCCATGATAGACTGGATTAAGAAAATGTGGCACATATACACCATGAAATAGAATGCAGCCATAAAAAAGGATGAGTTCATGTCTTTTGTGGGAACATGGATGAAGCTGGAAACCATCATTCTCAGCAAACTAACACAGGAACAGAAAACCAAACACCGCATGTTCTCACTCATAAGTGGGAGTTGAACAATGAGAACATATGGACACAGGGAGGGAAACATCACACACCAGGGCCTGTCGGAGGCTGGGGGGCTAGGGGAGGGATAGCATTAGGAGAAATACCTAATGCAGATGACGGGTTGATGGGTGCAGCAAACCACCAGGTCATGTTTATATCTATGTAACAAACCTGCATGTTCTGCACATTAACCCAGAAATTAAAGTATAATAAAAAAATTAAAAAACCATTGTAAAATTTATATAGAACCAAAGAGAGCCCAAATAGCTAAAGCAATCCTAAGCAAAAAGAACAAAGCTTGAGGCATCACACTACCTGACTTCAAACTATACTACAAGGTAATAGTAACCAAAACAGCATGATACTGGTACCAAAAAAAAAAAAAAAAAAAGACATGTAGACCAATGGAACAGGTTAAAGAACCCAGAAATAAAGCCACACATCTACAACCATCTGATCTTTCACAAATCCACCAATAACAAGCAATGGGGAAATGACTCTCTATTTAATAAATGGTGCCAGGATAATTGGTTAGCCATATGCAGAAGATGGAATTTGGACCTCTTCCTTTCACCATATCCAAAAATAAACTCAAGATGAACTAAATACTTAGATGTAAAACCCCACGCTATGAAAACTGTAGAAGAAAACCTAGAAAATAGCATTCTGGAGATCGGCTCTGGCAAAGATTTCATGACAAAGACTACAAAAATAATTGCAACAAAATCAAAAATTGATAAGTGAAACCTAATTAAAGAGCTTCTGCACAGAAGAAAAAACTATGAAGAGAGTAAACAGACAGCCTACAGAATAGTAGAAAATATATTCAAACTACGCATCCAACAAAGGTCTAATGTACAGAATCTATAAGTAACTTATATCAACAAGCAGAAAATAACATTTTTTAAATGGGCAAAGGATATAAACAGACACACTTCTCAAAAGAACACATACGCATGAACAACAAGCATATGGAAAAATGTTCAACATCATTAATTATTCAAGAAGTACAAATTAAAACTACAGTGAGATACTATCTCATGCCAGTCAGAATGGCTACTGTTAAAAAGTAAAAAATAACAGATGCTGAAGAGGTTGGAGAGAAAATGGGATGCTTATACATTGCTGGTAGGAATGTAAATTAGTTCAGCCACTGGAGAAAGCAGTCTGGAGATTTCTCAAAGAACTTAAAACAGAGCTACCATTTGACCCAGCATTCCCATTACTGTGTATGTGCCCAAAAGAATATAAATCATTCTATCATAAAAACACGTTCATATGTGTGCTCACCACAACACTATTCACAATGGCGAAGACATGGTATCAACACACATGCCCATCAACAGTGGACTGGATAAAGAAAATATAGTACATACATACCATGAAATATTATGCAGCCATAAAAAATAATGAAATTATATCCTTTGCAGCAACACGGATGGAACTGGAGGCCATTATCCTAAACAAATTAACACAGTAACAGAAAAATCAATTATTGCATGTTATCACTTACAAGTGAGAGCTAAACACTGAGTACACATTGATGCAAAGATAGGAACAATAGACACCAGGGTCTACTTGAGGGTGGAGGTTGGGAAGGGGGTGAGGATTGAAAAACTACCTGTTGGGCACTATGCCCATTATCTGAATGACACAATAATCTGTACACCACACCCCTACAACACGTGATTTTACTCATGTAACAAACCTGCAAATATACCCCCAAACATATAAAAGTTGGACAGAAAATTTTAAAATAAGACAAACTAAACTTATCATTAAGCAGAAAAAAGTATTAGCGAATTTATCACTAGAAGACCTGTATTAAAATATTAAAGGGAATTTGTGAGGCAGAAGGAAAATACAGAAATGTGAATAGATATAAAAAATAATAGAAAGAGTAAATATATGGAATGATCTAAACAAATAAGGCTTTATGGAATTTTAAATGCATATAGGAAATATAGCATACGACAATAGCACAAATGATGGGAGAAGGGTAAATAGAATTAATGTGTTGAAGATTCTTGCATTGTCTGAAAATTTTATATGGTACTTTAACAAGTCAAGCATGCATGTTGTAATCTCTAGCACACAAAAAGAAGAGTAAAATAATGGATAACAAGCTAAAAGAGAGAAAAAATGGAATAATAAAATTGATCTGTTTAAAAAATAATAAAGGGAGAAAGTTATATGAAACATTGTAATAAATGGAAATTAAATCTTAAAATGTCATATTTACCCCAAATACGCTATTAACAACAGGAAATGTGAATCTCTTTCTTACATTAAACTTGAGTAAATTAAAGATTAATGAGTATAACTACTAAAAATAAAATAGTGAAAGAATGTAAAACCAACAATGGAAATACTAGATTAATTCAGAAGAATGCCAAAAACAGAGTAAAAAGTAAAGTAGAACATGTGGAACAAATAGAAAAAAAAATGTAGTCTATTTAAAGCCAAATGTCCTCAAAATAACATAAGTATGAAAAACATAATCAAATTAAAAGATTTTCTGAATGTGAATATATAAACCCAAGTTATAAGGTTTACAAGAGAACTACCCAAAATATATAGATGTTGAAAGTTTGAAGGTAAAACAATTTTGTTTCAGCTAGAGTTTATTCAGTGATGCAGAATCACTATGAAAGATAAAGAATTTTCATAGGAATTAGAACTTACATATTTGTAGGAGTTGGGATACAATTCTATGGAAGGATGTTATTGCTGTGTTTGGTTGTGGCCTATTGTCTCTGTAGGCCAGTCGGGCAGGCAGCTGGAAAGAAAAACTGAATGTGAAGCTGGAGAAAGGGAAGACAAAATGGAAGCCATGCAGATAAACTAGAACCCTTGCCTGTGTCTCTGCTTTCAACCTGAGCACATGTGTGGCCTGCAGAAGCTGGCTCCCTTCATCATGGATTTACGCATGACCCTGGTCAGACTTGGAGAAGCTTGAAGGAGGACATCTGGCATAAACTGCAGAAGCTACAGCCCTGGCTATTGATTCATACCAATGAGTGAGACAGCAGATCGGTGATAATTTGAACAGAAATTATGTCTTTAAAAACAAGTAAGATAACTTTCCTTAGAAACAGGTCTGCAAATCTGCCGTGAATTGACTTGAAGTGAGACAAAGGTTTTCCCAATCTACAATAAGGCACAAGATGTTATGCAGAAATTTAAGAGAATTTTAAAGTGAAAAGGCTCTCGGTAAATCCCTGGATCTTGTTTTCCAACATGTGGAAAGTAAACAAAATTTTTACAGGAATATAAGTTCTTTCATATAGGCATTGCTGAGATCTGTAATAGCAAACACAATATTTATTTGCATGTGTCTGTCAGAAGGTGGTTATTATAAAATGGAACACAATGGTTTCAATAAGGAAAGCTATTACTAAACAGGATGAAAAAATAATGACTGGGTTTTCAAAATATTTTTAATTTTTAATATATTGTTAAAAATTTAGTTTTTGTTTTTATATTCGATTTGGTTATTTTTAGATTTACATACTCAGTCACCTCCTTGAATGTTATTCAGTGTTAAATACTGTGTCTAGTCTCTCACTCTACCTACTACCTCTCTCACTATTCCCTACACACTGCTCCTGAAATGTTTAAAGTGGGGTGCTTGTTTGCAACCTATAGATACTCTATATTCACGCTTCTTTTGGTATAAATTCTCATGCATTTTCACTGCCTTTCTTCCTCTTCAGTTACCTCTAATCCACTTTTACTTTAAGACCCAGGTAGAGCCCAATCTTTTCTGAGCAGCCTGCTCCTCTTATCCTAGATTGCTTTATCAATTTCTTCATTGAATTCCAAATACAGTAGGAAAAGGATGTGAAAATGCATGAGAATTGAGTCTCACACAGATTGGCAAATAATTGTTTTCTAGGCTTTGTTTTTGTTTTAGATACCTTATAACTGTACCCCTCAACACAAACAATGGGGGGTCCATAATTGGGTGATTAATCTTAATTAATTGGTTAACATTGCTAGCAGAATCATTAGTTTCTCAGATGATTTGACCATTTTCCTAATATAGACTAATATTTAGCCATGACCAACAGGAAAGCAGTAGAATTTTCTAGTGATATTCCATTTTAATCAGTATTTTGTTAAGAAGTGACAGTTCAATTTTTAGATAGGAGGGGTTCTATAGAAATAAACAAAAAGCCATGCAATCTGTGAAATTCCACAAGTTTGTTGACATCTCTAAGCTTGGTAGAATGGGCCATGATTAAACTTATTACCACCACTCTTCCAGAAAGTAACTCCTTTGCAGCACTGAAAGGAGGAGTGTAGATGGGAGCAGAATGGTCTGCATGGTGTAAAGGAAAGAGTTCAAATATGATGAGGACATACAGTTCTTTTTCTAGTTCTGCCATTTTTCTGTTTTGTGACTGTGAGCAAGTGGGCAAATTTTGGGAGCCGTGTTTTTCTCTTCTGTCAATGAAACCATAGACTTTTGCCATCCACTGAGAGCAGCCTTTCTGTAGACAATGGAAAATTGCTTTAACAATGGACTGGAACATCTCTCAGATCCTTAAAAGTGATTCCAAACAATGTAAGAAACTATAATCTATAGGGTAGAGAGATGGAAATTGACTAATCCAATAGTATGAGTCACTACAGCTAATGCTGAATGGAAAATTTAATTTTTTAAATAAATCACAAATTATAATTATAAAATGTAGTTGGTGCTACAGTTTCTACAGAAACTAATTTATAATTGCATGGAGTATGGCATTGTTTTCTTTTCCAAATGAATCTCTAGTATACTTTTACATGAAATATAGCTAATCCTTGGCAGTAAGAAGTTCAAAGCTTGAAGAAGTATATTATGGCTTGGATATGAAGTTTCAATGAATTTGATTTCCTTTTCCAGACTTTGATAGTTCATGAGAACCTTATTATAATCACACAGCATTTTTTTGTGTCTCTATTCCCATCTATTAAATGGGAAGGATATTATATTTTATGAAAGTTTAAGAAGATCACAAAATCAAATGTCTACAGGGATTGAAGAGTAAGAGGAAATGGGTGAAATGAGCTATTGTATAAGTAATAGGGAGTGCTGGGAAGTGTAGCACACATACTGGAGACATAAGAACTCATTTAAACCATCTGACTGGCAAATCGGTTGGCACAATGTGTCATGTCTTTTGATTTTTTTTCAGGTGTATTTTATGTGTGAATCTCCATTTTTTTTTTGCATTTAATTTAAAAAATTTAGGTCACCGTGCAGATCAAACAGAGCATGTTTCTGGGCCACCATGTGAACTGTACTTTAGAGCATGCCACGAAAAGAACATTAAAAGGTTTCTCACTGTGGTTTAGATTTGCATTTCCCTGACGATTAGAGATGCTGAACATTATTTTTTCATATATCTGTTGACAGTTTGTGTGTCATCTTTTGAGAAATACCTATTATGATCTTCTGCCCATTTTTTAATCAGGTCATTTGTTTTTAAGTTGATGAGTTGTTTAAGTTCCTTATATATGCTGGATATTAACTTCTTGTCAGATGTATAGTTCACAACATTTTCTTCATTCTGTATGTCATCTCTTCACTTTGTTAATAGTTTCCTTTGCTGTCCATAAGGTTTTTAGTTTGTTATAATCCAATTTGTCTATATTTGCTTTTATTTCCTGTGCTTTTGAGGTCTTATTTTAAAAATCCTTGCCCAGCCCAATTTGGGAAGTATTTTCCCTGTGTTTTCTTTTAGTAGTTTTGGAGTTTCAGGTTTTACATTTAAACCTTTAATCTATTTTGAATTGATTTTTTTATATGGTGTCAGGTAGTGGTCTAGTCTCATTCTTCAGCATGTTGATAGCCAATTTTCTCAGCACCATTCATTGAAGAGATTGTCTTTTCACCAATATGTGTTCTTGGCACTTTTGTAGAAAAATCAGTTGGCTGTCAGTCTATTCACTTCAGTTAGAATGGCTACTATCAAGAAGGCAAAAGAAAACAAGTGTTGGCAAGGATGTGGAGAAGAGGGAATACTTACCCACTGTTGGTGCAATTGTATACCAGTATAGCCATTCTGTACTGGTAGTATGGGGGTTCTTAAAAAAATTGAAAATAGAACTATCAGGTTTTTTTTTTCCAAAATGGTAAATTAGAGGCTTTTAGTGTGCCTCATACACTTAGACACAGCAAAATAGTGCATGAAGATCAATATTGTGAGCTTTTATTCAAGAAGGAATATGGGAATTCACCCAAAAAGCAAAGGACTCTACATTTCCTGGAAAAGAGAAGGCAGAAAGCAGGCTATATGTCAGCATTTGCTGATAAAAGTGAGTGAATCCCCAGTACATGAGAGGCGGACAACATACCTGTGATTCAGTTTTCCATTAAGGATCCATGCAACTCAGGCCATGAGGGAGCACCTTGGGTCTCTGAAGTGCTGGAGCTAGCTTGGGGAAAGGCTGGGAGACAATAACAGGAAAATCCACTGGGAAAAGCTACAGGCATATTCCCAGACCCAGGACTGAGAAGAAAGTATCTTTCTTTTCTTTTCTTTTCTTTTTTTTTTTTTTTTGAGATGGAGCCTTGCTCTGTTGCCCAGGCTGGAGTGCAATGGCACAATCTCAGCTCACTTCAAGCTCCGCCTCCCAGGTTCATGCCATTCTCCTGCCTCAGCCTCCCGAGTAGCTGGGACTACAGGCACCCACCACCATGCCCGGATAATTTTGTTGTTGTTGTTGTATTTTTAGTAGAGACGGGGTTTCACCAGGTTATCCAGGATGGTCTCGATCTCCTGACCTCATGATCTGCCTGCCTTGGCCTCCCAAAGTGCTGGGATTACAAGTGTGAGCCACCACTCCCGGCCGGAAGATATCATTTTTAATCTGGACTCATGCAGTCACTCATTGATTGATGATCTGGCAGTGGTGTCTGTCACAAGCAGTTTAGTCTCCAGCCAGAGATTAGAGCATTTGCTCTGGAGTGTGGGAAGACTGCCCAAAGACAAAATTGAATGGCAAATGTAGAGTGCACCCCATAAGTAGGTGCTAGAATTGGGCTTTCTCCCATCACTGAACTTGAGCAGGAGGAGAATTGCCGAAGCTGCAGGTTCTCCTGAGTGGTGTAATCTCTGGCCAGGAACAGCTTTGTAGCTTGAGACTGGTCTGCCTCTGTCATTGCTGGGTGCCCCAGATTGCTCCCTTGGTCAATCAGGAGACAGTGCCCCACCAGCTGTAAGGTGCAAGAGGGAGGCAGACCCTACTCTTCCTCACCCGGAATGGGAACGTGGGCCACATCTCTCTTCCCTTGCAAAGAACTTGGTGCAGTGGTGCTCCTTCTTCTCCACACCTGGGCATATTTCCAGGCATTTGGTACAACCACTTGCCTGGAATAGGGGCCTGAGTTGCCCCTTTATTCCCCTGTAAAGACCTTTCTGCATCAGCTATTAAAATGTTATGCAGGAGTTACTCCACTTCTTGCCAGAGTACATATCTCCAGGTATTTGGCACACCTGCTGCCTGAATTAGGAGCCTGAGTCACCCCTTCTTTCCTGTGCACAAATCTGGGTGCAGTGGTGCCCTCTCCTCTCCATACCCAGGCATAATTCCAAGCAATCAGTGCACCTGCTCACCTGGAGTAGAAGCCTGAGTCACCCCCTTTCCCTCTCACCACCCATCTTGGTGCACTGGCACCCTCTACACTACATGCCCAGTTATATCTGCAGGCATATGACTGGAGCACCCACTCTTTTTGATTAGGAGTTTAGGCCACCTGTCCTAGGCACAGAACTTGGAACAGTGGAGGTCTGTACACTCTACTCCCCAGTACATCCCTGGGTGCTTGATGGCTGTACCCTGAATCCCACCTTGGACCTGGTGATTATGCCTGCCATTGAGTGATGGTGTAGGCAGGCCTGCTGATCTGGCCCTTAGTCCCCACTCAGGGGCTAAGCAGGGAGCTCAGACTATTATGTATGCCACAGGACAGTCTAATGTCTGAATCTACAGGGAGCTTCTCATGGTAAACAAAGATCAAACATATACCATTTTTTATCAGCTGCAGCCAGCTCTTATCCATAAGTGCCACCTACTGGCTTGGAGGTTGAACTGTATAACCCAAAAGAAAAATCTGCTGACACAAGTGCGCAGCACTAGGGAATGAGATAAGTCTCATGAGACCACCACCCTCCCAGCCCCACAGGAGGAAGCAGTGAGTCTGTTCACACACACAGTACATCACGACTTCAACCAGCATTTGAGAAAGCCACCAAACAAAAGCTATCTATAACCGAGGAACTTATACAGAATCTTTAACATTGAAAGCACCCAGAACTGATGCCAAAGGATCCTGCACAACACACACTCTAGTCATATCCTCAAAATGGGGGGAAATCCCATCCAAATGAAAATAAATTCGAAAGTAAGAAGGAAAGGAACCAGAGAAACAATTCTGTAAGTATGAAAAGACAGAGTGTTACAACACTCCCAAAGTACACACTAAGTCTTCAGCAGTGGATCCTAATCAAAATGAAATCTTTGAAATATCAGAAAAAGAATTCAAAATATTGACTTTAATGCTTAATGTGATCCAAGAGAAAGTTGAAAACCAACACAAAAGAATCAGGAAAACAATTCAGAATATGAAGAAGAGATAGATACTTTAAAAAGGAAAGCAGAACTTCTAAAATTGAAACAAAAATCATGGAAGGAATCATAAAATACACTTGAAAGCCTTAACAGTAGGCTAGACCAAGCAGAAGAAAAATTTTAGAGTAGAAAGATAGGGCTTTTGAATTAACCCAGTCAGACAAAAATAAAGATTTTTTTTAAATGAACAAAGCTTTTGAGAAATATGGCATTGTGCAAAGCATCCAAGCCTATGAGTTATAGGTATTCCAGAGGGAGAAGAAGAAAAGGTAAAAAGTATGAAAAACCTATTTGAGGGTCTAATGCAGGAAAACTTCTCTGGTCCTGCTAAATATCTAGACATCCAGATACAAGAAGCTCAGAGAATCCTTAGAAGATACACTTCAAGAATAACTTAACCAAGGCATAGAGTCATCAGACTATCCAAAGTCAACATAAAGGAAAAAATCCTAAAAAGTGACAAGAGAGAATCATCTAATCACCAGTAAAAGAAATTCCCTCAAACTAACAGCAGACTTCTCAGCAGAAAGTTTCAAAGCCAGAAGAGTTTGGAGTCCTATTTTCAGTCTTCTTAGAGAAACAAACAATCCAACCAAAAGTTTTGTGTGCTGCTAAACCAAACTTCATAAATGAAGGAGAAATAAAGTCTTTTCCAGACAAGCAAACACTGAGGGAATGTCACCTCTAGGCTGCTCCTACAAGAAATGTTCAAAAGAGTTTGAAACATGGAACTGAAAGGGTAATACTTGTTATCATAAAAACACAGGTCTTATAAATCAATTACACAATCGAGATTGCAAAGCAATTAGGTAATAATTCACATTATGGCAAGAACAAAACCTCACACATCAATACTAATTTTAAAGGTAAATGAACTAAGTGCTCTACCTAAAAGATATAGAGGTTAGCAGAATGGATAAAACACTAAGATGCAACCATATGCTGCATACAAGAAATTCACCTAATGGGTAAATACGTTTACAGCCTCAAAGTACAGGGATGGAACAAGATATTTTGTGCAAACAGATACAAAAAGCAAGCAGTAGTAGCTATTCTTCTATCACATTAAAAAGACTTTAAATCTACAACAGTAAAGAAAAAAAAGACAAAAGAAGTCATTACATAATGATAAAGAGATTGATTCCAGAAGAAGAGATAATAATCCTAAATATATATGCACTTAACACTGGAGCATCCAGATTCATAAAACAAATACTATTAGACCTATGAAAAAGGATAGACAGCAATACAATAATAGTAGAGGACTTTAATACCCCACTGACAGCACTAGATAGATCATCAAGGGAGAATATCAAAAAAGAAACTCTGGATGCAAATTGGACTGTAGACCAAATGGACCTAACAGACATTTACAGAAGATTCTACCCTGCAACTGCAGAATACACATTCTTCTCATTTGTGCATTGAGTGTTCTCAAAAATTGACCATGTTGCAGGCCATGAGGCAAGTCTCAATAAATTTTAAAAAATTGAAATCATATCATGTACCTTCTTGGACCACAGTCGAATAAATCTAGAAATTAAAACCAAGAGGAGCCCTCAAAACTATACAAATACATGGAAATTAAATAATCTGCTCCTGAATGATTTTTGGGTCAACAATGAAATTAAGGAAGAAATTAAAATTTTTTTAAAGTGAAAGCAAGTTAATTAGAGAAGCAAAGAAACAAAAGAATTACTACTCCATAGTCACAGAAACCCACAAAATTTTTGAAACAAATGAAAATGAAGACAGAACACACCAAAACCTCTGAGATATAGCAAAAGTAGTGCTAAGAGGGAAGTTTATAGCATTAAATGCCTAAATATATCCACAAAAACTAAAACTTAAAAAGAAGATGTGTATGGCTAAAAGCAAACAAAAAAGAAAGATCTCAAAATAGACAGCCAAAGTTTCACCTCAAGGAACTAGAAAAAACAGGAACAAAGCATGCCCAAAGCTAGCAAAAGAAAAGAAATAACAAAGAGCAGAACTAAACAAAATTGAGACCAAAAAATTACAAAGAATTGATGAAAAAGAAAAACTGTTTTTTTGAAAAGATAAACAAAATTGATAGACCACTAGCTAAATTAACCAAGAAAGAAATGGAGAAGATTGAAATAAGCACAAACAGAATTCATAAAGATGTCATTACAACTGATACAACAGAAACACAAAAGACCATCAGAGACTACTCTGAGCATCTGTATGTATGCAAACTAGAAAACCCAGAAGAAATGGATAAATTCCTGGAACATACAACCATCCAAGATCTAACCAGGGAGAAATAGAAATCCTGAAGAGACCAATAATTAATAGTAAAATTTAATCAGTAATAAAAATCTTCCAACAAAAAAGTTCAGGACCAGACAGGTTCACAGCCAAATTCCATCTGACATGCAAGGAAGAAGTGGTACCAATTCTACTGAAACTGTTCCAAAAAATCGAGGAGAAAGTTAATTCTTACTACCTCATTCTGTGAAGTAAGCATCACCGTGATACCAAAATCAAGCAAGGACACAACATAAAAAGAAAACTACAGACCAATACCCCTAATGAACATAGATGCAAAAATCCTCAACAAAATACTAGGAAACTGAATCTAACAGCACATCAAAAAGATAGTACACCATGATCAAGTAGCTTTTATTCCAGAGATGCAATGTTGGTTCAACATATACAAATCAATAAATGTGATTTACCACATAAAAAGAATTAAAAAGAAAAACCATGTTATCATGTCAATAGATGCAGTAAAAGCATTTGACAAAATCCAGCATTCTGTCATAATAAAAACTCTTACCAAACTGGACAAAGAAGGCACATACCTCAAAATAATAAAAGCCATATGTGACAAATCCACTGGCAACATTATGCTTAATATGGTTTGGATGCTTGTTCCCTCCAAATCTTATGTTGAAATGTGATTTCCAGTGTTGGAGGTGGGGCCTGGTGGGAGGTTGTTGGATCATGGGGGCATATCCCTCATGAATGTTTGAGCACCATCCCCTTGTGATAAGTGAGTTATCACTCAGTTAGCTCATTTGAGATCTGGTTGGTTGAAGAGCCTGGCATCTCTTCCATCTCTCTCTTTCTCCCTTTTTCCCATGTAATATGCTGGCTTCCCTTTTCATCTTTCACCATGATTATAAGCTTCCTGAGGCCCTCACCAGAAGCTGAGCTGAGGTTGGTGCCATGCTCGTACAGCCTGTAGAAACACAAGCCAATTAAACTTATTCTCTTTATAAATTACCTAGCCTAAGGTATTTCTTTATACCAACGCAGAGATGGCCTAACGCAGAAAATTGTTGCTATAAAAGAATACCCGAGATGGGTAATTTATGCAGAAAGATGTTTAATTGGTTCACAGATCTGCAGGCTGTACAAGCATGGCACCAACATCTGCTTGGGTTCTGGTGAGGGCCTCAAGAAGTTTACAATCATGGTGGAAGCTGAAGCAGGAATAGGCAAGTCACATGGCAAGATCAGGAGCAAGAGAAAATGTAGAGGAGTGTGCTGCCATACTCTTTTAAACAAGTGAGAACTTACTTGTTACCAAGGGGATGGCACTAAGTCATTCATGACGGATCAGCCCTCATAATCCAGTATCTCCCCATTGGCCCCACCTCCAATATTAGGAATCACATTTTAACATGAGATTTGGAGGGGACAAACATCAAAGCCATATCAATACTGAATGAGCAAAAGTTGAAAGCATTCCCCCAAAGAACTGAAACAAGACGAGAATGCTCACTTTCAACAGTCCTATTCAACATCATACTGGAAGTCCTAGCTAGAGCAATAAGGCAAGAGAAATAAATGAAAAGCAAATCATCTAAATTGGAAAAGAAGAAGTCAAATTATCCCTGTTCACTGATATTATCTTATACCTATAAAACCTTAAATACTCCTCCAAAAGACTCTTAGATTTGCTAAATAACTTCAGTAAAATTTCAGGATACCAAATAAACATACCAAAATCAGTAGCATTTCTATACACCAATAATGATAAAGCTAAGAACCAAATCAAAAACTCGATTCCACTTACAATAGCTGCAAAAAAATACATAGGAATACATTTAACCTAGGAGGTGAAAGATCTTTTCAAGGAGAATTACAAAACACTGATGAAGGAAATAAGGGGCAACAGAAAAAATGGAAATACATCACGTGCTCATGGATTGTAAGAATTAATATCATTAAAATGACCATACTGCCAAAAATTATATACAGATTCAACATGATTTCTTTCAAATTACCAACATGATTCTGCACATAGGAAAAACAATCCTAAAATTCATATGACACAAAAAGAGAGCTTGAATAGCCAAAGTAATTCTAAGCAAAAAGAATAAAGCTGGAGGAATCACATTACCTGACTTCAAATTATACAACAAGTCTATAGTAATCAAAACAGCATAGTACTAGCATAAAAATAGATACACAGATCAATGAAACAGATTAAAGAATACAGAAATAATTTCACATATCCATAACCAACTGACCTTTGACAAAGTCAACAAAAATATACACTGGGGAAATGATATCACTTTAAATAAATGATGCTGGCATATGCAGAAGAATGAAATTTGACCCCTATGTCTCACCATATACAAAAACTAACTCAAGATGGCCTAAAGACTCAAGTGTAAGACCCGAAACTATAAAAATCCAAGAGGAATACCTGGGAAAACTCTTCTGGACATTAGTCTAGACAAAGAATTTATGACTTAGTTCTCAAAAAGAAATGCAGCAAAACCATAAGTAGAGAAAAGAGACTTAAACTAAAAAGCTTCTGCATAGCAAGAGAAATAATCAATAGAGTAAACAGACAACCTACAGAATCGTAGAAAATATTTGCAAACAATGCATCTGTAGTAGTATGTTCTCATGCTGCTATAAAGAACTGCCCGAGACTGGGTAAGTTATAAAGGAAAGGGGTTTAATTTACTCACAGATCCACAGGGCTGGGGAGTCCTCAGGAAACTTATAATCATGGCAGAAGGAGAAGCAAACATTGCAGCAGGAAGAAGAAAAATGAGAGCCGAGTGAAGGGGGAAGCCCCTTATAAAACCATCGGATGTCATGAGAACTTACTGTCACAAGAATAGTATGGGGGAAGCCACCATTTACCGGAAGTGGAAGGTTCAATTACCTCCCACTTGGCCCTTCCCATGACATGTGGGGATTATGAGAACTATAATTCAATATCAAAATATCAAAATTTAACTTGAATTGTAACTATAATTCAAGATGAGATTTGGGTAGGGACACAGCCAAACCATATCAGCATCCAACAAGGGGCTAATAATAAGAATCTATAAGGAACTCAACTCAACAACCACCACCACCACAACACCAAACAACCCCATTAAAAAGTGGGCAAATGTCATGAACAGACATTTTTCAAAAGATGACATACAGGTGGCCAAAAAACATATGAAAAAAGTGCTCAACATCACTAATCATCAGAGAAATGCAAATTAAAATCACAATGAGATACTATCTTACAGCAGTCAGAATGGCTATTACTAAAAAGTAAAAAAAGAAACAGCAGATGTTGGCAAATATCCACAGAAAAGGGAATGCTTATACACTTTTGGTGGGAATATAAATTAATACAATGTCTACAGAAAACAGTATGGAGATTTTTCAAAGAACTAAAAATACAACTACACTGTGATCCAGCACTCCCACTACTGGGTGTCTACCCAAAGAAAAAGAAATCATTTTATTAAAGATACCTGTATTTGTATGTTTACTGCAGCTCTATTCTCAATAGCAAAGATAATGAATCAACCTAAGTGTCCATCAGTGGATCATGGCATTAAAAAATACACACACGCACGCACACACACACACACACACGCATGCACACACACACACGCCTCACCATGGATTACTATTCAGCCATAAAAAGAAAAAAAAACATGTCTTTTTCAGCAATATAAGTGGAATTGGAGGCCATTATCCTTAGTGAAATGACTCAGAAATAGAAAGTCAAATATTGCATGTTCTCACATATAAATGGGAGTTAAATAATGGGTACATGGACATACAGAGTGGAATAACAGACATTGGAGACTCCAAAAAATGGGAGGGTGGGAGGGTGGTGAGGGATGACATACTTATTGGGTATACAATGTACACTATTCAGATGATGGGTACACTAAAATCCCAGACTTTGTCACTATGCAATATGTAACACAATTGCACTTATACACCTAAATCCTCAAAAATAAAAGTAAATAAAAATAGAACTACCACATAAGCCAGTAATCTCACTACTGGGTATTGATCCAAAGGAAATGAAATCAGTATGTCAAAGAGATATTTGCTTGGATGTGATGAATTTCAGAATATATGACTTCCATTTTCAGGTTTTTATGCTTAATGGGAACTTGAACTCTCATATTTACTGCAGCATTATTTACAATAGCCAAGATATGGAATCAACCTAAGTGTCTAACAATGTATTAATAAAGAAAATGTGATATATGGAATACTATTTATCCATAAAAATAATGAAATCCTGTCATTTACAACAACATGGATGAAACTGGAGGACATCATGTTAAGTGAAACAGAGTAGAACAGTGGTTATCAGAGACTGGAAAAGGGAGGGGGTACAGAAGGATGAGGAGAGGTTGGTCAGTGGGTACAAAGTTTAAATGCGAAGAAATAAGTTTTGGTGGTCTACTGCACATGAGGTGACTGTAGTTAACAGCAAAGTATTGTGTATTACAAAATAGCTAGGAGAAAGGTTTTTGAATGTTCTTACCACAAAGAAATGCATGAGGTGATAGATACAGTAACTACCCTGATTGGATCACTATACAACATATTTATGTATAGAAATATCAAATTTTACCCCATAATTATGTACAATTAAAAAATAAATAAGTTTTGTTATGTAAAAAAACATTAAGAGAATCACACCTGATTCCACCTCCAGGTCCTCATATTACATGTATGGAGACCAAAACCTCAAAAGACATTCTGCTTGGAAACCATTGTATTCAGTAAATATACCAGATATGCTAGAAGCTGGAGAAACATTAGTGAACAGGACAGACACATTCTCCAATACCATGCAGCTGTCTACCTGAATTTTGCATCCTAAATGGTTGAGATCCTCAAAAACAAATTTAGTTTCTATCTGAACACATTTACAACTCCTGAAGTACAATGAATCTAATGTGGTAGGCTGGATCAGGCACTCTCCCGCCCTAGATGTTTGGATAATCAGAAATATCCTGCAAAGAAAATTGAGCTGTGTTGCAACTTTTTTCTTCAGCATTTTATCAAGAAAGATATGTGTAAAAGTAGTAGAGTAAATGTACTGAAATGATGGAAAAGCCTTTCTTTTCGTATTTGACAGTAGAAGAGGCATTTGTAATTTTTGCTAATATGGTAATTTCCTAATGCAATATGACTTAGGTATCTTGGGCAACTTTATGGGAAATAAAAATTATTTTGGAAGTATGTATTGTATTACTTCTTGGTGAGGAGTTATTGAGATAGCAGGACAATTAACACCTTGTTGGTACTCATATGGTCTTATACTTTTCCACTTAGCCTTTCCTCACTCTGTTCTTTCTCTCTGAAATAGCTTTCTAGAAGTTTAAATCCTGCCCATCTTTTACCATTAGCCCAGTGGTGTCTCTTCAGTGAAGTAGGATGTCATTTCTTCCTCTGATGAATCCTCATTTGTTCATTTCTTATACCAGTAATAGATGGAAGTTTCTTAAGGGTATATATAAATGAATAAGTGATATTTTGTCCCTTAAATTATGGAGTATACTTTTTTGTTGTCTGGAATAATTTTAGGTTATCCTGAGTTCACTTAGAAATCTAGTGAATGGGAGTCCTTCTAGGAAAATGACATCAATACAGTAAATAAGGTAAAGCCCCTGTGACACTCTAGAGGGAATACGTAGTGTCCTCTTTCATTAGGTTGAAGAGAATTAAATATTAGTTTGGGGTTGGGGAGTGGAGAGGGCATGGGAAGAAAAGTTACTCTTTCAGATCTGTATACCATAGGATAAAGGAGAAAAAATGAATTGGACATTAGTTACTTCAATCAAGACACAAGTCATTTACTTTGTGGCAGAAAAAGCATTATCACAGTGATGGCACAACTAAAAACAACACATTAACTATTATAAAGCCTTTCCTGGAAATCAAAGTAAAATGTACCTTCCTTCTAGAAAATTTTTGTGAGTATAGAGACTCAACTCTACTTATGACATCATTGTAATTGAATTATTTACCTATAATATTTTGCCACAATTAGTGAACTTTACTACTAATCCCTGGTGATAGTAATTTTTTTAAAAAAATTAAAGGAATTTTAAAATGCACTTCATTAATTAAAGCAGTTCTAGATTCACAGCAAAATTTAGCAGAAACTATAGAGTTCCTATAAATCCCCTCCCTCCACACATGCACAGTCTCCCCAACTACCAACATTTTGCATCTGGATAGTACATTTGTTACAGTCGGTAAGCCCACACTGACACCTTAAAAGTCCATAGTTTACATGAGGGTTCACTCTTGGTGTTGTCAACATTCTATGGGCTATGATAAATGTGTAATGACAGATATCTGTAATTATATGTCATATGGAATAGTTTCACTTCCCTAAAAATCCTTTGTGCTCTGTGAATTCATCCCTCCCTCTCCACTAACCTCTGGCAACTACTAATCTTTTTACTGTTTCCATAGTTTTGCAGTGTGTCTCTTAATGGAGCTATTACTGTTGCCTAGTACTATCAAGACAGTATGCTAAACTCTTTACGGGAATTATCTCATTGAATCTGCTCAAAACCAGAGAGGTAAGTTGGATCATCCCCCTTGTATGGATGAGGACAGATTTAGCAACTTAAATGAAATCACATAGCAGGTAGGGACAGAGCCATGTTTCAGATATGTAATGTTTTTCTCCACCCAGAGTCCACTCTCATTATTCCCATAATTCTTTGCAATTTGTGACTTTCTATTCAAAATTGCTTAGTCTGGCATTAAGGCTACTTATGGCTTGATCCCTCTTTACTTCACCAAATTTCTCTTCTGTTCCTGCTTTATATAAATGATCTATTCATGCCAGCCAGATTGGTCTACTACTTGTCTACTCAGCAGATCATGTGCTTTTGTATCTCACTGACTGTTTTCCTGCCATTTACAATGCCTTACAGATCCTTCCAAACTCAGCCTGTCTGAGTTCTGACCTTTGTTTCAGGCCAACAACCCATCTCCTCCCACCACTTTGGCCATCATTTCCTCTTCTGAACTGGTATAAAACATTACTTACATTATTCATTTAGTACTGAAACAATACCTTGAATTGTTCTTTGTCTTTTTTAGGCATATATATTCTCCCACCCTACCCATATTTCTTCCTGAGATCAGAGGTCATGTCTTTGCATTCCGCCCAATAAGTATTGAAAGAAGGTGCTGACTTGTACAGAAGATTCTACTGATGTATGTTCATTCATTCACAAGTAACAATGAGGTTGAGGATATAAAAAACATAAATCAAACTTGAAAACTATGTCTAGGACAACTATGTCTAGGAAAGCACTTTGGGTAGCTATGGTTACTGATACATGGAAAAGTATGATTACTGATAAATGAATAAGAGAGCTAATAAGATTTTGAGGGAATTAATTTGACAATAAAACAAATAGCATGACCTGAAAAAGTCACTGAGTATTCAAGCCTCATAAAAGCCTTCAGGCTGGGCGCAGTGGCTCACGCCTGCAATCCCAGCACTTTAGGAGGCCGAGGCGGGTGGATCATCTGAGGTCAGGAGTTCAAGACCAACCTGGCCAACATGGTGAAACCCTGTCTCTACTAAAAACACAAAAATTAGCCGGGTGTGGTGGTGCACACCTGTAATACCAGCTGCTTGGGAGGCTGAAGCAGGAGAATCACTTGAACCCAGGAGGTGGAGGTTGCAGTGACTTGAGGTCATGCCACTTCACTCCAGCCTAGGTGGTGGGTGACAGAGTAAGACTCTATTAAAAAAAAAAAAGAAAAAAAAAAGCCTTCAGCCTCCTAAACTTGTATAAACAGGAAGCATGCTGAAACAATGAAATAATACACCCCGTGCAAACACTGGTCGAGTCCTCTAAGGCAGGATCAGAGTCAATAAAGGAATGGAAGCACTGCTGGGGCAATCTTCATGTCATCAATGCTGTGGATCACAGGCATCACTGTCTCCCATTCTGCCTTTTCTGAGAGGGGAGTTTCTATCACAAATATCGTTTCTGTTTCATCATTTTCTTCGGGTGTGAAGAGGTAAATAACCTGTTTTTTGCTTCTTTGGTCATGGCACTTCGAGGAATGGCATCCAAATTTGATGCAGAGGATGGTATTACTATCCAGGAATACCTTTTGTGTATGTGTGAGTTAAAAAATTGAATTCCTTTTGTGTTAAACTACTAAAATATTTGACTTAAAAAATCAAAGCCTAGACTACATGAAAATATCTTCAGTGATAAAGTTCCCTTTACTTTTTTGACTTCACTAAAATCTGAGTGTTCCACACTCCTAGCTCTTCTCTCAAATGGAAACTGTTGGTTTTACACACCCAGAGAGCATTACATTTGTACGAACTCCTACTCTAGATAAGCAGAATATCCTGCTTACAGAGAAGAAATATTGCCCTGTCCATACCTAACTATATTACAATATGCAAACTCCTTCAAGACAGCAGGGCAAACATGACATGATGAGAAGACAGAACATAGATGCAGGGTGGTGGGAGAGGGGTTGGAAAAAAGCTGCTGGAAGAACACACAAAATGATAGGACATATAAGCAACTGTATAAATTGTGACATAATTCATGGTCCTGTTTCTCCTAGAAAAATGTAAAAATTACATTTTAAAAATAAAACTTAGAGAAAATGAAAAGCAAGGAAAAATTATAAGCACAATCTTGCAGAGAGACCTACTATACCATGAGTGATCATGTCACTTCCTGTTCATTCCCTTATAAAATTTGACTAGCTCTGAAGTTAAACTGATGTGGAGAAGAAAGGGCCAGGATCACTTTGTAACTCCACAGGTGTGCGAGGGAATAAAGGACTAATGTAACATAAAAAATGAGGAACTCCTAGTAGCTAACGGAACTATGGCCTCAAGAACCTCATTTGGGAAGAACTTGGTTCTTGAGGAAACTATAACCGTGATGTGCTCTCAGAGTCTAGAGAAAATTAGGCTAAATGAGCCAAGGAAGCCTTCCCTGGGGTATGAGGGTATCTTTAAAGCCCACAGAGTCAGATACAGTTGTAGGTGCCAGATAGTGAGATAAACACCTCTATTCTTCAGGAATCTGATTAGATGTCCTTGGAGGCACTGAGACTTGGTTGAAAGACGACTGGACTGAGCATCAGCCACTGGGGAATCCGGCATTCCTATCTCAGGTTTGATATGTTTATGGTCACAGATAAATCACTGTCACCTACAAAAACTGGTTAATTATCTAGCTGCTACCTACATTTTGGAAAAAGCATTTGTAGGAAGAAATGGACTCTATTCTCCCTCCTAGACTTTTCCTCTTACTCTCGTTTTCATATTCTACATCTTCTTGAATTAGTCAGATGTAGTCAGGTGTAATAATTATTTCCATTAATGAATAACTACTGATGGTGGCAGGAGGCAGACGAATGCCTAGGAAGACAGAGGTGAGTCCCCAGTGAAACCCCACCTTCAAGCTGAAGACAATTCAAAGCCTAGCTACAAGTTCCAGGTAAATCTATGGACTGGATTGAGAGCCTGTCTTCCTGTTTGGTATGGTTTCCTCTGATTGATCCCTACCTTTCACCTATTTTACATATACACACCTTTCCCTAATTAGATTTTTTTGCAGTGTTATGCCCACCTTTTGGTTGTACCTTTGTTTTAACTTTTTTGCATGCTCAGAAACCAATCAGCATTCACACCCTTATTCGGAGCCCAAAAAAGCCCCAGATACAGCCACACTGGGAGAGAGACAACCCAACTTCAGGTGAGACCATTTTCCTGTTCCCTCTCTGCTGAGAACTGTTTTGTCTCTCAATAACATTCTCTGCCCTCATGACCCTTCAATGGTCAGCATATCCTCATCCTTCTTGGGTAAGGGACAAGAACTCAGGAACCGCTGAATGCAGGTGCAAGTTATAACACAGGCAGGCTGGGGCATCCCCAGCCCAACCACAGACTGAGCTGGTGCACAAGCCAGGCACAGCCCGGGTGGGCTGAGTGAGCTGGCTGTTTCCTGTGGCAGGTAGCATGCTCAAGTGAGGCCTAGGCGGGAGCTTGGCTGGCCAGAGGTCCCCTGCTTGCAAAGTGACTGAGAAAACTCATGCATCACTATTATGCATCAGATATTGGTGAGAGATGTCCTACCTGTCTTGTTTCCTACCTTTTTAATCAACCCTACAAAGTTGAAGAAACTGAGGCTTAGAGAGGTGAATGGACTTACTCAAATCTATACAATTAGTAAATAACAAAGGTAGAATTTGACAATAAGCATGTTTAGCCCCAAAGCCTGTTGATAAGCTTGAGAAAGGAGTAGGAGTTAAATACAGCAAAAATAATTAAATTGATCACCTCATTTGTCTAATCCTCAGCTGGACCAAAATATACCACAAATAGTGGGCAGGCAGACTGTTTCCAGTAATTGCATGGAAGTTTCAAAAGAAATACAGTTGTTATGCAGATTGCCTGGCTTAGGAACAAAAAGCATACAAAATCTAAAGCTTTAGAGGAGATTTTGAAGATAAAAAGCTTTTAAAAAGGAACAAATGACGTTTAAAATGCTACTGAATGAGTTTCCAGGAATGGCTATTGTTATATTTTAAAAGGAAAATTTTTGTTCTTTTAAGAAACACAAGAGTGCTGGAAATTCAAATAAGGATAGTAGTGGACTGGTTCACCTAACTTTCCCCAAATGTAAGCAGCCATGTCAAATGAAGCCCAGAGTAAGAGCTCTTGTGGAAAAGGCAATTACCAATCAGCAGCCATTGATCATTTGTTTATTCATTCATTCATTCAGTATTCTTTTTCATTATTAAAGTGTTGAAATTCACAAAGGAGTGTATAAACCATATATAGTAATTTATTATTATTATTATTATTATTATCATTTGAGATAGAGTCTCACTCTCTCGCCCAGGCTGGCATGATCTCAGGTCACTGCAGCCTCCGCCTCCTGGGTTAAAGCGATTCTCTCGCCTCAGCTTCCTGAGTAGCTGGGATTACAGGAGTGCACTACCATGCCTGGCTAAGTTTTGCATTTTTAGTAGAGATGGCGTTTTACCTTGCTGCCTGGGCTGGTCTTGAACTCCTGACCTACTGTGGTGGCTGTGAGAATGAGCCTCCCAGACTGAGCATCTCAGACTGAGCCTCTCAGACCTCCATCCACCAGGAGTGATTAAGGGCTCCAGTTTCTGAGCTTTGAAATCCATGGCTATGTTGGTGGCCAGCCTGTGTTTCCTGCAAGCATCTCACTCTCTCAGTGGCTGAGTGCAGCAGGGTTGCATAGACAGGCCTGTTCACGGGAGACACTGGATTCTTCTCTGAGCTGGATGCCTCACTGTGGCTGGAGGCCAAAGGCTTCACTGAGCTTCTTTAGATCTCTTTAGGCTGCACAGCAAACCAACATTCCCTCCCTCCTTTGAACAGGGTTTCACATGTATCAATGTCTGACAGTTTGCCTGGCTTTTCTGGGCTCTTCATTTTCTCTCATGGAAGCATTTTCCCTAAAAAAATCTTTGGATGTTTAATTCCATCTTGGTGTCTGCTTCTCAGAGGGCCTGGCTTAACACACTCAGTATTAATTATTATAATCATTCTTTTATACATACTTTCAACTTCCTTGCTCTCTTCTGCCTTGTTAAGCTTGCTTGGCCTAACCACCTATGTGGTTAAAAACAATTGTCTCCCTCTTTAATGCCTGCTTATGTGTAGGTAGATGTGGCTGAAAAAACAAAAAACAAAAAAACATAACGATGGTCTTGTTTTAAATTATTGACCCTGGAGCTTCGACTGTACATTTAATGTAAATAGACAATCTACTGTTTCCCTGGCCTATTCATTCTTCCACTTTTCATAGGGCTATGTCATATTTTCTTTTTCCCAACCTCCTATACCTTCTTTATCACAGTTACTCTTTGGCTATGACCTTACTTATTGTTTTACAAAAATAAATAAATAAATAAAAGGGTCAGAAAGCTATTCCACAGACTCCCACCACTGCATCTACCCACCTGTATCTGAACCTATATATTCTGTGTTCTCTTCTGTTACAATGAACAGATTAAACTACCCTGAATTCCTAGCTAGGTAAAACCCTCCAATATCTCTCAATCTACCCTGTTCACTTAGAGACATTGACCTCAAAAGATACCCACTTCTCTCCCCTTTAGATCCAATCTCCTTGAATTGGTTTATCTATACTTGTCTCCAATTTCTCTCTTTTCATTCTTTCTTTTGCTCCAGGCTTTTATACCCAAAAGACCTTATTTTTTAAAAAAATGAAAGTCATGATTGGCTATCACATTGCTAAATTCAAAGGTGAATTCTTAATTCTCATCATGCTTTAATTGTAGGACATAACTTCATTACTCATAAATCACAGCTCTATTTGTGATCACTTTACTTCTTCCTTTAAAATTTCCTTTTGTGAGGATCTGCTGGTGGCAAATTTTTTATCTGAAAATGAATTTATTTCTCTCTTTTCTTGGTTGGCAATTATTTTCTTTCAGCAAATTGAAGAAAGTCTTCCATCTCCAATGGCTTTCTTAATGTAAATGTTGCTCCTTCGAAGATAATTTACTTTTTTTCCTCTGGCTGCCTTAAATCTCCTCATGACCTTTGTTGTTGGGCAATTTCTCCATGATGTGACTAGATATGAGTTTCTTTATATTTACCTTCTTGGAATTCTTTATGATTTCTGAATGAATGAATTAATGTTTTTCATCAGTTGTAGAAAATATCAGCCATTATCTCTTCAAATATTGCCCCAGTCCCTTCTTTTTCTCCTCTTCCTGGAACTCCAGTTATATGTATATTATGCTTTCTTAGATGCTTATTCATACTTTCCATTACCTTTTTCTATGCTACTTTCTGAAACATTTCCTTTGGCCTATTTTTATGTTTATAATGTCTTTAGTAAGCTGTATCAATTTGCTGATAAATCCACTTGCTGAGTTTTCTATTTTAATTACCTTTATCATTTCTAAAAGTACTATTATATGGTTGTTCAATTCTTTTGTATTATATTTTATATCTTATAATCTCTGAAAATGTTTCAAGCTTATATTTGATCTATATTCAATTCTGAGCCTTATTTTAATATTTGAAATTTTAAGCACTTTATTTTTGCCAGATTTTACTCATGAAGCCTTGTTTCCTTGGGTGTTTTTGTTTTTTAACTATGTGCATTATCCTTACAAAAGTATTTGTGGGAATTCTTGACACTTACGGTAAAGGAGCATTTCTTCGGAGTAGACTTACATTTGCTTGGGAAGCATGGAGCCTCAATAGTCTGGAACACTTTTAAATGAAATTCTCCATATACTTAGCCAATTATTCCAGCAACGCTTATTGAATAGGGAGTCCTTTTCCTATTGCTTGTTTTTGTCAGTTTTGTTGAAGATCAGATGGTAGTAGGTGTGCAGCTATATTTCTGAGTTTTCTATTTTTGTTCCATTGACCTATGTGGCTGTTTTTGTACTAGTACCATGCTGTTTTGATTACCGTCACTTTATAATATAGTTTGAACTTGGGTAATATGATGCCTCTGGCTTTTTTTTCCCCTTAAGATTAATTTGGTTATTCAGGCTTATTTTGAGTTCCCTATGAATCAGAATAGATTTTTCTAATTCTGTGATGAATGACTTTGGTGGTTTGATAGGGATATTGTTGAAATCTGTAAGTTGCTTTGAGCAGTATGGCCATTTTAATGATATTAATTCTGTTAATCCATGGGCCTGGAATATTATTTCATTTGTTTGTGTTATCTTTGATTTCTTTCAGCAGTGTATTACAGTTCTCCTTGTAGAGATGTTTCACCTCCTTGGCTAGCTGTATTCCTAGGTATTTCATTTTCTTTGTGGCTATTGTAAATGGGATTGTGTTCTTGATTTGACTGTCAGCCTGGACATCATTTATGTATAAAAATACTCCTGATTTTTCTACATTGATTTTTGCATCCTAAAACTTTTCTAAAGTTGTTTATCAGTTCCAGGGGTCTTTTGTCAGTTTATCAATTCCAGGAGCCTTTAGGGTTTCCTAGGCATAGGATCATATCATCGGTAAAGAGAGAGAGTTTGACTTATTTTTCATATTTGGATGCCTTTTATTTCTTTCTCTTATTTGCTTGCTCTATCCAGGACTTCCAGTACTATGTTGAAGAGGAGTGGTAAATGTGGGCATCCTTGTCATGTTCGAACTCTCAAGGGGAATGGTTCCAGCTTTGGCCCATTCAATATGATGTGGGTCGTGGGTTTGTCAGGTTGAAATTTGACCCTTACCTTTCACCATATACAAAAATTAACCCAAGGTGGATTAAAGATTTAAATGTAAGGTCTCAAATTATAAAAAATCCTAGAAGAAAACCTAGAAAATACCCTTCTCAACATTGGTCTTGACAAAGAATTTCTGGCTAAGTCTCCAAAAGCAATTGCAACAAAAACAAAAACTGACAAGTGGGATCTGATTAAACTAGAAACTTCCTGCACAGCAAAACAAACAAACAAATGAAATTAAAGATCAACGGAGTGAACAGACTACCTACAGAATGGAAGAAAATATTCAAAAGTTATGCATCCAACAAAGATCTAATATCCAGAGTCCGTAAGAAACTTAAATAAATAAGCAAAAAAAAAAATAACCCCATTAAAAAGTGGGCATATAGACACTGTAGGCCTATTAGAGGGGGCTGGGAGGATGGGGGGCATGGGTGGAAATACTACCTGTTGGGCATGATGCTCACTACCTGGGTGACGGGATCCATACCTCAAACCTCAGCATCAGGCAATATATCCATGTAACAAAACTGTGTAGGTACCCCCGTATCTAAAATAAAAGTTGAAATGTACAACAAAATTATTGGTTTCAAGTTTTTGTGAATTCCCACTAATACATATTTTTTTTAAATAATAGATTTTATTATTTAGAGCAGTTTTAGGTTCACAGCAAAGTAGACAAAATGAAAGAAAGTTTATTCATCTCCCCTCTTCCCCCCAGCATCCCCCACCATCAATATCCCTATCTGTATGGTACATTTGTTACAGACCTCTAGGGAATTTAAATTTAGTTTACAAATCTGCATAATGGCCAGCTATTATTTATAACTTCCTAGGGACATTTCTTTCTTCTCTGCTCAACACAAAAACAAATTTTCTTCAAGTGCTCTCATGTTGGGAGAAGCAGCAATTCGCCTCTGATTTGAACTTAAACTGAAAGTAGAACTTTATGAGGGGGAGGGTCTCGCATTAAACTTCCCTTTTGGCAGGCTCTGAGCTTGGTTTTCTGTTCGCACACCAGTGAGGTCATGAAAAGTGAAGTTCAAGTTTGTAAAGTTCAAATAATGCTCTCAGGGCAAAAGTGATTCTAATGTATTTTTATGAGTTTCCTCCTGCAGGTAGAATTTGGCCTGAAAAATCCCTACAATTTTTCAAAGATTTCAGTGCAAATAAAAAGGCTTAAAGGTATTTTCTTCAGTATTTTGTGGTTATTCCTAGTTGAATACCTGGCCAAACATTTCATCAGAAACAGAAGGCTGTTCGTTTATTATCCCAATCAACCAACAATTAATGAATATCTACCACTGTGTTAGATATTTGGGGGAGCCAATTATGTATTGGATATTATTTCTGTCATGAGGAGCTTACAATCAAGTAGAGAAGGAAGTACAGGAAGTCTATTTAATACAAGATTTTGTTGAATTGTAGAAAAGATCAACACTATAACATGATGTCCCTGTGGTTTTCTTAAACACAATTGGAGTAATTGTAAACTCAACTCTGGCTAGAATTTTATGAATCATTATTCCCTGCACCAACACCCCAATTTGTCCTGGTTTCTATGAGGGAAAAGAGCTCCAGTAGAAGGGGACTGAGCAACAGAACTGGGGTGAAGATGAGAGTTCCAAAGATATTATCACCTGCTTAACCTATTCTCTTGGGGCTATTAAAATGCTGATATAGTCTGCTCTCTTCTGTTATCTGAACCTGCTTCATGCATGGAAAAGATTAGTATGAGGAGCCTACCATCCCAACATCGTCAAGGAGATCTTGTATAGGTGTCACTTCTAGCAATGATAACAGTGGATGTGACTTTGTTGGGTCAGTTATTTTACAGCTTTATGTGATCATACAGTTCTATGGACATCAAAAAACCTAAATAAGACTTGTACCTGCTATAGGATCAAGAATTCATTTGGCCCTTTCTAATAGATATATTTTTTTAATCCCAGGAAAATAGTTAATGCATTTTCCTGATTAGGATATTAGATTTTATTTATATAGCATATAAAAAATCCAACAAATCAACTTTAAACAGTAAAATATTTGATATTATATTTTACTTTGCTCATCATTGTGGGACTAGCAGATCTGAAAGGAAAACCAAGGTTAGTTTTCTAGCAATCAGATACAGTTAATTGATGGAGATACTTCAGAGTAAAATAAAATTATCTTGACAGCTTTTCATTAGGGTAACAACCTGACAGTCAAAGAACTACCTAATTTTTTCCCTAATCATGACGAATTATTAATAGTAGCTTACACATGTATTAAACATCTTGAGAGATGGATTCTTGCAGACTTGAGTGCACAGATTGGTGAAATAGTCACTTCCTTCACTGGCTAGATCCTAGGCATTTCTAAAACAATGATACAAAGAATGTTTATTCTAAATAAAGTTCAAACAGATAAGTTTTCAAATTTAGAGCATAAAAGCAAACATATAAAATTATAATGAAGAGTGTTAAGAAGTAATGTTTCAGAAACTTTCACCAAGTGACTGTAGCCCATGTGAGCACTTTTTCTGTTTCTTTTCTTGTTTTGAGGGAATGACTCACTGATCAGAAAAATCTTGCTTTGCTCATAGAATATGCATTATATACTTAAGTTGAATAAATATTTTGTATTTTTAGAGTTCATTATAAAGTGATAAGATTAAGGGCAAGAAGAAAATTATATTTTTTGGGGGGATGCATATCCAGGGATAGATTTGGGAGGGTTTTCCAGTGATTCTGGTGAGCGTTTAATAGCCCTTATTTCCTTAAAGCCTTGAGATCCTGTCCTTGTATGTCTATGAGTATCAGAAGAGAATGCAGAAGATAAAAACCTGCGTGAATGCTGGAGATGCTTCATCCCTCTGGTCCATCTGTATCACCCTGTGATGATCCAAGGAAACTCTGGAAGTGTAGTGTGGAGAGAGGAACATGGTGAGAGGCCATCCAGGTATGCTAGAGCTGAACATAAAACTGGGAATTCTTGACTAAAAGCAAAGAACAGGCTCACCCCTAACATTTGTGTGGCTTGAGCATTTATAAGTCATAAATCAACTACCTTAAAATTTTACCTTCATAATGACAAATTTAAAAATTTATGTAAAGTTATTGTTTTTACATAGCTTTATGTAACTTAATATTCATAGTTATGAACTATATTTAAAATAAAAAATATAAATTGCAATTATGTATATTACATTTAAAATAAAAATTATTTATGGCTGAAATTAAAATATATTAAAACGTAATTTAATTTTATTAAATATTATTATAAAAGTACTTAGTTATATCATTAATCTTTCAACTAGTTGGCAAGGTTAGTAAGAGGTATTGTGCTCCCTGATGTTATACCTAGATGTACACATTTAAGAGAAACATGAACCTTTAATATTTTTAAATGTTTCTCAGCCAAGTGTAACTGTTGTGAATATTGCGCTAATTCATGAATATCCTCAGAATTACAAGTTGGAAAATAATAAAAGAGTAAGAAAAAAGATATTCAGCACTACTGGGAGATGATGCTTTATCATGCAAGAATACTGTATCCATGCTATTGGAGTGGAAGGATTTGATAAATTAGTCTTTTGTTTTCTTTTTACCTAAGTTAATCTGCTGCCTAAATCCTCCTCTGACTTCATAGCTGCATTCATCTTCAGTGTCAACAGGAACATAGCCCAAAACTTTCATGGTGTTTGGATGTAGTAGCCATCTGTTTCTAGGACAGGGAAAGGATATGAGAAGAAGCATTTCTCAAGGGCCTGAATGGTGTTAGTAACAAGCGTGGGTGTGGGTGGTTATGATGTGCACTTTACCACAGCTGAGCAATGGATCCCAAGTGACAAAGGCACCCATATGTTGTTAACTATTATTTATATGTATGTTTGTGAGATACACACACTTAAATTATTACAATTTTTTGTTATAAAACTGTCACATGGATGACGGGATTTAAAGTGTACAATATGTTTCATGGAGTGTTTTTTTCTCCAAATTTGTGAAGCATTCTTCAAATAACCTGATGACTCTTAGAATCTATGAAGCAGCAGCTTTGGCAATGTAAATCTCTCCAGAACTCCCCATTTTAGCAGCTACAATAAGGTAAGATAAAAGGAATGGAAACTAACTACCTTAATGATAGGATCAGCTTTAAAAGTATTTGTTATGTTCTGGCTGGTTTTTTTGGCATGGGTACAGAGGTTAAAGCTGTGAGAAACAATAGCACAAAGCTACATGATAATGAACATTTGGGCTTTTATTGAATATTCTTTCATTTCTAGAGACATCAGAGCACAATGTAACGCACATTTTAATGAGTTGCATATTTTGACCTGTTGTGTATGCAATCAAACAACCAGATCATTTACATTTAAAATGTCAATCCTAAAAAATTAAAAAGAAGGAAGGTTGCCATGGAGATTATCCTGTGTACATATGATAGGTGAGTGTCTTAACCTGAAATGTGATGTGGTCTCAGAAAAAATACAAGTTTACACTGCTGTAATAAGGCAAATAAATCCGCTTACCTAAGTAAGAAGGACAGTATTTGTGCTGAAGAAACTCCTTTATGTCTCCTTATTTATTAAAAAATTATGAGAATATAATATTAACAGTAAGGTCAGAAGCTTAATTGAAAATCTGAAAGTTCCCATCCTGTTATCTGAATTTCTTCAGCTGGTATGTAAGCATCAAGTTGGGGAGGAAAAGAACACATGTCCCTTTTCTGGGCAGATGTAGTGTCGATTCACTGATGAATACTCAAACATTGTAGTGATAATTTATAACCCAAAGTATAAGGGTCTAAAAAAATCACTGTAATAAACAGAAAGTCTTTAAAGGCATTTTCTAGACAAGTTTGGAATGCCATCTGCTATGTCGAAGGAATTGGGCATAATGAAAAACATTTTGAACACAGTGGCTTCCATCGTACAAACTGGGTTTGTGGAGATGTTGGGATTCCCACAGCACTAAGAAATAAATTGGAATGGTCAGAAAAGACAAGTAATCCTGCTGCAGTGGCAGGGGTGTTGTTTCAGCCCTTTAATAACTTTTCACTGAAAAGAAGCTGGTTCCTACACCAGTGACATGCTTCTGTGGTCTCTAAATACTCTCTGAATCCTAGGAACCTTACTTCTCTTGGCTGGCTTCTCTTGAAGGTCCCGGAGTCTTTAAAATGTATTTTCAAGAATTGTCAGATTCAAGAGACACTGTCTTATAAGGCCTAAGCCTTTATTACTTAGCAAGAGCCATGGAATTTATGTACAAAAAACAAAGTTCCAGCCTATGTGCTGCAAAAACACTAAGAAATTAAAATTAGCTGCAACCAAGGAGAGGCCCCAAAACACTAGGTATTATTATTGTAACTCAATGCTTAAATAAGGATAATGCTTTATGTCACTCTTTTATGTGGCATGGTTATTACTGGCCTCTCTTGTCACCTGCACTGAACTCATGGTTTTCTGCTGGGCTCTGAAAGAGGCAGAATTTTTTTTTTTTCTGGATACTCAGTACCATTTAGCATGTTACCATTGCTGTGCCCTTAATGACACCCTAAAAACTTAAAAGAGTTAATGTTCTTTCTTTAGTATCTGGAAATAACTTGAGGCTCTGGAAACATTTGGATTCTCATTATTATAATCAGAGATAATGAGAATAATGTGCAGAGATAATTGGTGCACAGTGACTGCAAAAGGACGACAAGCATGGACGAGACTGTTTGGCAGGACCACGCGTTAATACGTGAGAGCGGCTGATAAACCCTCAATGCTTTCAATTCCTAAATCTATTCAGTTTTAAGTCATACAGTGCCCATCACCTGGGCACTGTTCTTTATGATGTCTGCTGAACATATGCCTGAGTCAAAAGTGTTTTGTTGTGAGCTATTCACATCACCTTAGGGAGGCTGGCTTTTATTATGAGCCTCAATTTTTTTATAAGCCTCTGAACATTTAAACATATCTAAGAGTAAATTGGTTCCTGAGAGAGGGTGTGAGACCATGAAACTCAGGTTACTCATGCTTCCCTAAGTGCTGAACTATGAAGCCATGTTTTTTTTTTTTTTTCACTCACACTGTCAATACCATCCCAAAGTAAGAGCACTTCCCCTAGATCCAGTAGTTCTGGAGGTGCTGGGGTGATAAGCCTGAGGGCTGACCTGGGCTGGTTGCTAAAAAGTAATGGCTTAGAAAGGCAGTTTGCTTGGAAGGAAAAAAGAAGATAGTTCTGTCAGCTGCTGTTAAAAATGTATCTAAGATTCCATGATAAAATGTGCCCATAAGCCCTCCTGTTATTACCAAGCTACAATAATGCAAACGATCTCCTTCTCTAGCCAAATGTCATATCTTCTCTTTTTATGATTTTCCTTTAACTACCAGGCTACTCTTGGTGTTTATGTTAGCCTGATTTCACTTGGGTAAATTTGTGACGTAGGAGGGGGAGGAACACACATTACATGATATACTTTGGGACTGTTTCTATTTGCAACTTTCACTGACCACTGGTACTGCTATCCTTAAAGAATATGGTACACCAAACACTTAAACTTCTCAAAGAGCCAGTGTAGACTGTAACATTACAGTTTGTTACCATTTCTTCCTTAAACATTTCGTCTTCCACTATTCAGATCTAAACATCTAAATTTATGGCATTGAACAGTTTCGGCAACCAATATGTCTCTTTTATATCCAACAAACACAGGTGGTTGAAGCTGTTTTTTGATGAAAACCAGAGAAGCAGTGTTTAATCTTTCTCCCTCCTCCTCTTCCCAGATGCTTCTGAAAAAAAATCAGTTTCATTTTTTTCAACTGTCAAGTGAGGATTGTTGAATTTGTGAAGATTAATTGAGATGATATCTGAGACAGTTCTAAGTGCTATATGGAACAGTGCCATAAAAATGCAAAATCTTGCTATTATTATCTAGCAATATTATGCTCTGGTGTTAAGAGAATCAAGAACTATGGATCATCCAATAAGCATGTAAGAAGGGGATCCCTGTCCACTAAAGGAATATGTTTTACACTTCACAAAGAATGGAACAGAATTTTAGAAAATATTTCCTGATATTTTAAAGTGTCTTAAATCATTTTTATGCATAATGAAAAATGATAACTTTTAGATAATGAAAACTGATGTGTAGCACCTGGGACTATATTCTTTATAGAGTAAAGTAGAAGCAAAATCCTGGGTTAAAATATACCATGGGGTAAGTGTGTATGTATGTGTGTGTGTGTGTGTGTGTGTGTAAAATAAAAAGGAAAATATTGTCAAATATCAGTGCTACTATATCTACCTAATCATATTATTTCTGACATATTTATTCTCAATTAAAAGCATAAAGTATTTTTTCACATGTTAGTTTATAATGTCATTTGGGCATGTGAACTTATTACTATTTTGAGTTTCATAGTATTTATAACCCACATATATCTTGGACCTCACTGCTTCCTGACATGCCTGTCATGTAGCAATTGTACTGAAATCTGAGCTACTATCTTCTGCCATCTGGGTGAATAATGCTTTGCTTTTGTTGTGTTTAGCTAGACCATGAGTTTCTTGATCTGTTCTGCCATGGGTTGGCTGAGAGGACCACAAGATACCTCATCATCTTGGACAGTTTAATCCAGCTCACACAAATGGCATATTTGTCTCTATCATGACTGCTAGAAAAAGGGATTTTAGTAATGTCATATTCACATATCACTGATGTCCAAAAATTGGGTCTT
Source organism: Homo sapiens (assembly GCF_000001405.40). Classification (NCBI taxonomy): domain Eukaryota; kingdom Metazoa; phylum Chordata; class Mammalia; order Primates; family Hominidae; genus Homo; species Homo sapiens. The sequence continues at coordinate 41,671,379 of NC_000005.10, read as the reverse complement.
ATTGGCAGTTTCATTACCAGCATGAAGAAACAATGGGTACTCCTTCTTAATACTTGAGACAGCTGTCATCTTGAAGGTACCAACAGGCTACAATTGGTTGAAAAATGTCATGTGACTTGCCCCAGGGAACTCTGACATCACTATTCCCCAAAACCCTTATAGGAATTGTTCTCAACTGGGTGCCATTTAGCCCTTCACCCCAGGGGACAATTGGAAATGTTTGGAGACATTTTTTATTGCCATGGCTAGGGAGGTGCTGCTGGTTATCTAGTAAGCAGAGGCCAGGGATGCTACCTAACATCCTGCAGGGCACAAGACAGCAGCGCCACCACCCCTGACAACAAGGAATTATCAGGTGCAAGATGTCAACAGTGCCGAGGTTAGGAAAACCTTGTCTTTGAGGTGAGGGTTTCAGAGACAGCTGGCAGTGTAGGGAGAATGAATTACAAACCTTGGTCAAATCTCCTCCACATGGGGTATTTTAAAACATCAGATTTGGTGGTGATAAAGTATGATTCAGCACATTCCTGTTATAAGAAAGACAAAGTATCCATTCTGTTCTTGAGATTACATTAATATTGTTCACACCTCACTACTGATTTTCTAAAATAAAACATTTGGTATTTACCTCCCTACTTGTTGGTAGTCCTGCAGGGAGGAAAGAAATCCAGAGAAATTACTGACATGCTGTGTTCCTCTTACAGTCCTATGCACCTCCCTCGCAAATTTACAAGGGATTGTATATTGTACATATGTGGTGATTTCTATGTCAACCTTTAATGAGAAGGCTTGTAGAAGCTGCATGTCATCCACACCCAAAATATGCAGGTGTTGTGGCAAAGCAGCTGCAGAATAACTGATCGAGTTTCCAAGTTCCGCGGATCATGTCAAGATTCATTCACATTAAGTTGACCTGGGATCTGCAGTCTACTGTAAACTAAACTAATTTAAGAAGGGCATCTGTTGTGTTATCTCTCACATTGCCTTCAGCAGGCCTTCCCTTTTTATTTTGAGTGAAGTTTTTGTTTTTTGTGTCTTATGACAGCAATGCCTGCTCCATGAAGAGCTGAGTCTTTGCCAATGTTCCAGCCACCTTCTGAATAAATCAACTATGTTCCATCAGGTGGAAGAAAGGGCACTTCAAATTTTCTTGTGGCAGATGGTTTGACACATCTAATTGAAGTAATATATTTTTTCAGATGGCCTTGATAAGCTATAAGGAAATGTACAGTGTGTCATATTGTGACAAATATCTACTGGCTGAAATAGAAAATTTGGAGTAAATGTGTTGCACTCAGCATAGACATAGTGTTTTGGGGAGGAAAACCTCACCTTTATATTTTCAAGTCTTGGTCTTCAGATGGAGGAAAGTTTGTAATGGTTTAAATAGATGGAAAAAAACTTAACCTCTTTTTAATTTTTTGAGATGGCTTCACTCTGTCACCCAGGCTGGAAGGCAGTGAGGTGATCATAGCTCACTGCATCCTCTGAGTGATCCTCCTGCCTCAGCCCCCCAATTAACTAAGACTACAGGCACATGCTACCATGCCTGGCTAATTTTTATTCTTTTTGAGACAGGTGTTTCACTTTGTTGCCCAGGCTGGTCTCAAACTCCTGGGCTCAAGTGATCCTCCCCTCTCAGTCTCCCAAAGTGCTGAAGTGACAGGCATGAGCCACTGTGCCTGGTTCAAGACTGACTCTTTAACAGAAGCTGAGTCACATCTTTCCTCAGTCTGGTTAGGTTCTTTTGGGGGTTGGGGTTTGGTAAGAAGCTGTTGCTGAGAGAATTACTGTTACAGTGCTGTAACAGAGTTGTGGTTCTGAGAACCCACTGGGAGAAAATGGTGTAATAAGGCATTAAAGCGGAAGGAAAGAAAAGAGGTTGATGAGAGTAGGAGTGAGCTGGGCCCTTTAGCACCCCCATGCACCATAACTCAGCAGTGTCTAGACTAAGCTGATGGATGGCTCAGACAGCCCCTTCATCCTCAAGGACTCACAGATTCACTGGCCTCATCCTGCCAAGACATTCATAAAAGACGAGCTTCAAGCCACTGCCCAAGAGGGCTTGTTATAATTTCCTAGAGGTCTGGTCCTTAGTTATTTATTACAGATAATTACCAATTTGGAAGAGGGCTTGCTCAATGAACAAACTGGCATTTCCAAAACAACCTGTATAGGGTTGTTCTATGTAGGTAAGTTCTTTAAAAATATATCTGGTTATTGATGTATCCTAATTCTCCCTTTATTAAAATCTCTGCTTAAATGTTGCTACCCCAGGGAGATGCGTGGGCCCATCCCTCTCTATCCTCTTACCCTGGTCTAGTTTGATGTGCAATACTGTTACTACTTGACATCATTTTTTGTATCTATTTGCTTATTTTCTATTCCTCTCCCGTGGACATCCTCCATTCCCTCTCCCCAATGCCAATGTGAGATCAGAAAGGCAGGCACCAGAGATGTCTCTCTTGTGCACTGTTTTCGGTATCTAGACCACTGCCTGGCAGGTAATAGGTGAATAAATCTTTTGGATAATTCCCAAATTTACTGTGACTTTCTGATTGATCTAGATCCTACCTGAGAAATGGGTGACATTACCAGTACATTACATTATTCAAGATAGGTGGAGAGAACAGCTAGTGGTTAAGACCCTCAGATAATCTTTGTGTGGATAGATTTTTGTTTCTCTGATCTTTTCTCTTCTAGACCCTGACCCTGGCATGATGGGATTCCCTCTTTCCTTCCTAATTATTTGCTTTCTGACCTTAGTAAGTCAACTTGGCTCAAATCTTCTGCACCCTGACTTGGGTTCTCAGAGACCTGTTCTGTTTGCCCAAGATTATAGTCAGATTTCTGATTCCATCACCACCCTCCATTGGACCTATTTTTACATGGTCATTAGGACCTTCCTGCTATGGATTGAACATATGTGTCCCTCCCATGTTGGAACCTTTAACCCCAAGATGATGGTATTAAGAAGTAGGGCTTTGGGGATATGATTAGGCCCTGAGGGCTCTGCTCTTGTGAATGAGATTAATGTTCTTATAAAAGAGCCTTCAAAAGACTTGCCTGGCCCTTTTACCCTTCCATCTTTTCTGCCATGTGAGGACACAGCATGTTTCCCCTCTGGAGAATGCAGCAAAAAGGTACTGTATTAGTCCATTTTCATGCTACTGATAAACACATACCTGAGACTGGGCAGTTTACAGAAGAAAGAGGTTTAACTGGATTTCAGTTCCACATGGCTGGGGAAGCCTCACAATCATAGTGGAAGGCAAGGAGAAGCAAGTCATGTCTTACATAGATGGCAGCAGGCAAAGAGAGAGAACTTGTACAGGGGAACTCCTCTTTTTAAAACCATCAGATCTCATGAGACTTATTCACTATCGCAAGAACAGCACAGGAAAGACTTGCCCCCACGATTCAATTACCTCCCACTGGGTCTCTCCCACAACATGTGGGAATTCAAGGTGAGATTTGGGTGGGGACATAGCCAAACCATATCAGGTACCATCTTGGAATCAGAGAGTGAGTAGCTCTCAACGGACACCAAATCTGTTGACACCTTCATCTTGGACTTCCCAGTCTCCAGAACTGTGAGAAATATATTTCTATGGTTTATAAATTACCAAGTCTAAGATATTTTGTTAGAGCAGCCTGAATAAACTAAGATGCCTCCACTTGATCCTCAACTAGCTTATTTGTTATCTTGGTAGCACTGATGCAACTCATACTTCTTTTTCTTTTTTGAATTTTTTTTCTCTCTTAGCTTCTGTAACTCTCCTCTTCTGATCTCTCTTCCTTAATAGCTACACCTTTTCAGTCTCACTTATGGGCTTCTCCTCCCTACAACTATTATAAGGTAGAGTGGTCCAAAGCTCAATCCTGAGCTCCTCTTTTCTCTCTTCTTCAAATCCGTTTCTTCCACAATTCACTCCATCTTACTAAAGGTCATCACTATCATATTCACCATTGATATTCACCTCAGAATTGTACAGTCATCTTAATTTCTCATTTTCCTCAATCTTCACATATAATCCACTAGCATATTTTGGTGATTATACTTCCGAAAGATAACTTAAGTGTATCTACCTCTATCTATCTCCAGGGAAACCAAACTCCACACTAGTGCAAGGGCCTCTGAGTTGGTCTTCCTTCTTCCTCTTGTTTCCTCTAATCCAATAGTTCTCAACCCAGGTTGCACATTGAATAATCTACAGATGTCTGGGTCCCAATCTCCACAAATTTTGATTCAATAGGTTTGGAATGGAGTTTATAGAAAGTATCCCCCAAGCGACTCAAATTTATCTCCAGGATTAAGGACAACTGCTCTAATTCAGTGGTTTTCAAGTTTTACTGTACATATATTTACACATGGTCCTTGATAAAATGAAGATTCTGATTCAGTATACCTGGTTTGGATCCCAGGCTGGAGTGCAGTGGCGTGATCTCGTCTCACAGGAAGCTCTGCCTCCTGGGTTCATGCCATTCTCCTGCCTCAGCCCCCTGAGTAGCTGGGACTACAGGCTCCCACCACCACTCCTGGCTAATTTTGTTTTCGTATTTTTAGTAGAGACGGGGTTTCACCGTGTTAGCCAGGATGGTCTCGATCTCCTGAGCTCGTGATCCGCCCCCACCTCGGCCTCCCAGAGTGCTGGGATTACAGGTGTAAGTCACTGTGCTCGGCCTAGTTTACATTTCTAACAAGCTCCCAGATGATGATCATGCTGAAAGTCCAAGGCTAGGCTCTGTTCCATCTATATCCAGCAGTCAGAGTGGTCTTTTAAAAGGCAAATTGTACCTTGTCGCCCTCCTACTTAAAACTCTCCTGTGCTTCCCGTTACACATTGGATTAAATAAAGTTATATCATAGTCCTTCATTCTCTCTCTCTCTTTTTTTTTTTTTTTTTTGACCTGGCCCCTACCTCCTCTCCAACTTCATCTCTTGCCATTATTCTGGCTCACTGTACTCCAGCCACATGGCTATTTTCCAGTTCCTTAAGTACTCTAAGCATGATAATTAGGAGTGTGGGCATGACAGTCAGACTTCCAGAGAACCAATTCCAGCTTCACTATTTACTGTCTTTATGACCATGAGAGAGGGACTTAATTTCTTTACTACTGTTTCTTTTTTCCATTCTATAAAATGAGAATAATGGTATCACCTAGATACAGGAAAATTGCGAAGCCTAAAAGAGATCACAAATGTAAACACTTAGGACATGTAGAGAGTGTCTAGTAAATATGACCTTATTATCTCTTTCTGCTCCTTTGTATTCTGTGTCATGCTATTTTCATTTGAGACTTTAATAGTGCTGTTCCTGCTGCCAAGAAAGCTTTTTCTCTTGCACTTTGTTTTGGTGCCTGCTTCTAATCCTTTAAACACGATATTACCTTCTCCAAGAGATATTTAATGACTACTTATTTAAATTAGATACCCCTTCCTCCACCTTCTCTACAACCACATCTTGTTTCTTTCCTTTGTAGATTTGTCTGTTTTTATATTATCTGTCTCACTCACTAGACTATAAACACTGTGAAAGGTAGGAACCATGTCATTATTGTATATCCCCAAAGCTCAACAGAGTGTCTGGTATATAGTAAACTCTCAACACATATTTGTTCAATAGATAAATTAATGTATATTTATCACCGCAGTCTGCAGGCATCACCTGAATTCCTAGAATATAGAGACTCTATAGATACTGGAAATTGACCTTAAGGCCCTTTAGCTCAACTCTCTTATTTTACTAATGTGGAAAATCCCATTTTACTAATGGGATCCTAAGCTTGATGACTGTATTAATGTTACTGACTATGACTTGTGCCCTGATGTAAGCTTTGGTATGTTAGTTCAGCAAAAAGTGTCTATGATGGTTGATACTGAGTCTCAACTTGATTGGGTTGAAGGATACAAAGTATTGTTCCTGGGTGTGTCTGTGAGGGTGTTGCTGAAGGAGACTAACATTTGAATCAGTGGGCTGGGAAAGGCAGACTCACCCTTAATCTGGGTGGGAACAATCTAATCAGTTGCCAGGGCGGCTAGAATATAAGCAGGCAGAAAAGTGTAAAAAGGGACTGGCTTAGCCTCCCAGCCTACATGTTTCTCCCTTGCTCGATGCTTCCTGCCCTCAAACAGCAGACTTCAAGTTCTTCAGTTTTGGAACTTGGATTTGCTCTCCTGGCTCCTCAGACTGCAGATGGCCTATTGTGGGACCTTGACATTGTGTGAGTTAATACCTAATAAACTTCCATATATATATATATATATATATATATATATATATATATATATATATATATATCTTTCTCTCTAGAGAACCTTGACTAATACAGATTTTGTACTTGAGGAAGAGAATATTAAGGATGGAGTGCTTTCCTTGGTTTTGGGGTTTCTGGAGTTGGCTGCTTAATATGATTAGACCCCAAATGCTAAGGACTCTACTTCTAACGTATGGAGAACCTGATAGACCTTGGTGTGAACTGTTTAGAGAGTTATGCAAAATAAATGCATTTGACACTCCTGATTCATCATTCCTGAGAGGCAAGGAGTTTAGTGACTCTATACATAATACCTTTGACCATATGTGGAGAACCAAGGAACATAATAAAGCTGGTTGTTTGCTCGTAATTCAGTGGACAAAGTGATGAAAGAAAATGATGAATGCAGGGATTCTATTTCCCAGCTTCATAAGCAGATACTGAACCTCAAATCTGCTAAGATTGCCCTGAGTGAGAGTGTTCTCTTTTGTAGAGAAAGAGCTGAAATTGTGGAAAAACAGACACAAGCTCTTAAGATGCAAGTGGCTGATCTGCAATGAAAGGTGCATGCACAGCCTTGCCAGGTGTCTACTGTTAAAGCGAGGGCATTGATTGGAAAAGAATGGGACCCTGAAAATTGGAATAGGGGTGTATGGGAGGACCCTGATGAAGCTGGGGACACTGAGTTTGTAAACTCTGATGAATCTTTTTTGCCAGAAGAAACAGCCTCCCCATCCCCAGTAGTGGCAATATCCCCTCCCAACCCAAGCTGACATCAGCCTTTCCACCTTTGTCTGAGGAGATAAACCCTGTGCTGCCTGAAGCAACAGTGATGGCCTCCCCTGAGTTAGTTTCCAAGCAAAATAATGTTGATGCTCCTTAGGAGCCACCCCAACACCCCTGTTTGGTTCTAGACCTATAACTAAAGTCCTGGCAGGCCCCTAGAGATGAGGTTGAGAGTGTGACACATGAGGAGATTCACTACAATTGAAAAGAACTGTTTAAGTTTTCTAACTTATATAAACAGTAATTTGGAGAACAGACATGGGAATGGATATTAAGGGTGTGGGATAATGGTGGAAGGAACATAGAGTTGGATCAGGCTAAATTTATTGATTTAGGCCCACTAAGTAGGGCTTCTGCATTTAATGTTGCAGCCTAGGGAGACAAAACATTCTAATAGTTTATTTGCTCGGTTAGCTAAAATATGGATTAAAAGATGGTTCACTGTGAGCAAGCTGGAAATACCTGATCTCCCTTGGTTTAATGTAGAGGAAGAGATCCAAAGGCTTAGGGAGACTGGGATAGTGGAGTGGATTAGTCACTTCAGACCTACTAATCTCAGCTGGCAGGGTCCAGAAGATATACTCTTGACCAATACCTTGCGAAATAGATTTGTGAGGGCAGCACCTGCATTTTTGAAGATCCCTGTAATTGCTCTTCTCTATATGTCAGATCTAACAATGGGAACCACAGTCACTCAACCATAAAATTTAAATACAATGGGAATAATTGAATCCCAAGATGGCAGGGGCCAAGTGGAGGCACTCAACTGTCAATGGCAAGGTGGGCATAGCTACCAGAATGGACAGCAGAGGCAAAGTGGCAATCAGAATAGTCTGACTCGTGTAGAGCTCTGGCACTGTCTAATTAATCAAAGTGTTCCTAGAAGTGAAATTGATAAGAAGCCTACTGCATTCCTACTTAATTTATATAAGGAGAAAACTTCTAGGTCGAATGGACAAAAGACTAATGTGAATTATAAAAACAGAGAATCATGGCCCCTCAATCAATTTCCAGACTTGAGCCAGTTTACAGATCCAGAACCACTTGAATGAAGGGGAGGATGGGTCCCCTTGAGGAAGGACCCCACTACATTACTGACAACTTATGCAGTGAATCTTTCTCCCATCCTTCCCCAAGGATACCTCCCACCTTCACCAGGGTAACTGTGCACTAGGGAAAGGGAAATGATGAGACATTTTGGGGACTACTGGACACTGGCTCTGAGCTGACATTGATTCCAGGGGTCCCAAAACATCATTGAGGTCCTCCAGTTAAAGTAGTGGCTGATGGAGGTCAGGTAATTAATGGAGTTTTAGCTCAGGTTCAACTTATAGTGGGTCCAGTGGGTCCCTGGACTCATCCTATGCTCATTTCCCCAGTGCCAGAATGCATAATTAGCATAGACATATTTAGCAGGTGGCAGAATCCCCATACTGGCTCCCTGACTGGTAGAGTTAGGGCTGTTATGGTGGGAAAGGCCAAATGGAAGCCATTAAAGCTGTCTTTACCTAGAAAAATAGTAATTCAAAAACAGTATCATATTCCTGGAGGGACTGCAGAGATTAGTGCCACCACCAAGAACTTGAAAGGCTCAGGGGTGGTGATTCCCACCACATGCCCATTCAACTCTCCCATTTGGCCTGTGCAGAAGAAAGATAGGTCATGGAGAATGAAAGTGGTTTATCATATGCTTAACCAAGTGGTGACTCCAGTTGCAGCTGCTGTATCAGATGAGGTTTCATTGCTTGAGCAAATTAATACATCTGGTACCTGGTATGTAGCCACTGACTTGGAAAATGCCTTTTCCTCTATTCCTGTCATAACGGCCACCAGAAGCAATTTGCCTTCAGCTGGCAAGGCCAGCAATATACTTTTACTGTCCTACCTCAGGGATATATCAACTCTCCAGGTTTGTGTCATAATCTTATTCGGAGAGACGTTGATCGCTTTTCACTTCCGTGAGATATCACACTGGTCCATTACATTGACGATATTATGCTGATTGGATCCAGTGAGCAACAAGTAGCAAACACACTGGACTTATTTGTGAGACATTTGCATGCCAGAAGATGGGAAATAAATTCAACTAAAACTCAGGGACCTTATACCTCAGTAAAATTTCTAGGAGTCCAGTGGGGTGGGGCCTGTTGAGATATTCCTTCTAAGGTGAAGGATAAGTTGCTGCATTTGGCCCCTCCTACAGCCAAGAAAGAGGCACAATGCCTAGTGGGCCTATTTGGGTGGTGGAGGCAACACATTCCTCATTTGTGTGTGTTACTCTGGCCCATTTTTTGAGTGACCTGAAAGGCTGCCAGTTTTGAGTGGGGTTCAGAATAGGAGAAGGCTCTGCAACAGGTCCAGGCTGCTGTGCAAGTTGCTCTGCCACTTGGGCCATACAACCCAGCAGATCCAATGGTGCTTGATGTGTCAGTGGCAGATAGGGATGCTGTTCAGAGCCTTTGGCAGGCGCCCACAGGTCGATCACAGTGGAGGCCTCTAGGATTTTGAAACGAGGCCCCGCCATCTTCTGCAGATAACTACTCTTCTTTTGAGGGACAGCTCTTGGCCTGTTACTAGGCTTTGGTGGAAACTGAACGTTTGACTTTGGGTCATCAAGTCACCATGTGAACTGAATTGCCTACCATGAACTGGGTATTTTCTGACCCATCTAGCCATAAAGTGGGTCATACAAAGAAGCATTCTATCATCAAATGGAAGTGATATATACATAACAGGGCTCGAGCAGGTCCTGAAGGTACAAGTAAGATACATGAAGAAGTAGCTCAAATGCCCATAGTCTCCACTCCAGCTACCCTGCCTTCTCTCCCCCAGCCTACACCGATGACTTCATGGGGAGTTCCCTGTGATCAGTTGACAAGGAAAATAAGACTAGGGCTTAGTCCACAGATGGTTCTGCATGATATGCAGGCACCACCTGAAAGTGGACAGCTGTAGCACTACAGCCCCTATCTAGGACATTCCTGAAGCACAGCAGTGAAGGGAAATCTTCCCAGTGGGCAGAAGTTTGAGCAGTGCACCTGGCTGCACACTGTGCATGGAAGGAGAAATGACCAGATGTGCGATTATATACTAATTCATGGGCTGTAGCCAATGGTTTGGCTGGATGGTCAGGGACTTAGAAGAAGCATGATTGGAAAATTGGTGACAAAGAAATTTGGGGAAGAAGTATGTGGATGGACCTTTGTGAGTGGTCAAAAACTGTTAAGATATTTGTATCCATGTGAGTGCTCACCAACAGGTGACCTCAGCAGAAGAAAGTTTTAATAATTAAGTGGATAGGATGACCCGTTCTGTGGACACCACTCAGTCTCTTTCCCCAGCCACCCCTGTCATCGCCCAATGGGCCCATGAACAAAGTGGCCACAGTGGCAGGGATGGAGGTTATGCATGGGCTCAGCAACATGGACTTCCACTTACCAAGGCTGACCTGGCTATAGCTACTGCTGAGTGCCCAATTTGCCAGCAGCAGAGACCAACACTGGGCCCTCGATATGGCATAATTCCTCGGGTAGATCAGCCAGATTCCTGGTGGCAGGTTGATTATATTTGGGCTCTTCCATCATGGAAAGGGCAGAGGTTTGTCCTCAGTGGAATGGACACTTATTCTGGATATAGGTTTGCCTATCCTGCATGCAATGCTTCTGCCAAGACTACCATCTGTGAACTCATGGAATGCCTCATCCACTGTCATGGTATTCCACACAGCATTGCCTCTGACCAAGGTACTCACTTTACAGCTAAAGAAGTGTGGCAGTGGGCTCATACTCATGGAATTCACCAGTCTTACCAAGACTCCCATCATCCTGAAGCAGCTGGACTGATAGAATGGTGGAATGGCCTTTTGAAATCACAATTACAACACCAACTAGGTGACAATACTTTGCAGGGCTGGGGCAAAGTTCTCCAGAAGGCCATGTATGCTCTGAATTGGCATCCAATATACGGTACTGTTTTCTCCCATAGCCAGGATTCACGGGTCCAGAAATCAACGGGTGGAAGTGGAAGTGGCACCACTCACCATCAACCCTAGTGATCCACTAGCAAAATTTTTGCTTCCTGTTCCCGCAACATTACATTCTGCTGGCCTAGAGGTCTTAGTTCCAGAGGGAAGAACGATGCCACCAGGAGCAGGAGACATGAGAATGATTCAATTAAACTGGAAGATTGCCACTTGGACACTTTTGGGTCCTCCTACCTGTAAGTCAACAGGCTAAGAAGGGAGTTACAATGTTGGCTGGTGTGATTGACCTGGACTATCAATATCAAATCAGTCTTCTACTGCATAATGGAGGTAAGGAAGAGTATGCATGGAATACAGGAGATCCATTAGGGCATCTCTTAATATTACCATGCCCTGTGAGTAAGGTCAGTGGGAAACTACAACAGCCCAATCCAGGCAGGACTACAAATGACCCAGACGCTTTAGGAATGAAGGTTTGGGTCACTCTACCAGGAAAAATACCTACAACCTGCTGAGGTGCTATTGAAGGCAAGGGGAATATAGAATGGGTAGTAGAAGAAGGTAGTCATCAATATCAGCTATGACCACATGACCAGCTGCAGAAATGAGGACTGTAATTGTTGCGAGTACTTTCCCCCTCTTTTGTTAAAAACATGTTTGTGCATGTGTACACTTGTACTAAGAAAATATCTTCATTTTATTTCCTTTCTCCTTTATCATGTGATATAAGATTTATTGACCTCACATCAGCATTTAAGTATCGTTAACTTTATGTAATAGTATTTGGGTTGAGGATTGGTGTGTTTCTGCTAGTATGAAGGATAGTTGTATTATGTTAGGCATAATTATGACCTTATTATTGTCTTTACTTGAAGATTATGTATGATCTCAGGAGATGTGTAGGGGTTCAAATTGACAAGGGGCGGACTTGTGATGGTTAATACCGAGTGTCAGCCTGATTGGATTGAAGGATCAATACTTTGTATCCTTCAATCCAATCCAATCCAAAGTATTGTTGCCAATCTTCCTCCACTAGAATATATCATCCCTCTGTTGCCTGATTTACTCCACTGCTGTATCTCTAATGCCTATCAAATAGTGCCTGGCATATATTTGGTGCTCCAAAATATTTGATGATTGGATCATCTGAGAAGCCATGATATTTTATTTCTTTTAGGTTCTTTTTACTTCAAAGTCTACAAGACAGTCAGTTAATCTACTCCCTGAGTCTCTGCTTTCTGACACTCCCTGCCTTATCAAGATTTCAGAAATACTCCTGGTTTCTGGTCAAATACAGTTAATACTCTTAGTAGTGTACATATGTGTCATGCACCCTTTTAAACACTTTGTATGTATTCACTCTTTTAATTGTTACAATCAGTCTGTGAAGAAATAATGCAATTATCCTCATGTTGCAGCTGAGGAAACTGAGGCACAAGGTGGTAAAGTGACAGCATTGGATATGAACTCAGGCAATTAGGCTTTGGATTTTGTGTTCCTAATCACTAGACCAACTGCCTCTCCAATGTAACCATTGGAGCACCTACCTCTTTATTTGGGAATGGCTCAATTTATGAAATTCTAGTGCATTTCAGAAGGGAGTCTTGGCTAAGACATATGGGGAAGAAGCCTGCCCTGCACATTGTTAATAAATCATATTAAAAATGAGCATGGTTTATTTATCCACAACATCATGAATGCACAAGCAGATCAACCATAGATGGGATTAGATCAAACAAAGAGCTCCAGCCCTGCCCTGGAGGGCTAATAATCTAGAGGTGTAAAATCTATTCTCTAGGCTAAAAAGTGAAAACAACCAGGCTTAGGGAACAATGGAGAACTATCACCCTTCTGGATCAGAAAACGGTAGCTTCAATCACTCTGCATGATGAAAGAAAAAATGGCTTACAATAACCAGATATTTTTATGCCACAAAAAATCACATGGAAATGCCCTTCCAATGGCCTTCTCTTTCCTGACCAGGGGTACCCCTGCTGGTTGCTGCTAACGGGCTTCAGTTGCCCCTAGTATCATTAGAAGTTTCTACAAGTGCCCTAAAGCCTGAAGCCCTTGATGACTTTGTGTGACCTGTGCCCTGGGAGATGCTTACATATATGTTAGGAGGACAAATTTTGGAGCCAGACACTACTTATTCCTAATTAACCTGATTAATTAATGTTGTAGAATCTCAGTTTCCTCATCTATAAACTATATACTTCGTAAACTGGTGTGATAATGTGATATAATAAGAAATTATATTTATTTGGGTTCTTCCCCCAACTCTTGATATAAATATCTTGAAACTCTTATAAATAGGGGCCCTATGAGAGTCTTTTGTTATATTTGGTCTTTGACACCCCCACCAGCCCAGTTTTTGACATAGAGCTCCTAACGCTTTTATAATTTTCTGAGTTATAGGAACCTCTGACACAAAGTTTCTACATCTCTTGAAAACTTTCAGTTGATAAAAGTATCTTCTGTTTTATTTGGTGACTCTTGATGGGCATCTGGATAACCTTGGGATGAAGGCTGGTTGCCAGGAAAACAAACTATGTGATTAGATGGTTAAATCTTTTAGTTCTATTCTTCAGCCTCTGGGGAGAGGAAAGGGGTTGAATGTTGAGTTGATCACCAATGACCAACAATGTAATCGATCATGCCTACATAGTGAAGCCTCCACAAAAACCTCTCCAGGACTTGAAGAGTTTCAGGGTTGCTGGAGGTGCTTGGAGGTGAAGGCAGGGAAGATCTTCCCCTGCAACCCTCTGCACCAATACCTTGCCCTATCCATCTCTTCATTTGGCTGTTTGTCAGTATCTTTCCTTTGTAATATCCTTTATATATAAACTGGCAAATCTTAAATGTATCCCTGAGTTTTGTGAGCCAATCTAGCATATTAAACAAACCCAAGGAGGGAGTAGGGGGGAACCCTGATTTATAGCCAGTAAGAAATATAGGTGAAAATCTATTACTTGTGATTGGTGTCTAATGTAGGGGGTCAGTCTTATTGGACTGAACCCTTACCCTGTGGGATCTGACATGAACTCCATGTATAGAATGTCAAAATTGAATTTAATTATATGACACTAGTTGGTGTCTGCTGGAAAATTTGTTGCTGGTAGGGAGAAATCCTCACACAATTTGGTGACCAGAACTGAAGTAGTGTGTTGATAGACTACACTCAGATTTCAGTCAGTCAGAGCTTCTGTCACTAGCCTGAAAGCTGCCTTATAAGGGCAAACTTATGCCAGAACAACAGAAAGGCTCTCTAAGACCTCTAGTTCCCAAGAGGGTACTCAACATGAAGGAAGGACAAAATCAGGATAGACCACTGCCTAGCACATAGTAAGCACTATATGTGTTGTATATGTATACACATAACTCTTTTTTCTGAAATAAAGCATCAGGCTCTGTGAAGGACAAATAACTTGCACTACCAGCAGATCATGAGACTTTAGCCCTGGGGATTCAGCCTTTGCACTAGTTTTCTCACCCATATGGTAATACCCACCTTGTAATTACTGAGCAGTCACCTGGTGTCAGATGATGTCAGCTCTGTGTCATGCAGTCCCCAGCAGGAAACAGACAGCAAGTTCCATTAGAACAGTTCATGAGAAGCTCTAATAAAAGGATACTCATATAGATGTGGGCGAAGTGTAGGGAACATAGAAGCAATTGAGTAATACCTCTAGTTAATAAGAGTGGGGCCATTATCATCTTAGAGTGAAGTAGGAGAGAAGGAGCTATTATCAAAACCTGCTGGAGTCAGTTCTGAGCAGAGGCTATCTTGATAGAGTTTGATCTTAGTTAGAAGGATGTGGTCATGCCGCAGGGTGACCTCAAATGAAGGTGTCCAGGAGAGGCCACGATATCATTCTCCTCCCCTTGTGACCTCATGCTAGGGCTCTGCTGTGGCCGAACCTAACCTGAAGCCAGATGTCAAAAGAGTGCCTTGCTGTAATCTATATTAGTCAAGGTAGAGAAAGGTGGGTTTCTATGTTTCTGCATAGATAGAGCTCTTTGCATGGATTACCGATTTAATTCTTACAATCTCCTTGTAAGATAATTATTATTCCAGTTTGTCAGAACACTGACTTTTAAGTAGTAAACAATTTACTATATATGTTTTTTGTATATATACACACATACATATATTTCCACTTATTTATATAATGTTTATATTTTTATTTTTGTTTTAAAAGTTTGATGTGTTTATTGTAGAAAATTTGGAAATACAGATCCCTCTCTCCAAAAAGAAAGTAATAATCAAATAACTTTATCATCATAGATCACCTCTATTAACATATTTTCACATCTATTTTATATATATTTATATATATTTTATATTTAATATCGCACATTTTAACTTCATTTTATTATAGTCATCTTAATTCAATTTATTTCATTTCATTTATGAAAATATATGAAGTTTAAATGTGTCAGACACTATTCTATGCGTTTTATAAATATTAACTCAATAAATTCTCATAACACTCTTATGAGGGTAGGTATCATTATTATGCCAATCATACAGATTAAAGAGGTTAGAAAATTTGTCCAGAGTCACATATCTAGTGAATGGTAAACTTTATATTCAAATATAGGAAATTGGATTTGTATTTGGCTCTTATTCTTGATCATTCTGATCTACTGACTCTCACATACACATACATTGCAAACTTGGAATCATTCCAGTTCTCTGTGTTTTATTTTTATCTAACTGTATGTCTTCAGCATGCATTCACATAGCATTTCTTTTTCTTGATCATCCTAAATGTAGTTAGGTATGGAAATAAGTATTTCAGCAAGGAAAGAATATGTCAGTAAAAAGCTGCTAAAAAATCAGGTAGAAAAAAATGTACCCCCAACACACACACACACACACACACACACACACACACACACACACACACAGGAAACCGAAGGACAAATGTTAATATCACTAGTCAAGTATTGAATCATTTGACATGTAGAGTGACCTTCACAGGGGTCACTTAAATAAGACTCAGTGTGTTTAATGGCTGTATGTTTCATTATTTGACAGGGCCATAGATAATTCATTGGCAACTAGTTAACTGTCACATATGCAATTTGATATGGGGATTTGATATGTATAAGAGGCTTTGAGGATTGAGGGACATGTAAAATGATTCCACTAAACTCTCTTGCTGACAGTATAGTTGTGGAGGCAAGATATATATGCATAGAAAAATGTTATGGACTGAATATTTGTATCCCCGTAAAATTTATGTCAAACTTCGAATTCCCAATGTGATGGTACTTGGGGATGAGAATGTTGGGAACTAATTAAGGTTGGATGAGGTCATGAGGATGGGGCCCTCATGATGGGATTAGTGCCCTTATGGGAAGAGACACCAGAGAGCTTGCTCTGCCCACCTCCCCCAGGACTCAACCTGCATAAAAAAATGTCATGTGAGCATACAGCAAGATGGTGGCTGCATATAAGCTAAAAGAAGAGGCCTAAGAATGAAACCTTCCTTGCCAACACCTTGCTCTTGGACTTCCCAGACTTCAGAACTGTGAGAAATAAGTTTCTGCTGTTTAAGTCATCTAGTCTATGGTATTTTCTTATGGCAGCCTGAGCTGACTAATATAAGTAAGATACAATTTTTAAAAGTAGTTCAAGACAGTAAGTGCCTAGCACTAAGTGAAGAATATGATAAATGTTTTGGGGGCAGGAGGGGTCTGAGTAGCTTTGGTGGTAGAAGAAGACTCCCAGGGCTTGGTGGGATTGGGGTGGGGGAACAGGCTGCAGACTCACAAGCAAGAGTACTCAAGGATCATGCAGATTTGAACATGCCTACTCATAATTCATATGATTGATCTGAGCTAACAGAACTCTTAGGGCTCTGTATTTATACTTCTCTTTGACATACTTGTCTCCCCTTCTTCATCTAGTTAATGCCTCTTCAGCCTCAAGACAGTTTAAATGTTTCATCCTCAAGAAAGCCTTTGCTGACTCCCAGGTTTGGTTGTGATACCCAGTTACAGAATTCCTTGAACTTTTCCTTTATGGCAGTTTCCATAATGATATGTAAATAATTAATTTGCATAAGTTTTTATTAATGCTTGTCTACTTCACTGGACTTCAAGATCTATAAGTACCCAAATTGGGCTTTTTAATGTCCCATTGTGGTCCCAAATTCTGGCACAGTCTTTATAGGCATTAGGTGCCCAATATTTGTTTGTTGATTGACTAAATGGACTCTGCCCACAGGAGAGTCCTTCCTTGCTGTAGCAGTGACTTATTTTAAAGACTGAGTCTTTTTTTAGGTCAGAGTTAAGAACCATATATATAATCAAAGGAATATTTTGTGGTCTCCCAGGCCATGTTTTAAATGTAAGCTGATTGGCTCAGATCTACTACAGTCCTCTTTGGAACTTCAACTTGCTTCTGATTTATAGAAATATGAGAGGATGAAAGCTCAGGGTCAGATGACAGAATAGATTGAGTAGAATCGATGGCCAGATAATTTCTGTAAGAGACCAGGGGTGTGGTTCAGCCATTCCTTCAAACTTTTGAAACTTCAATTCATAACAGGCTGAGAACAATTTCTGTTGTTATTTTTTAAAGGTTTCACTTAAAAATGTGAAGAAAATTGACTAAACTGCAAAACTTTTGACTAGAGCCCTTTCCAAGTATCGGAGATAAAACAAACTTAACTATATTTCTTTTTTGGGGTATTGAGCTCCTTAACTGTTTAGGAAAGGGAGGTGGAAGTGCTAAGCCAGCGATGTTTCTTCCTTTTGTGTTAGGTTGTCTGTGAGAATCCTTTGACTACACTCAGGTACCCCAATTTTCAACTTCCTATGGTATCATATGTGTGGGAGAAAAGGCAAGATCTGTTTTTAAAACACTTGTTTAACAAAGAGTTCAGAAATCCTCCTTCTAATAGCTTTGAAGTTAGCTACTTCTGACCTCTTTCAGGACAGTTTCCATCTTTCTGAGATTACCCTGGCAGTGGCATACCTAACTTAGACTCCCAGGTCTCCAGTCCCTCTCCTCCTCCTGCCTTTGCAGAGCATGTGGCCATCCCATTTAGATCATGAAGACTGGAGAGCTTGACATAGTCACAGCCACTTTCTCCTTTGGACATTGTGGCGATTGCAAGACCCATGGCGTTAACAAGACATCTTCAACCAGGCCCTGTGGTTGCAGGATCTAATAGTGGCCAAACTAATACATCAATGGCCAAATGATCAAGACCAAGACCCTGTATATTCACGAGTTCATAATGCTCAGATAACTTTTCTAATACAAAAATCCCTTCCAAGATCTGGATTACTCTCACAATCTGGATGGTGAACCGTTTCTCTAGAAAATATGCCATGAATAAATATAACTCAAAGCCATCTCACATGTCTAAATTCTAGAGCACTTCCCTTTTCTACTGGTCACTTACTCTATCTAAAATTCAGCTGAGAAAGAGAAGGTAATATTTTAAAAAGCTGACAGGAACCATCTAGATTTCTTAATACCCATATATTAAGTTGATGTGCTTTATGTATATAATCTCTCTGATCTTGACAGTATATTCTTACTCCACACAAAATTTTAACAAGTGTAGGAGTATGGTGTCCCAGCTCATAGTATGTTAGAAACAATATATTAGAAAGGACAAACATATTAGGATCATTAAGAGGTCACAACGGGTGGTCATATTGTGATAAAGAATGAACAGAAATGTTGAAAGGTAGACACAAGAACTACAAATAAACACCTTAGTGCCTGGGGCCATTTTGTATGTGGGCAAGTGGCCCTCTCCACTCATGCTGGGAAGCAGAACATCTATATTACAACACGGCAGAGCAATAGGATGTTCATAGTGTTGACCCCGGATCATCAAGCAAAAAGTAAAGTGGGAAATTTATAACAAGTAACCCCTGCTCGAGCCACAGCAAATAATTCAAAGCACTTTAGAAACATTTTCAAGTAAAGTAGTTCAAATAAAACACATTGTAATGCTCTAATAGATAAGTTATGGTTACCTGGAAAATGTATTTATTTGAAACATCTTATTTTGTGATAAAGTCAAATAAATGAGGTGTCTTATATGGTGAGCACTGAAGAGCACAGATAATGCAATTTTGATTTCATAGACAAACTGAAATATTCATGAGATCATATTTTCTCAAATGACATTTAATAATAGTATATTGTCTCTCTTCCTAACATGGTTGGAATTGGGGTTGGGGAGGAAGAGACACACACACACACACAAAGGGGCTCTGTCCTATCAACAACATATTTTGCACCTGACTAGTTACAAATATTCCATTGGGAAGCTGTAGGGAAGATAAATTCTCCAACCTGTGTAAACTTCATTCTGATCAACAACAGACTGAAGTAAGTCAGTCAGCAAATGTTTTCGGTGGAGTAGAGGAATCTCATTTAAACAACCAAAAGTAGGGGAAGAAAGTCTTAGCATCCTAAAAAGCTTGGCTCTTTGTATATCAGTATTATATCCAGCAGACAGAAAGGTACTCAAATCATGTTTGTATTTATTCAGATTTTTCTTGTTTCCTTTTTTTTTTTTAGGAGACACCAAGGATATTTTCTTCTCCTTTGTTATTAGATTTGTCTTTGTCTGAATTCTTGGGTACTATGGAGGTAAATGCTTTGAAATTACCCAGAGAGAAATAGATTAATGGTTTTGTTTTTCAAATATCTTAGTAAAAGATTTGAAAATTATTATTTGTGAGGTTGTAAGTAGATACTTAATGAAGCACAGCAAATTGAATATCCCTTCCAGACACACTTAATTAGCACCATGGACCAAAGGCCCACAAAATAAAACTATTCTAAGCCAAAGTCAGAAATCCTCAGGGGTCCTTACTTACCTCTGCTTCCCAAATTTGACTCATGGGAATGACCCATGTTGTCTAAACACATTGCTTTGAGTTTGCTCTCTATCTCACAGCCTATGGTGGAGACTATGAAGTGCTGGTGGGACTTGGGCAATGTCTCATCTATCACCAGTTTGGGGAACTTAGCTAAGGTTACTCAGAAACCCAAAGTTTCAGTAATCAGATATTTTTAATCAATTATCTATTTCAGGGCAATAAGTATCTCTTGTAATGGGAAAAATGAGAGTTAGTGATGACAGCCTGTGTCACTTTAAGAAATCCTTAGGACTTCTATGGCAAATATTTGCTGATGGAAGAAAGATCTTCCCACTCAGAAATGTTCCACTCCACTCCTATCTGTTCTGCGCCATAGTTCTTTTATACCTCTGTGCCACGAATTCAGTAGGTGCTTGTTAAATTAGGTCCAATTCTCTACTGGTAATAATGGATTCCCCATACATCAGTTATTTTCCTAACTCAGACTTCATTGATGAGGACCCATTTCTTTTTCCATACCTGGTTCTCCTGCTTTGGGAGTGAGTGGGCTCTTGGAATCCAGTCCTAGTATGGTTCTATGTAACAGGAAAGACCATCTTCTTTCTACTCCAAGTCAATGACTGTATGGTTCTGGTTTTAAACTTGAAGAATCGTGTACTATCTCCAGCTGTGCCCTGATGATTTCTACCCATGAATAATGGGAGATTATGGTTTAAAATGGTGAATGGCAATAACAACAGTAATTTTTAAAAGATGTTATAGTTTTTAAAGCACTTTTGTGTGCATGATCTATTGTGAATTTCAAAACAATCTTGTGCAGAAAGTGGTACAAGGATTAATTTTTTTCATCCTTATTTTACAGATGAAGAAGCTGAAGGAGAGTGACTTACCCAAAGTCACACACCTAGGAACTGGAAGGACTGAGGCCTTCTGGGTCCATGCATTCTACCTGTGGCTGCTGCCTCTCTTGGCCATCCCAGAGCATCATGTGATGCTGTGGTATAACAACAGCAGCGACAACAACAAGAAATCAATGTTGTCTCTTGTATGTGTAGGTTATATGGATACCATGAAAGGCCAGTTCAAATCCATCTTCTTGTACTTCATGTGACAATGGCAGACAGTCAGGTTCATGACTCGCCAAATGTCACGCCCAGGGTTGGGTTCCAGCACATGCTGAGGTCTGAGGGAGTGGGTGGATGAGCACAAAGAACACTTGGAGGGCCACAGGCAGGTGAAGGATGATTTTATTCAGCAGCAGCTCTCATCAACAGCTTTCTCACACTGTCTGCCCTGTCTCGGCTTCTTGAGCCAGCGGGTCCCACATACAGCTGTGCGGCCAGCTCTCCCCTGACTTCAGGGTTAGCAGCTTAACTCTTTCTCTCTCTGGGCACAAGTGAGCCGAGCTGTATCCTGGCTCCCCTCTGTCCATCTGCAAAGATAGACAGCTTTGGCTCTCTCTCTTTCTCTGGGCACCAGCACTCCTGCACAGTGTCAACAGGACAATTATACCTTTTACAGACAATAGTGGCATAGAGCCAGGTGATGAGCCTTCATTATTTTATGGCTATGGCAGTGAGCTTCTCTATGTTATGTCTACGTGGCTATGATAACAAGTGGAGTTATATGCTTGCGCTCTAAACTCACTGAGTCACTCTGGTTGTTTACCTTGGCCTATTCCTTGACCAAAGCACAGCCATGTTCCTTACACAGACATTTCCAAGTTCTTTGGAATTTGTGAGTAATGAAGCCTTGGAAAGAGATAAAACCAATGGGTCCTTCTGGCAATGAAGTCGTTGACCTGATTAGCACCAGGCTGTATCTAATGGAGAGCACAATCATGTGTAATGAATAGATTAAGTTGCTTTCATTAAAAGGTAGAGAAACTAAGACAATGCCTATAAATGCATATTATCCCACATTAAAAATAAGTATGTTATCTCTGATGAAATGAGTGAGTTTATTCAAGTCTTTCTTTTGGAACACAAATTCTAGAATGAAACTGGCAAAAGTGAGGCCAGTGATGGAGTGCTGCTGGGACCCCAGCTGCACCACACAGGTTAGCACACATTTCAAAGGAATCATAACTTCCACACTCCTGTGGTCCTGCTAGCTCAATTAGAGGGCCAGCCTGGCCTTCTTTATCATGCCCTGTGGGAATACCCTTTGATATTGCTAAGGATCCTAGAGCCTAGTGACAGAACAGAATGAAAAGCTGACTCCAGGAGAGCTGTGATTGTATTTGATCTCTGAGTTGGGTCACAGTGAAAGCAGACACCTGTCTGTGAGGATAGTCTCATGCTAACTGAATCTATCAGTCTGGGCCAGGCTAACTGCAGCCAAATGCAGGCGTTTACCTAAGCTAACCCTTGAATGACTGGCTGTATACCAGCAATGACTATATTCACTGAGCCTGGAGTTCCAGATAATCATAATCTGCGGTCTGCTTTCAGAAGCAGGTTTGTTCAGGTTCTATATTCAGACTTCTTGCTGTAACTGTTACAGAAAACAAGAAAACCTGTCTAACAGACCCCCACACCTGAATCAGAGGAAAAAAAACATAGGAATGCTTCAACCCCAGCCATTCTTATCCTCACCACCACTTCTCACTTAGATCCTAGGAGTGCTAGCCTTTTCTCTTACTGTCTATTTTAACTGAGACAAGAAATTAAGATGGAGGAAGATGGAGAGATGAATAAAATGGGATGCAGAAGGCAGAAGGAGACATGGATAATGAGGCAGGTTTCTGAGTGGCTGTTATGCCTGGGGCAAAAAAAAATATTAAAACCCCATGCAAAATAAAAGATTACTTTGTCTCCTTTGTGACCTTAGACAACCAATTTCCTTCAGTAGTTAAAGACTGTAGCATAATGTGATGAACAATATTACTGAGAACAACCAGCTTCTCAAGTGTTGCTTGATGGAAAGGCAAAATAGCCATCTATTAGTCAGCTTCAAGGCATGCTTTCCCCTCCTCCTGTACTAGCAAATGGCCATTGCGGTATATACAGAGCCAAGTCCCTCTGAATTTCCACAGTATACACAGAGCTAGCCTCCCTCTGAGGTTCCACAGTATGAACAGAGCCACCTTCCCTCTGAGATTCCACAGTATATACAGAGCCACCTTCTCTCTGAGGTTTCACAGTTTATCCAGAGCCCTGCACCCCACTCTAAGGTTCTACAATATATACAAAGCCAGCTTCCCTTTGAGGTTCCATAGTATATGCAGAGCCATTCTCCCTCTGCGGTATCACAGTATATGCAGAGCCACCCTCCCTTTGAGATTCCACAGTATATGCAGAGCCAGCCTTCCTCTGAGGTTCCACAATATATACAGAGCCAACCTCCCTTTGAGGTACCACAGTATATGCAGAGCTAGTCTCCCTCCACGGTAGAGAACAATAATGATACATAATAAGGAAAAAAGGAATAAGCTAAATTAGATGCAATTCCTATCTCTATTTGGTACAATTTTTCAGAAGCAAGAAAAAGATTGAAATGTGAGAAGTGGAGAGACAATGTGTCTGTCCCATAAAAAGTTAAGAAAACCATAACATCATAACCATTTTTGGTATGAAGCAAGTGTTCAGAATCCTTATAAATATGACATAATGTTCAATGTTTGGCCTTAGAAAAGAAACTCATATAAAAAGCTACTAGAGGAAAACAACAAATTGAAGCCCATTTTAACATAAACTTATGAAAAATTATAGTGTCTAGTCTCTAAAAAGGGAACTTCAGAAATCTTTTTGGATTTCAAGGATTAGTTTTGCTTAAATCAAATGGCATTAGTGATGGTCCAATTATATTATTTAGAGCAACCATCAGGAGATCAGGAAGACTGCCTTCAAATATGGTCTATAAGTTTTTGGGAACATTTGCTTTTGTAGCAATGCACACTGCTGTGTGATCCACATGGGCATATGGGTTGTTTTTATTTTCAAAATATAGTACTCTGTGAGGACAGAACTGAAGGAAGAAATTATTTTCTCTAGTTAATGCCTCAGGTTGGAGACCTTCCTTAATCTGGCATTGTTGCTGGCAGGACTGCCTAGAAACATAACGTATGACTCACAAGTACATATGGCAATCATATTTAAAACAAGACCTGGGTATGAAGTTCCATTTTTACCTACTGTACCATTTGCACTAACGAAGGTTTCACAAAAAAGACCTATTCAGCCTGGGTGGTTCTGGCCACACCTAAGGGAGGAATGAGACATCTGTTAATTGGAAGTCATGTTATTGGGTTACCTTAATGAAAACAGAAAAAAGAATCATGGTGTTATATTTTTCCAAATATTAGAAAAATAGAAAAATATCAGGTCACTGTTGCCTACTGACATCAATTTTTTTTTTAACCACGCTATGTTAGAATTAGAAGGGCTTGGGCTCAAGATAAAGTGGGACCTGAGAAAAGCCTGGGTTCAGAGGGGATCTCTGGGCATCATCAAGGCTCAGAAGCTATAGGGGCACATCACTGCCAGTGGAGCTGGAGCAAGGATGTCCTGTCTGAGGGCATGGTGGTATGGAAATATCCTAGGCTATGTTTGAACATGCAGAGGCCAGGTAAACATCAACATGTTTCTGGAGATGGAATGATGGGAGGAGGAAGGCACTGATTTTCTGGGAAAGCCATTAATGAGATCCATGTGGGGCCTTGCATACTCTATAAATAGTCAGTATCCTTCCCAAGGTTACACCTCAATGGTTGTTGCCTTTTTTCTCTGTGCTTTTATTTTGCAACTGTCCCCCAAATACAGGAAGGATTACATCTGACCCAATGGAGACCTTCCAGCCCAACTTGATATCAGAGCTGGGATTAGGATGAGATGAGTAAGGTGTCATGCACATGCAGGGTCAGATTCTGTTTGTATTAAAAACTTTGATATTTTCTTCATCATGGATTTTGGGTCATTGCTTTTTCAAAAATATCACATAAATATTATTTATCTTAATAACCTATTTTTTTACCCATCTTAAATTTTGAGCCTGAGGTGAGTGCCTCTCTTGCCTCACCCTGTTCCCCTGATTTGGCTCTTGACTTGTCCTAGGATATGATTTCCACAGTAACAGACTAAACCAATGATCCCATGGGTGCTCATGGAGTTTAGGGAATTGTACCTTCTAGTGATATGGAAGAAACATTTTCTGCCCCAGGACCTAGGAGAGATGGTAAGAAGTCAGCAAACTTCCATGGCTTGGGTTTTTATTAAGGATTGGCCATCTCTTCACAGGCACTTTTATACATGCAGTGTAGTTAAAATCAGTATAATTTCTTTAAAAGTAGAAACCAAACTCAGTCATGTTTTGATTTAGTACTGAAAATAAATGAGAATCCATTGCTCCTGGACTGAAATGAATCCAGCCATTTTTATTATCCTCTATTTGCTTGGCAATGAAAAAGGCTTTTTGAAACATAAACATGATAAATGGTTTGAAGTTAGTTTGAGAGTTATGAAATGAGTTTTACCTAATGAAACAGAAAAATGGCAGCAAGGAACACTTTTCTGTGGAGAAGTAAGAAACCTGTCCTACAGGGAGAGTTGCTCAGAGAGTTGCTTTTTGCTGTGCAGCTTATGTTTAATCCCCACTGTGGTCAATAGTCATCAGGCTTTTGAAGGGGTTGGACCGGGCCTTGGGACAAGTATTAACACAGTCAAGATTGTTTTTTCTCTAATGACTATCTTCTCCCTTTTACATGTTTTCTTTCCCTTTAGAACCCTGTCCTGATGACCTTATATATTCTTGCAAGCAACCTGTAATGTGCTCCAGTTGCTTTCCTTTTTTGTCTCCTCACCCCATCAGTCAGGACCGGCTGTAGGTAATAGCTTGATCATGGGTTTATATTCTCATGTTTAGAGGCAGGTAGTCCATGGATGGTGAAAATTATTTTAATCTAGGCCTATTACTACCCTAAAAACTTACATAAGGAAGAGATTTATACAAGTTTGTTTTTTAAGTTATATGTATTTAATACCCATAAATACTGGGTAGAACATGATGGGTGTATGGTAAATTAAATGTATGGAAAGATAAAAGAACTGGGTGGAAGGTTGAAGGTTGAACATAGATTCTAACATTTAGGGATTAAACTAGACACAATTCAGAGGTCTGGCATATTCTGGGTTAAAGTTAGACCAAAGGGCTGCAATGCATCCGAAGGAAATTGACTCTAGAATTCATGCCTCAAGTGTGGATTAATGCAGAAGCAAATGTGAGGATGTGAATTAAATCTCTCAGTGTAGAATATTGGTAGATATTAGTGATATGCAATAAGGCACAAAATCATAATTAGAAAAGATCTCATCAGGAAGCTAAATATGATCATTTGCTTTGCAAGGGAATATAAATGGATAAAAATTTTATCAGACTCCTAGGAGAATAGGGAAAAGATACAGGTATTTTCCTAATGAAGATTTTCTTTTTCTTTTTTAGGAGTTTAGGAGGACATATGTGTCTCAAAGTATTCCAAGGACTCTAGCACTGTGTGGAAAATAGATCCTGCAGCTGGGCTTCCTGCAGCTCAAGAAAGAGATTTCATGCCAAAGTAAGTTAACTAAATTATAAAGGACATCCACATGAAGAGACAGTTAACCTATTAAACCTCTTAAAGTTTGCCTACCAATCACTGCGGTATCAATGAGAGCATCTAGGTTTTAGAGAAGACAGAATGGATTGAAATCTTGACACTTTATATTTACCAAAAATATTAATACATAAGTTTGGGAAACTCATTTAACCACCCCGAGCCTCTTTGTCATTCATACATTCAGCATTTATTTATTTGCTTATTTAGTTTCTAATTTTTTAAACTTTTGCTTTAGGTTCAGGGGCACATGCGCAGGTTTGTTAAATAGCTAAATTGTGCGTCATCGGGGTTTGTTGTATAGATGAAATAATCTACATCACTCAGGTACTAAGCATAGTACTTGATAGGAAGCTTCTTGATTCTCACCCTCCTCCCACTTTTCACCCACAAGTAGACCCTGGTGTCTGTTGTTCTCTTCTTTGTGTCCATGTGTACTCAATGTTTAGCTCCCACTTATAAGTTAGAACATGCATTATTTGATTTTATGTTCCTGCACTGGTTTGCTTAGGAAAATGGCCTCTAGTTCCATCCATATTGCTGCAAAGAACATGATCTCATTCTTTTTAATGGCTGTATAATATATCATCGTGTATATGTACCACATTCTTTATCCAGTCCACCATTGATGGACATTTAGATCAATGCCATTTCTTTGCTATTGTGAGTAGTGCTGTAATGAACATATGCAATCATGTGTCTTTATGGTAGAATAATTATATTCCTTTTGGCATAAACCTAGTGATGGGATTGCCAGGTCAAATGGTAGTTTTGTTTTAAGTTCTTTGAGAAATTGCCAAACTGCTTTCCACAATGGTTGAACTAATTAA
Source organism: Homo sapiens (assembly GCF_000001405.40). Lineage (NCBI taxonomy): Eukaryota > Metazoa > Chordata > Mammalia > Primates > Hominidae > Homo > Homo sapiens. The sequence continues at coordinate 41,644,069 of NC_000005.10, read as the reverse complement.
CATTCTCACCAGCAGTGTATAAGTGTTCCTTTTTATCCACAATCTCACCAGCATCTGTTTTTTTATTTTTATTTTTTAATAATAAACCTGAATGGTGTCAGAGGCATTTCATTGTGATTTTGATTTGGATTTCTCTAATGATTAGTGATGTTGAGCATTTTTTTCCTATGCTTGTTGGCCATGTGTCCGTCTTCTTTTCGAAAGTGTCTATGTCCTTTGCCAACTTTTTAATGGAATTGTTTGCTTTTTGCTTGTTAGTTTGTTTGAGTACATTATAGATTCTGGATTTTAGACCTTTGTTGGATGCATAGTTTGCAAATATTTTCAACCATTCTGTAGGTGATCTCCTTCCTTTGTTGAAAGTTTCTTTTGCTGTGCAGAAGATCTTTAGTTTAAGTACCATTTGTCAATTTTTACTTTTGTTGAAGTTGTTTTTGGTGTTTTTGTCATAAAATCTTTACCAGTTTCTATTTACAGAATAGTATTGCTTATGTTGTCTTCCAGGGTTTTTATAGTTTTGGGTTTTACACTTAACTCTATAATCTATCTTGAGTTGACTTTTGTATATAATATAAGGAAGGGATCCTGTTTCAATCTTTTGCATATGGCTAGCCAGTTATCCCAGCACTATTTATTGAATAGGGAATCCTTTCCCCATTGCTTGTTTTTGTTGGCTTTGTCAAAGATCAGATGGTTGTAGGTGTACAGTGTTATTTCTAGGCTCTCTATTCTGTTCCATTGGTCTGTGTGTCTGTCTTTGTACCAGTACCATGCTGTTTTGGTTACTGTAGCCTTGTAGTACAGTTTTAAATGGGGTAATGTGATGTCTCCCACTTTGCTCTTTTTGCTTAGGATTGCCTCTGTTATTCAGGCTCTGTTTTGGTTCCATATGAATTTTTAAATAGTTTTTTCTAATTCTGTGAAGAATGTCACTGGTGTTTGATAGGAATAGCATTGAGTCTATAAATGGCTTTGGTCAGTATGGCCATTTTAACAACATTGATTCTTCCTGTCCAGGAGCATGGAATGTTTTTCCATTTGTTTATGTCATCTTTGATTTCTTTGAGCAGTGTTTTGTAATTCTTCTTGTAGAGATTTTTTTGCCTCTCTGGTTAGCCGTATTCTTAGGTATTTTATTATTTTTTGTGGCTATAGGGAATGGGATTATGTTCTTGGTTTGGCTCTCAGCTTGGATGTTGTTTGTGTAAAGAAATGCTATTGACTTTTCTACATTGATTTTGTGTCCTGAAAGTTTTCTGAAGTTCGTTATTGGATCTAGGAGCTTTCAGGCAGAGACCAAGAGGTTTTCTAGGTATAGAATAATATCATCTGCACTCAAAGATAGTTTGACTTCCTCTCTTCCTATTTAGATGCCTTTTGTTTCTTCCCCTTGCCTGATTGCTCAGGCTAGGACTTCTAGTACTATATTGAATAAGAGCGGTGAGAATGGGCATACTTCCTTGTCTTGTTCCAGCTTTCAAGGGGAATACTTCCAGGTTTTGCCCATTCAGTATGTTGGCTGTGGGTTTGTCATAGATTGGCTCTTATTATTTTGAGGTATGGTCCTCCAATGCCTAGTTTGTTGATGGTTTTAAATATGAAAGATGTTGAATCTTATCAAAAGTCTTTTCTGCATGTATTGAGATGATCACGTGGTTTCTGTTTTTAGTTCTGTTTATGTGATGAAACACATTTATTGATTTGTGTATGTTGAACCAACCTTGCATCCCAGGGATAAAACCTACTTGATCATGGTGGCCTAGCTTTCTAATGTATTGCTGCTGGATATGGTTTACTAGTATTTTGTTGAGAATTTTTGAATCTATGTTTATCAAGGATATAGGTCTACAGTTTTCTATTTTAGTTGTGTATCTGGCAGGTTTTGCTATCAGGAAGATACTGGCCTCATAGAATGAGTTATATATGAGAGACATATTCCAAGTATATAATTTCCTTTCTGACTCTCAGGGCCTCAGCCAGCACCATCTTCTGAGGGTCTGATCAGTTGACATGAAGTCGTTCATAACATTGCATCAGATTTCAGACTGCTTCTGAACTGGGCCCCTCAAAATGGAACTTTAAAAACGCCTTCTTTTAGTGAGCCCAATTATGCAAACGTTTATTTTTAGGACTTTGATTAATGGTATTTTCTATTACTTCTTTTACCATTCTATTATTTAAGTTTGTGGAATAACATTCATTTCTCCAAAATATAGAACATTCAATTTAGGTATGTGACCACCAGATGTCATAGTATAGCTTGATTTCTGACAAGAGTCACATTTATGAGTAGACCATGAGCAGTTCTAAAGGAAAAAAAAAAAAGATAAAACCCTTTATTAAAACAGTTAAGCTGAAGTAAATAAATATTCCATACCCATTAAAGAATAGAGTTTTGGAAGTAATCATTGAGACGGTCTTCTACTTATTGCTAGAGGATCCAAGATGGCTTTACTAAATCTCAGAACATCTCATTTTTTCCTGGGGTTTACATGTAATTCACATAAAAACTCTTCGAGCTGAGAATGTATGTTTCTCTTCTCTGTAACATGTTCTGTTGAAGGTCTTATTTGTAAAATCTCAGCCTTATTTAGATTTTTTTTATCCAATCATTATTTAAGCTTAGCATAAATCATTAAAACAGACACATTAAATGATTTTCAACCTAAGGTTTTTGACTGGTTTCATTGCCAATGAGATTTTTAGTTTGTGTTTTATTGATGATAATTTTTTAAAAAATAGCTCAACATTGCTAGGAGAGTACTGTTCCCAAAGAAGGACTTAGTCTTTTAAAATTACATTGATTTCTGACAAGGAACAAGAGTCAGTTTCATATTTTGATTGACTTGAAGAAATATTTGATTTCATTAATTCAACTTTTTCAGTAAGTTCTTATTGTCAGAGGTGCTTGGATAATAATCCTCACTTTACCATTTTTGGACTTACTTTTCCTCTACTTTGCAACCACTGTGTTGTTTTCCCTAGCGTGTTTGTTTTTCTTTTTCAGTTTTCCAGCTGCTTCTCTCTTCTTTCTCCTATTATTTCTGCTCTGTTCCTGCCTTCCCCTTCCACAGATGCCTAGACAGGCTCTAGCTAGCCAGTTAGTTTACAATGGTTCCTCTTCCCATGACCCCCACTCTCACAACATAATTCCACCTCACACACAGCTTCAAGCCACTCTCTGCATTATTCTGCAGAGATCTGTGTTCTCCTTTTTCTTATCTGATGTACAATAACAAAATGGCAGTAAAAGCATGTTGGCTTTTTAATCTTTTATGTTTTTAATTAAATTCAAAAGTAAATAATGATATCTATCTATCTATCTATCTATCTATCTATCTATCTTCTATCTATCTTCTATCTATTTATAGCCAAAAGATGGCTGCTTTCCATTTAAAAGAGATTTAAGAAAAAAAGAAGAAAAGTAACTGAAAGCAGCTTTCTACCTAAGTGATGAATCTTTTCCTTGATCTATAAATATCTGGGACTTGAATTAAAAGGAGTGAGCTGCTCTTTCTGGATGTTGATGATTCTCAGAGTGGAATCTTATCGACTTATTGTTTGAAAAACAAGCTTCTCATATCCTCCAAAAGTAGTTTAAGTGTATGTATGGGGGTGTCTGGGTGTGTGTTATTACATTAGCCAGCGGATGGCATGGTTTTACTGATGGTATAAAGAGACCACAACATGTCTCTCTGAAGGAAATTTATCATCATTGTTCAGGTTAATGTTTTTAATATCAGAATATTTGCTATTGCCAGTGAGGTAATGTTTAAATAAATCAATAGTGCCACTTTATTATGCAATTGTAATAAAGTCTAGGCCTTCACATGTCCCTTGAGTTTAAGTTCAGCTCTCGGTGTTGGCTTTAAGCAATTTCACTGCCTTCCTCCTTTTCTGGATTGATTGGAATAAATAAATGGTGTAGTCTTTGGTAGGTAGGGAGGGTTGTCCTGGGAGCTTCATGCTTGTGTGATGATGCCCCTTTTGCCATCACTGGCTGGGATTCCTTTTTGTCCTCAATGAATTAGACACTCAGGCAAAATTGTCTAAGTGATCCAAACTTTTCCAGAGCCAAGAGAAGGTCAGGGAAGAACTTGAGCAAATCCCCATGCTCACCTTCCTTGGAGGTTTAGATCCATGTACACTTTTCAGTCATTAAAAAGTATTCCTAATTTTTTTTTGAGGTTTGCATAAAGGCTAGAAGTTCTCACTAGGGTTTACCTGGAAGAGGTAATGGCTTAAGAAATTAGGTGTATCAGTCCTGTTTGTATTGTGAGGATTAATTGCCTTAGTATCCAAAGGTACAGATAAAAATAAAAGCCATAAGTTTTGCATGCATCAGGATGCAAGCAGTTTTCTCACAAAGATCAATACCCTCCATAGAGGACTATTAATAGGAAAGTTCTGAGGACTTTCATCTACAAAGCAATCTGTGAGGCTAATCATAACCCTGAGCTGAGGTGCATTCCCAGTTTAACATAACCAATTAGAAGTCATGGAATAGAAGAATTAAATGGATTGAATTTGCTCATCATGCCATTCCTTACCTTTGGAGTGTGCTGGGCTCTCTGGAGGTTAGAAAGATATTCTTATAACAAAACCCCTCATTGAAATACCTTCAGAAAGGAAACAGGCCCACCTTTCCCATTTATGTGACAGTTGGGAAACATATACCACTTTACCAGTGGTCATCTCTCATAAAATGATGTCACTCTGGATATGACCTCTAGATTAGTGGTGTGTCAGGCAACTATTTTTCTTAAAACTCCAGTGAATAGCTCCTGAAAAAGGATTTCATACTGATAAAAAATAAGTGGACTAATGGTCCACTTACTGTATTTTATGAGTCAGATTTATGAAAACCCAGCTTTTGGGAAATTGGGTTGGTTAATTTTATGTATCAACTTGACTGGGTCATGGGGTGCCCAGACATTCAGTCAAATATTATTATTTAATTAATTTAAATAATTATTATTATGGGCGTGCTTTTGGATGAGATTAAGATTTAAATCTTAATTAAGTAGAGCACATTAAGTAAAGCAGATTACTCATCCCTAATGTGGATGGGCCTCATGTAGTCAGTTGAAGGCCTGAATAGAACAAAGAGCTGACCCTTTCCTGAGTAAGAGAGAATTCCTCGTGCCAAACTACCTTTGAACTGGGTCATTGGCTTTTTTCTATTTGAACTGAGACATCAGCTCTTCCTGGGACCGAAACTAAGCAAATAGATCTCTTGATACTTAGGCCTTTGAACTCAGACTGGATCTACAACATTAGCTCTTCTGGGTTCCCGGGTCTGACTTATCTTGCAGATCTTGGGACTTGTCAGTCTCCATAATTGTAAGAGCCAATTCTTTATAATAATCTTTTTCTTTCTGTATATACATTCTATTTGTTCTGTTTCTCTGGAGAATCTTGACTAATACAGCAATTAATCTGGTTTCCATTAAGATGGGTTAACCTCCTTTTAATCATATTTATATATTTCTGCCTTGAGTCCTAGATGAAGACATTTTCTGAATATTGTACAAGAAGAACGTTACTAATACGTTATCTATGGCCTCGGTCCTGATTGATACTCTTCCTTCAGATGTGCAGAAGCTCATGAAAAAAGCCACTGCATTTGAGGCGTCAGGGTGGAGAGTGTGAGGAAAGGGACTAAGTGTCTGTCTATTGTGCTAGGGCCTGAAAATGATCATCTGCCACTTGGGCTTTGTGGTAGGAATAGAAAAAGGAAAAGAAAGAGGAAGGGGAGAAGGAAGAATAAAGGAGGTAGAGGAGATGGGGGCCTAGGACGGTTTGTACTTGTTCAGAAGGGGAATTGGAAGTGGGGTTTAAGGCCTTCAGAAAGCTTCAAGAGCTGTTTCTCCCATGTTGCTGCCATATCTCTTTTCGACAATTTCCTTTTTACTCTCAGCCTTAGGGAGCCATTGTAGCCTGAAAATAGCCGTGAATGTTCAATTTCTGCGATGCCTGTTCCTCAACCTCTCACTAGGTGGCAGATATTAAATCAGGAAAGGCGAAAGACCTCTGCAAAAGATAATGTCTCTGGATTTTGACCTTTGTAATTTCAATAAGTTTCCTAGTTTCCAGGAGAGGAGACCTTAATCTATGGAACTCATCCACATCATAATCTCCTCACATATTCTGGGGTTATTTGAGTTGTTTTTTCCTCCTCAACCTTTACAAGGAGATCCCTCTCAAAACAAGCTCACAGTTATTAGTCCTGCCTACACACAACAAGCACCAAGCGTGAAAACAGCCTTAAACAACAACAACAACAAAAGATGTGCCTACATTATATCTTCACTCTTTCAAACAGGAAGAAGAGAAATGAGTTACAAGAGAATTTGCGTTTATCAGTCTGGAAACCGTGGTCTGTGGGCGGGGGCTACTGCTTCAGCCTTGCCTGACTATTCATCAACTGAGCAGGAAGCCGCTCTCAGGAGAGAGGCCTCAGCCTGCAGTGGCCTGAGGCTGAGTGGGCAGGGTGGAAGGCACAACAGGAACAGCAGGAAATCCCTTTTAAATTCTGGAGATTTGAGGCCGGGCACGGTGGCTCACGCTTGTAATCCCAGCACTTCAGAAGGCCAAAGGGGGCAGATTCCTTGAGGTCAGGAGTTTGAGGCCAGCCTGGCCAACATGAAGAAACCCCATCTCTATGAAAAATACGAAAATTAGCCCGGTGTGGTGGCATGTGCCTGTAATCCCAGCTACCCAGGAGGCTGAGGCAGGAGAATCTCTGGAACCCGGGAGGTAGAGGTTGAAGTGAGCCAAAATAGTGCCACTGCCCTCCAGCCTGGGTGACAGAGCAAGACTCCATCTCAAAAATAAGTAAATTCTGGAGATTTGAGTAAACATCTGTTAGCTGGCAATAAACAGTGGGATATCCAGTGGGGAGAATCTTCTTATCTTCATGCCAGTCTGTCGTTTTTCATACAGGGTCGCCTGCAGTGATATTCATAGTTATGAACAAAGGCTCACTCATGAATGAGTAAGAAAAAGCAGGCATCCTAGGTCATGGGAACCTGGCTTTCTTATGGAGTATGGTCTTTTCTAGCAATTCTCCATCCAAACTAATCCTTGCATGGCTTCCCGTTAATGTCCAGTATTGCTGTCTTTTTTCCCAGCCCTGGCCATTTCGTTCAGGGAGCTCTGGATAAAAAGATGCCCTAGGCTTATTGAATAATGCTGCTCATTCTCCCCAGTACCATGGACTGCTCTAGCAGGCATCCTGCTTCTACAGAAGGACACTAGACAACATACACCTGCTGGGCAGAGACAGTAATGCAACAGCACAGTGTTTAAGAACTGTATTTTTCAGCAGGCTCTGGAGGGCTTTTTAAAGCCCACTTGACAGCTCTTTAAAATGGGCTTAGTATAGCATCTCTCAGGGTTGTGGTAAAGGATCCTTCACATGGCTTCATGCTGATTTTCATTTTGCCTAGTGATAGGAACTTTTCTTTCAATTCTTTTCTTTCTCTTTCCTACCTACTTGCTGGCCTCCGCTCCAATTTAAAGCCCATGTGTTTTCAAATTTCCAGTGTAGAAAGTCACGTAACGTGTCTAGCAAAAAAAACAAAAAATAAAAAATAAAAAAAACAACAACACCTCAATTCGTGGGAGCTACTGTCAAGAGATCTGGAGAAAGTCCAAAAATTGGCATTTTTATTATAATAGGAACATGGATAATGTTGATACAGGGAGTCCTTCCTCAGCCTGTATTCTAAGAGCACTACTTTAGACTTTGTTGCTCAAATTTAATGGGTTATCAGTGCTTGTGTAACATATGAATACATTTTTAGCTTTACAGCTTTTATGTACTTTTTTAAATTTCAGGATTTAAAAGCCAAAAAAAAAAAAACAAATTAAATGCAGAATGCCAAAAAACTGTGCCACTATCTTATCACTATATTTGAGTAAACTTTTAAGACTCAAAAATACGTATCCAAATATTGCTTCATAGTCAAAATAAAGGCAGATATTTCTATTAAGACTAAATTTAAGAAAAGCTTTAGAGAAAAGGTAAATTGTATCATGTTTCTCCTCCTATTGAAATCCTACAGAAATAAAATATATTTGTTAATAGTCAAGATGAAAATGAAATTCTTAAAAACTAAGTCAGACTTTCTTCTCCAACCTATAAGGTTTTCATCTCTTTGTGCCTCTGTCTTTCTGTATCTTTGTCTCTCTTTGATTTTAATTCAATGTGAAAGGAAGCTATTTGCTTTTGTTGGATCAGATTTTTAGCATTCACAGCATAAATGAGTCCCACAGTGGAGTTTATTTTCAGTGACACTTTGAATATCAAATTATTAGTTTGCCCCAACAGATGAAAGGACAAATTTGCTTTTATTCTGGCTGAAAAATGGAGAAATTCCTGGAAAATTAGAAATTGATTAAACTTACTTTTACATGTAAATGAAAGTTTGCAAGTCAAGTGGCACTTTAAATACTCTGAAGATTTTGCATATCTTGGGGGAAACTGGTGACCTATTTATTGGTAATGTGAGGACCAATTTGCTAACATGAATAACTGTTCCCCAATTTAGCTGATGCATAAATCTGGTTATCTGCATATTGTGCTCCATTAAACTCAGGTGCATGTGCCCTGGATTAATAACCCATGGTCATGAGCAAATGAGACAGAAACAAGCCTGGCTAGCCTAGAGAATAGGAAGAAGATGGATCTTACTGGAGTGTATGGGGAAGGGGAAGAAAAATGAAATATTGAATGTTGAGTGTATACTATCTTATTTAATCATCAAATGGCTACCAGGCAAGTGTAATTATTATCCTCAATCTATGGAAATAAAAGAATTGAGTTCAATTATCTTTCCTGAGATAGTAGGTAGCAGAGCTGGGATTCAAGTCCAGATCTGATTCAGATCCCTATGGTCTTTCCATTATCCAGTGGCTACTTCCTACATGTTGAAGGATTTCTTATAGGATTCAGAACAAGTAGACTGACTTTTCTCATCTTGTCATATCGGGGAACCTGCCCCGATAGTCACGTAGGTTCTTTTCTATTTTCCCTAAGCATCGCCCGGTTTGAGAAATAAAGGGGCAGAGTACAAAAGAGAGAAATTTTAAAGCTGGGTGTCCAGGGGAGACATCACATGTCGATAAGTTCCGTGATACCCCACAAACCACAAAACCAGCAAGTTTTTATTAGGGACTTTCAAAAGGGGAGGGAGTCTTTCAAAAGGGGAGGGAGTGTACAAATAGGGTGTGTCACAAAGATCATATACTTCACAAGGTAATAGAATATCACAAGGCAAATGGAGACAGGGCGAGATCACAGGACCACAGGACTGGGGCGAAATTAAAATTGCTAATGAAGTTTTGGGCACCATTGTCATTGGTAACATCTTATGAGGAGACAGGGTTTTGAGAGCAACCAGTCTGACCAAAATTTATTAGGCGGGAATTTCCTCTTCCTAATAAGCCTGGGAGTGCTATGGGAGACTGGGGTTTATTTCACCCCTACAGTTTCAACCACAGAAGATGGCCACACCCAAGGGGGCCATTTATAGTCCCACCCTTAGGGGCATATTCTCTTTCTCAGGGATGTTCCTTGCTGAGAAAAAGAATTCAGCGATATTTCTCCCATTTGCTTTTGAAAGAAGAGAAATATGGCTCTGTTCCACCCGGCTCACTGGCGGTCAGAGTTTAAGGTTATCTCTCTTTTTCCTTGAACAATTGCTGTTATCCTGTTCTTTTTTCAAGGCGCCCAGATTTCATATTGTTCAAACACACATGCTCTACAATTTGCGCAGTTAATGCAATTATTACAGGGTCCTGAGGTGACATACATCCTCCTCAGCTGACAGGATTAAGAGATTAAAGTAAAGATGGGCATATAAAATCACAAGGGTATTGATTGGGGAAGTAATAAGTGTCCATGAAATCTTTGCAGTTTGTGTGTAGAGATTGCAATAAAGACAGGCATAGGAAATTATAAAAGTATTAATTTGGGGAACTAATAAATGTCCATGAAATCTTCACAATCCATGTTCTTCTGCCATGGCTTCAGCTGGTCCCTTCGTTTGTGGTTCCTGACTTCCTGCAACATTGTCCTATAGTCAGACACAGTTAGTCTCTAACTTAAATAATGTATAAGTCTGTTTCAACAGCATTCATTAGCAAATCTTGTTAGCTCTGGAAATCACCTATTTCTGTCCACCAAATTATTTAGGCAACCAGACCATGTGCACAAAAAATTGAAAGTGACCCAGAGTGGTTGTATATGCTGCCATTTATTACTCTGCCTTAAAGTAGCTGTCTGACAACTGTCAGTGGTGTAACTGCATACCGCATATGGTCTGTATTTATTTTAATAGATTATGAGGTATAACTGGCATACAATAAGCTTCACATATTTAAATTGTGCAATTTGATAAGTTTTGAAACACATATACAATACACACACACACACACGCTTTTGAAATCATCATCATAATCAAGATAATAAACACCTCTAGCCACCTTGACATCCTACACAACCATGGATTTGTTTTCTGTTAGTATAGAATAGTTTTGTATTTTCTAGACTTTTATATGTACTCTTTTTTATCTGGCTTCTTTAACTCAGAGTAATGTTTTTGAGATTAATCCATGTTGTATCAATCATCCACTTGCATCAATAGTTCCTTTCCCTTTTATTGCTAAATATTCTATAACATGTATATACCACAACTGTTTTCCCACTTACTGGTTGATGTACATTTTGGGTTGTTTCTAGTTTTTGATTCTAACAAATAAAGCTGCTATGAACATTTGTTGACAGGTCTTTGTACGCACACATTATTTCATTCACTACTACTGCATACCTAGAAGTGAAATAGCTGGGTAATGTAATAGGCATATTAATCTTTTTAAGAAACTTCCAAAATTTTTCCAAAATGGTGGTACCATTTTACATTCATATTGATAGTATATGAGATTTCAAATTGCTCCATATCTTCACCAAATCTTGATGATGTCAGTCTTTTAAAATTTTTGACTTTTTAAAATGCATGTAGCAGTATCTCATTGTAGTTTAAATTTGCACTTCCCTAATGACTAACGACATTGAATATCTTTTCATGTGTTATTTGTTATTTAAATATCTTTGGTGATAGGCTGGTTCAAAACCTTTGCCCCCCTTTTTAAAATTGGGTAATTTGTTTTCTTATTATTGTATTTTTGAGAATGATTTGTATATTCTATATGCAAAGCTCCTAGATATGCGACTTGCAAATATTTTTTCAATGTGTTGTTTGTCTTTTTACTCTCTTAAAAGTATTTTTAATACACCTAAGTTCTTAATCTTGATGAAGTTTGATATCAATTGTTTTCCATTCCAGCTAATGCTTTCAGTGTTGTATTTAGTCAATATTTGTCTAGCTCAAGTTCACAATGATTTCCTCCCATTTTTTAGTAGTTTTATAGATTCAGATTTTACATTTTGTCTACGAACTCTTTTGAGTTAATAGTTGCATATGATATAAATACAGAACCAAGTTCTTGATTGTTAATAGGTTTACCTCCCTATATCCAGTTGTGTAGCACCATTCATTGAAGAAACTATTTTTTTCTTTCTATTACTTTTGCACATTTTCCAAAAATCAATTGATAATAAATGTGTCTATTTCTGAACACTTTATTATGTTCCATTTATGTATTTGTCCATTTTAATAACAATACCATACTGTCTTGATTACTATATGTTTATAATAAGTCTTGAAATCAGGTTAAGTCCTCCAAGTTTCCTCCTTTTCTTTTCAAAGTTGTTGTAGCTTTGGTACATTATTTGCATTACTATATGGATTTTAGAATCAGTGTATTAATTTCTACAAAAAGCCTATAAGGATTTTTATTGCAATTGTATTGGATTTATTGATCATCTTAAGGAGAACTAGCATCGTTAGAATACTCATTCTTCTGGTCCATGAAAATGGTAGATCTCTCCCTTTTTAAAAGCTTTTTAAAACATGTGTCAGCAATGTTTTATAGTTTTCAGTGTAAGGATTGCACAACTTTTGTCAGATATATCTCTAAGTATTTTCTATTTTTAATGTCATTATAAAAATATTGTTTTTTATTTCAACTTCAAGTTCTTTTTTGCTAGTAAGTAGAAATACAGTTGACTTTTATGTATTATGAGACTTGACAAACTCACTGATTACTTTCAGTATCTCTTTTAAAATTCCACAGGATTTTCTACATAGATGATTATGTCTTATGTGAATAAAAACTGTAAATAAAGACAGTTTTACCTTTTCCCACAATCTGGGTGCCTATTTATTTTTATTGCCTAGTTGAACTCAGGTTAGGACAGCTAGTACAATGTTGAATATGACAATAGACATCCCTGCCTTGTTCCTGATATTAGAAGAAAGGCATTGAGTCTTTGCCGTTAGGTATGATGTTGGATGTAGATTTTTTTGTGAATGTTCCTTATCAGGCTGCAGAAGTTTGCTTCCATTGCTAGTATGCCGAACATTTTTTATCAGCAATGGCTGTTGGATTTTTGTCAAGTGCTTTTTTACATATATTGGGATGGTCATATGTTTGTTTGATTTTTAGTCTACTAATATAGTAAATTACACTAATTGATTTTTTTTTATTTGTTAAAGCATACTTATGGACGGGCATGGTGGCTCATGCCTGTAATCCCAGCACTTTGGGAGGCCGAGGCGGGCAGATCACGAGGTTAAGAGATCAAGACCATCCTGTCCAACATGGTGAAACCCCGTCTCTACTAAAAATACAAAAATTAGTTGGGTGTGGTGGTGGGTGCCTGTAGTCCCAGTTACTTGGGAGTCTGAGGCAGGAGAATTGCTTGAACCCTGGAGGTGGAGGTTGCAGTAAACTGAGATCGCGCCACTGCACTCCAGCCTGGAGACAGAGTGAGACTCCGTCTCAAAAAAACAAACAGACAAAAAAACACAAAAAACATACTAACATCCCTAGACTCTTTCTCTCTCCTTTCCTCCCTTCCTAATATCCCTTACACCAGTAGGGTGAGCAGCTGACTTGGAAGCTAAGTCAGAAGTCCTGGGGGAACTTTTAATTCTGCCACTTAATAACAATGACCTTGAGCTCTTCACTAAACTTCTCTGACATTTACTCTTCTTATACTTAAAATAGGAATTATTATGTCTACTTGAAAGCATTATTGGGTAGACTAATTAAGAATATGTTTTTAAGAGCCATCGGTAAACTGTAATATATATGTTCTATATGTTGAAGGTTCAAGCGTTCATGCTGAGGAGTTTTCCATGACAGCAAAATATCAACAAGTGCAACATAAAAACCAAAGTTATCATTTGGCAAAAAGCCTCCTTTGCCACCAAAACAATCCTCTATGCCACGTCATATTATCTTCTCAACATCTTTGGGAGATGAGCTTAGTTTGGCTAGTTTTAAAGGTGAAGAAGCTGAATCACAGATAAGCATAGGTTGATTTTATGTTGTTGTCTTTGAAAATGGTCATAAAAATATAGATGGGAACATTAGACTTTATTTTTCTTCCCGACCATATCATGCCAGAAAAAAACATCTCATTCTGATAATTTAGTTGTATGATTTAACTCCTCATCTCCTATCCCTCCTGGGTTTTCAGTGTTGCATTTCCTTTCACATTTGAAAGGGAAGATTCCTATGAGCTGCACACACAGTCTTTCACAGAACAAGCAGACACAGAATGTGGATGATTTTTGATTTCTATTTAAGGAGAAGACAGCCAGTTCATTTTCTTCCTGCCTCACCTTGGCAAAACTGATTAAGTTTGTTTAAAATACTGTCAAATGTTTGATCTTTTAATTAACATTTCCTATATATATAGCAATCTTCTCATAGAACCTCAAAAGAAATTCATAGTCATTATTAGTTAATATGCTCAGTGTCCCTGTGAGACAGGAACACGACAGGTGGTGTTATCTGCCTCATTCACATGAGAGAACTGGAAGTCAATGTGATGCCTCCAGGCTGTTCCAAAGGGGCCTGGGTGATTCAGGAGCAGATCTCAGTTGTTTACTCAGGATCAGTACTCTCACCAGTATAATTTTTAGCTGGAAAAAATTTATTTAGGCCCAAGTACAGGAATAGCAGGAATAAATAGAAAATCTATTTAGGCCCCAATACAGCAATATTTATACTGCTGAAGCCAAAATTTACAGTTTCTTGCTGCCTGATATTAACTCTTCCTTTTACTCAAACGAGGCTTTCTGGATTTTTAAACACTTTGTCATCCATGCATGTATCTATCTGCCATCTACCCATTCATCCATCCGTGTATCCATTCTCAACAAAGGACCCACAGGCACTATCCTAAATCCTACAGCCACAAAGTTGAAAAAGATTTAGTCCTTTCCCTCTATACTGGAGACAGACAATAGCATGTTCTTCAAAATAAGGCAAATTCTATGACAGATGTATGCACATGAAATAGTATCATAAATAAAAAGGTGGAAGTTTTCAATTCTATCTGGGGTCCTTTAGAGAGAAAATACATTGTATATTCACAATAGAGCAACTCACGGAATTTAAAGCCCAAGCAGATGTTTTAAATTATGATACCATGATGCTTTAGAGCGATGCTTTTCAGACTTCTATGTGCATGAGAATCACCTAGAAGGCTTGTTGAAACGTGGATTCCTTGGCTCCCATCTCCAGCAACTCTGATTCATGAGTCTAGGGTGAATGTATTTTTAGCAAGCTCCTAGCTGATGCTGATGTTGCAGGTGCATGGGCCACATTTTAAGAACCACTGCTTTAGAGGCAGACATAACCTTTGAAATCACTGTTTTAGCCAGGTATTTCCCTGGATCATTTTTTTAGGACTTTACATAGAATCTAAGAATGGCAGAGATCAATGAATACAAGTTCTCATTTTATAGAAGAGGCAAGTGTGATCCAGAAATTTTTAGTGATTTGCACATTGCCTGGTTAGTCATCAGCAAAGTTGATTCGACACTGCTTTTTAAACAGTGGTTTCTAGTAATTTTACCTCATAGAGCTAGCTGATCCTCTCAATCTACCAGTTACAGGTTTTTGTCACTCTTAAGGGTATTGATGTACTGATGGAAAATGGCTTGTGAGGTGGGTGGGGGCATCTGTACAGAGACAAACTGCAAAGCAAACACTAGGATGCAGGCAGAGCACCTGCTTCCACGGCAAGAACTTCGAGCAGGTCTATTTGTCTCAATTGTAGTAGCTTTATAGGAAGCTGGTTAGTGAAGCAGCTGTTTATAAATCTGAAGCCACCTTCCGTGGTCCTCTATTTCAATGGGTATTTATTGTTCATGAACTTTTATGCTTATTGAGGAGTTTATACAGGCATACCTCATTTTATTTTGCTTTGCTTTATTGTACTTTGCAGGTACTGTGCTTTTTGCAAATTGAAGTTTGTGGCAATCCTGGGACAAACAAATCCATTTTTCCAACAGCATGTGCCTACTTTGAGTTTCTGTGTCACCTTGTGGTAATTATAGCAATATTTCAAACTTTTTAAACACTCCTATATCTATTATGGTGATCTGTGATTTGTGATCTTTGATGTTACTATTGTAACTCTTTTTGGGCACCACAAATAGTGCCCATAGAAGATGGCAAATTTAATCAATAAATGTTGTGTGTTCTGACTGTTGTATCAACAGGCTGTTCCACCATCTCTCCCTTATTCTTGGGCTTCTCTATTCCCTGAGATACTAAATATTAAAATTAGGCCAATTAATAACTCTACAATGGCTTCTAAGTGTTCAAGTGAAAGGAAGAGTTGCACATCTTTTACTTTAAATAAAAAACTAGAAACAATTAAGCTTACTAAGGAAGGCATATCAAAAGATGAGACAGACCAAATTCTAGGCCTCTTGTGCCAAATAGCCAAGTTGTGAATGCAAAGGAAAAGTTCTTGAAGGATATTAAAAGTGCTACTCCCGTAAGCACACAAATGATAAAAAGGCAAAACAGCTTTATTGCCAATATGGAGAAAGTTTTCATGTTCTGGAGAGAAGATCAAGCTAGACACAATATTTACTTAAGCTAAAGCCTAATCCAGAGAAAGACCCTAACTCTCTTTAATTCTATGAAAGCTTAGAGAGTTAAGGAAGCTGAAGAAGAAACATTTTAAGCTAGTAGAGTTTGGTTTGTGAGGTTTAAGGAAAGAAGTTGTCTCCATATCATAAAAGCATAAGATGAAGCAGAATTTTCTGCTGTAGAAACTGCAGCAATTATTCAGAAGGTCTATGTAAGAACATTAATGAAGATGTCTAGACTCAACAACAGATTTTCAATGGAGACAAAACAGCTTTATATTGGAAGAAGGTACCATGTAGGACTTTCATAGCTAAAGAGGAGAAATCAATATCTGGCTTCAAAGTGTCTAAGGACAGCTTGACTCTTCTGCTAGAAGCTAATGCAGCTGGTGACGATAAGTTGAAGCCGACACCCATGTATCATTCCAAGAATCCTAGGGCCCTTAAGAATTATGCTAAATCTACTCAGCCTGTGCTGTAAAATTGGAATAATAAAGTCTGGATGACAGAACATATGTTTACATCGTGGTTTGCTGTATATTTTAAAGCCACTGTTGAGACTTGCTTTAAAAATATGACTGCCCATTGACAATGCACGTAGTGACCCAAGAGCTCTGATGGAGGTGTGCAAGGAAATTAATGCCTTTGTGCCTGTTAACACAACTTTCATTCTGTAGCCCCTGGATCAATCAGTAATTTCAGCTTTCAAATCTTATTATTTAAGAAATATATATTTTGTAAACTATACCTGTCATAGATATATAGATCCTCTGATGAATTTAGGCAAAATTAATTGAAAATCTTCTAAAAAGAGTTCACCATTCTAGGTGCCATTAAGAATATTCATAACTCATGGGAAGAAGTAAAAATGTTAACAGTAACAGGAGATTGGAAGAAGTTGGTTTCAAACCTCATGGATGATTTTGTGGGGTTCAAGACTTCGGTGAAACTGGAAGGAACTAACTGCAGATGTGGTAGAAATAACAAGAGAACTAGAATTAGAAGTGGTAAGCTGATGATATGACTAAAGTATTTTAATCTCAATAAAACTTTAACAAATGAGAAGTTGCTTTTTTTTTTGAAATGGAGTCTTGCTCTGTCACCCAGGCTGGAGTGCAGTGGCGCAATCTCGGCTAACTGTAAGCTCTGCCTCCCAGGTTCACGCCATTCTCCTGCCTCAGCCTCCCAAGTAGCTGGGACTACAGGCACCCACTACCATGCCCGGCTAAGTTTTTGCATTTTTAGTAGAGACGGGGTTTCTCCGTATTAGCCAGGATGGTCTCGATCTCCTGACCTTGTGATCCGCCCTCCTCGGCCTCCCAAAGTGCTGGGATTACAGGCATGATGAATCACCGCGCCCGGCTGAGAAGCTGCTTTTTATGGATGAACAAAGAAAGTGGTTTATTGAGATGGAACCTACTCTTGGTGAAGATACTGTGAACGTTGTTTAAATGACAACAAATAATTTAAAATATTATATAAACTTAGTTGTAAAGTCTTATCAGGGTTGGAGAGGATTGACTTGAATTCTGAAAGAAGTTCTACTTTGGGTAAAATGCTATCGAACCGCAATACAGGCTACAGAATTTTTTTTGTGATAGGAAGAGTTAATTGATATGGCAATGTTATTGTCTTATTTTAAGAAATTGCCACAGTCACTCCAGCCTTCAGCAACCACCAACCTGATCAGTCAGCAATCAACATCAAGGTAAGACACTCCAACAGCAAAGATCTCAACTCACTGAAGGCTTAGATTATTGTTAACATTTTTTGGCAATAAAGTATTTTAATTAAGATATGTACATTGTTTTTTCAGCAGTAATACTACTGCACACTTACTAGACTACAGTATAGCGTAAAAATAACTTTTATATGCACTGGGAAACCAAAAAATTTGTGCGACTTGCTTTATTGTGTTATTTGCTTTATTGCAGTGGTCTGAAACCAAACCTGCAGTGTCTCTGAGGTATGCATGTAGATATAGCAACTTTTGCTTATTTTGACTTGGGATTGGATGAGTGGGGAAGACAGCAGGGAAGGACTGAACTAATAGATTTCTAGGTTTCTGTCACTTTAGTTTTGTGGTGCTGCTTTTAATGTCCATCAATTGTTCAGGTGACCAATCTTATATCTCTCATCTGGGAATGCAGCTCTGGCATCTCTCAAGGAGGCTTTGATATGAGGGCTCCTTAAAGTCTGGACTTTTCCTTCTTTGTGTATCCCCAGGGCCTCACACAATGGCTAGCATACAGTTGAGCCTCAGGAAATGTTTGCTGAATGGATGAATAAACTGTGAATGTATAAATGCCCCCTCTCAGAATTGTACTGGCTTTTCCCAAAAGCAGCAAAACCAGGCTAAGGGCTGGCCTGAGGCAAAACCATAAAACTGACAAGGGTTCTTTAGCACTTACACACAGCAAATCATTTTGGGGCACTCCAGCCCTTTCTAACCTTCAGGCACATAGCACCTCATTGTGGAGCTCTACTGATCAAGGCTTGTTCAGGGAACATTCTATTTATCTCTTTTTATTCTTTTAGGGTGTACATCATATTTATTTAATTAATTAATTGCATTTTTTGACATCTTAACCATTTTGAAGTGTATAGTTCAGTAATGTAAAATATATTCATACTGTTGTGAAACAGATCTCCAGCACTTTTTTATCTTGCAAATCTGAAACTCTATATTAATTAAACGACTCCTCCTTTTCTTCTCCCCTAAAACCCTGGTAACCACCATTCTTTTTTCTGTTTCTATGAATTTGACTACTTTAGATGCCTCATAATAGTAGAATTATACAGTATTTGCATTTTAGTGACTGGCTTATTTCACTTAGCAAATGATAATTACTTAGCAACATGGATACCTTCAAGATTAACCCATGTTTTACCTTGTGACAAAATTTTTGCCTTTTTTACGGCTGAATAATACTCCACTACATGTATATACCACATTTTGTTTATTCATTCATCTGTTGATAGACCTTTGGATTACTCACACCTCTTTGCCTATTGTGAATAGTGATGTTACAAACGTGGGTGTGTGTGGTTCCATAATACGGTATTTTTATTTTATCTTTTCTGTGTTTAGATATGTTTAGATACACAAATACTTACCATTGTGTTACAATTGCCTATAGTATTTAGTATAGTAACATGCCATAGCCTAGGTTTGTAGCCTAGGAGCAGTAGGCTATACCTTAAAGTCTAGTTGTGTAGTAGGCTATATCATCTGGGTTTGTGTAAGTATAGTATATTCTATGACGTTCACTCAATGACAGAATCACCTAATAATGCATTTCTCAGAAGTATCCCTATCATTAAGAGACACATGACTGTAACTCTCTGAGATCCTGCTTTCAATTCTTTTGACTATATACCCAGAAGTGGAATTCCTGGATCATATGGTAATTCTATTTTTAATTTTTTGAGGAACCATACTGTTTTCCGTAGCAATTACACCATTTTACAATCCCACCCACTGTGCAACTAAGTTTCCAGTTTCTCTGCATCCTCTCTAACACTGTCATTTTCTGATTTTTGATAGTAGGCATTCTAATGGGTATGAGGTGATATATCATTATGGTTTTCATTTGCATTCCTCTCATGATTAGTTATGTTGAGCATCTTTTTATATGCTTGTTGGCCATTTGTATCTCAATCATATTTGGAGAAATGTCTATTCAGATTCTTTGCCCATGTTAAAAATTGGGTTATTTGATTTTTTCATTCTTGAGTTATAGGAAATCTTTATGTATTTTGGATATTAACTTCTATCAGATACATGATTTGCAAATATTTTCTCCTATTTCATAGATTGCACTTTCACTCTGTTGATTGTGTTCTTTGATGCTCAAAAGCTTTAAAGTTTGATGTAGTCTTATTGGTTTATTTTTGCTTTTGTAGCCTATGCTTTTGGTATCATATTCAGGAAATCATTGTCAAGTACAATGTTATGAGACTTTTCCTCTATATTTTCTTCTAGTATAATTTTAGGTCTTTAATCTTTTTGAGTTAAATTTTGTATGGACTATAAGGTAAGGGTTCAACTTCATTCTTTTGCATGTGGATATCCAGTTTTACCAACACTCTCTGTAGAAAATCCATCTTTTTTTCCACTGAGTAATCTTGTTATTTTCATCAAATATCACTTGATTGTGTACATGAGGGTTTATTTCTGGGCTCCCTATTTTATTCTTTTGGTCTACTTGTCTGTCTTTATGCCAGTACAACAGTTTTAAATGTTGTAATTTTGAAATTATGAATTATATGTCCACCAACTTTGTTCTTCCTTTTCCCAATTGTTTTGGTTATTTGGGGTTCCCGAAAATTTCATATGAATTTTAGGAGGAATTTTTCTATATCTGCAAAAAATACTGTTGAGATTTTGGTAGGGGTTGGGTTGAATCTGTAGATTGCTTTGGGTAGTATGGACGTGCTAACAATACTAAGTTTTACAATCCATGAGTATGGGATGTCTTTCCATTTACTTGAGTCTTCTTTACTTTCTTTCAGCATTGTTTTATAGTTTTCAGTGTACACACTTTCGTGTTCTGAGTTAGGTTTGTATCTAAGTATTTTATTCTTTTGGATGCTATTTTGTCATATGTATCTTTATGCTCTGGATTTTTCATCTTGCTACAAATGGCTTAATGATGTATCACATTATCCCTTCAATGAATTAGCCCCATTGAGGGAACAGAATTCTTCATCATAGCGAAAACATAAAGTCCTTTATGAATATGTGTGGATCCTGGAGTTTCAGGCAATGTGACAGCTGTGGGAGACTCTAGAAATTACTCCATATAGGCCTCCTATTCCCTTATGTCTTGGTTAGCCCAGTCAGTGAATATGTGATGGATTTTTTTTGTTTTTGGTCATCTCTACTTCAGACTCCCTATATAATTTTATTATTTTATATGAACTTCAATATAATCCCCTTCAGATTATTTATGAAATATCTTCCAAAGGAACATACTAACTCTGAAACATTCTGTGCATAGGGCAGCTATTAGCAAGGTCCTGGTTGATGTGGCATGGATTATAAGTGTGGTGGCACCTGTGCCTTGGATGGTAAAATTAGAGTAGATACTGGGGGTTATCTTGTTTTTTCATTATTGATAACTAAATGTAGTTAACTTGAGCTTGGGTTACCCCAATCCCAAAGGCTAATAGGCTACTGAACTTCATGTACAAAAGGATTGTCCTTCTGAATAAGAATTCCCCATTTTTAATGCTTCCTGAGTCACATCAGAATTTCCATGGCACCCTAGTCCCTAGCCTGTCCTTAAAGTATACAATTGGTTGATACACAAAATCTTCCTGGGTGAAACAAGACTGGTAAGTATGTCAATGGAATGGAAGGGAGTAATACCAGTAGATGGTGTAATATATGTGAATCCCATCATGAGCACACTCTTGCATGAGTCTCCCACCCAATTTCTTTCGTTAGTACTTGTAGCTTCCCTCCACGAATACTGTATTATGTAAGGCATGAAACAAAGATGATGTTATTTATATTCTCCAACATCCCACTCCCCAAATAATATATATGATAATTAGAAAACCACCTGCCAAACAATAATTTTGCAGACTGTCTGTTGATACTTAGAATTCCCGTAGGAAGCCTCAGTCTTTGAGTGTTATTTGTCTGATTCCTAATTGCTCAAGACAGGACAGATTATTTCTCTTTCCCAGGTGTCACTTTGGAAGACCTGGCTGCAAATGCTTCTTTCTCTGAGTATGCATGACTCACCTAGCCTGTGACTCTGACAAGTGGACCACTCAATCCTTTTATAAGAGTATACTGCATTCTCAAAAGTAAGGCGCAACTGTCAGATGCAGCACAGCCATGTTGTGGAATCTTCTTCTGGGGGGAATAAAGGAGTCTCCATCTCCTTTGTTTTCTCTCTTTGTCTTAGCTAGAGAAAAGAAGAATTCTAAATCTGCAGAAGCTTCAGTTAAAATTCCAGAATTAGGTGTTATGTATTTTAATGGAACCTGAGTTAGGCTGGATCTGAGATTTGGTTGGTTTGGTCTAATGTGAGGAATAACATACCCTTTTCCTCCCCCTCAGGCAAATATCTATGTGAATGCATTGATTTTTCATGAGGGGGTACTAAGAAGCTCATGGGCAAGGGATTTTGAAGCAAGACTCAGAGAAGAACAGACATGACTGACCAGCTGTGGTGGGAGTTACAAAGATAATAAAAACCAGACTTCAGGATGAAAATAGAAGGACAAGTCATCCTAAAGGGAAAGAAGTTTACCCCGAGGAGAGAGTCTTAGCAACAAGACTTCAAGTCTGGAGAGGTGTGTTGATTCTGGCTAGAGAGCATGCAGCTGTTACTTCACCTCAGTTCAGCCAGGGAGAAAATGCACAAGGAGAAAATGGGTCATATACCCATTGGAACTCTGTAACATTTTCGATTCTAAACTCTGTGGTCAGATTGCTTTCACACAGAGTGCAATATGGAAGAAGGGAACTGCTCTCAGTTTTCAAGAGTTCTTGTGTCCAGATAAAGGGGCAGAGATTTGCATTTTATGAGAAACAGTGGTGGTGAAGTCAGTACCAATCTTTCATAAAATGCTGAGCTTTGGTTGTGGTGACTTGAGGAGACAGGGGTCAGTGGTCAGTGAAGGTGACATAGCTTTTCTTAAAGCAACACTTCTGAAGTGCTGTTGAGAATTATGGCTGTAGATTCCTGGATGAGCTGGCTGTGAAAGTGGAAACATCAGCAAATACTCAACCCAATTATCACTGTGGCAGTGGGGGCCCAGAGCTACACTTTGGCAGAAGCAGAGAGAACAATTATGTCAATAAAGCAGCAGTGCCTGAGCTGGAATAACAGAAGAAGGGGAGGGGCAGCCTGGATGGTTTTATAGATGTGTGTACCATGTTCCTGCAAAGACCTAAAATTAGTTCATAAACAGTAAGACATAGTTGGCAAGATTTAAATAATGATGCTAATATGAACCAAGTTTATTCATTAATTCTGCAAATGCATATTGAGTATCTACTATATACCTGACTGTGTTAAGCCCCAGATATAGGGACAAAAATAAGTCATAGTCCCTGCCTTCAAGTAGCTTACACTGTAATAGGCAAGAAAGACACTTAAGTAAGTCAGTTGTCTCAACAGATACACACATGCATACACATCAAAATAATTCATCTGTTCAATAAATACCAAATGAGAATCTGTTTTTGTGCGAGACACATTATACCTCATGCTGTGCTTATATATACTTGCATATACTTGTAAAGTCATGAGATCTGGATATTCAGGTTACAAATGCTCTTTAAGGGTTACACATTTTTCTTTTTTCTTCCCAAAGTCTATTTTAATACTGTAGCACACAGTCTACTCCTGTGGTTGCTGTCCTCCAGTTGGAGCTCTTGAAGCTGGCAGGGCACAGGACAGGTACCTGGGGGCAGAACTTCCTCTAATCATGATAACATGAGAAGTTGAAATCCAGATTGAAAGTTCCTGCAAAATCTTTGATTGAACTAGAACAAGGGACCAGACTCATCTAGGAGCTAGTAGAAAATTATAAACATGCCTTTGAGGTAGAAACATTGTATTAACATTGCCTCTGACTTTCAGAATGCCTAACAATCCCATGTGGAACTGGTTAGCAGTGGTATGTGGGCTCTGTACATGACAGTGGAGAGCACAGGGTGAGGAATAAGTTGCTATTTCACATTTCTTGTCCATGATGTTTTTTAAAGGGTTCCTGCCATGATGGATTATTGGAAACAGTGTCTTAAATTAAGACTTAAAGGTTCTATTTCTTTAAATTATCATTAGGGAGATAAAATAGAAAAAATAAATGGCACCGAGTAGCCAGATGGATTCAGAAATTAGCCATCTACCATTGGAAATGGAGATTTAGGACAGTGATGTGCTTTACATCTTTTGGGTCCTGCATGCTGGCTAAGATTGTGGAAATAGACAGGCACTTAGGACAAGGACATGTTCTTATTCTAGACATTTAGGGTCTGCAGGAATAAGAATTTCATCTGTGCTCTGTTAAAGACCATTGAATATTTTATATGCAGTTGATAAATCAATAAAAAGTTGTAGAGTTACTGTACAGTGAAGGGAGTATGGGATTTGGAGTTCAAAGACATGCGTTTGTGTTCTGGTTCACATGACCTTGGTCAGTTCCCTAACCTTTTTTAGGCTTTAGTTTCTGGTTATAAAACAAAGATAAAGACTAGTTGTAATAATACCAAATCTACATACACCACAGGTCTGCTGTGAGGCTCAGATGAGATAACATCTATGAAAATGTTTTGGAAATACAAATGTTGGTTTATTATTTTGGGGTATCTGGTCTTGCAAAGCATGGGAAATAAATGCAAAATATGGTCAGTGTCTGTACAAAGCTTATAATTTAGTTGAGATGACAAGATTTATTCTTATGAAAAATCAAGGCACTCTGAGAACTGTCTGTGGAGAGTGTTAATTAGGGGAGGCTTTATATAAAAGAAATAGAAAATCAGCAATGCTCCAAAATGGGCATGCAATGAAGCCTCCATATATTTGCATCAAATAATTTTGTTCATTTTAATATTTTTGTTCTTTTTTTTCCTAATGTTTCTAGACCCTGAGCTCCTCCAGGGCAATAAGCTTATATTAGTTTATTATTTTTAACTTCAATGCCTAGCATGGTATCTGACACATATTAGACATTCAGTAAACATAGAGTGACTGAGTGACTAAGAAAATAAATGGAATTAATCTAGTTGACCAGCATGGTAATGCTACCCATATCTATTTGTGCTTCGGACTTTAACTGTGTGTGTGTGTTTCAACTGATAAATTTCCTAACCACTAAGTGCTTGCTGGAGGGTAGGGAGCAGAATACAGAGGCAGTACAGTCCCAGCAGAGATGTATTGTAGACAATGGAAATGACTTAAAAGAGCTGATTTTAAATATTCAGGAATTTTGTAAGCCAGTGGCTAAAGCTGGCTGTTAGCTTGAAATCAGCCGCTGTGGGAATATTTACACCATGGAAATTGGAAGGCAGTACAAATCACGACTTTTCTCTCTTCCAGAGAGATGCTCTATGAGCATATCCACTGACTCCTAGACATAATATGTGTCCGTGTGTGTGCTTATGAGAGATTGGGTGAAGGATGGGGGAAAAGTGTAAAAGGATGCATGATCCCCTATTTCCTAGAGAAAAAAGCTTGTAAATTGGGCTTTTAAGTACAAACAATTAGTAACAAAATTCTTAAACATAAGTCATAGTTTAATTTGTTCTCATAAAGCATAGAAATTGTAAATTTCTAATGAAATAATTTAAAATATAAATGCCACATTTCAGTGATTTATGCTTTTATAAACATTGTAGACAAAAGACTTAGGTTTCCTGAACACAGTCTGCTTGGAGTTGAGTCTGGATTGGACAGCTATTGCTTGACTGATAAGTTCTGAAAAATGAGACCGTGATACAAATCTGCATAGGAGGACTTGGAAGACATCTTTACTTTCTCTTGCCTAGTTCTGGACTCCGTTGAGGTGCTAGTTTATCACACAAACTGGGGACTTTGTTCCTCAAGGGAATGGAGAAGGTTTCCTGATTTCAAAGGAAGATTAGTACTAGTAACTAACTTTCAACTAAAAAAAAAAATCTGTTCTCCAAAGTTTCTGTCCAGGCACCAGCCCCGGTAGTTTAACTTAAGTGTTGATATTTTGAGCCTGTTGCAATTTGAACTTCAGCCTTTCCATTGCTTTGTCATTGCAGTACAGATGTCTTTCAATTATATTTCTCCCTGTGGCTTTTAGTGCATCAGGCCACTCTAGAGATTTCATGCTTCTACTTACAGAATGCGTCAAAGAAATTTCCTCAGTAACAGACACCAAAAGACAAATTTATTAATCTAAACCATAATCTGATACAAAAATATTGCCATTTATAATTCACTGGATGCTTTGGCAGCTAGTTCCCAAAGTGCCAAAAAAATCTGTCCAGCTCAGTTATCCCCTGGGGACACACAAATGCCAAGAGCCACTGCAGCTTGTTCCAAACCACTAACAGACTATAAGAAACAAAGTCAATGTAACACTTACCAAATGTAAATCCTATGCTACCAGTTCAAACCAGGGCCTAGAATATAAAATTCAAAATAAAAGAAAAGGTAAATGTAAACATGAAGTAAGTCTTTGTCCAAATCCTAAATTTGTGATTTCTCCCTTTCTCCCTTTTTTTATTAGGTTACCTAAGATTTTATCTATTTTATTTTTTTTTATTTTGAAAACTAGGTCTTGAATTTATTGATTAGTTAATTTTCTATTATCTAATTCATTAATTTTTGCTACTGTCTCTATTAATTTTTCTTTTTTGCTTTTAGATTTAGGGCTATTTTGTTGTCAAACTCTTATTTCACTAATTGTAGTCTATTTTCTTCATTGGTATCAGGATTTAGGAAAATGAATACAGCTTTAGTGATATTCTTTAGTTCTGTTATTGATATTATTTCATTCTAGGCTAATTCTGCAGTTTCAGTTTTAATTTTCTTTGACTTACAAATAAGCTTTAAAACAACAAAATGGATGAGTTTCCATCCTTCAGTAGGAATTTCCAGCTTTAACTTGAGAAAGTAGTAACAGCTGATATATATTTAGTGTTAACTATAGGCCAGGCACCTAGGCTCAGTGCTTTACATGAATTATTTCAATTAACCTTCAAACCAAGCTTTTGAAATAGTTACTATTATATACCTTATTATATATTTATCATTTTTCTATTATTAAAAATAGAGACTGAGGCATAGAAAAGTTAAAAGACTTGACCAAGGTGCAAACTAGCAAGTGGCAGAGCTGAGATTGAAACCCAGTCATTCTGAGCACAGAGGTGGGTTTTTTGACCTTGTGGCACGATGAGAGTGTCTGTTGTCCTGATTCACTAGTTATGGAGCTGGCTAACTTCTTCATTGGAGGGACTCAACATTGCTGCTTGGGCTGACATCTGTGCAATATCTCTTTCAGATGTAAGTTGCATTCCAAATTAGTAGGGAGAAAGAATGCTTCTTGAATCATTTCACCCAAATGATTCTCCCCTTAGATTTATTAATCACTATGAGCCTGTGATTACACGGTTTCCTGCCAAGTGCTACATAAAGCTATTAGCTGACATGGTCTTTGTTTTGGAGAGCCACGTCATCTGTATTTATATCCATTGGTACATTAATTGTGGTAGCATTCAACTTGTGAAAAGGGCATTGATAAGCATCTTCTGCAGTGGTTTTCAAACTTGGCTGCACATCAGAATCACCTGGGCAACTTTAAAAATTTTCAATGCCCAAATCTCATTACACACCAATTAATTCACAGATCTCTAGAGGTGGTACCTTGCCATCAGCTGGTATTTCAAAATTTGATGTTTTTGATAATGACAGTGTCTTTTCTTTTGTTTTTGAAAAACAAATATTGTCATCCAACTGTTTGATCAGCAAATATTTATTTTTAAAATAAATTTTCTCTTACCCACAGTGTGAGAGTTGTGTATTCTCATTGCATAAATTTTCAAAAATAATAGCAAAATAACTCTAAGCCACCAAAATATCAAATAGAGAAGTAATGGTTAAATGAAGTTGTTTTGTGTAGTATTTGCATATAACCTACACACATTCTCCCATGTACTTTAAATAATCTCTAGATTACTTGTAATACTTAGTACAATATAAATGCTATGTATATATTTGTTATAGTGTGTAGTTTAGAGAAAAATGACAAGAAAAAAGTCTGTACATGTTCAGTACAGGTGCCATTTTAAAATATATTTTTATGAGGTTGGTTGAATACATGAATGTGGAACCTATGAATATGAAGGACCAACTGAAGATACAGTCATTCTCTGAAGGGCTTCCTTATTAGGCCAATGTTGACCGTATAACTGCTTAAGTTTACAGTTATTTACTGTGACAAGTGCCAAAGATAATATTGTGAACTAAAAGAATATATTGTAGGAGAACTTTTTCCAGTGTTCTAGTAAGAAAACTTTCCCTAAGAAATTTAAAAGTTGAGTTGAGAATTGAGATTTGCAGAATGAAGAACAGAAATGAACTAGGGAATGGTGGATGAGGAAAGGCCTTGGATACAAAGGTAACAGCATGAGAAAAGGCCATGGCAGGAGTGATAGCATAGCTCCTTCTACCACTAATGACCAGGGTATCTGAAGTGTAGTGGGTGGGGTAGTCTGTAGACCTTGGCAGGGACCAGCTTCTTCATTAATTGATTGCAAGGCATGTTAAAAAATACTTTGTTCTTTATTTTAAGAACAATGGGAAACAAAGGATTTGTGGCAGAGTTGTGGCATGATTAGGGTCGTGCTTTGAGAAAATCTCTTTGTTTGCCACGTGGAGGACAGACTGGAGTGGGCAAAAGGCAAATGAGGAGACCATGTAGAGAGAGTTGATAGATGGTAATGTCTTAGACTAAGATGGTAGCCAGTGAATTAGAGAGAAAGAACAGAGAGGAAGGAGATATTTGATATTTAAGATGTAGAATTAGCAGAATTTGGTGATGAATTATATAAGGGAATTAAGGAAAGAGGGTGGTGGCCATGACAACTCCCTGTTTTCTGGCTTTCACAACTAGATACAGGGTGCTGTGTTCCTAACAGTGGAAACAAGGGTGAAGGACTACTTTGGAAGGGAAAGCAAATGGATTTGGTTTTGGATAGATTGATTTTGAGGTATCTTTAAGATCTTCAAGTGGAGAATACACATTACAAAATTGGAGAGGCAAGCTAGGAGCTCAGAGGAGAGATTATCACTAGTGGTAAAAATCTGAATATCACTGGTTTATGGTTGGTTATTAAAGCCTTGGCTGATAGTGGGATCTCCAGAAAAGAAAGTATAGAATAAGAAGAGAAGAGAAGAGGCCAGGGCTGAGTTTTCAGGAATGTTCATACATGGGGCCATCTAGAGGAGGTTGAATTCACAATGGAAACTGAGGAGCACTGGCTGAAGATGTAGGAGGAAAGTTAGGAGGATACAATGTTAAGGAAGTTTACAGTAAGAATTTTTAAAAAGAAGGGGTGGTTAATAGTACAACATTCTGCTGACAATTCACCTAAAATGAAGATTAAAAAATACCCATGCATTTTAGCAATGTGGAAGTAGGTCACTGAGAATCTTAGCAACAGTCTTTCTAGTGAAGGAGTGGGTGTTTATTGAGATTAGAGTGGACTGAGGAGTGTGTGGGAAGAGAGGAGAGAGACAAGGGGGCCATTACTCTAAAAAGTTTTGCAGTGAAGGGAAGGAGACAGTGATTGCGGAGGATTATGTGGCTGAAGGAAGTATTTTAATTTTGTTTTTTAAGGTGGGATGGAGTTAAGGTTATTTGAAGATTCACAATGAGATATTCCTGAAAAGATAGGAAGAAGTAGGTCCTAACAAAATGAGGAGGAATTGGCTTAGATAGGAGTAAATACAACTTTTTTTCTAAAAAATAACAACAGCAATTAGAGAAGCACAAGTACCCATATGGTAATGCATGTTGGTTTTGTAACAAGACTTACAGGGATCTCTTGTCTATGAACATCTATGTTTCTGTAACATAGGAAACAAAGTTGTCTGTTGTGAGCATGTGGTTGTGGGTTGTGGAGTGTACACATGAGTGTATACGTGTGTGTAGGTTTGTGTTGATGAGAGGTTTAAAGAGTGAAAATTTAAAATAGTCATTATGGAGGGTGAGAGATTCAGTTGAAGAGATAAAAACAGTGGAATTGCCAGGTAGTATTGAGGCCCAGTTGAAGTAAGTGACTGTGAACTTATAATGGTATAAACATACTTGCTTCATGTATTTATTCATTCAACAAATATTCATTAAGTGTCATTGCTGTTTTAAGTACTGAAGATACAGCAGTGGACAAAACAAATTCTGTCATTACGGAGCCTATAATCAAGCAGAAGAAGACAGGAAAAGATCAAAGAGTAAATGTAGTACATGTATTATGTTAGGTGCTGATTAGTGCAATATCATCCCAGGGGAATCAATTTAGTTGACCAGCATGGTGATGCTACCCATATCTATCTGTGTTTCAGGCTTTAATTGTGTGTGTGTGTTTCAACTCATAAATATCTGTTATCTAGGAAAATATCTGTTATCTAGGATAGTCAGGGAAGGAGATGTTTGGGAACAAAACTGAATAAAATGAGGTCATGAGACTTGCAGATATCTGGAAGAAGAGTATTTTGAGTAAAGAAAACAGTAAATGCAAATGCTTAAGGCAGGAAGACACTTGCTTGTTGAAGGACCAGTGATGAGGTCAGAGTGACAGCAGTGACATGAAGAGGAGATGAGGCCAGAGTGGAAACTGTCGACCAAATCACAGTGTTTCACAGCATGGAAAGGAATTTGGGTTTTAATCAAAGTAAGAAAGCCATTGGAGGGTTCTGGGCACAGGAGTGACATGACATATTTGGATGTTGGGATTTTTCTCCAGCAAAACTCAGCTGTCTTAGTGCAAACTTGGAGGAAGAGCTGGAGTTGAGGTGGCAAGCACAAAGAAAAGACAGAGAGGAATTGAGTATAGAGTTTTTGTCTTTGTTGACTCTGGAATCTAATTTGAGTCAGTAAAGTCAGTAGTCAGTAAAGTCATAAAGACAGGTAGAGACCAATGGAGAGGGGTGGGAGAGAATTGTCAATGAACTTGAAGATTTGTGAGGAAAAAGAATAGTCAAACAAACTAGCAAGACCAAAAAAAGATTGTGGTCCAGGTGTGGGAGATAATGCAGCATCATGCAATCCTAAGGTCGATGTTGTAACTATGGATGAGAGTGATTAAGTGAGAAGGTTAAGAAAAAAAGAGGCAAAATGTTTGTGAATTCAACATATTATCTTTTAATATATAGTTAAATATAATTTTTCCATTAATCATACACTTAAAAAATGAATTCTAAAGAACTCCGGTAACCTTGACAAGAACATTACTGTAACTAGGGCAGAGCTCAAAGTCCTAGTTAGAACTCCTCAAAAGCAGTTTTTTTGAGTGGTACCCTGTCAAAATAACATTAATGAGGGAGGTATGTTTGGTGCTGGTGAAGTATGGGTGGGTGAATGGATATGTGGGCTCTAGGACTCTTGACACTGTTTAGGTGGCTCATAGTTGGAAATGTTTGAGAATTGATAAGTTATTTTACCACACTCATTTAATAAATAAATTCAGTGAGACCACTTAATGATTTAGATCTGGTAATTATTGATTCATCTACAGAACTTTGTCAAAATACAAACATCCAGTTCCCACCCTGAACTTAACATTTGAGAATTTTTGAGGGATAAAGTCCAAGTATATTTTTTATGTATTTATATAAATCTTCTTGGATAATGTATAGCCAGAATTGAAAAACCATTGGAATAGTGTTTAATGGACAGTTATTGATTGTGCCTGCCCATATTGGTGGCCTGCTTTTGTGGTCATGGTGACCTGACCTCAGGACACCATCACGAACCCATTCCTGGCCTAGGCGCTATTGGTAAAACTGATCCCACTCACAGCCTCAAGAAAAGCAGGTTATTACGAACTGGGTGATTTGAGGCTCACCTATTTCTTCCTATAGAGATTGTTGTAGGGATGGAGCAGGACCTAAATCAAGGTGATTATTTTCCAATCAGAGTTAATTCCAGGACTTTTGCTTCACTCATAAGATTGTGTTATTCTTATTTCTGCTGGATTTAGACCTGGGTTGATATAAGCAAATGCTGCTGTCAGGTAGCTCACCAATGTGAAGAAAGCCTTTCTGAAAAAGGACCCAGAGAGGAAAGTGGAGGCAATGTAAAGACCCATGAGCCCTACTCACAGCGCTTGCAGCACAGGGCTCAGCCATTTTTGACTTTGTATTACATGACTCTAGATTCCTTATTTGCTTAAGTAATTTGAGTTGGGTTTTCTGTAACTTGATCCTGCAGATTAACAATACCTACAAACTGGAGTGTTGTCTATAGGGGTGCTCAGGGGCTCGCCCACTTTCTAATACTCTCCTCACCCCAGGTCATGTGGTTTCATCTTCTCAGGTAGGCTTTTTGCCATGTTAGCTCAGGAAATTTATATTCAAAGAATCTGGCTCCCATTACAGGGAGACAAGAAAATAGAATCAGATAAAGATGAGAAGAAAATTGATTCTCTAGGGGATTACAATCTCTGGTAATCCCTCAACATGCTTAGATGGCTCAGCTCCTATTTGGGCCTGGTTAACAGTCCTAAAGAATCAAGGAACAAATGTATTCGTTCAATAAAAGCTATTTGTGATTGAGAATGCTAGAAATAATGGACTTGAACATAACGTTCTACACTCAGGTTTAAAATACGACATAAGCTAAACATAATTAATCTAAGATTTTTTTTCTATGTTGGCATATTTCTTACATGGTTGTTCTTCATGCCTTTTCCCAATAGATGCCCAGTTTGATACAGTCAATAATGGTGTCTGAAATAAAGTGCTAAGTACTGCATGTTGTCACAAGATAAGGAGTCACTTTCTTTCCTAGAGTAATTTTGAAGAAATCAAGTTTTTGTTGCAGGGACTATTGAGAACTGTTATAATATTAGCTTCCACATTGAGCTCCCTGCTTCTAGTCTTTTCTTGAATGTTTAGTTCCTGAAATACTGGAAGGACTTGAATAGGAGATATGTTCAGTTTTAAGGTAATCTCATTCTATGGATCCCAAGGGTAACAGTGGAAAGTAGAATTATGCATCCTAGGTTGCATATTGTCTTGCTATTCATCAGGCAAATAGCTTTTCATTTCCATGGAACATTGCTATCATTTTAGTGTCTGTAGGAGAAATCGCTCTAACAATTTCTGTACCTGGACAGAACACTAACAAACATTTCATGACACAAAGTCTGACTACCTCATAAATTGAAATGCTAGTCAGTGGATAAAACTTAAAAATGCAGCTCAAAAGTTTTGATATAATAAACGTTCCTTTATTTCTCTTGAAAATTGTATAATCTTATGACTTCTAGTGGAGGTATTGTTTAACTGCTTTTCTCAAACGTCATGATCATTTTAGAATACTGCATAATACCATTTGGCATCTGTTTTCTTTCATGAAACCATTTTCCCTAATAACCTAAAACTCCCTCTGAGCCACAATGTGTATTTTTTTAATATTAACATGAAACTCAATTTTAGAGAAATAAATAGCAAAGCACAATTGTAATTCATATCCCCAAAATTTGTGCTAACTTATGTTTTTTGTTTTTTTCTTCTTTCTTATCTGTTGTGGCTTAACAGTAAAACAACAACACAAAGCAAAATCAACAATACCAATAAGGAAAACAGTCAAAAATTGCTGACAGAAAAATACAAAGAATACTTACTCCCTGACTTAGTGCTAAATGTGTCCTAGTTAGGATGGTACATAGTCCACTGGAGTGTGGAAACCACTTTCATTTGTCACTGTCAATGGAGTCACACAGAATTGCAGGAAATTCTAAGAGTACATCTCAGCATGCTTCAAACTGTCCTGATTTATCCTTTGTCTGTGAGCAAGGAGGCACTCTCAACTGAAAGCTCAAGGTTGTTTCCTGCACTTAAAAATCTAGTTCAAGGAAAGAATGAAGCTGTAATGCAATATTTGAAATGCAAAATCCTGGCAACGAAATAATAGTTTAAAATCCAGTTCCCTCAACATTTAGTAAGTATAGAAATTACTCTAAACACACGCACACACTTAAATGAATATCTTTAAGAAATTAATTTCACTTTAACTAAAACTTAAACAACAAATAAATGAAGAGATAATTTTTTATAATACCAGGGTCCCAAACAAGCCTAAGCAGTGTTCTCTCTAGGTCTTAAGTATGTCTGACTTCAGCCGGAGCTCTGTAGGAATGGGATTGCCAGGGATCCATTTGTGTAAAGAACACTGGATCCCCCCTGGGGAAGCATCCATCTTAAGGAAAGGGCTAGACATTATACTCAAAAGATTATAAAAAGAATAATACCTTAGGACTGGAGGAGTAGGGGTGATTTGTACAACACAGAATTTCTCATCAAAATCGCCCTCCCAGTCAGCACTCCCTACTCCAGAAGAGTTTGAACCTCAATCTTAAAAGAGATTGAATAAAAAAATAAACAATAGGGGTTCCAAATGGCTGAATAGGAACAGCTCCAGTCTATAGCTCCCAGCGTGAGTGACACAGAAGACAAGTGATTTCTGCATTTCCAACTGAGGTACCGGGTTCATCTCACTGGGGCTTGTTGGACAGTGGGTGCAGCCCACAGAGAGTGAGCCAAAGAAGAGCAGGGCGTCGCCTCACCCAGGAAGCACAAGGGGTCGGGGAATTCCCTTTCCTAGCCGAGGAAAGCCATGACAGACGGTACCTGGAAAATCAGGACACTCCCACCCTAATACTGTGCTTTTCCAATGGTCTTAGCAAACGGCACAACAGGAGATTATATCCTGCGCCTGGCTCAGGGGTCCCACACCAACAGAACCTCACTCACTGCTAGCACAGCAGTCTGAGTCTGCTAGCACAAACCTCAGTAGCTGATTTGATCAAGTGGAAGAAAGGGTACCAGTGACTGAAGATCAAATGAATGAAATGAAGTGAGAAGAGAAGTTTAGAGAATAAAGAGTAAACAGAAAAGAACAAAGCCTCCAGGAAATACGGGACTATGTGAAAAGACCAAATCTATGTTTTGATTGATGTACCTGAAAGTGACGGGGAGAATGGAACCAAGTTGGAAAACACTCTGCAGGATATTATCTAGGAGAACTTCCCCAACCTAGCAAGCCAGGCCAACATTCAAATTCAGGAAATACAGAGAATGCCACAAAGATACTCCTTGAGAAGAGCAACTCAAAGACACATAATTGTCAGATTCACCAAGGTTGAAATGAGGGAAAAAAAGTTAAGGACAGCCAGAAAGAAAGGTCAGGTTACCCACAAAGGGAAGCTCATCAGACTAACAGCAGATCTCTTGGCAGAAACTCTACAAGCCAGAAGAGAGTGGGGGCAAATATTCAACATTCTTAAAGAAAAGAATTTTCAACCCAGAATTTCATATCCAGCCAAACTAAGCTTCATAAGTGAAGGAGAAATAAAATACTTTACAGACAAACAAATGCTGAGAGATTTTGTCACCAACAGGCCTGCCTTACAAGAGCTCCTGAAGGACGCACTAAACATGAAAAGGAACAACCAGTTCCAGCCACTGCAAAAACATGCCAAATTGTAAAGACCATTGATGCTAGGAAGAAACTGCATGAGCTATTGAGCAAAATAACTGGTAACATCATAATGATGGGATCAAATTCACACATAACAATATTAACCTTAAATGTAAATAGGATAAATGCTCCAATTAAAAGACACAGACTGGCAAATTGGATAGAGTCAAGACCCATCAGTGTGCTGTATTCAGGAAACCCATCTCACGTGCAGAGACACACATAGGCTCAAAATAAAGGGATGGAGGAAGATCTACCAAGCAAATGGAAAACAAAAAAAAACCAGGGGTTGCAATCCTAGTCTCTGATAAAACAGACTTTAAACCAACAAAGATAAAAAGAGACAGAGAAGGTCATTATATAATGGTAAAAGGATGAAATCAACAAGAAGAGCTAACTATCCTACATATATATGCACCCAATACAGGAGCACCCAGATTCATAAAGCAAGTCCTGAGTGACCTACAAAGCGACTTAGACTCTCACACAATAATAATGGAAGACTTTAACATCCAACTGTCAACATTAGACAGATCAACGAGACAGAAAGTTAACAAGGATATGAAGGAATTGAACTGAGCTCTTCACCAAGTGGACCTAATAGACATCTACAGAACTCTCCACCCCAAATCAACGGAATATGCATTCTTCTCAGCACCACATCACACTTATTCCAAAATTGACCGCATAGTTGGAAGTAAAGCACTCCTCAGCAAATGTAAAAGAACAGAAATTATAACAAACTGTCTCTCAGACCACAGTGCAATCAAACTAGAACTCAGGATTAAGAAACTCACTCAAAACCACTCAACTACATGGAAACTGAACAACCTGCTCTTGAATGACTACTGGTTACATAAGGAAATGAAGGCAGAAATAAAGATGTTCTTTGAAACCAATGAGAACAAAGACACAACATACCAGAATCTCTGGGATGCATTTAAAGCAGTGTGTAGAGGGAAATTTATAGCACTAAATGCCCACAAGAGAAAGCAGAAAAGATCTAAAATTGACACCCTAACATCACAATTAAAAGAACTAGAGAAGCAAGAGCAAACACATTCAAAAGCTAGCAGAAGGCAAGAAATAACTAAGATCAGAGCAGAACTGAAGGAGATAGAGACATGAAAATTCCTTCAAAAAAATCAATGAATCCAGAAGCTGGTTTTTTGAAAAGATCAATGAAATTGATAGACCGCTAGCAAGACTAATAAAGAAGAAAATAGAGAAGAATCAAATAGATGCAATAAAAAATGATAAAGGGGAGATCACCACCGATCCCACAGAAATACAAACTACCATCAGAGAATACCACAAACTCCTCTATGCAAATAAACTAGAAAGTCTAGAAGAAATGGATAAATTCCTCGACACATACACCCTCCCAAGACTAAACCAGGAAGAAGTTGAATCCCTGAAGAGACCAATAACAGGCTCTGAAATTGAGGCAATAATTAATAGCCTACCGACCAAAAAAGGGCAGGACCAGACTGATTCACAGCCGAATTCTACCAGAGGTACAAAGAGGAGCTGGTACCATTCCTTCTGAAATTATTCCAATCAATAGAACAAGAGGGAATCCTCCCTAACTCATTTTATGAGGCCAGCATCATCCTGATACCAAAGCCTGGCAGAGACACAACAGAAAAAGGGAAATTTAGACCAATATCCCTGATGAATATCGATGCAAAGATCCTCAATAAAATACTGGCAAACCGAATCCAGCAGCACATCAAAAACTTATCCATCATGATCAAGTGGGCTTCATCCCTGGGATGCAAGGCTGGTTCAACATACACAAACCAATAAATGTAATCCAGCATATAAACAGAACCAAAGACAAAAACCACATGATTATCTCAATAGATGCAGAAAAGGCCTTTGACAAAATTCAACAACACTTCATGCTAAAAACTCTCAATAAATTAGGTATTGATGGGACGTATCTCAAAATAATAGGAGCTATTTATGACAAACCCACAACCAATATCATACTGAATGGGCAAAAACTGGAAGCATTCCCTTTGAAAACTGGCACAAGACAGGGATGCCCTCTCTCACCACTCCTATTCAACATAGCGTTGGAAGTTCTGGCCAGGGCAATCAGGCAGGAGAAAGAAATAAAGGATATTCAATTAGGAAAAGAGGAAGTCAAATTGTCCCCGTTTGCAAATGACATGATTGTATATCTAGCAAACCCCAGCGTCTCAGCCCAAAATCTCCTTAAGCTGATAAGCAACTTCAGCAAAGTCTCAGGATACAAAATCAATGTGCAAAAATCACAAGCATTCCTATACACAAATAACAGACAAACACAGAGCCAAATCATGAGTGAACTCCCATTCACAATTGCTTCAAAGAGAATAAAATACCCAGGAATCCAACTTACAAGGGATGTGAAGGACCTCTTTGGGGAGAACTACAAACCACTGCTCAATGAAATAAAAGAGGACACAAACAAATGGAAGAACATTCCATGCTCATGGGTAGGAAGAATCAATATCGTGAAAATGGCCATACTGCCCAAGGTAATTTATAGATTGAATGCCATCCATCCCCATCAAGCTACCAATGACTTTCTTCACAGAATTGGTAAAAACTACTTTAAAGTTCATATGGAACCAAAAAAGAGCCCACATTGCCAAGTCAATCCTAAGCCAAAAGAACAAAGCTGGAGGCATCATGCTACCTACTTCAAACTATACTACAAGGTTACAGTAACCAAAAGAGCATGGTACTGGTACCAAAACAGAGATACAGACCAATGGAACAGAACAGAGCCCTCAGAAATAATACCACAGATCTACAACCATCTGATATTTGAAAAATCTGACAAAAACAAGCAATGGGGAAAGGATTCCCTATTTAATAAATGGTGCTGGGAAAACCGGCTAGCCACATGTAGAAAGCTGAAACTGTATCCCTTCCTTACACCTTATACAGAAATTAATTCAAGATGGATTAAAGACTTAAACATTAGACCTAAAACCATAAAAACCCTAGAAAAAAACCAAGGCAATACCATTCAGGACATAGGCATGGGCAAGGACTTCATGACTAAAACACAAAAGCAATGGCAACAAAAGCCAAAATTGACAAATGCAATCTAATTAAACTAAAGAGCTTCTGCACACAAAAAGAAACTACCATCAGAGTGAACAGGCAACCTAGAGAATGGGAGAAAATTTTTACAATCTATCCATCTGACAAAGGGCTAATATCCAGAATCTACAAAGAACTTAAATAAATTCACAAGAAAAAATCAAACAACCCCATCAAAAAGTGGGTGAAGGATATGAACAGACACTTCTCAAAAGAAGACATTTAATGCAGCCAACAGACACATGAAAAAATGCTCATCATCACTGGCCATCAGAGAAATGCAAATCAAACCCAAAATGAGATACCATCTCAGGGTTAGAATGGCAATCATTAAAAAGTCAGGAAACAACAGGTGCTGGAGAGGATGTGGAGAAATAGGAACACTTTTACACTGTTGGTGGGACTGTAAACTAGTTCAACCATTGTGGAAGACAGTGTGGTGATTCCTCAAGGATCTAGAACCAGAAATACCATTTGACCCAGCCATCCCATTACTGGGTATATACCCAAAGGATTATAAATCATGCTGCTATAAAGACGCATGCACACGTATGTTTATTGCGGCACTGTTCACAATAGCAAAGACTTGGAACCAACCCAAATGTCCATCAATGATAGACTGGATTAAGAAAATGTGGCACATATACACCATGGAATACTATGTAGCCATAAAAAATGATGAGTTCATATCCTTTGTAGGGACATGGATGAAGCTGGAAACCATAATTCTGAGCAAAGTATGGCAAGGACAGAAAGCCAAACACCACTTGTTCTCACTCACAGGTGGGAATTGAACAATGAGAACACTCGGACACAGGGTGGGGAACACCACACACCAGGGCCTGTATTGTGATGGGGGGCTGGGGAAAGGATAGCATTAGGAGATATACCTAACGTAAATGACAAGTTAATGGGTGCAGCACACCAACATGGCACATGTATACATATGTAACAAACCTGCAGGTTGTGCACATGTACCCTAGAACTTAAAATATAATAAAAAAAGAAAAAATAATAATAAACAAATAAAAACATGATTTTGTAGTCCTCTCAGTGAATTATGAAGAGATCATGAACCTGACGGTATTACTTTGTAGCTTATGTTATGAATTTAGCCAAAACAGGAGAAGGAGACTTTATTTGAAATTACTGTGGATTACTGCTGTGGAATATTCAAATATAGAATAGGCAGAGTAGCTTGAACCATCGATTGAACCGGTCACCATCTGGAGTGAAAAAGGACAGGGCCTAACCACTTGGAAGACATCAGTGTCTCTCAGTGGGAGTTGAGAGGAGAAAAATGGCAAGTTCAATAAGTGTGTATAAGAATCTGATTATCTAAAACGGAACCAGCAGTCTTCATAAATAGGTAGGGAATTCCATTGGCAAAAGTGCAGGAAGAGGAATTACTGTTTTGTGACCCTATTGGAACATTGCTTTCCCCTCAAGGCCAAAGTGGCTTCGGAAACATGCCTACCTTTTCATTATAAAAGGAGTCTTCATTTTAATAAAAGATTCATCTCAGAGTTTTTTTTTTTTTTTTTTTTTTTGAGACGGAGTCTCGCCCTGTCACCCAGGCCGAACTGCGGACTGCAGTGGCGCAATCTCGGCTCACTGCAAGCTCCGCTTCCCGGGTTCACGCCATTCTCCTGCCTCAGCCTCCCGAGTAGCTGGGACTACAGGCGCCCGCCACCGCGCCCGGCTAATTTTTTGTATTTTTAGTAGAGACGGGGTTTCACCTTGTTAGCCAGGATGGTCTCGATCTCCTGACCTCATGATCCACCCGCCTCGGCCTCCCAAAGTGCTGGGATTACAGGCGTGAGCCACCGCGCCCGGCCTCATCTCAGAGTTATTTAAAACAGTGACACTATAATTGCTTTTACCAAAAAGTTTGAGCTAGAGACAATTTTTCCAGAACTATCTCCATGAACAAGGACATTTTGCACTTTTGATTGTCATGGCAATCATCCATGGGAAAAAAAGATTGGAAACTAGTGACTTTTATTTGAAGATTACTACACTGAGTAAAATGTAATTTTGCTAGAAATAAAAATGGACACATACATGCCTCTTCTCTTCCTATATCTGAAAGTGTCTGGGTAGCATACTTGTGGATACCAGAGCATGAATGAAGCATCACTTCATAATTTACATAATGAAGAAATCAACTACTAAGAGAATAACTTTTTGAGAATAATTTAATAGAAATGGTGCATGAAGATAGCTGCCCAATTTTTATAATGGTGTCAATATAGAATATTAAATTTTTTATGTGTGTCTTTTCACAGAGGACTCAATTTTTGTTTGATATAATTTGCTAACTTTCTCACTATTAATTAAAAAGGTTTTAGTGTTAAACTGGAGACTAATAAGTTCATCTGATCAGTTGTTTAAATTATCACATATTATTTCTCTTCTTGAGATAAGTGTTTATGATCCTGTTCATGAAAATTTTTAAAAAGGGTAGGTTCCAAATGGCTTAACAAATGAGAAAATAACTAAAGGTGGGAAAATAGAGCTAGAAGATAGCAGAGGTGGACATTCAGTCCATTACTTATATACGTTAGGTCAAGACTACCATGTTGCAACTTGATTTTCATTTCTCCTATTTGTACCATCCTCATTTCCTGCCTTGTTTTGGATTAATTTTACTTAATTATGTATATTGGCTTTTTAGTCCTGCCCTTTTGATTAGTTTTTATTTTTCCACAGAGATTACAATATATATTCTTAACTTATAACAGTCTACATTGGATTTTATCATTTCACAAAATAAGAACCTGAAAACAATAGAATGCCATTATATCTCCTTCCCTTTGTGCTATTATTGTCACAAATTTTACTTCCACAAATGTTAAAACTCCAAAATCCACAGTTAACTTTTTTCCATGAGCAGCTAATGGTCTTTAAAAAAATTGTACACATATTCCCAAATATTTACTTTTCCCTGTGACTCTGAATTAGTGCTAATTATTTCGGAATCCCGAAAGACTACTATGATTCATTAGTAAAAATGGAGAGTGACAATTATTACTGTTTTTCTTTTGAATATGTGTCTTTTTACTTTGGGTGAGTTTTAAGATTTTCTTCTTTACCTTTTTTTAACCCTTGATTTTTTAG
This sequence comes from Homo sapiens, assembly GCF_000001405.40. NCBI lineage: Eukaryota > Metazoa > Chordata > Mammalia > Primates > Hominidae > Homo > Homo sapiens. Next base: position 41,602,619 of record NC_000005.10, on the reverse strand, counting down.
TAGATTGATTATAATGTTTCTATATGTGTTGCCTTTTTTGAATCTATGAGTTAATGTCTTACTGATTCTGAAAAATCCTTTAACATAATCTATATATATATACGTATATGTGTATACATATATAACATTTTTTTTCTTTTTTTTTTTTTTCGAGACGGAGTCTCCCTCTGTCGCCCAGGCTGGAGTGCAGTGGCGTGATCTCAGCTCACTGCAAGCTCTGCCTCCCGGGTTCACGCCATTCTCCTGCCTCAGCCTCCCGAGTAGCTAGGACTACAGGCGCCCACCACCACGTCCTGCTAATTTTTTGTATTTTTAGTAGAGATAGGGTTTCACCATGTTAGCCAGGATGATCTCGATCTCCTGACCTCATGATCCGCCCGCCTCCCAAAGTGCTGGGATTACAGGCGTGAGCCACTGCGCCCGGCCGATCTATTTATATATTTTGTTTGCCTCATTCCCTCTCTCTCTTTCAATGTGTGTATGCATACATGCATGTACATATGTATGTATATGTATTTATATATACAGTTGTCCTTCCATATTCATGGATTCTGCATCCATGGATTTCATAAACCAAAGATTGAAAATATTTTTCTAAAAACAGTGCATCTGTGCTAAACATGTATGGACTTCTTTTCTTGCCATTATTCCCTAAAGAGTATAACAATGATTTAGACAGCATTTACAGTATTTTAGGTATTATAAATAATTTAGTGATTTAAAGTATACAAAAGAATGTGTGTAGGTTATATGCAAACACCACAGCATTTTGTAACAGGGACTTAAAGATTTCTAGATTTTAGTATCCACAAGAGGTCCTGGAGCCAATCCTCCACAGATGGTGAGGATGAACTGTGTATGTAAAATATGTGCGTTTTTATGTATATATATTACATTTTTTGGTGGTTCTGTTTGGATAATTTCTATTGACTTATCTGAGTTTACTGATCTTTTCTTCTGCTCTGTTATGTCTGCCATTGACCCTATTATATGAATTCTTCATAGGGTATATTATACTCTCAGTTCCAGAAATTTCCCTTTGTTTACTTCTTAATTTTTTTATTTCTCCGCTGAGATTCATTATCTTTTTTACTCATGGTATCTACCTTTTAATCTTATTTCTGCAACATATTTATAATAGGTATTTTTAAGTTCTTGTTTTCTAATTCTTGCACCTGGATTTTCTGTGAGTCTACTTCACTGAACAGTTTTTTTCTTCTGCTGGATGGTATATTCCTACTTTGGCTTATATGAAAATTATTTTGATATGTTAGATATTGTGTATAAAAAAGTAGAGATTGAAATAAATAGTATTTAGCTCCAGAAAGTGTACAATGTTTCATCTGTCAGGGGTTAGGAGCTGATTTCTTCTCATTATGAATTAACCTAGGTCAGGATTGGGCTGTATTTAATTTCAGTTCGCCACCAGTTACAAATGCCCTCAGAGCAGATTTAGGTTACTTCTTCCAGCAAGGCTTGAGTTTTAGGCACTTTGAGACTATACTTACTCAACTTTTCTGCCCAGCCTGCAGTATCCTGTACCATGGAATATAGCCAGTGGTGTGCTGGTAAATGCTTAATGAACTGTCCTAAAAAGAAAGTCTAATTTGCAGCATCTGCTGATGTCTGTAGTATGAATGCTGCCACCATGTGCAGTTTCAGTCTACTGACATGTTACTGAATGCAGACTCAGGAAGAGACATACATAATTGGTTCTCATGCACTGGTACGGGCTCCATCAATCACTGGATATTCCTTTTTGCTTAACAGCTCCTGCAAGCAGCCACACACTCAGTAAAGAAAGAAATCCGTTGGGGAAACAATGGGCAAGGTGAGCTAGTTCTGCCTGGGGCTTCTTCACTGTCTCATCTATAGCATATCCCACAGGGTTATTAAATTTTAGCTGGTTTCTTCAGGTTGGGGCAAATTCTCCTGGTGTGTGGTGGGCTTACTTCTCAGTGCCCTGTGACCCCAAGAAATGAAAGAACCTTCCAGACTGTGCTCACATAGGGATTGTCCCTCTCTGAGTTTTGGTCATTGAGGTGTCTGTGCATCTTTATCTCTCTGATGCATTTTTAAAAATATGATTTATAGTTTATTCAGTATTTTCTTAAATTTCTATATTATAGCCAGATTATTTCTTGTTGATGATGACAAACAATATGTCAGAAATTTTCAGCAAATTGGTCTAATGTTTTTCTGTTTATAGTAATTAAAGGAGGTTATATATGGTTTTGACATTCAATACAAAGTGAACATTTAATTTTTCATTCATTAATTCACTATTTATTCATTTTCCAATATATATTGATTAGACCTTGGATCTATATACTCATTATTAGTAAATGTGTAGAATTTAGTCACGAATTCTTTATTTCACAACTAAGCTTAAACATACCATGTAGTGAAACAAAATAACCTAACTGAAAGGTAGCATAGTAAGGCATTCTTGTTTAAAATAAATAAAGAAATAAAAATGTATACATGTACACAGTTTGAAGATAAAAATGGTTGTTTACCATACAAGGTCTTGTATGAAAAACAGTAGATGCCACTGTTACCCTGACTTCCTGCTGCTCAGAGACAATTAAACTTTCTTTTTTTTTTTTTTTATTATTATTATACTCTAAGTTTTAGGGTACATGTGCACATTGTGCAGGTTAGTTACATATGTATACATGTGCCATGCTGGTGCGCTGCACCCACTAATGTGTCATCTAGCATTAGGTATATCTCCCAATGCTATCCCTCCCCCCTCCCCCGACCCCACCACAGTCCCCAGAGTGTGATATTCCCCTTCCTGTGTCCATGTGATCTCATTGTTCAATTCCCACCTATGAGTGAGAACATGCGGTGTTTGGTTTTTTGTTCTTGCGATAGTTTACTGAGAATGATGGTTTCCAATTTCATCCATGTCCCTACAAAGGATATGAACTCATCATTTTTTATGGCTGCATAGTATTCCATGGTGTATATGTGCCACATTTTCTTAATCCAGTCTATCATTGTTGGACATTTGGGTTGGTTCCAAGTCTTTGCTATTGTGAATAGTGCCGCAATAAACATACGTGTGCATGTGTCTTTATAGCAGCATGATTTACAGTCATTTGGGTATATACCCAGTAATGGGATGGCTGGGTCAAATGGTATTTCTAGTTCTAGATCCCTGAGGAATCGCCACACTGACTTCCACAATGGTCGAACTAGTTTACAGTCCCACCAACAGTGTAAAAGTGTTCCTATTTCTCCGCATCCTCTCCAGCACCTGTTGTTTCTGATCATTATTTATTTATTGTAATTTCTCTAAAGAACATGCTTTATATTGGTACTTCTTGGTTTTCCACTTTTAGAATTTATCTATTATCTTCCCACTCGGAAGATTTTCTCTTTTCTATTGTTCTGTTTACTACATGTACTAATTTCTTGTGTTTTTCTGAGTAACCGTCTTTAAAAAAAATCCAGTCTCTTTGTCTTTTAAGGAGAGTTTAGTGTATTTATATTTACTATGATAACAAATATATTTGATTTATTTATATCATTTTATTTTGTTCTTTTATCGTTCTACATTTTCTGTTTCTCTGCCCTCCCTCATTTCTTGCATCTTTTTGGATTAGATATTTCGTTTTTCTCATGATGCTTTCCACCTCCTCTGCTAGTTTGAACATTATTAAATCTGTGGCAGAGACAATGCTGTGTTCAAGTCCTATCTTACATTCCTCTTTCTGGGTGCCCAGAAACACTGTTTCTTTATCTCTCTTATAGTTATATTGGGAAGTTTCAGGCCCATAAACTGGCAAATAAAATTGTTGTCTACTTTCTAGAAGTTGCTCTAGGTATTTTAGAACAAATAATTTAACAAGTCTGGAATTAATAGCTCTTGCCACCTCAAAAATAATTCAGTAATCTTTGACTGTTCTAATTCCAGACACCTTCTTCCCTGCCCCCCCAATTTAAATGCTAACTTAACCCAATATTTCAGCTTTTGCTTTCTTTTTGTTTAACCAGGTTAATTTCTATTATTCTTTTCTTATATAGTCAATGTTTGTTTAGATCCCCACATATCTACTCATCATCTTTATTTTTTTCCTCACCTCTTCTACTTAGTATGAGGTGGTGATGGTTAATTTTATGTGTTAACTTCACTGGGCCAAAGTCTGCCCATATATTTGGTCAGAAATGATTCTGGGTGTTTCTTTGAGGATGTTTTGAATGAGATTAATATTTAAATTGGCAGACTAAGTAAAGCAGATTGTTCATCCTAATTTTGGTGAACCTCATCCTATCAGTTGAAGGCCTAAATAGAACAAAAAGTCTGACCATTCCCCAAGCAAGAGGGAATGCCTCTTGCTAGACTGCTTTCAAACAGACTGGTTTTTGTCATGCCTCTGGACTTCAACTGACACTTCAGTTCTCCCTGGGTTTCATGCCTGTGGGCTGTTCTGGAATGTGACCATTGGCTCTCCTGTTGGTTGTTGGCCTTCACAATTACTTGAGCCAATTTCTCATAATAAATCTCTCTCTCTCTTTCTTTCTCTGGAAAGATGGACAGATAGATAGGTAGAGATAGATATATAGAGATAGATAGATTGATAGATAGATGATAGAGATATAAATAGTGAAGTTTATTTTTAGCTATCAGGCTGACTGGATTAAGAGATCCCTATATAGGTGATCAAGCATTATTTCTAGGTGTATCTGTGAGAGTGTTTCCAGAGGATATTGGCACATGAGATGCCATACTGAGTGGGAAAGATCTGTCCTCAATGTGGGCAGGCACCATCCAGTTGGCTGGCAGCCTGGATAGAGTAAAAGGCAGAGGAAGGCTGGGTGCAGTGGTTCATGCCTGTAATCCCAACATTTTGGGAGGCTGGGTGGGTGGATCACTTGAGATCAGGAGTTCGAGACCAGCCTGGCCAACATAGTGAAACCCCACCTCTACTAAAAATACAAAAATTAGCTGGCATGGTGGTGTGCGCCTGTAATCCCAGCTACTGGGGAGGCTGAGGTCTTGGGATTATTTGGATGCCAGAGGCAGAGGATGTAGTGAGCTGAGATCACGCCACTGTACTCTAGTCTGGGTGACAGAGGGAGACTACATCTCAAAACAAACAAACAAAACAAAACAAAACAAAACAAAATAAAACAAAGCAAAACACTAAAAGGCAGAGGAAAGGAAGTTTTTTTTCTCTTGCCCTTGGATATCAGAACACCATTCCCTCTGGCCTTTTGGACTCCAAGACATGCACTGGTATCCCCCTGGGTTCACGGTCCCTCAGCCTCAGGCTGACTTATACAACTGGCTTACCTAGTTCGGAGGCTTTTGGACTTGGACTGAGCCACACTACTGACATCCCTGGGTATCCAGCTTGTAGATGGCCTGCCCTGGGATTTCTCAGTCTCCAGAATTGCATGAGCCAATTATCCTAATAAATCTCCTATCTATCTATCTATCTATCTATCTATCTATCTATCTATCATCTATCTATCTCTATCTTCTATTTATCTCCTATGAGTTCTCTCTCCCTTAATAACCCTGACTAATACACACACACACACACACACACACACACACACACACACACAATTGATTCTGTTTTTCTGGAAAATCCCTGAGTAATACACATAAGATTTTTTTTTCTGACTGAAATACACATATTAAGCTTTTATTAGAGATTGTCTTTTTGCAGCAAACTCAGTTATTTTAATTGAATATACCTTATATATTGTAATTTGTGAAAGATAGTGTCACTCTAATTCATGAGAAATAGTATCACTTGAAAGATAATTTCAATATAGACTTATAGGTGACTAAAACTGCCTACTCAAGCCTGGGCAATGGCAGACACCCCTCCCCCCGCTATGCTCCAGTGTCTCAGGTCGTTCTCAGACTGCTGCACTAGCAGCGAGAATTTCAAGCCAATGGATCTTAGCTTGATGGGCTCTATGGGCATAGGACCCACCGACCCAAGCACCGGAGGGAATCTCCTGGTCTGTCAGTTGCAAAGACAGTGGGAAAAGTGCTGTCTCTGGGCAGAAGTGTACCATTCCTCCCAGTACAGGCTCTTATGGCTTCCTTTGGCTAGGAAAGGGAAATACCCTGACCCCTTGTGCTTCCTGGGTGAGGCGATGCCCCATCCTGCTTCAGCTCACCCTCTGTGGGCTGCACCCACTGTCCAACCAGTCCCAATGAGATGAACCAGGTACCTCAGTTGAAAATGCAGAAATCACCCATCTTCTGTGTCGTTCTTGCTTGGGAGCTGCAGACCAGAGGTGTTCCTATTCTGCCATCTTGCCAGAATCCTAAATTTTCAAGCTTATAAAAGATATGATTTTATCATCTTCTGGCCTTTGTTAGTTTGTTATGAAGTCAGCTGTTACACTAATCGTAATTTCCCCTTTAGATCATCTCTCTGTGATGTTCTGTGGTTTGTTCATAATGTTTCTTGGCATGGCTGTTTTTATTTGCTTGGGATTTTTTTTTTTTGCTTTAATCTTTTTCAACAATTCTAGAAAATTCTACGGTGTTGCACCTTCAGATCTTACCTTCTCTCCATTTCTAAATTGTCTCCTTCTGGTATCATAATTAGGTATGTTGATCTACATATTTTATCTTCTATGTCCCTTAACTTCTCTTTCATGTTTTCCATCTTTTGGTCTCTATAGGTTGCATTATAAATAATTTTTAAATTTTTAATTCTACAGTTCTCTCTTTAGCTATATTTAATTGGCTTTTATCTCTTACATTTCATTTTTAATTCATATTATTATATTCTTTACTTCCTGAATTTCTATTTGGTTCTTTTTTGTCTTTTTATGGTCACTTGTATCTTGCTCATATTTTCAAGTCATTTTTGTGTCTTAAACCATATTAGATGTACCTATTAGATGGTAGATAATTTCAGGAATTTAAGTATTTCCTAGATGGCGTCTGATGTCTGTTGTTTGTGATTTTTGGCTGTAAACACATGACCCTTGGAACATAGTCTTCAAGAATTTTTGGGGAACTTAGTTGAAATTTCATTTCTTTGGAACAAAGTTTCAATTGCTTCTGCTAGATGTCTTTGGCCACATTAAATTAAATTTCTAACTTAAGGGCATTTCCCCTACCTTCCAGAGACCCCACCCGACAGGTTGAATATGGGGACAAAAACTTGTCAGGGAAGTCTTTGTATTCATCAGTTTTCAGGAAAGATTCTATCCATTTCAACCACAGGATAAAGATAGGCAAGTTTCCTTGCTGTCTTTTTCTGCACAGAGAGCTTATTTCTTGTTTATGTTGTACAGATTGTATAAGCCTATGGTACTCCAGTTTTATGTCTAGTTCCCTTATTAGAATGTTCTAAGCCTTGAGTAGACCCTAGGCTTTATTTTCTTTATCCAGAATTCTTATTATCCTTCAAAACAGAAGTGTGTCAGCAGATACTATCAGGCTTTGGCATGCACCAACATCCGGAGTTTCCACCTTCAGTTAATTTTTTGTCATTGCTAGTTCAGGGACTTGTTTAGAATTGTTTTTAAAATACTTTCCTCAGCTTTTAAATTTGTTTTAATATGTGTTTAGGGCATATTGTTTGATCTCTGCCAGATGCCAGGTGAATGATGATAGAAATTTCTCAATAAAGCTGGTCACAAGTCTTTGCTATTGTGAATGTCCAACAACGATAGACTGGATTAAGAAAATGTGGCACATATACACCATGGAATACTATGCAGCCATCAAAAATGATGAGTTCATGTCCTTTGTAGGGACATGGATGAAGCTGGAAACCATCATTCTCAGTAAACTATCGCAAGGACAAAAAAACCAAACACCGCATGTTCTCACTCATAGGTGGGAATTGAACAGTGAGAACACATGGACACAGGAAGGGGAACATCACACACCGGGGACTGTTGTGGGGTCGGGGGAGGGGGGAGGGATAGCATTAGGAGATATACCTAATGCTAAATGATGAGTTAATGGGTGCAGCACACCAACATGGCACATGTATACATATGTAACAAACCTGCACATTGTGCACATGTACTCTAAAACTTAAAGTATAATAATAATAAAATTTAAAAAAAAAGAAAAAAAAGCTGGTCACAAAGCACATCATTTGCCATGACCAATTGCACTTTGCAAAATCAATTTCTTTAATCAAAAGATGGGCAGTTTTTATTGCCAATGATATTTAGATTCAGCAGACTAAATACTTAGATAATGTACTTCTGACAGTGATTGGAAGGACCCTTTGACAAATTGTAACAGATAAGTATGTTATTTATGTGTTTATATGGCAAGAAAATGAACTTTTTCACTTTTAAAATTGTTAACTAATGCATTTAGTCTTTACAACAGTTCCTGTATAAATGAGGGAGATATTAATTTTGTAAAGACAATAATTATGATGCTGTTTCTGATGTCCATGTGAGCTTATTTAGGTCTTTAATATTTTGAACCTATTGACTACATATTTTTACGGCATATTTCAGCTTTGTAACTAACGAGATCAGAGCTATAAAATGCAAATGAAAAATAATTATTTTATAGTTAAAATTATGAATTTAGTAAATTCAGGCTGTTTAGGGTCTTTAATTGGTACTAGGGACTCCCAAATGTGTATAAAGGCACCAGAATGGATCTCAGGGATCTGGATCTGTCTCTGATCTGTGATGGAAGTAAATTGCCTTACCTTTCAAGATCCCAGCTGTAAAATATCAACATTGTATTTTTTTCTAAAAGATAAAATCTTTCATAGAAATAAAAGTTTCAATTACATTAAAATTTACATTGTGCATGTGTAACCTAAGAGAAAAATTAATAAATAATGAATAAATAATAAAATATTATAAACCTGCCACAAAGTAACTAAAGTTACTACTGTTTCAGTCAAGGTTTTTTATCTGGCCTTTCTGATTGAAATAAACATTTTCCTGTCAAGTTGGTTTGTTTAATCTTGATAGGTCTTATTTCCTACTAAGGACAAAACAGGCTGGGCGTAGTAGCTCACGCCTGTAATCCCAGCAATTTTGAAGGCGGAGGCAGGTGGATCACATGAGGTCAGGAGTTCAAGACCAGCTTGGCCAACAGGGTAAAACCCCATCTCTACTAAAAATACAAAAAAAATTAGACGGGCATGGTAGTGTGCCTGCAGTCCCAGCTACCCAGGAGTCTGACGCAGGAGAACTGCTTGAACCTGGAGGCAGAGGTTGCAGTGAGCCAAGATCGTGCCACTGCCCTCCAGTCTGGGTAACAGAGTAAGACTCCATCTCAAAGAAAAACAAAAAAATTTTTTAAAAAATTAAAAAAAATAAATTTGCCTGGAGGAAGGGAAATAGATAGCTACAGAAGGTATGATTTTCTTGTATGTGGTAACACAAAGCTAAAGAAAGTTAATGCAGTGAATATTTAGCTTTAGGTTAAAAAATATATTGCTTGACTAATGATGAGTCAAATCCATCAATATAAAATCTGTAGGAAATAAATAAAAATTACTACATTTAGGTTCAATAATTCAGCCTCGTAAGTATATTTTTAGGAGAACGGAACCTGAAATGATTAAGACAGAAATAGAGGGATTTTTAAGTGACAAAGTTATTTGCTTTTTAAAGACAATAATGGAACATAGTCTAATGATCCGATTAAATTTTGGGATTCAGATCATGGGACACTGGTCCCTTTTTCCTTTGTACAGTTCCTGTCATGGCTGACTTGCTGTATTCCATTCTGATTGCTAAATTATTAGAGGTTCATTTACTTCTCACAAATAAGTGAAACATGGTACTGGGATTGGGCAAACATGTCCCATTAAAATGATTAGTAAATCTTGGCATATTTAGCCAAGAGTAGAAAACAGATTGTATAAAAACTTACACTAATTACTTCTTCTCATTTCTTTCACATCTTATTATTGTTGAATTTTCGCAAAAGTAAGTTATTTGTCCTCTCTTTTTCATATATCCTAACTCCATTGGCCATTGCATCTGATCTCATGGCTTCAAATACCATCTATATACTGGCAACTGCCACATGTATATCTCTATCCCTGGCCTCTCCCAGGAACTCTAGAGTCTCATATTCAACTGTTCACTTGATTTTCATATGGATGCATAATACATGTTTCAAACATAATAATAAAACTCCCTTTTTTTGATTGCCTTCATCCCCTACCTCCAAACCTGCTTCTTATGCATTCTTCCCCATATAAATTAGTGACAACTAATCCTTCATCTGCTCAGATCAAAACTACTGAAGTCATGCTTGATTCCACTGCTTCTCTCTGATCACTGCAGAAGGGACATGAGGCATGGCAGATTTGTGGGAAGAAGAAGGAGGATAGGCATAGATAAAGGAGGAGCCAGTCTTATTTTAGAATATGTATAGGAAGCCTTAGAAAGTACATGTTAGGAAGAGACATTTGACAGTGAAGACTCATCACTAGATGTGCCTTTCAAGGAGAGTCCTGCAGTTCTGGACACTTGCTGCTCATGTCAGGTCTGTGGCTGAAGGAGAGAAGGGCATGATAAAAATTACATTCTAAAATGGGTAGCCTCCTCTAGGAATTGTTGGTTCAAGATGTTTGAGAGTCTGACTCTACGAATACCCTGGAATATTGGCAACTATGAGGCACACAGCGATGCCTGTTTTTGGTGACACTGAGAACAAAGCTGCTAATGATGGCTTCACCCACACTTTGCAATGCAAAACCCAACACCTGTGACTGTTCAGTCTTCTGTTATTGTGAAAGTAATTATACTATTCATGGAACACAATAATCTGCAATATTTCTCAGAGGAATAAAAAAATTTTACCTCTCTTGGTTTAATTTCCAGAGCAAAATTCAACATCTTTACTGCTTTACAGGAAAAACCAGACTAAAATAAAAAACACACTGACAACTAAGATGAGCAGAAGATGGCTATGGGTCTCATTAAATATATTTAGTTTTAATTTTCCTTCTCATTTGTCTTTTGTATAGATACAGTGTGTTTTAACAACTGGTATTTAATCTACTATAATTGTTCATTGTTCCATGCATAAAAAATTCTTTCATTTCCTATATACTGACAGTGCCCTTGCATGAATATGCTACAATTGATGGAGCAAAATTGGGTGTTCATTTGCCTTGATATTTACTATTAGGGCCCACTGAAATACAGGATGTGCCAAAGTTTACTTGAGTCTAATATAAATGTGACTATGGCTAAATATCAAGCAAACGAAGACAGGTGCAAAAATTCTTTGTTACTTATTATATCAAAAGCACTTAATACTTTACATATATTGTCTCATTAATCCTCAAAAATAACCTCAAGTATAAATTACTTGTTTCTATTTTGTAAATGAGGGCAATGAGTTTTGTGGAAGTTTCAATAATTTGTTTGAGGACACACAACTAATAAATGGTAGAGCCTAAAGTTTAAACCCATCTTTTCACTTTTCTTCAAAGCCCTTAGTTACTACACTGTGATGCTTCTCCTCCCACAAAAAGGAAAGAATAAAACAAAAAAAGTGTCATAAAGAATCATAAAGAAGGCTGAGTTGCCTTCCTTTTTAGGAGGCCTGGAGAACATCCAGGGTGAGGGTAGACAGATAGAGGAAGTCTGAGAAGACAAAGAGTTGAGACATCTGCGACTTTTACTTGAATGTTTGCAGGCTTGTGGCCACGGCCTTAATGAAAGTGAAAAAGAGAATATGCAAAGATGGAGGCATTTAAATGAAAACACATTCCCAGAATATTGCTCGGGACAAAGATGTTTTGCTATGGTCTTCATGGACAAGGTTGTTGTTCACTACCACTCCAGCAGACTCATCAGCAAGGTTAGTGGAAGAAAAAAGGCAACGATGTTTCAACAGGTCAACTTATAACAAGGACTAGAACCCAAGTGGATTTACAGCTAGGAAGAAGTGGGTTGGGTTGACTGACCACATAATAACCTAGGTATACTGAGTGGGATACATGTTTGTCCCAGTTTAATTAAGGATCTGATTGAAATAATTGGCTTTTAGATATTTTAAGTTTGCTTGGACTGAAATGAAAATTCCCAAAGTTTTGCCATTAATTAACATGGCAAAGTACTTTGAGATCATAGCTTCTCTCTGGCTTTTAAGATCAAAATTCTTCTTGCCTTATTATTGCCAAAAGAGTCCATTAGGTAAGGGAAAATAGCAAAAGTAATAGGAGGTCATTGCCATATTAATTGTGATTTTTCTGATAATTTGTTTAAAAAGAAATATAAGTAACTGGCAAAATAAAAAAAGAGTTTGTGTCTGTCTGCCTGGTGTAAATAATACATTATATTGTTTCTGTGGGTTGTGAATAAACAGTTCAGTACCTTTTCAGTATTAATGCTTAAGGAATTACATAAGAGTCCATAATGCCAAGTTGTAAAAGCTTAGACCAAAAAAAGCTATGTTTAAGTTTTATAATGATTAGGAATCATTCATTCAAAACCAAGACAAAGGCAGGCCTTGTCATCCTCACTGTCATTCTTGTGGAAGTGAAAATTGTTTCCTAAATTAAACAAAGTAGTTTATTTGCAGACACATGTTGAAACCACACATATACATAAGAAACAAATGTTTTAATGATGTTTCTTTCTTTTTGGAAGTTGGAAATTGTATTAGTTTAATATGGCTCATGTAACATATTATCAGAAAGTTGGTGTCTTCCAACCATGGAAATTTATTCTCTCACAGTTTTGAAATCAAGTTGTTGGCAGGGCCATGCTTTCTCCCAAGGCTCCAAGGGAGGATTCTTCCTTGCCCTTCTCCTACCTTCTGGTGGCTGCTGATAATTCTTGGTGTTCCTTGGCTTTTAGATGAAATCAGTCTCTGCCTTGACTGTCATATGGCCATCTCTTTATATGCCTCTGTCTTGTGTCTCAATTTCCATCCTGTCATGAGAATACTCGTCATTATATTAGGGCCCACCCTAATACAGTATGACCTCACCTTAACATGATTCATCTGCAGAGACCCTATTTCCAAAAAATGTCATATTCATAGGTACCAAAGATTATCACTTGATCATATGTTTTGGTGGACACAATTCAACCAGTACAGAAATTCAGTAGAAATATTATACTATTAGTTATTTACATAATTCTGTGGTCTAGATCCCAAAAGTATGACTCTGCTTTTTGTGTATTTCCATTCTCATCAGCTTTCTCTCTCAGGTACCCTGAAGCAAGTGTCCCCTCATCCTCTAGTTTTTACAAAGTAAAAAACAAAGAATCAGAGAAATCTTGGACCAAGAGCAGCATATTAGCATTTGGGGCCTAGAGTCTAGTCAAAAAAACAGAAATCTTAGCAGTTATTTTAACTGAGAGAATTTAAGGAATTGGGAGCTGAAAAGGCAAAAAAGAAGCATGGAGGTGACCCAGATCTAGTAAATGCTGGAGGAACAAAGGGAAGTGGTTGGAATAGGTACTTGGGAAAGGGGCTTAACAGAGTTGGGACTCAGACCCCTATTGGAGGTAACATGGGGCCATCAGTGCTGGTGTCTTTAAAGGGTACAATGAAGCTAGTTCTATGAGTGTGGAAAAATTGGAAGCCAGATCCACTGCCACTGCTCAGGTGAACTGCTTTGCTGTGGTGAACCTGGTGGGAGCAGTGTCCACTTAGCAAGGAACACATGTCTTTTCCTTCTGCCTACCCTCAGCATCCCTTTTTGTACCTTCTTTAGGGAGAGCTGAACTGGGAGACATCCAGCAAAGGGGAGACAATGGTTGGAAGAGTCCCAGACCCAGCATCGCAATGCAAATGTGGAAAGGTGGGTTTGAAGCTGAAAGATATATCTCAATAATCAGCAGATGCAAATTTACAGGGCCAGATTTTCAGATTGGAAAGATTAACTCACACTGAAAGCTGGTAGAAAGAGGGGAAATGGGGAAACTAATGAGAACTGGAGAGAAACACGCAGAGGAAGTGGGAAAGGCAAGAAAGACTGACTTTTCAGGAAGTATATTAGAATGGATAAAGTTTATTGATCACCAACATCAAATATTTTTAAACCCTAAACTGAGAGTTTTATGTTTATTTTCTATTTTTTATTTATTTTTATTTTTTAGAGACAGAGCCTTACTCTGTTGCCCACGCTGGAGTGCAGTGGAGTGATCATAGCGCACTGTAACCTCCAACTTCAGGAATTGAGAGTTTTGAACTTAAACACTTTAGACGGAGATGAGAACATGAAGGGAAAATCTCATCTTCTATTCAAGAAGGAAATAAACAGATCCAGGTGGAATTTCTTCCATGGCCTGGGAAGCTGCTGTGTATAAATTCCAGAAGCAGGGGACCACTACTATTAACTGTTATATGCTGATGTACTATGCACTGAGGGGAATACAAAACAAATAGCACATGTACAATCAATTGATGTGAAAATCAATGCATTAGGACTTCAGAGAACAAACAGACTGCACCCCATATTGCAGTGTTTCTCAACCTTTTTTTTTCTATCATTACCCCCCTAAGGAGCTTTCAGACTTTTTCCCCCTATTTATTCCCTCCTCCCATAAAACGTTGATACATTGCACATCTCTTTATACACTGGTCCTTTGGAGAGCCATGAAGCATTGCAATGTCTAAGTTTCCTCCCTCCCATGCCCTCCAAAAACAAATTTTTGCCCAAGTTAAAAATTCACACTAGCTTTCCTGCCATGTCCTGCGGCCAAGCGTTGGGGGAGCTGGGAAGCTGGTGTAGGGGTGTTACCCAGCAGCCCCTGTGGCGTCATGCGGGTCGGCTCCACGCATCACTGCTCTGGTCGCTGGTTGGCTGAGGTGAGATGATACTGGTTGCCCGCGGTGTGTGTGAGTGGAAGTCGACGTATACCCCTGCGTTGAAGATGGAGGGGCCTTTGTCCGTGTTCGGGGACCAAGACCGCAGCACTGGGGAGGTGGTCCGCTCCCAGAACGTTATGGCTTAAGCTTCAATTGCCAATACTGTGAAAAGTTCTCTTGGTCCAGTTGGCTTGGATAAAATGTTGGTGGATGATGTTGGTGATGTAACCATTACTAATGATGGTGCAGCCATTCTGAGGTTACCGGAGGTAGAACAATCCTGCAGCTGAAGTTCTTTGTGAGCTGGCTGACCTGCAAGACAAAGAAGTTGGAGATGGAACTACCTCAATGCGAAGCCCTGCGTTATATCCGTTAAAACTTAATTATCTACACAGATGAACTGGGAAGAGATTGCCTGATTAATTCCACTGAGACATGGATGTCTTCCAAAATCATTGGAATAAATGGTGATTTATTTGCTAATATAGTAGCAGATACTGTACTTGTTACTACATACACAGATATTAAGAGGCCAGCCTCGCTATCCAGCCAATTCTGTTAATATTCTGAAAGCCCATGCGAGAAGTCAGATAGAGAGTATGCTGATCAGTGGGTATGCACTCAGCTGTGTGGTGGGATCCCAGGGCATGCCCAAAATAATTGTTAATGCGGAAATTGCTTGACTTAACTCTAGCCTGTAAAAAAACAAAAATGAAGCTTTGCCATATTGTCTGGCTCTGTGTCCCCACCCAAATCTCATCTTGAATTGTAATCCAAATTGTAATTCCCATATGTTGGGGGAGGGACTCTATGCTGTTCTCATGATACTGAGTTCTGACAAGATCTGATGGTTTTATAAGGAGCTGTTCCCTTCTCCCTCTGCACTTCTCCTTTCTGCTGCCATGTGAAGGACATGTTTCCTTCCTCTTCGGCCAGGATTGTAAGTTCCTGAGACCTCCCAAGCCCTGTAAAACTGTGAGTCAATTAAACCTCTTTCCTTTACTAATTACCCAGTCTAGGCAGTTCTTTATAACAGTGTGAGAATGGACTAATATACTTGATGTACAGGTGGTCATTACAGACCCTGAAAAACTGGACCAAATTAGACAGAAAGAATCAGATATTATCAAGGAGAGAATTCCGAAGATCCTGGCAACTGATGCCAATATTATTCTAATAGCTGGTGGAATTGATGATATGTGTCAAAGTATTTTGTAGAGGTTGGGGCTATGGCAATTAGAAGAGCTTTAAAAAGGGACCTTAAATGCATTGCTGAAACTTCTGGAGGGACTGTTCTGTCAACCCTGGCCAATTTGAAGGGTGAAGAAACTTTTGAAACTGCAGTGTCGGGACAGGTGGAAGAAGTGGTACAGGAGAGAATTTGTGATGATGAGCTGATCTTAATCAAAACCAGTAAGGCTTGTGCATCTGCATCAATTATCTTACATGGGGCAAATGATTTCGTATGTGATGAGATGGAGCACTCTACATGATGCTCTTTGCATAGTGAAGAAAGTTTTGGAGTCAAAATCCATGATGCTAGTTGGGGATGCTGTAGAAGCAGCCTTTTCCATATACCCCGAAAACTGTGAAACCAGCATGGAGTCTCAGGAACAGCTTGCTATTGCAGAGTCTGCAAGACCTCTTCCTGTTATTCACTGACAGTTAATGCTGCCCAGAACTCCACAGATCTGGTTGCATAGTTTAAGGGCTTTTCATAATGAGGCTCAAGTTAACCCAGAAAGTAAAAATCTAAAATGAATTGGTCTTGATTTGAGAAATGGTAAACCTAGACACAACAAACAAGCAGGGGTGTTTGAACCAACCACAGTTAAAGTTAAGAGTTTGAAATTTGCAACAGAAGCTGCAGTTACCATTCTTCAAATTGATGATCTTATTAAATTATACCCAGAAAGTAAAGATGTTAAACATGGAGGGTATGAAGATGCTGCTCATAACTGGGGCCCTTGATGTTCTGAAGCCCTTGATAACTGATCTGATGTCTCTTTGATTTATAACAATGTTAGATGCAATTGTCTCGTACCTTGAATTGAGTATTATACATTAAAGTATAGCAAGCTGTCAAAGAAAATTTACACTATAGTGGTGCCTCACCCAGATTTTCTTCACTGGTTGTTCCCATGTCCCCTAGCTGCTCTGAGAACTATTCTAGGAGAATTCTGTAGAGGATTGCCTTAGGTAAAAGGAAACTATCTCAATTGAAGTGTTTATACCATAGGCTCCCACCAAAGCCAGTGGCCCATAACTCACTGATACTAGGGCATGAAAGATTGACCACCCCCCCTCAAGGAAGAAACAGTACTGTGATAAAATTCATATTCAACAGCTCCCTGTGGGATAAAGTAGAAGCTAATATCTAGGCAGGACCCATATTTGTTTACCTTTCCTCTCTTGTTCTGTCTTGCTTCCTTCCTTAACTCCTCTTCTGTAGAGAGCATACCCTCATTAAATTAGTTTTACAAGAATCTCAATCTTAGATGCTACACTTGAAAACCTGAGTTAAGACACACCCCTAGTAACTGGAGTCACTAGGAGGTTTCATGAAGAAACTTCATCACAGAGCTAAGTGAAAAGGAAGGAGTGAATGAATTATGTAGGCATCACAATGAGCAAAGATGTGGAAGGTTTTAGAGATGGTGAAAAGATTGGCTTGGCTAAAGCAGAACATTATTAGGGTAGCCTGAGGCTATTTCAGAGCTTGGCTATCCTATCTGTTGCAGGGAGGTTAGTAATCGAAGAGTTTTCTGAAGAAAGCAAAGCAGTTCAATTTGTTAACATCAGGGAATGACTTACTGCATTCCTGCCTGCTCACTTGACCATGGGAAGGTCAGGCAGACACACACATGGATAGTCCAAGGGTGATGAAGGGTATTGTAACAAAATTCAAATTGTGTGCTTCACCCAGGACACAAGAGTATAGAGAAAGAAGTGGCTGGTGTAATTAGTGATCATCCAGATCCTGAGTGATAAAGGAAGGTAAAGTAGAGATTTAACATAGAATTTGGAATTTGATGCCATTTATAATAATAATCTATATTACTGCATTAAAGCTGCTGCATTGTAGTGGAATTAGGTGAAAAGGGGATAGCTGTATAAGACAATCTTTTCAAGAATTCATCTTCAGAGAACTGACATTTCCAGAAGAGCTAGCCCAGAGTTTGTCAGATGCTCTTCTTTTGGACAAATGAGCTTCCTGATGAGTTTCATTCTGCTTTTTGAGACAGAAAAATCAAACTAGCTCACAGATTTAATAAAAGGCCAATGAGGGATCTTCACTGAGAATCTCTATGGATCCATTCATTTTGTGACTATACCTGAATATTTGTGAAATACTTGTTATGAACTATTATGAGCTAGACATTCTGCTGGGTGCTGGGCAGATAATGACACAGACTTGGCCTTCAGGAAGCCTACAGCCTGATGGACAGCTACGCACAATGATTTTTGATCTTTGAAAGGAAAGTGACAGAAGTTTGAGATCACTGCCCAGGTTCATGGTGCAGTTGGGAGAAGGGGGGAGTCAGGGTTCTAAAAGATCCTTGAGATAGTAATGTCTGCAGGTCATGTCAGAGATTTGGGTTATTAGCTAAAAGCAATAGAAAGACTGACCAGGGGAAAGTTATTGACAAGAGGAGGTCTGAGGTTTGTGAAGACCATTCTAGCAACAGAATGGAGAAATGTTTGGACAATGCTAATCTAATAGAATTTCTTCCTTCTTTCCTTTCAAAGGATCTCTTCATGTTTATATTTAAATCCTGGTCTCTTAGATTAATATTCAAAGACTCTTTGTGAACTGTCTCTGCCTCTCCTACCACTTTAGTCAGTCAGTGCACCTTCTATTACAGTTTACACATCTGGTTTCCAATCAGAATTATGTGCAGACATGTTACAGTGTTCAGATTCCCAAGTCCCATTCCCAGAGATTTTGTTCCATTACTTGCAGGTTTAACTTAAAAATTAACATTTTTAAACAGTACCCTAGGCTCAGTACCCTAGAGCAGTGCTGTCCAAACAGAACTTTCTGCGATGATGGAATTGCTCTATATCTTCACTGTCCAGTAAGGTGTCCATTAGCCACAGGTAACTATTGAGCAATTAAATATGGCTAGTGCAACTGAGAACCTTAATTTTTATTGTACTTTATTTAATGAATTTAAACTTAAATATCAACATGTGGCTGGTGAGTATCAAATTAGACAGTTGAAGTTTAGACTCCAGTCTCAGACGCTTCCTATGTGATAGCTGTACTCAACATGCAGTTTCCTGCCTTGGGATCTAGGCACATTATCCCCACTCCAGGAGCCAGCTCTCCCCTAATCACCACCCTCCTCCCTACATGATCCACTTCCATGGAACGTACAGGTTTCTCTTCCAAGAACCTCTCCTTGAGACCCTCAGGACCAGATTAGACACGCCTCCTCAGATATCATAAACTTATGCCTGTTGGTATCTCCAGCACCTTGAAGACTGCCTGAATACAGCACTCTCTGCACACGCTTTTATAAATAAATGAAAAAATAAAGAGGCAGACTCACTTAACTGGATCAGGCATGAGTAGATGTTGGTAATTAGCAGATAATGGTTTTTTGTACTGCAAATTTGCTATATAAAATTCCACAAAGCTGAGCTCCAGAGAATTAAACTGTTAATGATCTTTAGCTGCTAATAAGGTCAATGTCATGTCTCCAATTCCTTTGTGGATAAGTTAATTTTGTAATGTTTGAAGGAAACATGGTTTTGGGGTTAAACAAATTTCAGAGCCTGGATTAAAATACCTGCCCTGTCACTTATTAGCCATATCAGAGAAGATGTTAAGTTACATGAAATTTCCTTTTTTTTTTTTTTTTTTTTTTGAGACAGAGTCTCGCTTTGTTGTCCAGGCTGGAGTGCAGCATCACAGTCTTGGCTCACTGCAAACTTCGCAAGCCTCCAGGGTTCGAGAGATTCTCCCACCTCAGCCTCCTGAGTAGCTGAGATTACAGGGGCCCACCACCATGCCCGACTAATGTTTGTGTTTTCAGTAGAGATGGGGTTTCACCAGGTTGGCCAGGGTGGTCTCAAACTCCTGACCTCAGGTGATCCACCTGCCTCAGCCTCTCAAAGTGCTGGGATTACATGCATGAGCCATCGTGCCTGGCCAGGTTACATGAAACTACTTTTTTTTTTTTTTTTTTTTTTAGACAGAGTTTTGCTCTGTCACCCAGGCTGGAGTACAGTGGCATGATCTCGGCTCAATGCAACCTCCACCTCCCAGTTTCAAGCAATTCTCATGCCTCAGCCTCCCGAATAGCTGGGATTACAGGCGTGAGCCACCACATCCAGCTAATTTTTGTATTTTTAGTAGAGACAAGGTTTAACCATGCTGGCCAGGCTGGTCTCAAACTCCTGACCTCAGGTGATCTGCCAGCCTCGGCCTCCCAAAGTGCTGGGATTACAGGCATGAGCTACCGCGCCCGGCCCATGAAACTTTTTATACTTAGCTTCTTCATCTACAAAGTGGGTTAATCATAGTACCTATCTCCTAGTGTTGCTAATGAATTAATAGTTGCAAAGGGCTAAAGGGCTTGGATGATACTTGGCACACATTAAGGAACTAAGCATTTGTTAAATAAATTAAAAGCAAACTTACCTTTTAAAATATTTAATATCCCTAGGTAGGGATCATGTATCTTGATCAGAAGGGGAATTAGGAAAAAAAAGGTTGATGATAGACATCGTCAATATTCGGACCATCACTTCGAGGACCCCGTCAGTATGAAGGGGTGGGGTAGCATAATGAACATCATGACAGGCTCACGGTTAAAATAACTGTTCTAAAAGTCATACAGAAGCTGGAGAATATGAGAAATTGTTGAGAAGAACTTTTGGAAAGGAAAAACTGAAACAGCTGAGGTTTAAATGAAATCTGGTGTGATCTGAATGTAAAGGGCAATTTTCCTGAAAAATTCTTCATTTCAGATCTCTTATGATCTTTTCAATCTAGGCCTGAAGTGGATTTTGGAACATAATTTAAGCCTCTACCTCTCCTTTCCCAATGGACTGTTTTTCAGCATTTGTCGGTTTCTTGTCTATTTAAATTGTGACCCTTTTAAATAACACCCTGCTTTCTTTTCTGGGGAATTTTCTCTTTGCCCTCAAAGGCGTTTTTTTGTGGGGAGGAAGTCAGGGTGCCCTGCTTATCTTTAGGGAACAGACCTGGATCCAACATGCTCTTCAAACACTTTATCCTAGGACTTTGAATTTTGAAGGGAATGATACATGGACTGAATATATAACAGTTCAGCTGTTCATTACCTCTATATTTGAGCTCCATGGATAAGAAATTTCTGCAGTTTAAAACTCCAGGGTTTGCCCTGGTTCCTGACTTGGATCTCTGGACTCTGGCTTATTCTGAATTTAGCTAGTAAATATACCTCCAACCAATTCCATTTTCTGCATACATTAGCCAAAGTTAGTTTTTGGTGTAAAGTATCCAAACTGACATGACTTTATATTTACTTAAATCGTTATTTAATGAAATACAAAGAGAAATTTGAAATTTCCCCTCCAAACACTATGTTTTTTAATACTTTTTTGTTGATTACTAAGGTAGAAGAGAAAATTTCAAGGTTGCAATATTGGCACTTCTTGAGGTGAAGAGGAAAAGCTAGATGTTTAGGGGTATCAGGTAAGAAATAAGGATCTAATAAGGGAAATCGTGTCCAAAAGTCTGTCCCTAGATTAGGGATTAAGAAACTTTTCTGAAAGAGCCAGAGAGTTAATATTTCAGGCTTTTAGGATACGATGGTCTGAATATTTATGTTTGCCCAAATCCTTATGTTGAATTCTAAGCCCCTAGGTGATGGTATTAAGTAGAGCCTTTGGGAGGTGACTAGATTATGAAAGCTCTGCCCTCATGAATGGGATTAGTGCCCTTATTAAACAGGGTTCAGGGAGCTTGTTTGCCTCTTGCACCATGTGAGGACACAGCTAGAAGGCACCTTCTATGAAGAAGAGGCCCTCACAGACACTGAATCTGCTAGTATCTTGATGTTGGCCTTCACAGACTCCAGAACTGTGAGAAATAATGTTTATTGTTCATAAGTCTCACACAGTTTATAGTACTTTTGTTACAGCAGCCTGATTTGACTAAGACAGAGGGCCACACAGTATTTATCATGAGCCCTCAGCTCTGCTATTAGTACAAAAGCAGCTATAAACCACGTAAGCAAATAAACATGACTCTGTTTCAATAAAACTTTATAAATAGAGACAGCAGACAGAATTTGGTCCATAGGGCATAGTTTGCTGACAGCTGTCTTAGAGCTGTGCCTGGTATCTATTAGGCATTCAATAAACATTCATTCACCAGATGAATAAAGAAGGAATCAGTATATAGGTTTGGCACATTTTCTGTCTGATGGCTTCTATTTTCTCTGAGTATTGGCAGTGTGAGGTCAGCTATCAATAGTGAAATAGAGTTGGGGCTTTGAGATAATTGATGAAGTTCTAAAATAACTGCTGGTTTGGGATAATGTCTAATACCAGCATCAAATTTCTATACTTTGTTAGTAAGTTTACTGCAAGGAAAATAAAAGGAAATTAACATCCATTAAGAGCCTAATACAGTGTTTCTCAAAGCGTGTATGTTCTTTAAAACACTTGAATTAGTAGTACCTGAGGTGTTGAGGTTAATAGATGTGGATTCTCAGACCCCTCTCCAGATATTTTGAATCAGCACTTCTGAATGTAGTGATTTTTTTTTTAAATCAAGCTCTTAAACTGATTCTCTTACAAATTAGTGCTTGAGAACCACTGGCTTAGCTGGTATCAGGAACTTAAAATATATTATGTAATCTGCACAACAACTTTAAGAAATAAATATTAATCCCATTTTACAGATGGAGATACTAAAGCTTAAAGAAGCAAGGAGAATTGCCCAAAGTGATACAGATAGTAAACGAAAGTCTGAGATTTCGCACCCACATTTGTCTACATTAAAACTCACACTTCCCCACTATGCTATTCAGCCTCAAGCAGCACCAGCAGAAACAAAAATATGAATTAAATTCTAGTACATTACTCAATTGGTACCATTCATGAAGATGTCTAAAATACTAATGACGTTAAATCTGAAAATGAAAGATCTGAAGATGGACAATTTTGGATTGAGATTTAAGGAATGCTGTATAAGTTAAGGAGAAGCAGTCATATGCTACTGCTGAAGTCACCAGGACTGGGGAAGAATTTGGAATCAGGAGGAGCTTCTCTGAAATGTATATTTTTCTTTTCAGTGATCTTCCACAAAGGAGATATATTAAAGATACTTTTCAGAAGCCCTTGTTGGAATCAACATGATGC
The DNA here is from genome assembly GCF_000001405.40 of Homo sapiens. Taxonomy (NCBI): domain Eukaryota; kingdom Metazoa; phylum Chordata; class Mammalia; order Primates; family Hominidae; genus Homo; species Homo sapiens. Next base: position 41,579,491 of record NC_000005.10, on the reverse strand, counting down.
ATGCTCTTTTGAATTTTTAAGTAGACAAATTTAAATTCACTCCTACTATGAATGAGATCCAAGTTGACTTCTATAGTCATATTGTATCTTGTTGGAATGTAACGTATATAGTCCTACCATATAGGCTGTTCAATTATTTAACAAAATTGTGTGTATGATAGAGACTATGTTTTGGTCAAAACAAGGTAACTTCCAATTATTTCTAACTGTGTACTACCAGCACTTTGAACTGGAACCTTAGTGCTAGTTCCTTGATACAGGTCATCCCTTGACCAGTGGGCCAGCTAGAAGTAGGATAAGCATAGTTATGATTATTCCTCCATCCAATGGAAAGCTCTAAGATAGTGGCTGGTGAGATCCTTGTCTTGTTTCCTGAGGGTAAAAGAAACTACTGTGTACTTATTCTTGGAAATGAGATTCCTCATGTCCTCCCACTGAATTGCCAACTTATGCGTATCTCAAGTTGTACAAGTTTGCTGCACAGATAATTTTATTCTAATCTTTAAAAGACTACTGTTTTTTGTTAAATGCTTGAAAATACAAGCTAACTATGAGAATTCAAATGCTGGCACATGCTCTGGAGTTCCAGCAGAATAGTGCTCTGTATTAACTCTGCAAGAAAAAGTGCCTATTCTGAACTTATTAAAAAGTATGTTCCTATCAAAAGTGTGAACTATATTGTCAACATTTCAGAAAGTTTAATAATATTTCTGACTATATGCAAATTTGTGTTTATGGGATACTCTTTTGAAGGTAACCTTCCTGTATGATGTGACTCAACTCTTCTAAAATGATTGACATATGGTAAATTGAACTTTAAATTCTCTTGTGTTATTGGATCAAAAGCACAATCAGCACTTTATAAACCCTACATGAATATTTTTCACCACAAATTTGAAAAATTAATAGCTTGGGTTTTACTTGACACCTCCTGCTCCCCATAAAACTGCTGGCAGTGGCTGTGTGCTTATTTAATACCAGTCTAGGCAAAGCTTAGATGGAAAAATTACATCTATTACAAAAAAATTGTCCATTATAATATGCTCGCAAATTATCATCTATACCAAGGCTCATCTACACCAAGGCTCAGCTCCTTTTAGAATGGAAAATTGAAAAGGGACTAGACAGCCAAAATTATAGTGTTTACAAAGGACAACTTTATGAGCCAGAAAGAAACTGCCCTAAATTCCTGCCAATGGCAGAAAAGAATGCCTTCCTCCACAACCCAGCCAAAAGGTTCCATCTGCCAGGTGATATTGCAGTACCAAGGAACAGATAATTCTATAGTCTGCCCTGATTCCCTCACTCGACAGGGAGTCTAATGTATAGAATGTAACAGGAGGAAAAGCTGAGCGCTTGAGTCCTGAATAAAACCTGCCTGTCCAACAACACTGTAGGGTCAATACCCTGCTAACAAATATCCTCTGAAAGAAGTAAGAAATCTCAAAGTTAACTTTCTTAAGGGAACACATAAAAGAGCTACCCAAGTTATAGGCAAGAAAGAAACCCTTGGCTGAAAACAAATCTTGAGACTCCTCTTGAACTTTTATCCTCAACAATACAGGTCCTGTCTGTCTTATGAACATCTGTATATAAGAACAGGATCATTCCATATATAAGAACAGGTGGCCCGTGCTAGGTAGGGGCCATGGGAAGAAGGGTGTTTTTGCACCCAGTTAGAAACAAAATGAGCCAGATGGTAACACGGACCTGAAAACAACAGACCTCAGTTAAGTAGGAAAAGGAATTAAGATAATTTTTAGCAGTGGGAAGTCAAGCTACGTAAAAAAGTAACAGAGTTAGCATGACTGGGTACCATGCTGTGGGAACTAGGGTTTAGGTCAGGACTCCAGATTCCAGGATAATTGTGGGAAGAGGAATAAATTTATCAGTCCCTGGGAGCCAAGATAGAGATTAAATGCAGAGGAATAACAAAATAATCTTTGTAAGAACAGAAAGAGTATCTTCTTTATTTTTGAGTCCCACCTTCCAGATCAGTGCCTGGCACATAGGGAGTGCAGTTAAACTACTAACCTTTTCATTTACTTTTTCTTGAATATTGGTTCTTTTTATCTCTGTGATGTTATCCTTTTCTGGTTTTACTTTACCTCTTTCGGCCATACCTTTTCAGCCTCTTTGAAAGGAGAGGGGGCCTTTTAGGATGTGGCTAGGCACTTGCCTGAATTAGGCACTAATCTGAATGAGACTACTACCCTTATAAAAGAGTCTCCAAAGGGCTCCCTTGCCCCTTCCACCATGTGAAGACATGGCAAGAAGGTGCCATCTATGAACCAGGTAGTGGACCCTCACTAGACTTCGAATATGGCGGCACCATGATCTTGGATTTCCCAGCTTCTAAAACTTTGAGAAATACATTTCAGTTGTTTATAAGCAACAGAGTTTGTGGTATTTCGTTATAGCAACAACAATGGACCAAGACAACCCTATGGCTATTTACAGAGATTTGTTGTGAAAGAAACATCAAAAATAAGCATTTGAGGACTGGACAAATGGGGTTGAGCTATTTTTTGCTGGTACTATAATAGAACAGTTATTTCCTGCAGGTAATTCTGTTTTGTCTGAATTGTGTTTGTTTACTTATATTGTATCCCAAGGGTAATAGCTGAGCTTAATTTGAGCTGTTAGCAGACTCACAAAGGAGGGCTCTGACCTGAACTAGAATAGAAATGAAGTTAAACATATTTTTTTTTTTGGCAAAAGTAGCTAAAGAAATGAGAAGTTATTTTAAAATAACTGTATGAAATGATGACAGGAAGGGAAACAGGTTAAAATATTCTCTTCTTAAAAGAAGGAAATAAAGAATTTTGAATGGATGGCCTAATTATATCATTTAAGAATATCTTTTTAACCAATAAAATAAAATGAACATATATTAATATAAGTCAATTAGGATTGAGACATTGCAAAAACTGGTTTTAAAAAACAAAGATATTGTAGTCTGCAACAGATTAGAATATTTCTATCTACTTTACTAGAAAATTTGCATATTGCATTGCTAAATTGATTTTCTAGAATATTCTTAACATTCTATTGACTAAAGCTTAAATATCTTCACTGGTAAAATGCCTGATTTTAGAAATCACCTATTAAATCTTAGAATTGTGATATGTTTACACATATTAAGACAAATACGTAGATCTTGCTTTGCTAACAGATTATTTTAAAACTAAAGTAACTTTTCTATTTCCTGTCTTCATTTTGATTCTAAATTCGGTAAGCAAATTTTATATTTGAGATGCGATAATTTTCTTTTCATGGAAGTATTTGTATCTTTACAGAAGATAAGGCACTGTAGTTAGATGTTTCTCATAAAAGCTGGCCTGGTGTTTGTTGAGCACTCCTATACTTATGACAAATTGAATTTCCAGAGAATGCACTCATTCATATTAGACCATGTGTTTGGGCTTAATGTTCAGAAAACATGAACATTACACTGAGACAGCAAGGGTTGTATAGATTTTACCAATTTTCCAATTTTTACTTGGAAAGCTTAGTTCAAATTGGCTAAAATGGGAAAACTGTCACATAAGGAAAAGTGGCGTTAACAATACCAGGAGCAATTTTAAAATGGACACAACAGTTCATTCCTAAGCCACATCTAGAAATCAGCTTATTAGAATGCAGATTGGACTAGAGAAAAATCATTGAAAACAGCAATACTCAGCAGATGAGAAACTCACAAATCACTCAGCCTGAAGGAGGCACAGGCTGAAAGGTAATTTGAAGTATTTGTTAGTAGGCTGGGTAGTGTGCACATCTCAAAAACAGCCTCATGAAAACAGGTGATGAGAGGCAGCAGGAAGGCAAAGAGTTTGAGCTGTGTGTGAGGAGGCTGCCTCTCTTCCAGGCTGTGAAGGGACAACAACCAGTGAGGTGTAACTGCTGTGATGCAAAGCCACTTCATGAGCCAGGCAAACAGAAACACCAGAAGCAGTCCCCAGGGGGCCAGGGTAGCATTTGCCCTGCTTTTGCCTGCATTCTTTATTTGGTTTGACAATGTAAAGGAGCATGATGGGTTGAATTGTGTCCCCCAACCCCTACATTCATGCCCAAACAGAACCTCCAAATGTGACCTTGTTTAGAACTAGGATCTTTGCAGCTGTAAGTAGTTAAGGATTTTGAGATAAAATTATCTTGGATTTAGGGTGGGTCCTAAATCCAATGACTGGCATTTTTGTGAGAAGAGGAGAGAACACACAGATACAGGGAAGAAAAAGTCCAAGTAAAGACAGAAGCAGAGGTTGATGTTATGCTGCACACACACCAAGGAATGCCAAGAGTCACTGGAAGCTGGAAGAAAGAAGGAAGGATTCTTCCTTAGAGCCTTCAGAGCAAACATCGCCCTGCTGATACCTCAATTTCAGATTCCTGATACTGGCCTCCAGAACTGGGAGAGGATATATTTCTGTGTTTTAGCCCACCGAATTTGTAGTACTTTGATATGACAGCTCTGGTAAACTGATCAAAAGAGCCAACAACCCTGTAAAACTGCCTGAGACAACCACAAGTCTGCATTAACCCACTGCATCTGACTACATAGAGGTGGGCTTGTTCAGATTGAAAACATCTCATTTGTTAGTAGAGAGAGACTAACAGCAGATAACACTGCATGGGTGGAGTGAACCTAGCCAAGTGAATATCTCATTATATGCACCCACATTTTAAAAAATTGCATGTATGTGGGGAGTGGTATATGGGAAAATATTAACATGAAAATTGTATATTAATTCTCTAGCTGATAACTGTCTCCCAGGAAATCTGGCATACAGGTAAATTGTGTCAAAGATTAATAAAATGTAAGCATATGTCTGGCTTCCTGAGTGTTGAGCGGGAAGATAAATCTGGCACTGAAGTGGGAGTATCACTGCAGCAAACCTGGTGCAGCAGGAGCAGTTCACAGCAGCTAAAGCCTCCCAAGTGAGTGCAGCTGATAGGTATTTAATAAATGTAAGTTCCCATCCTGATTCCTTTCCCATGTTGCTAAAATAAATCAATTCTACAGAATTATGTTGTATGTATGAAATACTTCTGAAGCATGGTTATATCTAAACAAATCAAGCCCGATCAGAAATTCTAATCTTTGTCTTTTTCTCTCAATTAAGAAGATCCAAATAGATATTTCATGGCAACTCTTTAAAAATCTCCTGTTTCTATTTCTCCCCACCCCTAAACTGAGAGTGTCTCATTCTTTGACTCCCCAAAAACATCGTAATCCATGCTATTCAGTCCCTATCTTAGTTCTAAGACAAACTCTTTTGTCTCTGTCATCTGTGACCCCATGACATGCTCTTGACACTTCAAGCCCCCTAGATGTAGTCAGGCCCCCAGGGAGTAGGGTGCTCCCTTTTGCACTGTTTTCTCAAGAGAGTACACATGAAGAGATTTTATCCTTTTTCTCCTTGATGAAGAAGGAAAGAAGCAGAAAATAATCAGGCAAAAGGTGTCAGGAAAGGACTGCAAACCTTCCCACATTAAATGCTTTTATTCAATTATATACAATCTGATAAAACTACATTTGACTTTCTTGAATAGCACATTTGTCTTCTCATCTCATCTCATCTCATTTAGAAGACTACTGATTCTTCATTTGCAACCTATTACCCAAAATTGCTTGGCGGAATATAGTAGGTGATATATGATGTAGTTGGGGAAACAAGACTAAGATGGAAAATCTTGCCTACAGGAGTTATCACTAAGAAACGTAAAGAGAAATGTTCCTACATTTCTCTTTGCCCTAACATATCATTGTTCTTGCTACAACTATTCGACTCCTGCTGATTTTTTAAGGCCACCTTTTATATTGTACCTCTACTGTGAACTCTTTTCTATCTTCCCCAGGGATAATCTCTTTGTTATTATGATACCATATGACTTATTACACAGTTTTCTTTTCTATTTTTTCTTTCCTCCCCTCCCTCCCTCCCTTCCTTCCTTCTTTCCTTCCTTCCTTCCTTCCATTTTCAGAGTCTCGCTCTGTTGTCCAGGCTAGAGTGCAGTGTTGCCATCTTGGCTGACTGCAACCTCTGCGTCCCAGGTTCAAATGATTCTTGTGCCTCAGCCTCCCAAGTAGCTGGAATTACAGATACATGTCACCACACCCAGCTAATTTTTGCATGTTTAGTAGAGACGGGGTTTCCCAATGTGGGCCAGGCTGGTCTTGAATTCCTGGCCTCAAGTGATCTGCCTGCCTTAGCTTCCCAAAGTGCTGGGATTATAGGCGTGAGCCATCAGGTCTGGCCATTACACAATTATTTCTGTGTTAATGATTTATAAATTGCTGATGTATCTATCTGTTGGCCCTTTTGGGCAAGGAATTTTATCCTGAGAGTCAAGCGTACTCCTAGGAAGTATTCTCTAAATAGGAAATATTTTTGAATATTTCTACATTTCAACTAAACTGAGGTTATCTATAGTTTTCCATGTACTTTCAACTAAGTATAATGAAGGCAATTGGGCCTCTCTAATTCCAGAAAAGATAATATCTTAACTCACTGGTTATAGGCTTTGTCTTTAGTGAGTTTTTACATGTGGTTTTTGATTAACTAGTATGATCGACGCAGTACATTTTGTGTGGCTGCTTAATTTCATAGTCCAAATGACCAGAACATCATCATGTTAGTAGGGATATTCTATTATCTGCCAGATGTAAATGAGTGGCTTCCCCTGAGGAGACAAGAAGAGCTTGGAGGGAGTAAAGAGATGGTGGAGATCACGCATTCAACAAGACCATGACAAATAACCTAAAATGTGGTTTCTGGAGAGGACTGTCAGCATCTGACTCCTTTACACTCAGGCCTCCACCTGCTTCCTCTGAAGGACTGCCCTCCACTAGGCTTAGCCCAATCATCTACGGACTAGAGCTTATCTTGGTTGGCTCTCTAAAGGTCTCTTTTACTCCAGAGGTTTATTTTGTGTAAGGTCCATGAATAAAATTGGCTAGGATATTTTGCCCTAGAAGGCTGTGAGGCACAGAAAGGTGAGACTGAAGAGGAGTGGTAAGAATTGAGAAACTCCTCTTTGTAAACATGACGGAGTGAAAAGATAAGCAAACTTCGAGACTGCAAAACCATCCACGGGACACAAAAGTAACTCTGAGAAGTGTGTAGAAAAGAGTCCTGCTTATTGCTGTCCCAAATATTGGTTTGCTGTTAAAATACACAAGGATGGACATGACTTAATATCTTCTTGGAAAACTTGTAAGTTTGCTTCAAACTGTATCTTTAACAAACACTTCCTAAGTTGATTGTCACTTGTATTAATTTGAGTGAAGGCTACCCATTGGTATGCAAAATTGAATGGTGCAGAGCATTGGCCTCAAAGGGACACATTCTGACTGTTGCCAGAGCAGTTGAGCTACAGGTGTGTTCCTTCACCTAAAATGATAACAATAAGTTGCTAAAATTTTGGTGTTCTCCAGGTGGCAGAATAAAAGTGCAGCTTCTATGTTATAGACATAATGATAACAGCAATTATTGTTTCTGTTAACAGCAGGAATCCCAGAAAGCTAAAAGAATTTTAAAAGTGAAATTTAGTGGATGCTGAAGTTGCTGGAAGAAATATTATGCATATTATCATTTGACTTCCCTTTAGTCTTCCTCTGGGAAAAGCAGAAGGGCAGAAATTTTAAGTCAAACATTTTTATCAACAACATTTATACAGAAAGTGCATCAAATGACTTCCCCCACCTTTCCCATGAATTAGGGTGAAACTGTTTGGGGCATTTTATCCCTTCAAAGAACCAGGCCCACTATTGTCTACTAAGAACCTTTGGAATTCACAGCTTTGCAGAAGAGATTAGCTTAAAAGAAAACATTAATATCTGGCTTTACAGAGACTTTCAGCTTTGCTTTAAGTCATGAGGTTTTGTTCCCCCCCACAAAACAATAAATAAACACAAAGGACAGAAAAGCAGATACTGAGAAGGTCAAATGCATCACTAAAGACAGAATATGTAAATATTCTTAGCCTAATGTGCATATTTCCTTTAGGATCCCCTGTTAGCTTGTGGAATAGCTGGTAGAGTTGACATTGAACAGGAGTTCTGGAGGTGATTAGTATCATGAGCATGGGATACAATGAGGCATATTGTGGAGCAAGCTATTCTAGTCCAGAAGAATTTCCTGATGGAATTATATGAAAAATCAGACCTGAATGATGAATTAATGTTGCAAGGAAGAGAATGAAATGTGTAAAGTACCTAGGCATAGAAACTGAAAGAATAGTTCTTTGGGCAGGATGTATAGAGTTAGAAATGTGAGAAAACTATTTTAGAGGTGCAAGTGGAACTTGAAGGGACTTTGAAGACATTTCCAGTGTTTTGGACTTTGTTGTATATATGGTAATAGAAAATGAGGGTTTTTCTTAGAGAAGCAATGATAACATTACACTTCTGCTGGAATGGAAAGATCATTCCAACTTAATAACTGATGCAAATGATAATATTAAGTGATGCTGTGATGATTTCATGTGTCGACCTGGATAGGCTAAGGTGTCTCATGGTTTGGTCAAACACCATCTAGATGTTGCTATGAAGATCTTTTATTTGTTGTTTTGTGTTTTTTTTTCAGGTGTATTAACATTTGAAATAGTAGAGTTTGAGTAAGGCAGATTATCCTTCATAATATGGGTAAGCATCATCCAATCAGTTGAATGTCTTAAGAGCAAAGACTGAGGTTTTCCAAAGAAGGAATTATCTTCAAGACTGCACCAGAGAAAACTCACCTTAGTTTAGAAAGATATAGATAGATACAATAAATCTATAATTTACTTTAAAATAGTACAAATAGGGGCAGGCAAGATGGTCAAATAGGAACAGCTCCAGTCTACAGCTCCCAGCGTGAGTGACGCAGAAGACGGGTGATTTCTGCATTTCCATCGGAGGTACCAGGTTCATCTCACTAGGGAGTGCCAGACAGTGGGTGCAGGACAGTGGGTGCAGTGCACCATGCGCGAGCCGAAGCAGGGTGAGGCATTGCCTCACTCAGGAAGCTCAAGGGGTCAGAGAGTTCCCTTTCCTAGTCAAAGAAAGGGCTGACAGATGGCACCTGGAAAATTGGGTCACTCCCACCCTAATACTGTGCTTTTCCAACGGACTTAAAAAACAGTGCACCAGGAGATTATATCCCACACCTGGCTCGGAGGGTCCTATGCCCATGGAGTCCCACTGATTGCTAGCACAGCAGTCTGAGATCAAACTGCAAGGTGGCAGCGAGGCTGGGGGAGGGGTGCCCACCATTGCCCAGGCTTGCTTAGGTAAACAAAGCAGCCAGGAAGCTCAAACTGGGTGGAGCCCACCACAGCTCAAGGAGGCCTGCCTGCTTCTGTAGGCTCCACCTCTGGGGGCAGGGCACAGACAAACAAAAAGACAGCAGTAACCTCAGCAGACTTAAATGTCCCTGTCTGACAGCTTTGAAGAGAGCAGTGGTTCTCCCAGCATGCAGCTGGAGATCTGAGAACACGCACACTGCCTCCTCAAGTGGGTCCCTGACCCCTGACCCCCAAGCAGCCTAACTGGGAGGCACCCCCCAGTAGGGGCAGACTGACATCTCACATGGCCAGGTACTCCTCTGAGACAAAACTTCCAGAGGAACGATCAGACAGCAGCATTCACGGTTCATGAAAATCTGCTGCTCTGCAGCCACCGCTGCTGATACCCAGGCAAACAGGATCTGGAGTGCACCTCTAGCAAACTCCAACAGACCTGCAGCTGAGGGTCCTGTCTGTTAGAAGGAAAGCTAACAAACAGAAAGGACATCCACACCAAAAACCCGTCTGTACATCACCATCATCAAAGACCAAAAGTAGATAAAACCACAAAGATTGGGAAAAAACGAGCAGAAAAACTGGAAACTCTAAAAAGCAGAGCTCCTCTCCTCCTCCAAAGGAATGCAGTTCCTCACCAGCAACAGAACAAAGCTGGACGGAGACTGACTTTGACAAGTTCAGAGAAGAAGTCTTCAGACAATCAAACTACTCTGAGCTACAGGAGGAAATTCAAACCAAAGGCAAAGAAGTTAAAAACTTTGAAAAAAATTTAGGTGAATGTATAACTAGAATAATCAATACAGAAAGTGCTTAAAGGAGCTGATGGAGCTGAAAGCCAAGGCTCGAGAACTACGTGAAGAATGCAGAAGCCTCAGGAGCCGGTGCGATCAACTGGAAGAAAGGGTATCAGTGATGGAAGATGAAATGAATGAAATGAAGTGAGAAGGGAAGTTTAGAGAAAAAAGAATAAAAATAAACAAACAAAGCCTCCAAGAAATATGGGACTATGTGAAAAGACCAAATCTACGTCTGATTGGTGTACCTGAGTGACGGGGAGAATGGAACCAAGTTTGAAAACACTCTGCAGGATATTATCCAGGAGAACTTCCCCAATCTAGCAAGGCAGGCCAACATTCAGATTCAGGAAATACAGAGAACGCCACAAAGATACTCCTCGAGAAGAGCAACTGCAAGACACATAATTGGCAGATTCACCAAAGTTGAAATGAAGGAAAAAATGTTAAGGGCAGCCAGAGAGAAAGGTAGAGTTACCCACAAAGGGAAGCCCATCAGACTAACAGCAGATCTCTCGGCAGAAACTCTACAAGCCAGAAGAGAGTGGGGGCAAATATTCAACATTCTTAAAGAAAATAATTTTCAACCCAGAATTTCATATCCAGGCAAACTAAGCTTCATAAGTGAAGGATAAATAAAATCCTTTGCATACAAGCAAATGCTGAGAGATTTTGTCACCACCAAGCCTGCCTTACAAGATCTCCTGAAGGAAGCATTAAACATGGAAAGGAACAACTGATACCAGCCACTGCAAAAACATGCCAAATTGCAAAGACCATAGATGGTAGGAAGAAACTGCATGAACTATCAAGCAAAATAACCAGCTAACATCATAATGACAGGATCAAATTCACACATAACAATATTAACCTTAAATGTAAATAGGATAAATGCTCCAATTAAAAGACACAGACTGGCAAATGGATAGAGTCAAGACCCATCAGTGTGCTGTATTCAGGAAACCCATCTCACGTGCAGAGACACACATAGGCTCAAAATAAAGGGATGGAGGAAGATCTACCAAGCAAATGGAAAACAAAAAAAGGCAGGGGTTGCAATCCTAGTCTCTGATAAAACAGACTTTAAACCAACAAACATCAAAAGAGACAAAGAAGGCCATTACATAATGCTAAAGGGATGAATTCAACAAGAAGAGCTAACTATCCAAAATATATATGCACCCAATACAGGAGCACCCAGATTCATAAAGCAAGTCCTTACAGACCTAAAAAGAGACTGAGACTTCTACACAATAATAATGGGTGACTTTAACACCCCACTGTCAACATTAGACAGATCAACGAGACAGAAAGTTAACAGTTAACAAGGATATCCAGGAATTGAACTGAGCTCTGCACCAAGTGGACCTAATAGACATCTACAGAACTTTCCACCCCAAATCAACGGAATATGCATTCCTCTCAGCACCACATCACACTTATTCCAAAACTGACCGCATAGTCGGAAGTAAAGCACTCCTTAGCAAATGTAAAAGATCAGAAATTATAACAAACTGTCTCTCAGACCACAGTGTAATCAAACTAGAACTCAGGATTAAGAAACTCACTCAAAACCTCTCAACTACATGGAAACTGAACAACCTGCTCCTGAATGACTACTGGTTACATAAGGAAATGAAGGCAGAAATAAAGATGTTCTTTGAAAGCAATAAGAACAAAGACACAACATACCAGAATCTCTGGGACACATTTAAAGTAGTGTGTAGAGGGAAACTTATAGCACTAAATGCCCACAAGAGAAAGCAGGAAAGATCCAAAATTGACACCCTAACATCACAATTAAAAGAACTAGAAAAGCAAGAGCAAACACATTCAAAAGCTAGCAGAAGACAAGAAATAACTAAAATCAGAGCAGAACTGAAGGAAATAAAGACACAAAAACCCTTAAAAAATTAACGAATCCAGGAGCTGGTTTTTTGAAAGGATCAACAAAATTGATAGACTGCTAGCCAGACTAATAAAGAAGAAAAGAGAGAAAAATCAAATAGACCCAATAAAAAATGATAAAGGGGATATCACCACTGATCCCACAGAAATACAAACTACCATCAGAGAATACTAAAAACACCTCTATGCAAATAAACTAGAAAATCTAGAAGAAATGGATAAATTCCTCGACACATACACTCTCCCAAGACTAAACCAGGAAGAAGTTGAATCTCTGAATAGACCAATAGCAGGATCTGAAATTGTGGAAATAATGAATAGCTTACCAACCAAAAAGAGTCCAGGACCAGATGGGCTCACAGCCGAATTCTACCAGAGGTACAAGGAGGAACTGGTACCATTCCTTCTGAAACTCTTCCAATCAATAGAAAAAGAGGGAATCCTCCCTAACTCATTTTATGAGACCAGCATCATCCTGATACCAAAGCCTGGCAGAGACATAACAAAAAAAGAGAATTTTAGACCAATATCCTTGATGAACATTGATGCAAAAATCCTCAATAAAATACTGGCAAACCGAATCCAGCAGCACATCAAAAAGCTTATCCACCATGACCAAGTGGGCTTCATCCCTGGGATGCAAGGCTGGTTCAATATACACAAATCAATAAATGTAATCCAGCATATAAACAGAACCAAAGACAAAAACCACATGATTATCTCAATAGATGCAGAAAAGACCGTGACAAAAGTCAACAACCCTTCATGCTAAAAACTCTGAATAAATTAGGTATTGATGGGACATATCTCAAAATAATAAGAGCTATCTATGACAAACCCACAGTCAATATCATACTGAATGGGCAAAAACTGGAAGCATTCCCTTTGAAAACTGGCACAAGACAGGGATGCCCTCACTCACCACTCCTATTCAACATAGTGTTGGAAGTTCTGGCCAGGGCATTTAGGCAGGAGAAGGAAATCAAGGGTATTCAATTAGGAAAAGAGGAAGTCAAATTGTCCCAGTTTGCAGATGACATGATTGTATGTCTAGAAAACCCCATTGTCTCAGCCCAAAATCTCCTTAAGCTGATAAGCAACTTCAGCAAAGTCTCAGGATACAAAATCAATGTACAAAAATCACAAGCATTCTTATACACCAATAACAGACAAACAGAGAGCCAAATCATGAGTGAACTCCCATTCACAATTGCTTCAAAGAGAATAAAATACCTAGGAATCCAACTTACAAGGGAAGTGAAGGACCTCTTCAAGGAGAACTACAAACCACTGCTCAATGAAATAAAAGAGGATACAAAGAAATGGAAGAATATTCCATGCTCATGGGTAGGAAGAATCAAGATCATGAAAATGGCCATACTGGCCAAGGTAATTTATAGATTTAATGCTATCCCCATCAAGCTACCAATGACTTTCTTCACAGAATTCGAAAAAACTACTTTAAAGTTCATATGGAACCAAAAAAGAGCCCTGATTGCCAGGTCAATCCTAAGCCAAAAGAACAAAGCTGGAGGCATCACACTACCTGACTTCAAACTATACTAAAAGGCTACAGTAACCAAAACAGCATGGTACTGGTACCAAAACATAGATATAGCTCAATGGAACAGAACAGAGCCCTCAGAAATAACGCTGCATATCTACAACTATCTGATCTTTGACAAATCTGAGAAAAACAAGCAATGGGGAAAGGATTCCCTATTTAATAAATGGTGCTGGGAAAACTGGCTAGCCATATGTAGAAAGCTGAAACTGGATCCCTTCCTTACAACTTATACAAAAATTAATTCAAGATGGATTAAAGACTTACATGTTAGACCTAAAACCATAAAAACCCTAGAAGAAAACCTAGGCATTACCATTCAGAACACAGGCATGGGCAAGGACTTCATGTCTAAAACACCAAAAGCAATGGCAACAAAAGACAAAATTGACAAATGGGATCTAGTTAAACTAAAGAGCTTCTGCACAGCAAAAGAAACTACCATCAGAGTGAACAGGCAACCTACAAAATGGGAGAAAATTTTTGCAACCTACTCATCTGACAAAGGGCTAGTATCCAGAATCTACAATGAACTCAAACAAATTTACAAGAAAAAAACAAACAACCCCATCAAAAAGTGGGCAAAGGACATGAACAGACACTTCTCAAAAGAAGACATTTATGCAGCCAAAAAACACATGAAAAAATGCTCACCATCACTGGCCATCAGAGAAATGCAAATCAAAAGCACAGTGAGATGCCATCTCACACCAGTTAGAATGGCAATTATGAAAAAGTCAGGAAACAACAGGTGCTGGAGAGGATGTGGAGAAATAGGAACACTTTTACACTGTTGGTGGGACTGTAAACTAGTTCAACCATTGCAGAAGTCAGTGTGGCAATTCCTCAGGGATCTAGAACTAGAAATACCATTTGACCCAGCCATCCCATTACTGTGTATATACCCAAAGGACTATAAATCATGCTGCTATAAAGACACATGCACACATATGTTTATTGCGGCACTATTCACAATAGTAAAGACTTGGAACCAACCCAAATGTCCAACAATGATAGACTGGATTAAGAAAATGTGGCACATATACACCATGGAATACTATGCAGCCATAAAAAATGATGAGTTCATGTCCTTTGTTGGGACATGGATGAAGCTGGAAACCATCATTCTCCATAAACTATCTCAAGGACAAAAAACCAAACACCTCATGTTCTCACTCATAGGTGGGAATTGAACAATGAGAACACATGGACACAGGAAGGGGAACATCACACTCTGGGGACTGTTGTGGGGTGGGGGGAGGGGTGAGGGATAGCCTTAGGAGATATACCTAATGCTAAATGATGAGTTAATGGGTGGAGCACACCAGCATGGCACATGTATACATATGTAACTAACCTGCACATTGTGCACATGTACCCTAAAACTTAAAGTATAATAATAATAAAATAAAAAAAAGAAAAAAAATAAGTAAAATAAAATTAAATAGTACACATAAAAATGTGAATATATACAAACGATGTATAAAAGGAGTAAAATGAAGCAAATATAATAAAATATTAACAACTGTGGAATAGAAGTGAAATGAGGCTGGGCAAGGTGGCTCACGCCTGTAATCCCAGCACTTTGGGAGGCTGATCATGAGTTGAAGAGGTCGAGATCATCCTGGCCAATATGGTAAAATCCCTTCTCTACTAAAAATACAAAAAAAAAAAATAGCTGTGCATGGTGGTGCACACCTGTAGTCCTAGCTACTCAGAGGCTGAGGCAGGAAAATCGCTTGAACCCGGGAGGCAGAGGTTGCAGTGAGCTGAGACTGTGCCACTGCACTCCAGCCTGGTGACAGAGTGAGACTCTGTCTCAAAAAAACAAACAAACAAAAAGAAGTGGAATGAATATGCATGTTCATCATTCATGGTTAAAGCTCTTTAAATATTTTCATAATGAAAAGTTGTTCATAGCAAGGAGAAATACTAAAGAGAGGAATTAAAAAAGGGTGGATGTCAGGCAGTCAGTTAGGTGGTTTTGGCAGTAGTTTAGCTAAGGCCTGGAGTATTCATGAAGGGAGTGTTGGAAGAGAGAGTCTGGTAAATTTAATCACTATTTAGGTAACAAAATGGGTTAACAGAATAGATTAAAGATGATTGTTTGGAATTGTGCCTGGAACATAGTAGATACTCAATTGTCTCAATGAATAGATGATTGACTTGGAGTTAACATGGGATTAAAGAAGAGAGAGAAGTAAGAATGCCTTCCATAAATTTTGATTGAACAACTGAGGGCATAATAAGACCATTAATTAAAATTTTTTAAAAAATGGGAAAAAAACAAGAAGCACTTTTTTTAATTATACTTTAAGTTTGGGTTTTAGGGTACATGTGCACAACGTGCGGGTTTGTTACATATATATACATGTACCATGTTGGTGTGCTGCACCCATTAACTTGTCATTTAACATTAGGTATATCTCCTAATGCTATCCCTCCCCCCTCCCCCCACCCCACAACATGCCCTAGTGTGTGATGTTCCCCTTCCTATGTTCATGTGTTCTCATTGTTCAATTCCCACCTATGAGTGAGAACATGCGGTGTTTGGTTTTTTGTCCTTGCAATAGTTTGCTGAGAATGATGGTTTCCAGCTTCATCCATGTTCCAACAGAGGACATGAACTCATCATTTTTTATGGCTGCATAGTATTCCATGGTGTATATGTGCCACATTTTCTTAATCCAGTCTATCATTGTTGGACATTTGTGTTGGTTCCAAGTCTTTGCTATTGGGAATAGTGCTGCAATAAACATACGTGTGCATGTGTCTTTACAGCAGCATGATTTCAGCTCAAGGAAAACAGTCCAGGACAAAGCCCAGAGGCACTCTAACACTTACTGTATGGGTAAAGTGGGGCAGCTAGCCAAGAAAACTGGGGACCAGTGACCAGTGAAGTTGCAGACAAAACAAGACAGAGTAGTGATAAGGAAATCAAGGGAGGAGTATTTTAAGAAGGAAGTAGGGGTCAACAGTGTCAAATGCTCTGGAGAGATCAAGCAAGATGGAACTGAAGAATGAATATAAAGCCCTGTAAGGCTTTGGCTGTTGGCCTGAGAGAACAATTTTGGAAGAGTAATAAGGGCAGACATGAAATAGGACTGGGCTGCAAAGCTGAGTGAGCAGTAAGAAATGAGAGAACGAGTGCAGCTAACTCCTTT
This sequence comes from Homo sapiens, assembly GCF_000001405.40. Taxonomy (NCBI): domain Eukaryota; kingdom Metazoa; phylum Chordata; class Mammalia; order Primates; family Hominidae; genus Homo; species Homo sapiens. The sequence goes on along the minus strand of NC_000005.10, from coordinate 41,562,776 downwards.
GAGAATTTGGACTGTGAGAGGAAACAGACTAAGAATTGAAGGGAGGCATGGATAGAGGGAGAAATTCATTTTTAAAGGTGGGAGACATTTGAACATAAATAAATGCAAATTAGAAATAATAAGTTGTGAGGCAAAAATGCAGTTACAGAAGAGAGGGAATAATTGACAGTGCAAGTTCTCTAAGAAGACTGGAGATGTTGGGATCTAGGGCAGATGTGTGGAAGGCAGGCTTGGATAGGAGAGATGGCCCTTCTAGTGCTGCAGAGGAATGGAAGACAGCATGGATGCAGATACTTGCTTGTTGCATGAATTTTAGAGTATGCAAATGAGTGGGTATTTTGTCTGATGGCTTTTATCTTCTCTGAAAAGTAGGAGGCAAGGACATTTGCTGGCAATGTGAGAGGGGTGAAGGTTTATGGAGGACATACGAAGACTGAGACAAGAATTGAAGAAGGGAGATTGAGCTGATCAGAGGAAGAGCAAGATTTCTGGGCAGTGTTAAAGGTCTAGTGAGATGAGAGACCCCAAACCTTGAGTGAGATCACTATTTTATTCTTAAATGGCTTTATTCCAGTCGTCTGGATGAGGTTTAGGGACATCAGATGGTTGGACTCATTCAAGTTTGAAGTTTTCCCTGCAGTATATAAGGCATGGGAGTTTAGAACACTGGAAATATTGGCTAGTATGTTGGTCCTGAAATCTAACCCTAAAAGAAGAGGACTTGAAGATAACAGAAGGCTAATGGATAGTGAGAAAATAGGGGTAACTGGTGAACTGAGAAGTTGAATAATAAGTTGTAAATAGAGGGGCTGTGGCCAAAGACAGTGACCAGGCAAACATTTTCTTAACCATGTTGGGCTTCAAGTTTTTATTTGTAAAATGAGGGCATGGACTGAAAAACATTCCAATATTCTTTCTGGCTCTAACAATTTATATTTGTAAGTGTTTGGAGAAAGGCAGAGGACTTAGAGGATGGATCCTACTAGGCAGCAAGGGTGTAAAAAGGCCACAGGATACCATCAAGTTATAGGGTCAGAAATAACAGTCTTGGAGTGACTATTCCTGGGCTATCACCTTAGGAGGATGAAATGAATGAATCGACACCTGTGACAATCACTCTAAACCCTGAAGTGCTCCTTGGCACTATTCTCATCTGAGAAAGGACAGGAGGAAACCGAAATCAAATTTCATTTTGCTGTTTTACCTATGGCTGGCCTTGCAACTATTAGAGCTTTAGAGTCACAGTAAAGATTTGTTTTTAACTGGCAGCTGAACTTAAAATTCCTTTTAGGATTGCTTTTATATGCAATTTTAGTAAAAGGGCTTGACAGTCCTACACATCTTTTGGACTTCTATGATGACTGTGCCTGATATTAGAAGGTCTGAGAGAGTACACACTTAGAATAGGGACATAGTGAAAAGATGGACTAGGAACAAGGCGTGAAGGTGACTGGTGCAGTGGAAAGGAGAAAGTGGTGAAATTGCAAATGGTAGGTACTGATAATGGTTGTGACTCTTGTAGGGGCCCAAGAGTCCATTTTTATTAATGCTAATGTAGATTATAACAGTAATAATGACCACTTATTAAGGACATACTGTGTGCCAGGCACCATGCAAATTGTTCATTCTTCCATGTAATTCTCAAAACAATCCTATGTGATAATATCCTTATTCTTGTGTTTTTTCTAAAAAACTGTCATAAAATATACATAACATAATATATGCAATTTTATTCATTTTAAGTGGCATTCTTATGTACATTAACACTGTAGGATGATCTTCTATTTCCATATTTTTTCTTTATCTTCCCAAATGAAATTCTATGCCTATTAAACAATTACTACCTATTCTTCCTCCTCCCTATTATTCCTGTTTTAAAGATAAGGCAGCTAAGTCTTAGAGAATATAAAAACATTGTCTAAGGGCACAGAGCTGGTACGTGCCCTCAAGTTTGGGGTCTAGCCATGGCCTGGAAGTGCTTAATCTGCAGTGCATATGAATTTCTAGGCAGAATTTCCCATCAATGCCTTAAGCTCCTGGATTTGTTGAAGAAAGATTGGGCTGAGAGTGTAAGTAGATCTGAGATCAGAATACAAGAGTTTCTTTTAGAACAGTTAACACATTACTCTTATAGACCTGCCTAATGAGTTCACTATTTCACAGTCTTTCTTACTCACAATCAGTGCTTTGGGCCTTTATAATTATCTTTTACTTGCCAAGAATAGCCTTCGGATGACTACCAGGAAACTTTCTTGAATTTCCTTTCAGAATAGAAGAGCTAGCCATGGAATAGTCTAGTAAAGTATGTCACTTAACCCAGATCTATAAATTCCCCTAAAAATTAGTAATTTATTAAACAATAGTAGCCTGCCCATCATTTTTTTAATTGAACAGAAAATAAGAGTAACAAACAAGCTGGGAAACTGTAATGCTTTTCCTCATGATTTTATTTTGCTTTTCCTTTTTATGCCTCTTGATTTCCTTACTTTTAACTTCTTTCTGTAAAGTCAAGCTCACCTACAGACTGTACATACATCAGTTGGAAGCACATTTTAATGTGTTGCTTAGATACAGATGTTTGGAAATATAGGAGCACAATTTATACCTGATTCTGTTGCTAAGGAAACTGGGGAAACTTTGGGATTTTCCTTTGAGACTCATGACTACAAACTGGAAAAAAGCATTATTATGAGTTTTAGAATAACTATATGTAAGCTGTTATTTAATTTTATTTCTACACTGGCAAGTTAATTTTTATAAGCTTCTGTAGTCTTTTTCTGCCTGTGGTATAAATATTTCTATGTAAGCCTTTTATAGTAAGTTTGATCATGTTACATGGCATGTGGAGGTGGTCAGCATATTGAAATATAAACACGAGTCACTCTTGTGAAACATTTCATAAAACAGGCTATAAATAAAATTATTGGTGCTTTAAGGGATAACATTTGAAGGATTTTGGTTCTACAAACCTTTCTTTCACATCAGAGAATAGGATTTGCAGGAGAAATTCTTTGCTAATGTCAGTTCTACTGTAAAATTATCTCCAGGAAAAACAAACAAGAAGTTAATTTGCAGCATCTATTTCTTTTCTCCAGCTGCAAGAAAACATTATGACCATCTGAGAGGTTCCTTCAACCAAAACCCAGGCAGGTTGCCTTAATATTATTGAGGCTGACAGTGTGAGTCTGCCCAGTCTAGCTGACAGACCTTTTAACATGTATATATCTGTGTGTACTGGAACATAGCTATTCATGTAAATGAGAATGATCTCCTCTAGACAGTGTCTTTAAAAAAGCTCAGAGTTCTTTTCATAGCTTGTCGTCATCTAAAAATTGCCACAGCCTGACTGTAGGAAGTACTTTTTCTCTGTACACAGAGCCCAAACAGTGCTAAAAAGGGAAATGGAACATATGGTAATAAACTCTCTGAAGCTTTAAAGTCGGGTTGTAATAAACAACCAGGGTGAGAGAGGCACCGGTAACCATGAACTCTCCCTCTAGGGTCTCATTAGCAAGGCCAACTGTGCTGCAGTGGAGGAAAACAGTATCACATACTTGATGGAGATTGTAGCCATTCAAGGCAAACCCTAGATTTGTCTTTTACTGGAAGGAGCATGAATTGGATGGAAAGGAAACTTCAAAAAGGAGTTAGAAGAAAACCACTGCCTGAGTGGCCCCTTTACCAAAAGTGTCTTTGTTCATTTGGAAATAGTATTCACGAGCTTTTGAAAGTTTACTGTGGTCAAATGTTGCATGTGGAGCATGGACCATGATGGATCTGAAGACTTATTCTTTGGTTACTCCACATTCTGACCATATGGTGGTGGGAAGTCATTCTTTGCTTCAGCTTTCCCATAGGTGGAATAGGGATGAGAGTGTTGGACTCCGGGAGTGAGTGTACCTGGCCAGGGTATTATCTGGGATCTTCCAATGATCTCCCTAAGATCCTCCTTTACACAAGGGCACTGATTTGCAGACATATTTTCTACGAGGACGAGAAGACAAAAAGGTAATGCTATGGACACTGTCATGACAGTATTTCTGTATTTCATTTTAAATTTCAAAAGTCTTATGTACAAGTTGTTCTGAGGGGCTCATATATCTCCATATACTGAGTACAATCTACACCTCCTTTCCCTAACTTGATCTTTCTCCTCCTTCTACTCTTTATCATTTTCTAACTTATTGAAGACAAATTTTCAAAATTTTTGGTACTATCTACTAAAAATACCACATCAAAATAAGACATGAAAAAAGATTCAAGGTTGTATTAGTTTGGTGCAAAAGTAATTGCGGTTTTTGCTATTACTTTCAATGGCAAAACTTGGTTTTGCCAACTATTTTAGCCAAAGTAGCCTCCAGTTACCCATTCACTATCAAATATACATATCTATTTGTATCCAGGGTTTTGTTTGTTTTTTAACCTTTCAGTTCATAACTTCATCTTACCTCTTTATCAACTTAAGTGCCACTTCATTTTGCAACTTTCTTTTGATAATAATAATAATTATTAATCAGCAGTTATTTATTCTCTACCTCTTACACTCTATATACAGCATCATAATTAATTATCAAAACAAGGCTTTGGTTTATTTCTGGGCTTTCTATCCTGTTCCATTAGTTGAAATGTCTGTTTTTATGCCAGTACCATACTGTTTTGATTAGAATTGAAATCAGACAGTGTGAAATTAAAGAGTATAAACCGTCCAGCTTTATTCTTTCTGCTTAACATTACTTTGGTTATTGAGGTCTGTCTTTGTGGTTACATATATATTTAAGGATTTTTTTCTATTTCTGTGAAAAATGACATTACAATTTAGATTGGGATTGTATTGAATATGTAGATCACTTTGGTAGTTTCAACATTTTCTTCTAATCAATGAACATGGGATATATTTTCATTTATTTGTGTTTTCTTCAATTTTTTTCATGAATGTTTATAGTTTTCAGTATATAGGTCTTTCATCTCCTTGGTTAAATTTATACCTAAGTATTTTTGTTATTGATGCTATGGTAAATGAGATTTCCTATTTGGATACTTTATTATTAATATATAGAAATGCTACTAATTTTTGTTATGTTGATTGATTTTGTATCCTGTACATTTACTGAATTTGTTTATTAGTTCTAAAGGTCCTCTGGTTTATCAGTTCTAACAGTCCTCTGGTAGAGTCGTCAGGGTTTTCTTATATGTAAGATCATTAAAGGTCAAGTGATTTTTGAAAAAGGTGCCAAGAACACACAATGGGGAATGGATGGTCTCTTCAATAAGTGGTGTTGAAAAACTGGACATCCACATGCAGAATAATAAAATTGGATTCTTATCTCATGCCATATACAGAAATACAATTCAAAATTAATTAAAGACTTACATATAACACCTGAAACTGTAAAGCTACCAGAAGAAAGCGTAAGAGGACAGCTCCACAATGTTAGTCTGGACAAGGACATTTTCAATATGACTCCAAAAGCACAGGCAACAGAACAACAGTAGAAAAATGGCATGGCATCAAACTAAAAGCCTTCTGCACAGCAAAGGAAATGATTAACAAAATAAAGAGATAATCCACAGAATGGGAGAAAATATTTGCAAACCATACATCTGATAAATGGTTAATATTCAAAACAGATAATTCAAACAACTCAATAGTAAGAAAACAAATAACCCAATTAAAAAATGGGTAAAGAAACTGAACAGACATTTCTCAAAGGAAAGCATACAAATGGTATAGCAGGTACATGAAAAAAATGCTCAGCACCACCAATTATCAAAGCAATGCAGCAATAAGATCTGAACTCACACCTGTTAGTATGGCCTTTATCAAAAAGACAAAAGAAAAGTGTTGAGAAGAATGAAGAGAAAAGGGAACTATGGTACATTGTTAGTGGGAATGTAAATGAGTACAGCCATTATGGAAAACAGTACGCAGGTTTCTCCAAAAATTAAAAATCAAGTTGCCATATGATCCAGTAATCCTACTTGTGAATACATATCCATGGCAACTGAAATTAATATATTAAAAGGATATCTGCTCTTCCATGTCCATTGCAGCATCTATCAGTGATAAATGAATAAAGAAAATGTGGTACATATACACAATGTACTAAGCCTTTAAAAAGAAGAAATTCCTGTCATTTTGTAGACAACATTAATGACCTGGAAGACATTAGGCTAAGTGAAACAAACCAGGCACAGAAAGACAAATGCTGAATGATCTCACTCATGTGAAATATTAAAAAGTTGAATTCACAGAAGTAGAAAATAGAATAATGGTTACCAGAGGCTGGGAGGAGGGGCAATAGGGAGGGAGGGGATAGGGAGTGGCTGATCAAAGGATACAAAGTCTCAGATGGACAGGAAAAATAAGCTTTGGGAACTATTGCATGGCAGGATGACTATCGTGTAATAATGTATATTTTGAAACAATGAAAAGGCCAGGCACGGTGGCTCACGCCTGTAATCCCAGCACTTTGGGAGGCCGAGGCTGGCGGATCAGGAGGGCAGGAGATTGAGACCATCCTGGCTAACACAGTGAAAGCCCGTCTCTACTAAAAATACAAAAAATTAGCCGGGCGTGGTGGTGGGCCCCTGCAGTCCCAGCTACTCGGGAGGCTGAGGCAGGAGAATGGCGTGAACCCGGGAGGCGGAGCTTGCAGTGAGCCGAGATTGCACCACTGCTCCACTGCACTCCAGCCTGGGCGACAGAGCAAGACTCTGTCTCAAAAAAACAAACTAACAAACACAATGAAAAAAATAAATTTCAAATGTCTCACCATAAAAAATGATAGGTAAGCAAAGTGATAGATATGTTAACTGGCTTCATTGAATCATTACACAGTGTATACATATAGCAAAATATCAAATAGTATCCCATTAAATATATTCAATTTTAATGTTTCAATTAGAAATAATGTTAATTTAAGAAATCCAAGTCTTTGGTGTATTACTATCCTCATTTTATAAATAAAAAACTGAGGATCCCAGAAGCTTAGTTATTTGCTCTGAGACACAGAGTTAGTGAGTGACAGCTTGGATTCTAAATAGCTGCCTGACTGAAATTTGTGGCCATTCCATTATATCAGGTTACCTTTCTTTCAGAGCCTCTATAAAGATTTTAAGATCTTAAGAAGATTTGATAGCAATTTGCCTGGAGGCAGAAGACCACTGAAGCTTCTCGTACAGGTATAAGCTGATGCTCCAGTGTTATGGAGATATTAGCAATTATAATATTGGCAGCCAAATATTGAGTAGGGCACAAAAAAGTGGTTCAGAAATCAAGAGACTTCGATTCTACCCTTATCTCTGTGTAAGACCGTGAGCGAGTCATTAACCAGTTTGCTCTCCTATTTCTCTATAAAATGATCAGTGAACTTTTTACAGACTGACTCCATGACCAATTTAAAAGAGAAGGAAAAACCTTCTATTAAGCTGTGAAGTGGAAAAATTAACTAAGATCTGTATAATATTTTGCATTTTTTCAAAGTCACTTAAAGCTTCATAACTTCTCTTAACAACCCAGAAATGTATTCTAGAGGAGATGTTTATCCATACTGAATGACTTTCTTGTCTCCTTGGTATGAGAATGGAGATTGAATGGAGAGAAAAGGAGCAGAAGCCAGTGGTTGAAAATGCTTCAGGACTCCAACCTTGGTTCTAGATCATCATCCCGGGAAAGAAACAATGACAGTATGGAGGGAACCCTGCTAATCCACTGAAGTTTTTTTTTCTGGGGTCAGTGCTTGAATTTCAGCTTCACCTCACAGTCCTACACACATATACTTTTAGCCCTATTTCCTGGAAGAATGAGGAATGTGATCATCAGTGCTATGCATTCCCTGCAGAACAGTTAATCTTGCTGAAGAGTATGTGTTGGTAAACACATCTCCTTTTGTTGAGAAAGCTGCTGCTCCTTGAGCCCAGGCAAAGTTGGATAGAACACCCTACACTCAGTCCCAAACTAAGAACATGTCCCTCATCAGGTTTTTTCCAGGTGTTTCATGGGCCCTTCTCTGCCAGACACCATGGCAGTCTTCTGCCTTGGAATGGATGAAGGTGGGCTTTATACCATCACTCACTGTGAAACCAGACTTCCTCCCTCCTCTATGAGTACGTGGGCTTATCTGCTTCTGTCTTCTGGCTAGTTATCTTATCTATAGCTTCTTATTCTAATAAGGTATACATATAGCAATGGAAGAATGGCCTTCATTGCAGTAGGCCATCCTTGCATTGCTATAAAGGGATAACTGAGACTGGGTAATTTATAAACAAAGGAGGTTTAATTGGCTCATGCTTCTGCAGGCCATACAAGCATGGCACTGGCATCTGCTCAGCTTCTAAGGAGGCCTCTGGGAGCTTTTACTCATATCATAAGGTGAACCGGGAGCAGGCTTATCACAGGGCCAGAACAGAAGCAAAAGAGAGAGAGAATGGTAGGTGTCACACACTTTTGAATGACCAGATCTTGCATGAACTCACTCATCACCAAGGGGATGGTGCTAAGCCATTCATGAGAGTTCTTCCCCCCGATCCAAACAACTCCCAACAGGCCCCACCTCTAATTCTGGGGATTACAATTCAACGTCAGATTTGGTGGGGACATATATTCAGGATATATCATTCATGTTAGGTTTGTTAATTTGGTTTCTCACCCTTTGGGGTTCCTTTTAATATATAGTTCTACAAACTGCCAAACTATACAATAAATACCTTTTTATTAAATAAATGAATAGAAGCCAAATTTGCATCATGAGAAAATACTATAATTATTCATCCTTTCTACTGGAATATTTTCTCTTTTTAAATAAATTTTTATTTTTATAATTTTTTAACGGTACCAGACATTTAATAGCCACTCCCCCTGCATCCCCACATATTCTCTGTACTCTAAAAAAATCAACCATTTAAATTTTCTGCTGATTTTATTTTCCTTCCAACTTCTTTTTTAACTTTAATTTCAGGTCTAGGGGTACATGTGCAGGTTTATTATATACTAAACTTGTGTCACAGGTGTTCGTTGCACAGATTATTTTGTCACCTAGTACCTAATAGTTATTTTTTCTGATCCTTTCCCTCCTCCCACCCTCCACTTTCAGGTAGGCCCATCTGTGGTTCCCCTTTTTGTGTCCATGTGGTTCAAGGGTACATGTGCAGGTTTGTTATATAGTAAACTTGTGTCACAGGCATTCGTTGCACAGATTATTTTGTCACCTACTACCTAATAGTTATTTTTTCTGATCCTTTCCCTCCTCCCACCCTTCATCTTCAGGTAGGCCCATCTGTTATTCCCCTCTTTGTGTCCATGTGTTCTTATCATTTAGCTCCTACTTATAAGTGAGAACATGTGATATCTGGTTTTCTATTCCTGAATTAGTTTGCTAAGGATAATGGCCTCCAACTCCTTCCATGTCCTCACAAAGGGCATGATCTCATTCTTTTTTGTAACTGCATAGTATTCTATGGTACATATGTACCAGTTTCATTTTCCAGTCTGCCATTGATAGGCGTTTAGGTTGATTCCATTTGTTTGCTATTGTGAATAGTGTTTCAATGAACATACGTGTGCATATGTCTTTATGGTAGAATGATTTATATTCTTTTGGGTATATGCCCAGTAAAGGGATTACTGGCTCAAATGATACCTCTGTTTTTAGCTTTTTGAAGAATCATCACGTTGCTTTCCACAATGGTTGAACTAGCCACAAGCAGTGTATAAGCATTCCTTTTCCTTCACAACCTCGCCAGGATTTGTTTTATATATAGATATATAATATATACATATATTTACTTTATATATATATATATTTACTTTTTAATAATAGCGATTCTGAGTAGTGTGAGATGGTATCTCATTGTGATTTTGATTTGCATGTCTCTAATGATTAGTGGTATTGAGCTTTTCTTGTATGTATGTCTTCTTTTGAAAAGTGTCTATTCATGTCCTATGCCCACTTTTTAAAGAGACTGTTTTTATCTGTAAATTTAAGTTCCTTATAGATGCTAGATACTAAACCTTTGTCAGATATATAGTTTGCAAATATTTCCTCCCATTCTGTATGTTGTATGTTTCCTCTGTTGATAGTTTATTTTGCAATGCAGATGCTTTTTAGTTTAATTAGATCCCATTTATCAATTTTTGCTTTTGGTGTCCTCGGCATGAAATCTTTGCCTGTTCCTATGTCCAGAATGGTATTGCCTAGGTTGTCTTCCAGGGTTTTTATAGTTTTGGCTTTTATATTTAAGTCTCTAATCCATCTTGGGTTGACTTTTGTATATGATGTAAGAAAGGGGTCCAGTTTCAATCTTCTGCATATGGCTAGCCAATTATCCCAGCAACATTTATTGAATAGGAAGTCCTTTTCCCCTTGCTTGTTTCTGTCAGCTTTGTCGAAGATCAGATGGTTGTTGGTGTGCAGCCTTATTTGTGAGCTCTTTATTGTGTTGCATTGGCCTATGTTTCTATTTTTGTACAAGTATCATGCTGTTTTGGTTACTGTAGCCCTGTAGTATTGTTTGAAGTTGGGTAGCATGATGCCTCTAGCTTTGTTCTTTTTGCTTAGGATTGCATTGGCTGTTCAAGCTCTTTTTTGGTTCCATATGAATTTTACAATAGTTTATTTTAGTTCTGTGAAGAATGTCATTGGTAGTGTGATATAAATAGCATTGAATCTGTAAATTGCTTTGGGCAGTATGGTCATTTTAATGATATTGATTCTTCCTATCCAAGAACATGAAATGATTTTCTGTTTGTGTTATCTCTGATTTCTTTGAGCAGTGTTTTGTAATTCTGATTGTAAACATATTTCTCTTCCTGGGATAGCTCTATTCCTAGCTGTTTTATTCTTTTTGTGGCAACAGTGAATGGAATTGTATTCCTGATTTGGGTCTTGGCTTGGCTGTTGTTGGTGTATACAAATGCTAGTGATTTTTGCACATTGATTTTGTACACTGAGACTTCGCTGAAGTTGTTGATCAGCTGAAGAAGCTTTTGGGCCAAGACTCTGGGGTTTTCTACATATAGACTCATGTCATCATCCGGGCATGGCGGGTCATGCCTGTAATCTCAACATTTTGGGAGCCTGAGGCAGGTGGATCACCTGAGGTCAGGAGTTCAAGACCAGCCTGTCCAACATGGCAAAACCCCGTGTCTACTAAAAATACAAAAACTAGCAAGGTGTAGTGGCATGTGCCTGTAGTGCCAGTTACTCAGGGGGCTGAGGCAGGAGAATCACCTGAACCGGGAGGCAGAGGTTGCAGTGAGCCGAGATTGCATCACTGCACTCCAGTCTGGGCAATAGAGTGAGACTCCATCTGAAAAAAATTATATCATTGGCAAACAGTGATACTTTGACTTCTCTCTTCCTATTTGAATGCCCTTTGTTTCTTACTCTCACCACTATCCATGTTGCTGCAACTAGATGATGGGCATTTAGGTCAATTCCATGGCTTTGCTATTGTACATAGTGCTGTGATGAATGTATATGTGCATATGTTTTCATAGTAGAATAATTTATATTCCTTTGGATATATACTGATTAATGGGATTGTTGGGCTGAATGGTACTTCCGTTTTAAGTTCTTTAAGAAATCTCCAAACTGTTTTCCACAGTAGCTGACTAGTTTATATTCCCACCAGCAGTGTTTGAGCATTCTCTTTTTTTCTACAACCTCACCATCATCTGTTTGTTTGTTTTTTTGACTTTTTAATAATAGCCATTCTGACTGCATGAGATGGTATCTCATTGTGGTCTTGGTTTGCATTTCTCTAATGAATAGTGATGTTGAACTTTTTTTTTATATGCTTGTTGGCCACATGTATGTCTCCTCTTGAAAAGTGTCTGTCCATGTCCTTTGCCCATTTTTTAATAGGGTTGTTTGGTTTTTGCTCATTGATTTAAGTTTCTTATAAATTCTTGATATTAGACCTTTGTCAGATGCATAGCTTTCAAATTTTTTCTCCCATTTTTCAGGTTGTTTGTTTCCTCTTTTGATAGTTTATTTTGCTGTGCAGAAGGTCTTTAGTTTAACTAAGTACCATTTGTCAATTTTTATTTTTGTTACAATTGCCTTCAGCTTCTTTGTAATGAAATCTTTGCTAGTTCTTATGTACAGAACGGCATTACCTAGGTTGTCTTCCAGGGTTTTTATAGTTTTGGGCTTTATGTTTAAGTCTTCAATCCAACTTGAGTTGATTTTGTATATGGTGTAAGGAAGGAGTCCAGTTTTAATCTTCTGCATACATCCAGCCAGTTATCCCAGTAACATTTATTGAATATAGAGTCCCTTCCCCATTGCTTGTTTTTGTCAGATTTGTCAAAAATCAGATGGTTGTAGGTGTGCGACCTTATTTCAGGGTCCTCTATTTTGTTCCATTGATCTATGTGTTTGTTTGTGTAGCAGTACCATGCTGTTTTGGTTACTGTAGCTCTGTAGTATAGTTTGAAGTCAGGTCACATGATGCCTCCAGTTTTGTTCTTTTTGCTTAGGATTGCTTTAGCGATTCTGGCTCTTTTTTGGTTCCATATGAATTTTAAAATAGTTTTTTCTAGTTCTGTCAATAATGTCATTAGCAGTTTCATAGGAATAGCATTAAGTCTGTAAATTGCTTTGGGTAGTATGGCCATTTTATCAATACTGATTTTCCCTTATCCGTGTCCATGGAATTTTTTTTTTTAATTTTAATTTTAATTTTAATTTTTTATTATACTTTAAGTTTTAGGGTACGTGTGTACAACGTGCAGGTTAGTTACATATGTATACATGTGCCATGTTGCTGTGCTGCACCCATTAACTCGTCGTTTAACGTTAGGTACATCTCCTAATGCTATCCCTCCCCCCTCCCCCCACCCCACAACAGGCCCCGGTGTGTGATGTTCCCCTTCCTGTGACCATGTGTTCTCATTGTTCAGTTCCCACCTATGAGTGAGAACATGTGGTGTTTGGTTTTTTGTCCTTGCGACAGTTTGCTGAGAATGATGGTTTCCAGCTTCATCCATGTCCCTACAAAGGACATGAACTCATCGTTTTTTATGGCTGCATAGTATTCTGTGGTGTGTATGTGCCACATTTTCTTAATCTATGGAATGTTTTTAGAAACAAATTGCCTAGACTTTTGTTCAGGTTTCTGTTCACACAACAACATAGGGTAGTTTGGCAGTGCACCTGCCAAGATGAGATATGGAGTATGCATGTTTGTTCTCACTCATACAGACTCTTACAGTTAACTCTATACTGAACATCTCAATTTGTGTATACAAATAAAACATCTGAAACTTAGTATGTCCACTGATTTCTTGGTTTTCTCTCTAGTATCAGCTATTTCCATATTCTATATGTCTAGGTTATTGGCAACTGTCTTCTTTCATTTACTGTACCCAAAATCTTGTTTCATTGTTGACTCATCTGTTTTTTTTTCACACCCCACAACAAAAATCTGTCAACACGTTTCATCATCTGTACCTTCAAAAAATATCCAGAGGTGAGGTGCAGTGGATCTTGCCTATAATTCCAGAATTTTAGGAGGCCAAGCTGGGCAGATCGCTTGAAGCCAGGAGTTTGAGACTAGCCTGGGCAACAAAGTGAAACCCCTAGCTCTACAAAAAGTTAAATAAATAATTTAGCCAGGTGTGTTGGTCTTTGCCTGTAGTCCTAGCTACTCAGGAGGCTGAGATAGCAGGATCTCAGCCTGGGAGGTTGAGGTTGCAGTGAGCCATGATCTTGCCACTGTACTCCAGCCTGGGCAACAGAGCATGACCTTGTCTTTAAAAACTAAAAAAGAAAAATCGGACATGGACCACTAATCATTATATCAACTGTCAAACCACCATTATCTTTCATCAGGATTATTTCAATAGTCTTTTAAGCAGAATCCCTGCTTCCACCCTTCTCTCCTATATTCTAATTTCAATAGTTGCCAGAGAGGTCTTGTTAAGATGTAAGTGAGGTCATGTCATCCTCCGGTCAAAACCCTCCAAGGGCTTCCCATCTCACTTGGAATAAAAACTGAAGTCTCTACAATCTGGCTCTCTTGTTACTTCTCAGAACTTGTCTCCTAATATTTCACCCTTTTTTGCACTCTGGTTCAGCTATACCAGCTCATTTGCTGTTCTTTGAACACGTATGGTATATTCTATGAACCTTTGCGTCTACTCTTGTCCAACCATCCACTGGCTCCTTCATCTTCGGGTCTTCGTGCAAATGTATTATTTTCAGTCAGTCTTCTTTCAGCTACTCTATTTATACTACTTCTGACCTCCACCTCCTACCTACACACATATCCTCTTGAGTTTTCCTGCTTAATTTTTCTCATAGTGTGTGGTATAGGTAGAGTTGTGTCTCTCGAAAGGATATGTTAAAGTCTTAACCTGAGGTACTTGTGAAGGTGATCTTATTTGGAAATACAGGCTTTGTAGATTTAATCAAGTTAAGATTATGTTATTAGGGTGAGCCCTAATCCAATATGACTATGTCTTTGCAACAAGAGGGAAATACCAAGTGAAGATGGAGATACACAGAGAGAATATATGTGATGACAGAAGAAGAGATTGGAAAGATGCAGCTGCAAGCAAAAGACAGCCAGGAGTGAGGGTCACTGCCAGAAGCTATGAAGAAGCAAGAAAGAATTCTACTCAGAGCTCCAGAGAGAGCATAGATCTGCTGACAGCTTGATTTCAGACTTCTAATTTTTTATTGTTTTAAGCTACCCAGTTTGTGGTACTTTGTTATGGAGCCCTAGGAAACTAACACAGCATGTATCACTCCGAAACACTACACATTTTACTAATTTATTTTTGTTTGTTTATTGATTGTCTATCTCCCCAGTGTTGTAATGTAAGCTTCAAAAGGAGCACAAGAGTCCCGGCCCTTTGTGTCACACTGCCACGAACTCTACTGCGTTCTACTAATTGACTTCTGCCTAAAGATTGATTGGTCCTAATGCTTCATGGGTGAACCTGCAAATGAATGTCCTGATGATAAGAACTGAACTCAAGGCAAGAAGTGAAAAATTCCAACTATTTCCCTAGAAGAATGGAAGAGTAATTTTGGATTAGATAGAACCTTGGCAATTATAGACTTTGGTGCTACCACATAGTAAGTTGTCTATTTGGACTCCATCTAATGATGACCATGAGCCCAGACCAACTGGTGAAAGTACCAAGTAATTGTCTGTGAATTAGATAAAGAAAATACTAATGGATCAGTTAGATACAAAAGGAATACATATACCATTCATCTTTTGTACTTTCTCAAACCGTCAGTTTTAATAGCTTTTGATTTTTTCACAGTACTCAGTGTCTCAATAACACTATGCCTCAGAGGGAAATGTATTAATTCTGTAACACAATATTCTATGCACTATTGAATTCTGAAGCAAAACATGTTAGAAAAGCAATGTGAATTGTACAGAATAGTCTCTAGATTGCATAGCAGCACTTGGAATGATACTAAAATGAAATGTCCAACACTTAGGAGATATCCTTTATATTGTTCCTGGTCTGTAAATATAAATGGAAAATGTTAGGGGAAGAAAAAGTAGGAAAATGAGAACTCTTGGGGCAATACAGTCTATTGTGGTTGGAGGAATAGATATTGGTGTTAAACAGAACTGGACTTGAACTTTCGTTTCAAGACTTAGTAGCTGTGGATGGTCACTATCAGTTATATTTCCCAGGAACAATATCTACCTCAAAGTGTTACTGTGGGCTGTAGAGAAAACATACATGGAAAATAGCTCAGTGCTCAGCAAATGGTATCCATCATTGTTATGTCACACAATGAAATTTCTACCTATAAGTGAGACTTATTTTAATGTATTGTGAAAGAACAATATAATGAAAAAAAGACTCAGCTCACTGCTGTAGAGCTGCTCAGAACCTCCTTTCAGGAAATGATCTGAGTGTGTTTGTTGACAGTAACTGCTATTGTGGGAAAGAAATCATTCACAATCTTTCTTTTTCTTTTTTTTTTTTAATTTTTTTGAGATGGAGTCTCACTCTGTCACCCAGGCTGTAGTGCAGTGGTGCAATCTCGGCTCACTGCAACCTCTGCCTCCTGGGTTCACGCCATTCTCCTGCCTCAGCCTCTCGAGTAGCTGGGACTACAGGCATCCGCTACCACGCCCGGATAATTTTTTTTTTTTTTGATTTTTAGTAGAGACGGGGTTTCGCTGTGTTAGCCAGGATGGTCTCGATCTCCTGACCTCGTGATACACCTGCCTCAGCCTCCCAAAGTACTGGGATTACAGGCGTGAGCCACCATGCCCAGCCCATTCAGTCTTTCTGATTAACTACTGTATCACTTCTGATCATCATCCTTTTCATCTTACTTGACTATAAATATATAATTTAATGAGCCTTTCACTGAAATAGTTTCTTTGATAATGATATTTTCAAAGTGTTTTCCAGTCATTAATTAATTAGGCAGATCTGCCCATTTTTCTAGACTGTACCATTGAGAAACTTAGCTTGGGGGAAGAGGAAACTGTCCCTGATTTTCTAGCAAAGAAAGAGAGGCAGCCTCACAAATTTTAAAGCATCTTGAAGAGGAGGGAAAAGGTTATTCCAGGAGTTAAAAATTTTTACTGTTGCCTTGTTAATTTTATTTATTTGCAAGTTCTCTTGAAAAACTTTCACCAACTGCCTGAATGACCACAGTCTATGATATGACAATTAGTCCCTCTTGAAACTGTGGTTTCCCTATTTTAATTATTTTGCTTTTTAGACCTGATATCATACATTCTGATTCCCCTGCATTACCTTCATCTCTCTGATTTTATGCCATGGCAAAAGGTTACCTAGCTGAGCATTCAATTTTCCCTTTAACTAAGTAGGAATGGCTACTGGATAACTATACATTTAAAACTATCTGGCTAAGGGAAAATATCAACTTGTAAATGAACCAGGAACCTGATTGGATCTGAACTTTAGCTGGCAATGTGAACAGGGAGCTTGACTGTCAACAAATGAGGCATGTTTTAATTAAGATTTTTTGTTACATCTCAACAGCACACGACAAAAGTGTGGGTCTGGAGGTTGTACTTTAGGTGCTTAATAAGTCTTTCCTGCCATAGGTCTCTTACAAAATCTGACTTTTGCTGTTCCAGAAGACGATGAGAAACAAAATGTGCTGCCTTACTTTCCTTGCACAGTGGCTTAGAAACCAGATTATTTGATATTGCAGAAAAATTGTCACTCTTCAGAATATTTATTTTTGGAAGAAGAATGTGAAATCATTGCCATACCCTATGCAGGGAATCCACATCCCAAGAATGTGGCATGCTTCTCACTTTGTTTAAATCTCTACTCAAATGTTCCTTCCTTTGTGGCTTATGTCATAAATAACCTTGCCATTGCAAGATCATTTTTTTTATGTTTATTGTCTGTTTCCCCTACTGGAATGTGAATTTTATGAGAGCAAGGACTTGAGCTGGTTACTGCTCTATCCTTGGTCAATAGCTGTTGAATGAAAGTTGAATGGCTTTGAAGGAGATGGTAGAAAGGCAGAGTTAAAGGCAATGTAAAATAAGAAAATGTTTCCCATGAGCTAGTCTGAAGGTTATTAGGCCAGTTTCAAAAATTTTATGAAAACCTGACTCATCTTATAAGAGTCTAATTTATTTTAGTCAGGTGATGAGAAGGAGGAATAATCACTATCTACTCCTAAAAACCTATTGAACTTAGCCAATAGTTTAACTTCTCTGCCAGAATGACCTATCTTCTGTTCTTTGCATCATTTTTGCTCACCCCAGCCAGAAAAGAAAAGAGTCGAGATAGGTAAACATCACAGAAATGGGGAAGGATGCACACTGGGTATGTTGGGGCTGGCAGGGGCTGGGGATAAATGGCAGGTGTTGAAGCTTTCTATCTCCTCTTACTGTGGCTAACAACAGTAGCCTGATACATCAGCAAGTGAATTGCTCTCCTGTACTCCATGACTTCTACCCTCTATTCTCACTCCTATTCCTCCTCTACTTTTCTTCTTTAACAATATCTTCTTTTCTATCCTGCCTTCATGAATGGGACTGCAGATGACTCTGGGGAAAGTCAAAGTGTAAGGTTTGGAGCAAAGGGACAGATAAACTAACACATTATGTTCTTTTAGTTATGGGCTCAGCAGGTTCTGTGGTTGAGGGGTTAAGTATAAATTATTCTTTTTTTCCAGTTAATGTTAACAATAGACGTTTTAAGTGCATTTTTAGAGTGTATTTATACTCTTCTTTATG
Organism: Homo sapiens; assembly: GCF_000001405.40. Taxonomy (NCBI): domain Eukaryota; kingdom Metazoa; phylum Chordata; class Mammalia; order Primates; family Hominidae; genus Homo; species Homo sapiens. The sequence continues at coordinate 41,544,560 of NC_000005.10, read as the reverse complement.
TGTCTGATTTCAATAAATTTATTGCTTACTGGTAGCTTTAGTGAAAAATATCAGATTATGATGATTATAATTTTGGTGATGATACTAATAGCTACCATTTTTGAACATGAATGTTCTAGGCACAGTACTAAGTGCAATATATGCATTATTTATTTTATATTCTCAATAGTAGAAGTACATGTTAGTATTGGCTGAATTTTACAGCTAAGGAAACTAAAATTTAAATTAAAGAATTTGCTTAAAATCATTAAGTAATAAAAAGCAGAGTTAGTGGTTCAAAATATGAAAACCTACCAAAGTAATACACCACATTAACAAAATAAAGAATTAAAGTAAATAATTATCTCGATGCAGAAAAGCATTTGAAAACATTCAACACCCTTCCATGATATTAAAAAAACCACTCAACAAACTAGGAATAGAAAAAAAAAACTTGTTTCTATAAAAAGAAACATAATAAAAGCCAAGTGTGAAAACCCCATCGCCAACATCATGGTCAATGGTGAAAGGCCGAAAACTTATCCTCTAAGATCAGGAACAGGGCAAGAACTTCCACTTTTATTATTTCTATTCAACATGGTACTGGATGTCTTGGCAAGAATGACTAGACAAGAAAAAGAAATAAAATGCATCCAACTGGAGGGAAAGGAAATTATCTGTGTTCACAGATGACACGATCTTATATGTAGAAGACCCTAAAGCATCCATGCATGCATGCATGCATGCAAAAAAAAAAAACTGTCAGAAGCAATTTAAAAGTTCAGTAAAGTTCCAAAATACAAAGTTAAGACACACAAGTCAGTTACACATCTGTACACTAACAATGAACAACTCAAAAAGGAAATTAAAAAACCAATTCCATTTATAATAACATCAAAAAATACTTTGAAGCAAAATTAACTCAGGAGACAAAAGTACAGCAAAACAATAAAATATTGTTGAAATAAAGTTAAATAACACACAAATAAATGAAAAGATATTTCATGTTTTTGTTTCAGAAAATTTATTATTGTTAAGATGTCTATACAACCCAAAGTGATCTATGGATTCAGTGCAACCCCTCTCAAAGTCCCAATGATGTTTTTTGTAGAAACAGAAAAAAAAATCCATTCTAACATTTGTATGGCTACGCAACAGAGACCACAGGGGAACTCCGTGTTTCTCCCAAGTCCTGGAGCTAATGGGCAGAGAGGTTGGGAGATAAAGATGTTTTCTTTTTTTCCCTCTTTTTAAATTTTAGATTCAGGGGATGCAGAATTCTTACAAGGGTATTTTGAGTAATGCTAAGCTTTGAGTTTCTAACGGTCGCATCATCCAGGTAGTGAGCATAATATCTGATAAGTAGTTTTTCCACCCTTGCCCCCGTCTTTCCCTCCTCTCTTGGAATCCCCAGTGTCTGTTGTTCTCATCTTTGTGTCTGTGTGTACTCAACGTTCAGCTCCCACTTATAAGTGCCACTTATAAGTGAGAACATGTGGTATTTGGTTTTCTGTTTCTACATTAATTCATTTAGAATAATGGCCTCCAGCTGTATTCATGTTGTTGCAAATGACATGATGTTTTTGTTTCTTATGGCTGCATAATATTCCATAGTGTATATGTATCACTTTCTTTATTCAATCCACCATTGACGGGTACCTGAGTTGATTCCATGTCTTTGTTATTGTGCATAGTGCTGCAATAAATGAATGCAGGTGTCTTTTTGGTAGAATAATTTATTTTCCTTTGGGTATATATGCAGTAATGAGATTGCTTGGTCAAATAGTAATTTTATCTTTACTTCTTCGAAAAATCTTCAAACTGCTTTGCACAGGGGCTGAGCTAATATGTATTTCCACCAACGGTGTATAACTGTTCCCTTTTCTCTGCAACCTCACCAATATTTGTTATTTTTTTACTTCCTAATAATAGCCATCCTGGCTGATATAAGACAGTATCTTATTGTGGTTTTGATTTGCATCTCTCTGATGATTAGCGATAAGCATTTTTTCCTATGATTTTGGTCACTTGTATGTCTTCTTTTGAGACATGTCTGTTCACAGAGGACACCCATTTTCAATCTGGGTTCATACAAAGTCAGTCATTGTTTGGTGACTTTGTTGTAGCAGCAGCTGCCACAGGCATATGTCTCCAGCTGGAGATTGGAGCACTTGACTTGGAGTGAGAAAGGGCTCCTACAGCCAGAATTGAGCAATAAGTGTGGAGTGTGCCATAGACATAGGCATTGGAATTGGGCTGTTTCCTGTCACTGAACTGGAGCAAGAGGAGAGTTGCTGAAGCTGTAATTTCTCCTGGGCAGTGTGATTTGCAACCAGGAGCAGCCTTATGGCATAGAACTGATCTGCATATGTCATTGCTGGGTGCCTCAGCTTGCTCCTTCAGTCAGTTAGGGTAGTGTTCCAAGGAGTGTTCCAGTTGCAAGGAGCAGGAGCAAGGCAGACCCCACTCTGGCTAGCCTGGATTGGGAGCAAGGGCCACACTTCCCTTCTCTTACAAGAACCAGATGCAATGGTGCCCCCTCCACTCACCACCTGGGCATATTTCCAGGCATTAGGTGCACTCACTGCCAGGAATAGGGGCCTGAACTGCCCTTCACTTCCGCTACAAAGACCCTGTTGCAATGGTGGTAACTCTGCTCTGCAGTGGCTACTCTGCTGTTCTCTGGGCAACGTACTTCCAGACATTTGGTGCAACTGCTTGTGTGGATGAGCAACTTGAGTCACCCCTCCCTTTCTGTGCAGAGATCTTGGTGCAGCAGTGCCCTGTCTGCTCCATGCCCAGGAATATTTCCAGGCATTTGGTGCATTCGTTTACCTAGATTAGGAGCCTAAGCTTCCTGTCCCCTCAGATGCAGAGATCTTGGTGTTGCCACTTGATGCCTAGTAGTATCTCCAGGCATTTGGAGCACCCACTCTTCTAGGTTAGGAATTGATGCTAGTCCTCCCTTCCAGCAGAGAACGTGCAACAGCAGAAGTTTCTCCACTTCATACCCCAGCACATCTCTGGGTGCTCGGCAACTGCCCCCAGTCTCCAACTTGGATCTCGTGCTTATGCTTGTCACTGGGGAAATGTAGGCATGGCTGCCCAGTGCACCCCTGTCCAGCTTGGTCCTCCCAGACTCCCTGTAGGTCTGAGCAGGTAGCTCAGATATTCCACAGGACATCTTACTGCCTGAGGAAACAGAGAGCTTCTCACAGTAAACAAAGATCAAGCATATACCCATCTGTATCAGATGCATCTGGCTTTTATCCATAAGCACTGTATACTGGCCTGGAGGTTGAACTGTGTAACCCAATAGAAAATCCACTGACATAAGTGCGTAGCACTAGGGAATGAGATAAACTTCCTGAGACCTCTGTCATGCTGGGCCCACAGGAGGCAGTGAGCCCACTCACATGCCCAGTATATCACTGCTACAACCAGCGTTTGGGAATGCCACCATACAAAGGCTATCTATAACCAAGGAATTTATAGAGTCTTGGCCACTGAAAACATCCAGAACCAAAGCCTAGGGACCATACATCATACACATTATAGTCACATCCCAAGTGGGAAAATCCCATCCAAATGAAAGTAATTTTTTTTTTTTTTTTACAAAAGGAGAGATGGCTTATCCAGATGAAAAAGAACCAGACAAACAATTCTAGAAGTATGAAAAAAAGTTACAACACCCCAAAAGGATCATACTAACTCTCCAGCAGTGGATTCTAACAAAATTGAAATCTTAAAAATATCAAATAAAGAATTAAAAATATTGATTTTAATGACGCTCAATGAGATCCAAGAGAAAGTTGAAAACAAATGTAAAGAAATCAGAAAAAAAATACACAATATAAAATAAGAGAGAGATTATTTTAAAAATTTAAACAGAACTTCCAGAAATGAAAAATTTAATAAAGGAATTATAAAATACAGTTGGAAGCTTCAACAATACACTTGACCAAGCAGAATAAATAATTTCAGAGCAGGAAGAAAGGTCTTTCAAATTAACCCAGTCAGATAAAAAAAAAATTTAATGAACAAAGCCTTTGAGAAATATGGGATTATGTAGTATCTAAACCTACGAGTTATACGTATTCCAGGGGGAGAAGAAGAAAAAGTAAAAAGTATGGAAAACTATTTGAGAGAGTAATTCAGGAAAACTTCCCTGGTCTTTCTAGAGATCTAGACATCCAGATACAAGAAGCTCAAAGAACTCCTAGGAGATACGTTGCAAATAGACACTGGAGACTCCAAAACACCCACTCCAATTTCTGTGGCTAGCAGAGCTGAAGTTTCACAAGTTAAATCTGCTGTTGCTCTCTCAAGTCTAAGAGTTTGAACAAGCTAGTTCCCTTTTCCTTTTCTATCTCATATTGACTCAGAACTTTGTAACTGCTGACAGATATACAGGAGGATGGGAAGAGGTTAGGAATGAAACACTACTTATTGTGTACAAGTACGATATTTGGATGATGGGCACGCTAAAAGCCCAGACTTCCAGACTTCACCACTATGCAAATATCTGTGGAACACAACTGCATTTGTACACATAAATCCATAAGTATAACAAATAAATAAACACGTGCAGCTGCACGTCAAAATTAATGTACTCTGTGCTTTACTGGAAGTATGTTTTGCTTCAATTAAAAAGTAAGAAAAACTAAATATTTGAATTTAGTGAAAGTAGTTTCAGTTAAAAGAATAATCAAACAGTATAAAATCATACAGATAAATCAACAAGTGGATGAACACAAATTCCAAATTTTCACTTCTCACGCAGGCATGCACAGACCACCAAATTGCAACATTGTGCTGAAACAGCAGGCAGCATGTACTGAAATCTGTGCAGAATTTAGATTCACTAGAGGTCAGCAAATCTCCTAGACAGCAAGCTTCAGTGGCAACAACCCTTCAGCTCTTGTCAAAGGCTCAGCTGATACCAGATAGGCATTAATATTTCAAAAAGAGAAGAGCGCCAGTAGCCTTAGGCAGCCCAGCTTAACTCTCTATAGTCCAGCAGCCTCTAGCAACCAGAAATGAGCTTTGGGAATTAATTTTTCCCTTTCCCCACCACTAGACCTCCAGAGAATGCTTCTGGCATGGACTAATACATGACATTTACCTTTTGTCCATTACCCACAAAAAAGCAGTTCTATTCTGTGTAGACCTTCTTTTTGATGGTGAGTTTTCAGGGCATGGTCAGTAGACCACCACTAGGTAATCTATTTAAGGACATTATACAACTATTTGCAATGCATTCTGATGAAAAATGTTGTTTAAAAATGGAAAAAGTATTTTGAACTGGATGTTTGGATTTTTTAACACATCATCAAGCTTTACTATAGAAAATGAATGAAATTACCAGCCAAGGAGCCCGGTCTAAACCACTGCTTTCTGTTGCTCTAGTCTTGCTCAGTGTAGATGCTGGCCCAGATTCTGAGCTGAACAAAGAACACAATCATAAACTTACAGTCTTTGATGTCATAAACTTTAATAACTAAAATAATAGCTCTGTTTGATGGTGGTCATCTCAAACTCTTATCACAAGTTGAAAAGGGAGACACATTAGTATTTCTGGTCACATATTGGCCTGTCAAAACCTCAGATTGCTTTCAAAAGCACGTCAATAAGTGATTTTTAGGAATGAGGCACTGTAAAGAATGATAGAGCATTCTAATTGTAGCTCTTAGCTCAGCAAACATTCATACTTACTAATGTATATTATATACGTATTGGACTTCTCAATGTCAACATGCTTCTGCATACATTGTCTCATTTGATTCTCAAAAATTTCCATAAAATAGGTACCATATTGGTTGGAGGTCCACTCAAGGTCACCCAGTAAGTGAAGGAGTTGGGACTAGAACCCAGATGTTTTAGTCACTATACTCCAATTTCTGTGGCTAGCGGGGCTGAAGTTTCATGAGTTAAATCTGCTGTTGCTCTCTCAAGTCTAAGAGTTTGAACAAGCTAGTGCCCTTTTCCTTTTCTATCTCATATCAGCTCAGAACTTTGTAACCGCTGACAGTTATACAGAAGGTGTTTATCACTCTATCCTATGAAGTAAGTTTTATAAGGAACATGGACTACATGGAGATCTTGTTATATTTTCCTAAATTATTAGACATTAGTGATCAAAATAGGGAGCTGGTTAAAAAAAAAAGTAAGCATAAACAAAGCTCCACATTTTGCTTTAGGATTAGAGAGTGTCAGAAAAACATTTATGAAATCATAGCTCCTGTCTCTAACACCTGGAAAGTGAGACCAATTTTTTTATAAGGTGTAAAATATAGAACCTAACTCTAAGAAGAAAATGAAATAGAAAAATTAAGTTCTTTGTAAGTTCATTCAGCATCTGAAGTGATTAATAATGGATATAATTCATGAACTATCACTATTTTTTGCCCTGTCTATGTTATTTGTTTCTGTTGTTTTATTAAGACATATAACACATACAGTTATATAACTACCAACAAAATTAATAAGTAGAACAGTCCCATTACTACTCCAAATTCTATACCACCCATGTTTTATGACTTTATACAATTATCTAAAATGTATTTACAAACCACAACATCCACACACATAGAAGTTAAGTTTGTATATGCCAAATATGTGTATATTTGGGCATTATTTATACTAAATTTACAGATTGGAAAATTGAGGTCAAGGGAGGTTGCAGTGGCTATGTCCCTCCCTCCCCCATGAATTCATATGTTGAACGTAATCTCCGATGTGATGGTATTAGGAGGTGGAGTGACTAAGTCATGAGTTGTCATGAATATGATGAGGGCCTTTATAAAAGAGGCCACAGATGGCCGGGTGTGGTGGTTCATGCCTGTAATTCCAGCACTTTAGGAGGCTGAGATGGGTGGATCATGAGGTCAGGAGATCAAGACAATCCTGGCTAACACAGTGAAAACCTGACTGTACTAACAATACAAAAAATTAGCCAAGCATGGTGGCGGGCACCTGTAGTACCAGCTACTTGGGAGGCTGAGGCAGGAGAATGGCATGAAACTGGGAGGCGGAGCTTGCAGTGAGCTGCAATCATGCCACTGCACTCCAGCCTGGGTGACAGAGCAAGACTCTGTCTCAAAAAAAAAAAAAAAAAAAAAAAGAGACCACAGAGAAGTCCTCTTTCTCTTCTGCTATGTTGTGAAGACACAGTGACAAGGCACCATCTATGAACCAGAAAGTAGGTCCTCACCACAATCTACCACACCATGATTTTGGACTTCCCAGCCTCCAGAACCATGAGAAATAAATATCTGTTTTCTCTAAATCACTCAGGCTATGGTATTTTGTTATAGCAGCCAACACGGACTGATACAGATGTAAATAATTTGTCTGAGTGGTAGAGCCATGGTTGAAAGCATGTCTAACTACTGAACTCTTATCACTACCCTGCTTATCCAGGGTATGCACGATTAAGATCTGGATATACAAATCTAAGGGCTATACTATTTTATGTAGATGGAGCTAAGAAATACCCTCAGTCAGGAAATTTATAGCACTAAATGCCCACAAGAGAAAGCAGGAAAGATCAAAAATTGACACCCTAACATCACAATTAAAAGAACTAGAGAAGCAAGAGCAAACACATTCAAAAGCTAGCAGAAGGCAAGAAATAACTAACTAAGATCAGAGCAGAACTGAAGGAAATAGAGACACAAAAACCCTTCAAAAAATCAATGAATCCAGGAGCTGGTTTTTTGAAAAGATCAACAAAATTGATAGGCCGCTGGCAAGACTAATAAAGAAGAAAAGAGAGAATAATCAAATAGACCCAATAAAAAATGACAAAGGGGATATCACCACTGATCCCACAGAAATACAAATTACCATCAGAGAATACTATAAACGCCTCTACACAAATAAACTAGAAAATCTAGAAGAAATGGATAAATTCCTCGACACATGCACTCTCCCAAGACTAAACCAGGAAGAAGTTGAATCTCTGAATAGACCAATAACAGGCTCTGAAATTGAGGCAATAATGAATAGCTTACCAACCAAAAAAAGTCCAGGACCAGATGGATTCACAGCCGAATTCTACCAGAGGTACAAAGAGGAGCTGGTACCATTCCTTCTGAAACTATTCCAATCAATAGAAAAAGAGGGAATACTCCCTAACTCATTTTATGAGGCCAGCATCATCCTGATACCAAAGCCTGGCAGAGACATAACAAAAAAAGAGAATTTTAGACCAATATCCTTGATGAACATTGATGCAAAAATCCTCAATAAAATACTGGCAAACCGAATCCAACAACACATCAAAAAGCTTATCCACCATGATCAAGTGGGCTTCATCCCTGGGATGCGAGGCTAGTTCAACATACGCAAATTAATAAACGTAATCCAGCATATAAACAGAACCAAAGACAAAAACCACATGATTATCTCAATAGATGCAGAAAAGGCCTTTGGCAAAATTCAACAACCCTTCATGCTAAAAACTCTCATTAAATTAGGTATTGATGGGACATATCTCAAAATAATAAGAGCTATCTATGACAAACCCACAGCCAATATCATACTGAATGGGCAAAAACTGGAAGCATTCCCTTTGAAAACTGGCACAAGACAGGGATGCCCTCTCTCACCACTCCTATTCAACATAGTGTTGTAAGCTCTGGCAAGGGCAATCAGGCAGTGGAAGGAAATAAACGGCATTCAATTAGGAAAAGAGTAAGTCAAATTGTCCCTGTTTGCAGATGACATGATTGTATATCTAGAAAGCCCCATCGTCTCAGCCCAAAATCTCCTTAAGCTGATAAGCAACTTCAGCAAAGTCTTAGGATACAAAATCAATGTACGAAAATCAGAAACATTCTTATACACCAATAACAGACAAACAGAGAGCCAAATCATGAGTGAACTCCCATTCACAATTGCTTCAAAGAGAATAAAATACCTAGGAATCCAACTTACAAGGGATGTGAAGGACCTCTTCAAGGAGAACTACAAACCACTGCTCAATGAAATAAAAGAGGATACACACAAATGGAAGAACATTCCATGCTCATGTGTAGGAAGAATCAATATCGTGAAAATGGCCTTACTGCTCAAGGTAATTTGTTGATTCAGTGCTATCCCCATCAAGCTATCAATCACTTTCTTCACAGAATTGGAAAAAACTACTTTAAAGTTCATATGGAACCTAAAAAGAGCCAGCATTGCCAAGTCAATCCTAAGCCAAAAGAACAAAGCTGGAGGCATCATGCTACCTGACTTCAAACTGTACTAAAAGGCTACAGTCACCAAAACAGCATGGTACTGGTACCAAAACAGAGATATAGACCAATGGCACAGAACAGAGCCCTCAGAAATAATGCCGCATATCTACAACCATCTGATATTTGACAAACCTGACAAAAACAAGCAATGGGGAAAGGATTCCCTATTTAATAAATGGTGCTGGGAAAACTGGCTAGCCATATGTAGAAAGCTGAAAGTGGATCCCTTCCTTGCACCTTATACAAAAATTAATTCAAGATGGATTAAAGACTTACATGTTAGACCCAAAACCATAAAAACCCTAGAAGAAAACCTAGGCAATACCATCCAGGCCATAGGCACGGGCAAGGACTTCATGATGAAAACACCAAAAGCAATGGCAACAAAAGCCAAAATTGACAAATGGGATCTAATTAAACTAAAGAGCTTCTGCACAGCAAAAGAAATCACCATCAGAGTGAACAGGCAACCTACAGAATGGGACAAAATTTTCGTAACCTACTCATCTGACAAAGGGCTAATATCCAGAATCTACAATGAACTCAAACAAATTTACAATAAAAAAACAACCACATCAAAAAGTGGGCAAAGGATATGAACAGACACTTCTCAAAAGAAGACATTTATGCAGCCAACAGACACATGAAAAAATGCTCACCATCACTGGCCATCACAGAAATGCAAATCAAAACCGCAATGAGATACCATCTCACACCAGTTAGAATAGTGATCATTAAAAAGTCAGGAAACAACAGGTGCTGGAGAGGATGTGGAGAAATAGGAACAGTTTTACACTGTTGGTGGGACTGTAAACTAGTTCAACCATTGTGGAAGTTGGTGTGGCGATTCCTCAGGGATCCAGAACTAGAAATACCACTTGACCGGGCCATCCCATTACTGGGTATATACCCAAAGGATTATAAATCATGCTGCTATAAAGACACATGCACACGTATGTTTATTGTGGCACTATTCACAATAGCAAAGACTTGGAACCAACACAAATGTCCAACAATGATAGACTGGATTAAGAAAATGTGGCACATATATACCATGGAATACTATGCAGCCATAAAAAATGATGAGTTCATGTCCTTTGTAGGGACAAGGATGAAGCTGGAAACCATCATTCTCAGCAAACTATCACAAGGACAAAAAACCAAACACCACATGTTCTCACTCATAGGTGGGAATTGAACAAAGAGAACACATGGACACATGAAGGGGAACATCACACACTGTGGACTGTTGTGGGGTGGGGGGAGGGGGTAGTATAGCATTAGGAGATATAACTAATGCTAAATGATGAGTTAATGGGTGCAGCCCACCAACATGGCACATGTATACATATGTAACAAACCTGCACATTGTGCACATGTACCCTAAAACTTAAATTATAATAATAATAATAAAAAGAAAATTAGAAAGACATAGAAAAGCATCAAAGTCAATAAAAACCACCTGGACTCCATAAAAAAAAAAAAAGTAGTACCCTCAGTCAGAAAAGTATAACCTGCTGGAGATAGACTACAACTCCCTGGTTATACAATAAAGGTTTTGGTCATCTTTTTTCTTTCACCACACAAATGCTTCTTCATCAATAATTTTTTACTTTTCCCAGTGTGAGTTTTCTCCTGTGTGAATACTGCTCTGATCTTACAGCAGACATTTGAATTGAATTTATAGAACTGTGCTGTACTTGTAGAAATGATTAATTCAACAGTTCTATGATTCTAGCTGCAATTTGACCATACAAGACGATTAGTTTTATCAATGGGCAAGCTATCCTGAATTGAAACCCCACAGAGGAAGAGGGGATGATTAATAAGACAAGTAAAAATTTGCTTCTCTTAGCATCATCCAACTGTGTATATAGCAAGCATCATTATATTTTAACATGCTGGGAACACTCATCTTGAATGAATGTTAGTCAATAAAATTTCCCTTTTAAAGGATTGCTACTGTGGGACCTGCTTTTGTTTCCCAAAACTGTAAAGACATGCTGAGAATTCAAAGAAAAGTATACTGTACAATAGTTAATAAAATGCTATAAAGTACTAAAGAAGTGCAGTCCCTTGTTTATTAAAAAATGCAGTACACTTTCCTGAAAATTTTACTTAATATCATGTGGGTATTTTTCTTCCTGGAAAATACTTAAATATTTTCATTAGATCCATCATTGACATGATAATAATAATTAAATAAAAATTATAGTTACCCATTGGATATTAAGAGAACAAGAAGATAGGGAAATTTATAATAAAAATAAAACTCAAAAGAATTCAAACTCATCTCATTTGCAATTATAGGACACATTTAAGTCACTAGGTTATTCAGCCTTGGGAGACCAGATGAGCTAATTTATAGGTATTTAATTAAACCTATATGGTGAAGTCTCCATTATAAAACTAGTTAAAAATACAAAAGGAGACCTAAATGAGTGTGGTAAAGCCCATTTTCTCTTAGACCACAAATGGTCCATATCAGATTTCAAAAATTGACATAATATTCAGGTAAAATGTTACTGAGAAATTTCAGTGGTGGGGTACATGAATGGAGAGGGAGAAAATAAAAAATGAAGCAAGAGTCCTTCCTTTTGTTTTATTTGTAGAGGGTTGACGGGGTGTGTTTGTGGTGTGGGAGCATCTCACTCTATGTCTTGCTTTCATTTTTTGGCTTTGCCTGAAAGTAGCATAAGACCCACAACAGGAAATGCCATATTCTTTAAAAGATGCAGACCACTGACAAATCAGTCAGCTCCTCAATTATATTTATCAATGCATGTTTTTTAACTTCTCTCACTTCCCTCACTTTCTACACAAGCACTTTTTTTCTCCAAATGTAAAGGCCATTACATGCCTTTTTCCCCCCTTTCCCTTTAAGAACTGACTCAATTCTGGAGTTCTCCCAAGAATCAGCCTGCATAGGCTACAGAACTCAGGAGATTATGAAAATGTTTGTGCTCTCTCAGTATCAAAGAACAATATTGTTGAGTTTAGAGGGGAGAACTTTTCTGGTAAATAATCTATTTAACTCAAACTTCTTAGAGAAAATAATAGGAATGTAAACGAAGATACTATTTATTTCACGATATTTACTGAGCATTTATGGGCAGAACACAATGTCTGTACAATTGGCTCTTGGCTTCATTCTCCCTGTCTTTACAGAGCAATGTGGAGAGTGCTCATTTTCTAAATTGTCTTGAGTTAAAGCTCTGGTGGCTAACAAAAGTATTAGGGAAACTGCCAGTAGAGTAAACATATTTTTAAAAGAATAATAAAAAGTTTATTTGCTATCAGAAGTATGAAATCCAACCCTATACCTATCTACTACAATACTCAAATCAGAGGTGAAGTGCAAGGAGACACCTCCAGGATTTAATAACCAGTTCTTTAAAAGTAAACTTCTTAGACTGGCATTTAATCAAGTCTCAATAAACATTCCTAGCCTCATATCCTTCTTCCTATGAAAATGAATAATGCTTCTCTGAGAAGAAGACTATGAAAATCAGAGATGCGGTATGCCTTTAGAGAAGAAAATCAGCTCTATTTAATAAGCAACTACTTCAAATTTTGTTTATCCAGGTGCAGTACAGTATATTCCAAAATATATATATTGACTGGGAAAAGTTAACCCCATTGGTTAGATTTATTAGGCCAATGTCAGTTGTCCAAAACCAGATCATGTTTTTTCATAATTCATTCTTTCTAGCATGAAGTCTCAACACTTACTTTTCTGACACTTGAAGTTCAAAAATAAGATGCCATAAGGAATTAAAAAGTCCATATCTAACAGGCACCTTAAGAATGATAGGTATTCAATACATTATCTCATAATAATATTTACTTGGAACATGCAGTAGGTCTAAGCTGCAATATTAAGACTAGCCAAAAGGCACTATTATCTAACACAAGTCATTCTCTACCATAAATTTTATTTAAGCTTATTGTTTTAGTTTATATAAAATGAATAAATTATATACCTCCAAACATATCTAGATAATTAGGAACATTTTTACTTATTATAAAAGTTTTCTAGACAGTATCACTAGTAATTCTCAAAAAACTGAAAAGCTTTGATTGATAAAAAGTGCCAGCCATCATATTTCATAAATGTAGAAAAAAATTATTGTGACTCTTGTTAAAATGATACATAAGATTATTTAAAACTATTGGAATAAAATACTGCACTGGGCTCAACTTTGAATACAGCTACACCAATGAGGATTTATAATCAAGGGATCAGTAGAATAAAAAATCACTAAGAGGTGACATCAAGGGTAGGGGGACTCTTGATAAATAGACTTAGCAGTAATCTAATCCTGACAAGAAGACACCCAATGTCTTCTTTGTCTTTACAATTGAGCTATAACTTTCATACTGTGATATATACAGCTCTTCAAAGTGCAGTTTGATAAGTTTTCACAAATGTATGTTACATTTTAATGATGATATAACTATCACCCAAATCAAGATACAGAACTAAAAACTTATCTCAGAAAAGTTTCTCAACTTTTTACAGTTAATCTTTCTCCAAGGTAATCATTTTTCTGAGTTTTGTGTCTTAAACTTATCTCAGTCCATCTAACTGAAACTTTGTGCCCTTTGACCAACACCCCCTCAGTTCTCCCCAAATCTCAATCTCCTGGTGACCATCATTCTGTTCTTTTCTTCTATGAGTTTGACATTTTTAGATCCCACATATAAGTGACATAATGTGGTATTTTTCTTTCTATGCCTGGCTTGTTTCACTTAACACAATGTCCTCCAGGTTTATTAATGTTGTTTCAAATGACAATATTTTCTTTGTTTTTAAAACTGGATATTATTTCATTGTGTATATGCTATATTTTCTTTATCTGTTCATCCACTGGTGGAGACTTATGTTAACACCATATCTTGGCTATTGTGAATAATGCTGAAATGAACATGGGAGTGCAGTTATCCCTTCAACATACTGATTTCATGTTCTTTGGATATACATCCAGTAGTGGAATTGCTGGATCATGTGGTAATTCTATTTTTAATTTTTTGAGGAAGCTTCATACTGTTTCCATAAAGGCTATACTAATTTACACTCCCACCAACAATGTGCAAGAGTTTCCTTTTGTCCATATCCTTGCCAACAGTTATCTTTTGTCTTTTTGAAAATAGCTCTTCTAATAGGTGTGAGGTGATAGCTTAGTGTTTCAATTTGCATTTATCTGATGATTAATGATGTAGAGCATTCTTTCATATACTTGTTGGCCATTTATGTATCTCTCCTTTTGAGAAATGTCTATTCAGGTCCTTTGCTCATTTTTAAAATCAGGTTATTTGTTTTCTTGCTATTGAGTTGTTTGACTTTCTAAACATATTTTGGATATTAATTGCCTGTCAGATGCATGGCTTACAACTATTTTCTCCCACTCTGTAGTTTGCCTCTTCACATTGTTGTTTCCTTTGCTGTACAGAAGTTTTTTAGTTTGATGCAATCCCATTCTCATGTTTTTGCTTTATTTGTTTGTGCTTTTTGGATCATATAGAAAACAAAATTACTGGTCAGATTGATCTCAAAAAGCTTCTTCTCCTATGCTTTTGTGAACCTAAAATATCTGAGAAAGTCTCAGTCAATTTAGAAAGTTTATTTTGCCAAGGTTAAGGATGTGCCTGTGACACAGCTTAAAGATGCCCTGATGACATGTGCCCAAGGTGGTTTGTATGCAGCTTGGTTTTATACATTTTAGGCAGACATAATACATCAATCAATACAGGTAAGATGTATTGTGTTGATGCAAAAGTAATTGTGGTTTTTGCAATTAAAATTAATTTTACTTGTTCTGTGTAAAATAATGTGACATACCACATTATGTCTCTTATATGTGGGATCTCAACAGACTTAGCAGTAACCTAAGTAATCAAAAGTAATGATAAAATTGCAATTACTTTTGCACCAACCTAATACATTAGTTCAATCTGGAAGAGTGAAACAACTTTGGGGGCACTTCTACGTAATAGGTAGATTTAAACATATTCTGACTGGCAATTGGTTGAGTTATTACCAGTAGAAAGGAATGTCTGGGTTAAGATAAGGGGATGTGAAGACCAAGGTTTTATTATGCAGGTGAAGCTTCCAGGTAGCAGGCTTTAGAGAAAATATATTGTAAATGTTTCTTATCAGACTTAAGGTCTCTGTTGATGCTAATGCTGGAGGGGCATAATAAGGCATGTCTGACCTCAGCTTCCATCATGGCCTGAACCAGTCTTTCAGGTTAAATTTTAGAGTGCACTGGTTGAGGAGGGAGTCCATTCAGATGGTTGCAGGGGGCCCTTTGAATTTTATTTTTGGTTTACACTTTCTTCTAGTAGTTTTAAAGTTTCAGGACTTACATTTAAGTCTTTAATTCATTTTGAGTTAATTTTTTGTGAGATATGAGATAAAAGTCCAATTTTATTCTTCTACAGGTAGATATCCAGTTTTCACATCAGTATTCATTGAAGAGACTTTCCCCATTGTGTGTTCTTGGCATATTTATCAAAGATTAATTACCCATAACATGGATTTATTTCTGGCCTTACATTATGTTCCATTTGTCTATATGTCTGTTTTTAAGCCAGTATCATGCTGTTTTGATTACTATGGCTTTGTAGTATATTTTGAAATCAGATAGTGTAATGCATTTAGCTTTGTTTTCTTGTTCTTTTGTTTTATTTTGCTCAAGACTGCTTTAACTATTCACTTTTATGATGTTTATTGTCAGATTTTACTTGGCTTGTTTCTTTACTTCATTAGTTAATTGCTGCTACATACAAACCTCAAAACTCAATAACTTAAAACAACTCCTTATTTAATTCACAAATAAATGGATCAGCAATTTGGTCTGAATTCGTTTGTGTGGTTCTTGTTTCTTTTGGGCTCACTCAAGTATTTGTGATTAACTGCTAAGTCTGCAGCTCCAGGATGGCCTTGGTTATGACATTTTATCTCTACTTTATATGGTTTCTCATCCTTCTATTATTGGAAAGAGGTCCTGATCCAGACCTCAAGAGAGGGTCTTGGATCTCATGCAAGAAATAATTCAGGATGAGTCTACAGAGTAAAGTGAAAGCAAGTTTATTAAGAAAGTAAAGAAGCAAAACAATGGCTACTCCATAGGCAGAGCAGTGGCATGGTCTGCTCGACTGAGTATACTTATAGTTACTTCTTGATTATATGCTAAACAAGATGTATTAGTCTGTTTTCATGCTGCTGATAAAGACATACCCGAGACTGGGTAATTTATAAAGAAAAAGAGATTTAAGGGACTCACAGTTCCCTATGGCTGGGGAGGCCTCACAATCACTGCAAAAGGCGAAAGGCATGTCTTGAATGGCAGCAGACAAGAGATAATGGGAACAAAGCAAAAGGAGTTTCCATTTATAAAACCATCAGATCTTATGAGACGTATTCACTACCATAAGAACAGTATGGTGTAAACTGCCCTCATGATTCAATTATCTCCCACCTGGTCCCTCCCACAACACATGGGAATTATGGGAGGTTCAATTCAAGATGAGATTTGGGTGGGGACACAGTCAAACCATATCACAAGGGGTGAATAATTCATGAGTTTTCTCAGAAAGGAGTGGGCAGTTCCCAGAACTGAGGGTTCCTCCCTTTTTAGGCCAAATAAAGTAACTTCCTGACATTGCTATGGCATTTGTAAACTGTCATGACACTCGTGGGAGTGTCTTTTAGCATGTGAATGCATTATAGTTAGCATATAATGAGCAGTGAGGACGACCAGAGATCACTTTCATCACCATCTTGGTTTTGGTAGGTTTTGGCTGGCTTCTTTACCGCAAACTGTTTTATCAGCAAGGTCTTTGTGGCCTGTATCTTGAGCCAACCTCTATCTCATCCTGTGACTAAGAATGCCTAACTTCCTGGGAATGCAGCCAAGCAGGTCTCAGTCTTATTTTACCCAGCCCCTATTTAAGATGGAATCACTCTGGTTTGAGTGCCTCTGACACGTCAGCAGACTATTTTGGGACTGCTCACATGGTGCCTGGATATGGTTCAGAGACAGAGTTGGGTATGTGAAGAATCTTGTCTGAGAACTGGGGCACGATTACTCCCACTGCATTCTATTGACAAAAGTCACATTCCAGTCCAGATTGAAGAAGTGGACAATTGGCCACCTCTTGATGGATGGTTAAAAAAAAATTGCAAAACGTGTGGATGTGAAAAAGAGTTATATGGTCATTTTTACTATTATCTTTATATAAAGGGGATAATATGGCATGTGCTCTTTTGTGTCTTCTGGCGTTTTTTTCTGCTAACATAAAATTTTTGAGGGTTATCCATATTGTTAAGTCAGAGTGATTTAAAACAACAGAAATGTATTATCTCATGGTTCTAGGGACTGGAAGTCTGAAATCAAGGTGTTGGCAAGGCCATGCTCTCTCCATCGGCTCTAGGAGAGAATACTTCCTGTCCTCTTCTAGCTTTGGTGTGAAGACTAAACTCTGACCTTTTTTTCTTAATCTTATCTTGCTCAAATTCCTTCTTAAGGGGTTTGGTGAGCACGCCCTACAAACCCTAAAGTCTCATCAGAGGAGTTTTATTTAACCCTGTATAACATGTCCTACTTTCGAACCTGACTTTGGCATAACATCACACAACAAATAAGCAACCCCAAATATATTTTATTGTCTTATCTTGAAATTGGCCTGCAAAGTCGTCTCTTGTGGGAAAAACCTACATTCTGTAGAGAATCCCCTTTTCTCTTTTTTTTTTTCACTTTCCAGATCCAGGAGATAATCAGCTAAGAGCCAGGTGCCCTTTTATGTCTGATAAGAAACATTTTATAACCTATTTTCCCTGAAGTCTACTATGTTAAGGCTTCCTCTGCACAATAAAACTTTGACCTCCACAATCCCTTATCCTAACCCAAACATTTCTTTTCTATTGATCTCAGGCCTTTATATAAACTCAACCAATTGTCAAACAAAAAATGTTGAAATTTACCTTAGCCTGAAAGCCACCTCCTCAAGTTGTCTTGCCTTTTTGAACCAAACCAAAGTACATCTTAAATGTATTTGGTTGATGTTTCATGTCTCCCCAAAATGTATAAAACCCGGCTCTTCCCTAACCACTTTGGGCACACGCTCTTAGGATCTCCTGATGGCTGTGTCACAGGCCATAGTCATTCATATTTAGCTTAGAGTAAATCTCTTCAAATATTTTACAGAGTTTGACTCTTCGTTGACAGGTGTTTGCCAGCAACCTTTGGCATTCTTTGGCTTGCAGGTGTATCATCACTCCAGTCATATGACTTTTCTCCCTGCGTGTCTTCACATCATCTTCACTCTGTGTGTTTCTTTGGACATATTTCCCTTTTAGGACAGCAGTCATATTGGATTAAAGTCTATCCTAATGACCTCGTTTCTACTTGATGACCTCTGTAGTGATCCTATTTCCACATAAAGTGACATTCTGAGTTACCCAGGGTTAGGATTTTAACATATCTTTTTGGAAGGCTATAATTTGACCCATAATGGAGCTACTATAAGTAAAGTTGTTACAAACATACTTGTATAATTCTCTTTGTGGTAATATACTGAATTATTTTGAGATATATACCCTGGAGTGAGTAATAGGTAAAGTGTATGTTTAACTTTATTGGAAGCTACCAAAGAGTTTTAAAGAGGTTGTATCATTTTACACATATATCAGAAATTCATGAGAGTTCCAATGATTCCACTTTCTTGCTAAGAATTGATACTGTTGGGGGCCGGGCCCAGTAGCTCACACCTATAATCCCAGCATTTTGGGAGCCCGAGGTGGCAGATCATGAGGTCAGGAGTTCAAGACCAGCCTGGCCAACATGGTGAAACCCTGTCTCTACTAAAAATACAAAAAATTATCCAGGCGTAGTGGTGGGTGCCTGTAATCCCAGCTCCTGGGGAAGCTGAGGCAGGAGAATCACTTGAAACCAGAAGGTGGAGGTTGCAGTGAGCTGAGATCGCACCACTCCACTCCAGCCTGGGCAACAAGAGCGGAACTCCACCTCAAAACAAACAACAAAAAAAGAATTGATATTGTCGTCTTTTGAATTATTGTCATTCTAGTAGGTATATACTGATATCTCATTTGGCTTTAATTTTCATTTCTATGATGACTAAGAATGATAAATACATTTTCATGTGTTTGTTGGCCATTCGTATATTTTCTTTTGTGATATGTCTGCTCATATCAGACATGGCAGAAGCCCATGCCTAAGAATGGCCTTTTTGGGGGCAAAGATGTTCTTTACTTCTCTACCTTCAAAATGTTATAATTCAGTGCTATGCTTCTATAAAAACTTACCACAAAAATAGTGGCTTAAAATAACAAAAGGAGGAGGTCGGAATTTCAAAACGGGTCTTATGAGACTAAAACCAAGGTATTGGCAGAACTGCATTTCCTCTGAAGGCCCTAGAAGGAAATCTATTTCTCTGCCTTTTCCAGCTTCTAGAGGCTTCCTGCATGTGCATGCCTTGGCTCATGCCCTTTCCTCCATCCCCAAAGCCAGTGGAATGGCACATTTACATCTCCCTCTCATTTTCCCTCCTTCCTTCTTTCCCTCTCTCCCTCCTGCTTCTTTTCGCTTCTGACCTCACATCTCTTTCTCTGACTCTGACTTTCCTGCCTTCCTCTTATAAGGACATTTATAATTCTATCGAGCCCATTCAAATAGTTTAGAATAGTCTCTCCATTTCAAGAGCCTTAACTTATTTAAATCTGCAAAGTCTCTTTTGCCATGTAAGGTAACATTTTCACAGGTTTCAAAGATTCAGATGTGGATACTGTTGGAGGTATCATTATTTTGTCTACCACACCTGCCAGTTACTAGGCTGTTCTTCCTTGGTGACAAATCCACTCTTCCATATCTCTGATCTGAGATAATGGAACTCTGCAAATTATACTTCTGTTTTGCCAGCTGGTTCTTTGTCAGGTTCTGCCAATAGGGGGCACTAAGAGATACTGGAAGGCAGGAAGTGGAAGGAGGGACTTCAATCTTTTTTGTTTAGGTTGATGGTTTTATTGGCATTGCCCTAGCAATTCTTTCTCACTGGCAGCAGCAGAGGGGAAAGATCCCAGCTATTTTTCTAAATTTCCAGAATGGTCACACTTCTAGAATGAGTCTCATCTCCCTAAGAGGTGCCCAAATAAGCTGGGCAATGTCAGTCTTTCAGAGATACTGCTCTTCAGAACCACTGCTCCAAGCATCTGGGTTCTGATAACCTCAAATTGTTGTCTTTGCTTCCTCAGCTCTAGAGATGACAGCAGGTTCTTGCAATGATTACTGTAGTGTTCATTTTTAGGTTTTCTTTTCAGTTCTCCAACATCTATTTAACAGTTTCCTTTTATTGGAATCTCTTGGTTGAAAATATCTAGTGTACTTTTGTTCTCCTGTTACATTTACACTACGATTAGTTATTCAACTCTCCCAATACGTGGAGACAAAACTAAAGAATCATAGCCCAAGAAGAAATAGGTGGTAGTAGCTGTGAGCAAGGAGAAATTTTATCAAGTCTAATTCTTTTTCAGGAAGCATCATGGCATAGAAAGACATGTCTATCTTCCCCAAAAAATCATTTCACAGGGCTACAGGGTCAAATTTTCTTTTTAATGTGGAGCAGCCAAATTCTAAAAGTCACTCATACTGGCTTTGATTATTTTAAAACTGAAAAATTATTTAGAGGAATGCAATACAGGATTATCACAAAGTTTAATCCAGCTAAAGTTAAAACTGTGCTGAAAACTTATTTAGATTGACTAAATTTAATTTAATATTTGTGGATTTTTTGAATATCAGTAATTTCATAGTCCATCTCAGTAAAGATCTTAATACAATTTCACACACACACACACACACACACACACACACACACACACACACACTGTATAGGGGGATGCAAAAGGGAAGAGATTTATAAATCAAATAGCTTTATAGCCTTCAAATAAGCTACAAAAGAAACTGTCCATTTGAATTTCTAGATGCATGCTATAGTGGAACAACACTCAAAATGTATGAACATTTATTACAGATTTGAACATCCTTTGGACTACACTCTTGCCAGTGACAAATGCATTCAACATAAAATAATAATGTTTCAATCATAGAAATGTGCTCTTAATCATATTTAATCCTGCTTTTTATACTCTAACCTTAATTAGTAACCCAGAACCCTTTCTAACCTACACACCCAGTCTTTGAGGAAGTTATTCATCAGATAGGAATAATGTTTGTCTAGGAGTGCACTTATCTTAATGGACTTAATATGATCATTTAAAAAATATTCAGATCCTCCTTCTCCTCTCCTCCTCTCCCCAACTTTCTACCCAACTTCAATTTGACCTATATAACTCTTTCAGGTCTTTGGGACCCTGGGAAGAGGTGATGTAGAGTAAATCTATCAAAAGCCATGGCAATCAAGCACATACACATTAAAACATAACACCTTGGAGGATGGGTGGGAGGAATTGGGGACAGAGCAATTCACACTGAAGGTTACCATATATCTGAAGTTTGGTTAAAATAAACAATGGCATTGTGAAGGGAAAAATGATTCACAAAAGGAAAAGGAAAAACTGAAGTATAGGAGTGTGGGGGCAGGGGAGAAGGGGGGTTATAGAAGGTAAATAACATTATTGTATTCCAATCTGAAGTTTGGTGTCAGTGATAAGTAACCCAAAGAAGTTCTGTTGTGTAGAAGCAGCTGGAGACCCACCACACTCTCTCCCTCCTGCTGCTTCCTGTGTTATTGTCAATTCATCTGCTGTAGCCTCCTTCTCAAACACAGAGCCTGGGAGTCAGTACAGAGCTCTTCTACACCCATAGAAGAGGTTAGTTTACTAATAACTTAATAAGGGCTTACGATGAGATATTTATGCTACTGTTTAATATTTTGACCAATCATAGAAATAGTCTTGGTCTGGATTATTGTGCAATATAAAAGACTTAGGATGTATGCTAGTTAGAAAAGAAAGAAAAAGAGAGAAGGGGGAAAATATTAATTTAGATTCGAAAAAAATAAAGATGAACTAGAGGTACACAAATCTTGTCCTTGAATTTTAAATCATTGAAGAATAATATCAAACATAGATATCTAGATTGGATTGAAGATCAGACAAGGAGCTAAAAATTAACAGCAAAACCCACCTGAAAACGAATTTCAGGTTTATCAATCATACTCATGATTCAAAACCATGGATGAACATCTAACTGGCAACCAGGGTGCTATGCCTGGACTCTTCCACACCCTTACCCCTTAATATCACAAGATAGTGAGCACAGGAGAAATGAAATTATTAGAAAAATATACTAAGAGATTGAAAAAAGACCTATGGTTGTAGAGGGAAAGTTTTGGCATATTTAGTACATTAGCAAAAGAAACATGTAGACCATGGCTACAGTTAACCAAATGAGAAATACATTTTGAGAGAATATCATTGAGACCTTTACATTTCTCAGACTCAATTGCAAGTTCGAGCCTGGAGATGGGGCCATGAGCACTGATAGGTTAATGCATCTTAATCCCCATGTGAGGATATAACAGAATCATATACATAATGCACTGCTCTGGTGCCTACAGCATATATTCAGGACACAGTAATTGTTACCTAATATTATTAGTTGGCCTGGCTTCCATCCTGTAGTTATTTTTTCAAATGGCAGCAAGTATGTGTCACTGAGTATGTCTGATTAATTTCTATTTTAGTTATTATGTCAGATGAAGATATATTTTAATACTATTTTTAAAATATTTAAGTTTATTTTTAATATGTTATTTTTCACCCTCTTTTGGGCTGCCATATGTCCCTGACAAAACAAAAATTACTACCTCAGATTGATTTCTATTAAAATAATATTTACTGCCAAAATATCTAAATGAAGAAGAAGAGAACCTCAGGCTTTACTTATGTAAGCAAAATATCTAAATAATTGAATGAATTACCCCCATTTTAATCTTGGTGTTTTCTTAGAAGTTAGCTGTAGGGAGTATCCATGCAACAGAAGGTTAAGGGAAGAGGGACAAACTAATTAGTGTTATCAAATAAGAGTCTTTAGAGTGAGATTTGGTATCTTGATTTAAATTAGTCAGTGAAATTTTCTGCAATAGTTATATTAGCTAAATAATTTACAAATTTCTATTTTACTTTTTGTTGTAAAGAACGGTCAAAAATGTTCATGATTAATTTCATAGTCATTCCATTTCACCCTTTATCACAATTTCCCTCTAATTATTCTTTCCTCTCCTTGACTTCCTTCTCCAGTCCATTGCTTCCAGCACAGATTATACAGGCTAATCTATATGCTAACATTAAAATAGTTAATACTTACCAGTGACAGACACTTGAAATGATTGGTTCTTGTTCTGAAACCATTGCATTACACTACTCATTAGTTGACCTGCTAATATTTGCTTTAAATGAAATCTGTCCACATAATTTAAAAACTGTTTATATTTTAATTTCTCCCATGATTATTAACTTAACATATGTCCTACTATCAAATCACTTCATTAAACATATTACATACTGAAATGCACTTCCTTCAAATTGACTTATGATTATTTCCAACAGCTATTTAATATATTTTATTTCACAATGGTTTTTGACTAGGCGCAGGTCTCCCAATCCCCTTTGTAGCCATTGTAATGAACTGCAGTCAACTCAGGCCCACTCTTTTTCTAATGCCGAATTTACCTAACCCTATGTCTCTTAGCCAAAAGCAACATCTCAGATTTTTCAATGCTTGTTAAAGAAGGCAAGAATAAGATGAAAAGCAATAATAGTAAATCTATTCTTTTTCAATATCAGTAATCAAAGTTAATGAGGTATAATAAGTAGTATCTTTGTTGAAAATTATATCCACAATTGTCATGTGTGAAGAATTTAAGTTTTATAATTACACAAAGTATATGATAATGCTGTGTTGTAATTTTTTTGCTATAATTTTTTTTTTTTTTGAGGCAGAGTCTCACTCTGTCACCCCGGCTGGAGTACAGTGGCGCAATCACGGCTCACTGCAGCCACTGCCTCCCGGGTTCAAGCGATTTTTCTGCCTCAGCCTCCCAAGTAGCAGGAATTACAAGTGCGTGCGACCACACCTGGCTAACTTTTGGGTTTTTCGTAGAGATGGAGTTTCACTATCTCAGGCTGGTCTTGAACTCCTGACTTCAGATGATCCACCCACCTCGGCCTCCCAAAGGGCTGGGATCACGGGCATGAGCCACCGCACCCGGACTATAAATTGTTTTAAAGAGAAAATCACTTCCCATTCTTAACCATAAGAACGGGATATTCTTCCTCTGTTGCTTAACAGCCTGCAGGTGGCCACATTACCTAACCATAAATTTGAGTATTGTATTTTCAAATTCCCATGCAAAATCAAGATTAGTCTTATGACCCTTTGTGTCTGCAAACCAGCATTATTCACTTTGAGAAGTATGCCATTTTTCAGTGCCCTATGTGGGCTTTCTACTAAACTCATTAATTTGGAGGATGAATGCTTACTAATTTTATGAAGGTATCTCTATAACTTCCTCATCCCACCATGATGTATATGCAGGGATTTCTTCTTGAGTTATATTTTTTCATCTGTCCTATTCTCTTCTACTATGCTTTATAAATTCGAATCATTCAGCCAGGGAAATAAGGCATTGTGCTATTTGCAGTTCTCCTTTTGGACCTTTCTGTCAGCTGTTGTATGATTTAAAATAAATTTTGGCCTTCACCTTATCTGGGCCCACAATTGTCTTTTCTGAAGCCGAGGAAGCTGCTCCTAAGCCATTTTGTATTCATAATTTGTTCTTATTTAATGTAGTATGAATTTTATAACACTTTCTGCAGTGTGTGTAAAGGCAAGTTTATTAACAAGCTCTTTATATAACCTTTCAAAGATACTTTGATTCCAAATATAGCATTTTAGCACTCAGTTGAAATGTTGTTATTATATAATTATTAGATAATGTATTCCTATTTCTTAGAAATATGCCATTTCTCTATAACAGTAAAAATGTCTTTATATATTTATAAGGAAATCTACAAACTTTTTAAATATTTTGTCAAATGCTATTTTCAAGCTAAATACAGTAATTAAGTAAAATTATATTATTGCCCATATGTAAAATATATATAGTATAGTGAACAAGATGAGGACTAGATCCATTTGTTTATTAGAGATGGATGTATTTTATTTTGCTTTTTTTTAAAAAAAAGGGACCAACATTGTGATAAAAATACACAAACTTCAATCATTTTAATATAAAAGGCTTTACATTATTTGGAATAAAGGCAATGATTACACTACACTGTAATTGCAGTGATGACATACATGGATACAGGGAAACTAATTATCTTTTTAACGATGTATGTCCATAGTGATTACACAACCGGAGTTTGTGGTTACTTTGAATTTAGGATGATCTATGTTCATGAAGCTTTAATTTCACTTTTCATAATTTCCCTACGATGCATTTATCTATGCATTTATCTAGATACGATTAAGTTAATAAAAAGAGAGGACTGGCTGGGCACAGTGGCTCACGCCTGTAATCCCAGCACTTTGGGAGGCCGAGGTGGGTGCATCACCTGAGGTCAGGAGTTTGGGACTAGCCTGGCCGACATGGTGAAACCCCGTCTTCCAGGAGGCAGAGGTTGCAATGGGCAGCAGATTTTTTTTTGTCTCCTGGGCGACAAAAAAAGAAAAAAAAAAAAAGGAGAGAACTTAAAGCTTAAAGCTTCACATTTATATTGTATCCAGGTGACTAATCTGTTAAGTCAGAAAAATTTAATCAGTTAATTCAGCCAATCATTGGTGATTTTTAAATCTGAATGGACTGTTTGTAAATACAATAGTTATTAATTTAATATATTGAAATATGGATGAAATGTTGTTATCATATATGGACTTTACTTCAAAATAATCCAGCTTGGAAGGGAAGTATGTGAAATAATTAAAATTGCCCATAAGCTGATAATTACTGAGACCAGTGAGGGAGATGTGGAGGTTTATTAACTATATTTTCTACTTTTTTGTTTGAACTTTTTCATCACAAAATGTTTTCAAAGACAGGGCCAAAAGGAAGATTTGGTTGTGAACCACAAAAAAGTTTGGTATTTATCACCATACTGATGTAGTTAAAGGCTTACAATACAAGCCAGGACAAACACATGCCAAGAGCAAATTATGAATCTGTTTGTATTCAGCACTAAAGTTGTGGACAGCTACTCAGTTTCTGTAGCTTATGACTTGTAAAATCCCTCAAATTTCTGTGTTTCCAAAAAATAAAAATAAAAAAAAGCAGGACCTGGGCATTTTATATTTTTTCTTATGTTTTTGAAAATATAAATAACTTTTTAAATACAACTTTTTTTTTCATGGGATGAAGAAAAAATTAAATGCATTCTGCTTTATTTTCCCCCATGCTGCTCTTATCCTTAAAATCTCTTTGATAGGAGTGATATGCCCAAATATTACAGTGTTGATTAATAAAATCAAGGTGCTATAAATTATGTGGAATTAACCTCTTCAATTTAATGGGATATGGTAACATTTCCTTAATGCTTGGTTACATTTGAGCCATTGAGCTCAAGTATGAAAAGAAATAGCTCCAATTTTTAAATTCTTTATAAGATGAAAACAAAAAGAAAAAATCATACTTATGGATTAGCAGTTACATAAAGCTGTAAAGAAGGGTTCAGTACTGAATGGAGGTGACTGTTCTTTAGAGTAAACCTTTATTAGGCAAAGCTGTAGTCTTAAATGTTGCTAAACTGACAGCCAGAAAAAATCAATAATTATAAAAAAATCAGTCTCTAATTATTCTTTTTCCAAGTGCTGAGATTGCTCTGAGTTCTCTGAACAGCAAGACATCTGTCCTGCCTCTCACACCATGTCCATATTTCTGACACACTCTTCCAGAGGCTGAACTGCAGTTCTAGGACTAGAGCTAGATGGAGAGCTCATTATCTAACTTTTCTTCTCAGAATCTCTTTCCCCAAGGTGCTAGAGTGTCCCACAGCATTACCTGTGTCTGTCAGACAGCCCTAGATATAGATGATTGCCTTTGGGGTTTGCAAGAAGAGGCTGGAAAGAAATGCAAATTGAATGAGTTACCCTGCAACAGGGATTGTCTTTGCTTCTGTGTAGCTGAGAGACTATTTGAGAATGACAGAAATATACAAAAAGTCTTGCAGGGCATACCTGTGGAAGAACAACAATCAGCTTGCACACACAGGAATATAATTTACTTTGTTGCATCAATTTGCTTTTGCTGTAAAATGTAAGTTAAAATGTCATTGATGGGAAGTACATGTCAAAGTTGCCAGTAGTGTCTATCATTGACAAAGGTCCACTAGACTAGGACTCTTGGAACCCCAGGTAAATTAGACCGGACTGTGTCCTTCTATTTATTTATGAGAAAGTGCAAAATAGTCCCTGGCATCTAGGAGCTCTCCTGGTACTATCAGCTAGGCCTTGGTGTCCACCTGTTGAACAAAAACATGCTCTGGATCATTAGCATCATACAGGTCCACTCTGTGACCTTGGTAAATCAAGAAAAGAAAAGAATATGAAGTCTTTGTAATCATGCCTGAAAATAAAATATTAATACTGTCTTACACCACAAAAATGACCCACTATTCTATTCTAATGAATGACTCCTATTTCTTTACCATTACAGATTTAGCCTTAGTCCAGTGTTTCTTCATTCTAGATAAGGTTTATCATGATACCTAATTATAGAATTACCTTCTCCTTACTTTTTGACACCATCCAAATCAGAATGAAGCTCCACTTTCTTAAACTCTCTTCCAAATCACCTAAGGCAAGCTCAAATATTTTAAGTTCTTTCTAACATCCTCTTTCTAAGGTGTCCCAGGTTCCCATGATGCACATTCTCACTCAGCGCAACAAGTGATAAGTTCAATTTGTTCAACTTGAGATGCGCTCTTGGTAGTCATCAGGTGGAGAATAAACTATTATTAAAACTAAGTGGTTACAATGGCTACTTTATAACTGATAAAAGAAATAGGGTAAATTTGCCCAACAGAGTCACTGGTCATTTTTTTTATTTTAGTGAAGTACACATAATATACAATTGACCATCTTAACCATTTTGGGTACAGTCCAGTGGCATTAAGAACATTCACATTGTTGTGCAACCACCACTATCTATCTCCAGAAACTTTTCAGGATCCCAAACTGAAACTCTGTACCTGTTAAACAAAAAGTCTTTGTTTCTCCCTGCCCCAGACCCTAATAACTGCTATTCTACTTTCTGCCTTTATGAACTTGATTATTTTGGGTATCTCATATAAGTGGAATTATAAGATATTTGTCCTTTTGTGTCTGGCTTATTTCACATAGCATAATGTCTTCAAGTTTTATCCATGTTGTGGCAGGTGTTAGAATTTCATTTCTTTTTAAGGCTGAATGATATCCCATTGTATGTATATACCACATTTTGTTTATCCATTCATCTGTCAATGAACATTTGTATTGTTTCCACCTTTTGGGAATTGTGAATAATGCTTCTAGAAGTATTGGTGTACAATGGTCCTAAGCTTTTGGCAGTGATGGGTAGAATAGTTCCAGGATTTTTTTTACTCTGCACATGAATTTAAAACAGTTTCCCTCTCCCTTCCCAGGCTACTCCCACCTCCACCAATCCCCAAGCTCTGAGAAATCAAACATTTTGTAGTAATGACCCCTGGAGATCTAGATGAGTTTATCATGTTATTTTCAGATTTCTTCCCTATTGTATTAGGGAAGATAGCAATAGAGTGGGAAAGATTAAGGGAAAGAGTGTAGAGAGACAAAACAATTCTAAACCAATTTTTATTTTAAAATGTATTTTCAAAACTAAGGTGTAAGTCTTTGGTGCTTTGCTACTTACCCAAGTGCTAAAAATAGGGATGCAAAATTTGGGTTTTGCCATTGAGATAAGAGATACAGCCAAGTCATTTATGTATTGAGCCATAAAGCTATCATTTGCCACTTTCTGCCTGGAGCATCAACTCAAAGAGTTCAGGGACTTGCTGCTCTATTTTTTCTCTCTGAGACAGACCACATTATAGACACTCAATAAATATTTATGAAATAAGTGAGTAAAATGAATGATTAGAATGAGCCCTTATTATGTCTTGGGCTCTGTGAAAGACATTAGAGAGTGTCAAATGACACCATCCCTGCCTACATAATGCTTTAAGACTAGCTAGGGAATGAGAGACACAATACTATAAACAAACCGCAATGAGTGTACAGAGATAAGAAAGATTACTTCTACTTATGGATAGTAAGGGAAATTGAAAAGAGGAGTTGGTTAGAATGGAAAGAATTTTGATAGATGAAAGCATGAAGTACATTTATTTCATGTGCATGAGCAAAGTCATGGTGGGAGCAAGAAGCATAAAAGTATAATTTTTAATCTTCCAGTCTGTTCAATAAACTTTAAATTCCTTACTTTATTAAGCTTCATAGCATCTTCCATTTCCCCACCTCCAGGAGAAAATAATCATTCTTTATCCTTCAGAAAAAGATACCAAGAAACGCACAGTAATTGACTGGGGAGACCTGGATTTGAATCACCGCATTCCATAGCTGGTGATTCCAGCCAATAGATTACATTCAGTGAGTGTAAATTAGCTTGTTTAGGGTTGACATATAAAAGGTAGACTAGGGGAGGACAAGAGGGATAAGACAGACAACTCTGCAGGGCTAAACTGGTGGTGGAAAGAGAGGGTCATCACTTTTTTTCTACTCTGAATTTAAGTACAAAAGTATTTTTGTCCTTAAAACACAGAAAAATTCTTTGGGTGGAATACCTACATAAAAGTTGTAGAGAATGGTAAAAAAAAATTTATTATTAATAGTTAATTTCACAAAGGTTCTTTATTGCCCTTTTGGACATGTTTTAAGTCTGACTCTGTAAGTGTTTGTTTTAGAACACTGTGTTTAAAAAAATAATTTGGCAGAATTGTTTTAGAAAAAGTTCCTCTTTTAAAATATTATTTGACAAAAATGTGTTCTAAAGTTTTCTGATCTATAAAAACCCTTGCTTTTCAGAACATAATTCAAAATCAATTCAGTG
This sequence comes from Homo sapiens, assembly GCF_000001405.40. NCBI lineage: Eukaryota > Metazoa > Chordata > Mammalia > Primates > Hominidae > Homo > Homo sapiens. The sequence goes on along the minus strand of NC_000005.10, from coordinate 41,514,231 downwards.
ACAAAAATAAAATATATATCTCCAATGATTAAGAAAGATTATGAACTAATGGAAGAAAATACATAGCAAAGAGTTATGTATTTTTATGGGTGGAAGAGGATATGAAGTGAGAAAATGCTCCAGATGAGTATCCTTGTTCATCAGCTTTGTGTGTTATATGAATTTGATGGACAGCAGAGCATTACACAAACAACTTTTGGTGGTAGCACGAAGCCACTGCAATTGGTCATTTTTCTCTTTTCATTTATGCCTAAAAGCATTTGATTTTCAGAGGCAGGCTACTATTAATGCCGTAACTAAAAACCATTGGTATTTTCTCATCTGTTTTGTGGGGAAAAAAATGTTGGTCTATATCTTGAGCTGTCTGCATGAATTAAAAATTGAAAGTAGGCTGGGCGCGGTGGCTCACGCCTATAATCCCAGCACTTTGGGAGGCCAAGGCCGGCAGATCACGAGGTCAGGAGATCGAGACCATTCTGGCTAACATGGTGAAACCCCGTCTCTACTAAAAATACAAAAAAATTAGCCGGGCGTGTTGGCGGGCACCTGTAGTCCCAGCTACTCAGGAGGCTGAGGCAGGAGAATGACGTGAACCTAGGAGGCGGAGCTTGCAGTGAGTCAAGATCGCACCACTGCTCTCCAGCCTGGAAAAAAAAAAAAGAAAGTAAATATTACATGCCTCCTTTTGCTATTTTGAGCAGCTATATAAATAAGAAAGAATCATAAAAAAATAAAATTATAGAATAATAGAGTCAAAGGGGGCCATAGAGTTTGGCAGTAACTTCTAGTTAATTTGCAAGTGGGTGTGATGGTTTATTTTATATGTCAACTTGGCTAGGCTGTGATGCCCAATTGCTTGGTCAAACACTAGTGTAGATGTTGCTGTGAAGATGTTTGTCAATGTGATTAACATTTATAATCATTTAACTTTGAGTAAAGTGCATTACCTGTTATAATGTGGGTAGGCCTTATTAAATCAGTTGAAGGCCTTAAGAACAAAGACTAAAGCTATCTGAAGCAGCAGCAATTCTGCCTCAAAACTGCAGCATAGAAGTCCTTCCTGAGTTCCTGGCCTGCTGGCCTGCTCTGCAGATTTTGAACTCAAGACTGCAAGAACAATTCTTATCTCATGTTCCAGGCTTCCAGTTTGCCCTACATATATTGAACTTGCCAGCTCTCACAATCATATGAGACAATTTCTCTAAAATAAATCTCTTTCTCTCTATATATATACTACTGGTTCTGTTTCTCTGGAGAACCTTGATTAATCCAGTGACAAAATTAAAGCCCAGAGAAATTACATGATTGTCCCAATGTGTTTTAGTAAGTGGTAGCAGGGTTGGTGATAGAAAGATGGAGAAACTGGGTCATATAATTGCCCAAAATATTGATTATAAGGCTGGGAAAGAAATTCACAACTATCAACTTTCAGGCCTATCTTTTTTCATGGGTTGCATGTAGAAAATGATAATAACTTATATTAAACCAAGACATTTAAAATCCTGAAATGCAAATCAGATGAAACAGAGAAGGGACTGTTAGTTTGTTTTGCCAAAAGATAGTATGATTCTTTATAGAGGGGAACTTTCCTCACCAGTTAAGGTGGTTTCATTTTGTAAAAAATGCTTTGTAAATTTTTAGGGCCACATAAGCTCAATATACTTTAACAGGGCATGTTTCTAAAATGTGTCTTATTAAAAATGTACCCCAGATTCAATAATTATTTCATGCTTTTGAAAAAAATACTTCATAAGTATAGAAAAGACAAAGAGTGGTAAATACACATATCCTGTTATCTTAAACATGTATGCACTCTCTTCTGGAAGCTTCACCACAAATCTCTGAGTTCTTATTACCACTTTATAATGGAGAAAACTGGGGCTAGCAGAGACTAGAGGACTTGCCCAAACTACTCAGAGACAGAGCAGCTGACCACTAGATTTGAATTTTCCTCATTGCCTTGCAATCATGCCCTGAGACCACCAGCATTAGGTGGTGTTTGTAGGTTTCTTACAGAAGGGTGGTGTTTGTAGATCTCTTGACCAAGAGTCCTATAGTAAGCTAAACTATCATCCTAATTAAAAGGATATGTGGGTTCTATTGTACTAGCATGTATATTAAGATTTATTTGGGGAAAATTTTCAGTATATCTCTTCCTCATCACTAAAGATAACTGTACCATGTCCTCTTGAAGGTATGAATTTATTTTACAAGGGGCATGGAAAATTTGATAACCAAAATAAGGCGTTGCCTCTCCTCTATCTTTCCCATAGTGCTCCCCATTTGGGGGTGAATATTCTTAGGACTTAGCATCATTGTAGAAAATAAGGTAGGCTCTAGGTTTTTTCTTATTTTTTAATGCTATTTGGGATTAAATGGATTTACTAACCTTGAATAATTATTCTCATGTTTCATGGCTCTCTTTGTCTCCTATGTTGATTGTCATTTCCGCAATCTAATAGCATTTCCCATAGAAAAATAAAAATTTACACAACCCTGGCATGAAAGAACAGAGGTCTGTTTATTGCATTTCCATTTCCTGGGTTGCAAAAGCCCAGCACACTTTCAGTTCATCTCTTATAATTCCTATTCAGGCCACTGCTGCTCTCATTACATTTGTAAAACTTCATCTCTCTCCTTTTACTCATCTGAGAGCAGGTGGACCCAGACAGTTCTTTGGAGGCCCAGTGAGTGATTTCTCTTGAGAGAGGCACATCTTTCCAGTCTGCAAAGGAATGAAAATGCAGACAGTCACATAGATCACTTTGAATGGTGCCAAATACATTCCACCAAATGCTACTGGCAATAATTAGAGCATGTCACTGGGAGATGTGGCGATTTTCTTCCAGCATAAGGCTCCAGTCTTACCCTGAGTGCCATGAAACTGACAGGACAGAGGCAGTGTTCTCCATGGAAATAATGTAGACTTCTCATGATCTGAGAAAAGAAGGGGGAGTAGCATTTCTTGACTTTGAAATGTCTGGAGCAAGGTACCCAGGATTAAGTAGGAACCACCTAGAATTTACCATGCCCTTCACTGACTCATACTTACCAGCTATTTCACAAAGTAGGCAAAAGAGTGAATAAAGATAATCATTTTTTAATAAACAGGGTTGTGGTCTCTGGCTGAGGAAAGGTATAACCTGTTGTAGATTACAAAAAGGAAAGCTCTTTGATAAGGACGGAAAGCCCTGAAACCCAGCATGAGAAGTCTGTTCCTCAGGAGGCAATAACATCCCAAAGTCTGCTAGGATTTTAGGTTCAAGTGCAAGACTGTCTTTCATACAAACAGGACGAGAAAGTCACAGCAAAGGATCGAGCAAGCCATGGGCAAAGCAGTTGGAAAAAAATGAATAGAAAAGAAAAATAAGAAACCAGGGAAAGCTGCAGAATGGCGAGGAAAGGCAGAGACGCCTAGGAAGGATAAGACGGGAGGAGGGGGTTGGGGAGGGAGGGGAGAGCGGAGAGAGCTGAGCACGGACGTCAGGAACAAAAGCTCCAGCGGAGTCTGGCGGAGGCACTAAGGGAGCACGGGGTGTTTTGAATAATTATTAAAATTAGCATGTGTCTGCGCCATCCTGTGGGTGTGGCGCAGAGAGGAGTGTAAACTCTAGCGGGGCTAGAGCAAACATTGGATTAGCGGCAGCAGCCTGCCAGCCTGCCCGAGGAGTGCTGGGACCAGCGCGCTGCACGCCGACTGGCACGATGGCCTCGTCTCAGGGGAAAAACGAGCTGAAATTAGCCGACTGGATGGCAACTCTGCCGGAGAGCATGCACAGCATCCCCCTCACCAATTTAGCCATTCCAGGTAGGCGCGCAGGGGCTGCGGGCTAGGCGCTCGGCGCCCGCTCCACCTGCCCCGCCCTGCTTTATCTGCCACTAAGTGGTAACTTGCCACGATGCCCGCGGGAGGGAAACTCGTCTTCCAGGGTGGGTCTCAGGCCAGGCGAGCGCGTGCCGGGTAGCCTTGGGCTTCCTGGCGTTTTCCAAACCCCTAAGGACCGAGGCGCTAGAGTCAAGGTGACTGCTTTTCTCCTGGGCTTTTGAAGCAGGTTGTATGCGGAGGACTGGGGCAGAGGAGAAGCTGGGCTCCAGGATGGTGCCTCGTGACCCCCTCCTATGGTTTCTCCTGCAGATTTGGGGAAGTGGGAGAAATCTCTGGGTCTGCGGGGTGACCGTGTGTGAAGAACGCGAGCTAGTGTCAGGGGCTCGCCTTCGGTGCAAGGACCTGAGTCTATCCCTGGCATGGAATTGGGCGGATTTGATAGATTCTCGGCTACAGTCATTAATATTCGTCCCCAATCTCCTTTAAAAAGACAAAGCGCTTCCCGAAGAGTGATGAAAGTTCAGGGACCAGAGGCGGCGTGATAGCTGCCCTTGAAAAGGAGCCCAAGGGGGCGACGGGCAGAGGGCACCATTTCGTATCGGTTTGGACCCCGGGGGACCTGGCCGAGTGGCCGCTGTCTCGAGTCTGGTCCAAGTGCGTGTTGGCAACACACTTCGCCCAGGTCAAAAAAGCAAACCCTTGCGGACCGTATGTTTACTGCTCGGGACAGAAGCTGGGCAGGGGAACCTGCGTGACCTGAGCGGAGGGGTGGGATTAATAGGCAAATAGTACGGAAAAGGTGACTGAGAATGTGTCCAGACAGTCTAGAAGGAAAGAAGCGTGGACAAAGCGAGGAAGAGACCTGAGGGATCAAGAAGCTTCAGCTTGATGTGTGCGACTTGGACCAGAGACTGGGCAGGTTTCTAGGGTGGCAGCTCCTAACAACCCCCTAGATCAGGTATCCAGGAGTGAGGGTCGTTTCAGGACAGTTTACAACAATGACAGCTGGGACACGGCCATACTTTATTGTCAATTTGGCTATGCAGTTGGGCTGGGGGAGCACACACTTGATCTTTTCAGAGCTGGGCTGGAGGGCAAATTACTCATGAACAGTTCACTTCTGGCCCTGAGCTGAGCTGGGCTATTAAACTCAACGTTATGGTCTACCTCCTCTTGATCTGCCCCATCCAGCGCCCCCTCTCAGCTGTTGGAGGAAAACATAATAAAGAAAAAAACAACAAAAACAAAAACAAAAGAAGGGTTATTTTGAAAATCACTAGATGCTCCAACCAAGAGTGCTGCCATTGATCAGTCCCTCAAATCAATGGTTGTTAGTCAAGTGGATGTTTGGCAGCAATGGCAGGCACAGGCTACTACAAGTGCTATCCACAGAAGGGGCTGTCTCCTTTCGTCCTTCTTCAACAGATAGCTTGCTACCGGCCAGGAATCTCCAAGGAAAAGAACCAACCCCAGCTTCTCCATGCAGCACTTATTCTGCTACCTAGGCAAGCCTGGAGATTGCTCTTTTCAAGGAGACAGTAGAAAGCACAACTTTGGCATAACTCCATTCTCACTTCCACAGGCATTCCCATTCCTTTTCTTCCTTCATTTTTATTTGGATTTTAGACAGCTTCTTTCACATGGTTTCCCCTGAATGTTTTTATATGCATAGAAGGTAAGAAGGGCAATCACTGTGATGCAAACCTTCTGGCAGGTGACTCTCTAGAGCTACAGGATTAAAAGCCTATGTTTGTTTATCTAGTTCTGAGATGGTATGATATCTTTTTGAGTCTACCTTACATTTCTGTAATATTTCACTTTTCAAAGCCCTGTTATGTACACCAGCTCACAAAATCCTTCTAAAACCCCATGAAGCAGGGAGTGCTGGCACTATTACCTCCATGTCACAGATGAAAAAACTGAAGCTAAGTGAAGACAAATGACTTACTATTTATCCCTATCAGTTCAGGGATCTGACCCCTTACTTGGACCTTTGGGAAGATACCCTATGAATTTTGGAGGGAAAGGCTTTGTGATTTGTATCTGGATGATTCAGCAGCAACTGTGACTAACCAGGGTTAAGAAAAAAGGAACTAAGCATTAGTGGGAACACAGTAATTTTCCTTTCCTGCCCTGGGACAAAATAAAAACCTGAGGTGAGAGATTTTGGTATCTGGGTGATCTTAGAGTACAGACATAAAGATGATGACATTGGGCTTCCATGGGAATTTATATTGTTTTCCCAGCTCCTGTTGGTATTATACTCAAATGGATCTCCTGTAAAGCTTCCCCTTCTCACTCCAATACTTGTGAGAAAAAATAGACCAACATTTTTCATCAAATCTATACTCCTGAATACTCGCATGTTTCTGTAAATTTGTTTGGAAGATCCACATATATAAAAAACCAGGTTTAAAAACAGGTTTGGCACCTTTTTGCATTACTCAGCACTAAGAATTTTTGGAGGAAAAAAAGATATTCAAACTTTGATAGTCAGAGAAGACTAATTGGAGACTATTAAACACTAATGGAATAATTGCCTTAAAATCATGCTAATAGCTTCCTGGCTGCTACATGTTTACTTGGCCAGTTGCTACAGCTCAAATTAAGTAATTATCTCCATCATTTAAAACCACTCCTGGTGCACCACACAAGTGTTTCTGTTGAGGGAAACTGCTGCTCAGTCATCCTCAAAGCTTCAGGTTGTCTTAGGTAAAGCGGCTGGAAAATAAAGAGCTGCCTAATTATAAGGCTACCCAACTGGGGCAGCTGACCCAGATTGCCCAGAGTTACAGCAAAAAACAATGTGCAACTGTGTGATATTCCCCACCAGAGCACAGTTCCGGTGTCTTTAAATATTTCTCAAATCTCTGCAGTTTGAATGGTTTCAGAGTAATCTCGCAATAGCTGTTTGGCATTTAAATGGCTTCATGATATGATATTGACTGGGCTGAGGAATTAAGTTAGTAATTGGTATTAGTATTTCACTTTCAATTTATTTTTTAAAGAAATGACACAGCCAGAACACATTGACAGTTACTCCAATTTCAGCCTTGTTTATTATTTCCTTCTCTCTCTGATGGCCCTAAACTTAAGTTTTAATTCGTGCATATTTGTTGAATACTGGCATTTTGGATTATGAATGATACTGCCCTTCACTATAAGCAGGTGAGAGAGGATAAACAGAGATGAAAGCAGGAAGACAAAGTATAAAATTTAGGTAAAAGTGAGACTGATGAAAATTCAGTTTCTCTGAAACAGAGTTCTAACTCTGTAATCATGGTGGCTCCAGAACTATTGTAAAGAGATGCATCATGGGAACACATAAGGTGCTGGTAATCTGCATGTGTGACAGAGAGTCATTCTGTCCAAAATCTAAAAGATTGGGAAGGGTTTAGCCCATGGGAGGGGTCTGCTTTGCATTCTCTAATATGTAAAAATCTTTTTCATATAGTGTAGCAAACTGACCATGAAATAATAAAATATTGGCCACAATGTTGTGGGACTGGAAACTCAGAAAGAATCCATGTTTTCTTCAACAGGGAATTGTTGACTGTACTTTTTAGATAAGGAACACAGAAACGCTTTATAAATCAATGATTGTGCCTGTGAATTTTGTTCATTTCCTTTAGAAAATGCAAACACCAATGAAAAACAACAGGTTCACTAAGGGAAGCTAAGTGTTTAAACAGCTCTGAGTCTCTGTTCTTGTGTCTGACCTACTAGTTTTTAATTTCTTCCCCTAACAGTCATCCCTTTTTGTTGCTGCCTGTGTTCCTGGAGCCAACCATCTTCCTCCTCTTTGTAATTTCCTATTTCTATTTTACTTGGAAGGAGTCAATGTCTAGGATGTATCTGGGACTGGGTCTAATTGTGCAAATTTCTAAAGAACAAAACAAGAGCAGTTCTCACCTCCTACCCCATTTATTAGTGGATAGTGATACAGAAGTGAATCTTTCAAGACAGTAAAAAAGCAACAACATTGTTTAGGATGAATATCTCTCTTGTTCTGCCTCTCTAATTCTCAGTTTTGTTTTTGGTTTTGCGAACAAGGAAAAATTGAACAGTATCTGAAACATAATTTGTTCTACTAGGACTTTTCTTGATGAATCAAATCCTCGACTATTGTTATTCAATGTAAAGTGTTATATATGCTATTTTACCATTCACAAAGTGTCTTCCTATGCACACATATGCTTTTCCCACATTCTAACAATAATCTTCTAAGGCCTTGGGACTCAGAGTTGGTTCAGGGACCAACATCATCAGCATACATGTGGGCTTGGTAGAAATGCTGCATCTCAGACTCTGCACATCACACATCAGATCTATTTAATTACAATCTACATTTTAACACAATCCCTAGATGATTTATATACACATTTAAAGTTTGAGAAAACTGCTTTAGTGTATCTCTAAAGAGGGCTTTTATGTAAATGTCAGAGGCAAATTTAAATATACATTTTTTACTAGGCCCTTTCTATTGCACCATGCAGTCTATACATGTTTCCAATTTTATAATCAGGCTTAAAGCCAGAACACCATATTTGACTCAAAGCTAATTGCCCAAGTTAGGGACATTTCTGATAACTGACATTACAGGTCATCATGTACCTTGAGCAATAAATGTGACTTAATTGCTACTTAACTGTTCACATTAGGTCACTGTGATAAATGTAAAACCTTTCCCCTCATTTCCTTAAAGTCCTGCTGCTTCTTATTGGCCATCGATAGCACTTAAAATCAGCTCATCTGGTAATGCTAGTGATCTCTAATGCCAGTTTAGGAAACATCTCTATATTGGTTCTTTGTCCATTTAAGTCACTCTTTGTGGTGCACAGGACCAGCTCCTTCTGTTATAAGTTGCAGGTTGATTCATTTTATTTATAAGCTAGAACTTTGCAATATTGTTATCGAGCAAAAGTGGCATCATGAAATAATGCAAAATGTAGCATCAGAAAGCCATCAAAAGCATCAACATCAAAGGTAAACAGTAAATTGGTTTTCAATAGAAAATGACCTATCTTGTTTGTATTTGCAAGTCACATCTCATTTATTTGAAGCATAGCTTACATGGAGTACAAGCATATATAACAGTTTATAATCCACTAGATTGAATGTCAGTTGTTTGATACTATAATTGTTCTAAAATAGTTAAACTTCACACACACACACACATGCACACACACTCACACACAGCTCTCCAATTGCTTAAATGGATACCACAATGTTCATACGTTAAGGCCCATAAGCTTTACTCGTGTAAAAATTTATTATACCCTGACTTAGAGTTTATTTACTCATATTTAATTCCAACTCCACCCAATGAGAACAGAAAGAGCAAATTATAAAGAAGATGAAAACTGTTGAGTGCCATAAATCAGTAATGAAAATAGGGAATATTTATGAGGGAAGACTAACAAATGGAGATACACTGACACAAAACATAGTGTTCTCTACACTTTACCAGTCCAAAAGTAAAATCAGAGTCATAGCAACTGTCAGTTCTTCAACTCCTCCCAAATACCTCCTTAACGAACTTCCAAATAGTTCTAAAAATCTGGATGGATTCTTAAGTATGATCTATAAGCCAGTCATTTGGGCTGGATTGATAAACTAGTCCTCTGGGCTACAACATGGTATCTGCCATTTTCCTTCTTTCCTGTTTTGGGAAAGCTTTGGAGAGTTGTCACCTTTGCTCCTTTGACATATAGAGAAACTGTGCTTCCATAGTTTTATCCCCAAAATATCACTAGTATTACTAATAGCTCCTCCAGAGCTTATTCTGTGTCTGCAGAGGCCCAACATTGAGCATGTTAATGTCTAACAAGAGTCAAAGGCTCCCAGAGCTTGGTCACCCATTGTGGAAGCTGCTGATGCCAACATCTCCTATTGCTGACTCTGCCATCACTGCTGAAGCCCTGAGTGCTGGCACTGCCAAAACCAGGCATCTTTTTGCCTGGTTTATATTGATTATTTTGTTGTTGCTCCATTGCTCGGGGACTAAGGTATGATTTTATGTGGCTGGGCAGAGGAAAATATGTGGGACAAATTTTATCCTATACTCTGCATTATGCTCAATGTTAGCTCACTCTCTGCATCTGCACCTATGTGTTTGTATTGACTTCCTCTTAAAAAAACTTCTTTTTCAGGAATCTTCTTGATTTTTCCTATAAGTAAACTTCCAGTGGGTGCAATGTAATCATTCCTTTAGACAAATCTAGAGTGGAAACACAGCTAGGGTCTATATTTTTCCCACTGAGCAGGCTGGGATAATGTAAACAGAGCCAATTAATCCCATATCCCTAAAGTAATCCCTAAGGGCTCCATTGTATGAAAGCACATTAGTAGCTAATTGATGTGCTCTGACCCATCAAGAAAAGGTTAAATCAGTCACACACACACACACACACACACAAGTGCACACACACACACACACATTTTAATTCCTGTTGCTTAAAGGGGAAAGCTGTGTTTTCTGGAAAATTTAACTATTACCACCAGTGAGGATGCCTCTTGCCCAAAAATATTAGTTTTTGGAAACCAGAGAACATGCCACCATGATGAGCACTCAAGGAAGTCCTAGACGTAGTCATTGAAATTAATGTCCTCAAGAAGTTTATAGACTCCTCTCATGTCTTCTGGTTTGTATAGGGTTCAAATCAATCTTAGGAGAGTGGGGACCAAAAAATTGTCTATATCATATATTCCAGAAGGAAGGGAAAAGTGAGTGAAAAATTTAATCATGGTTCAGGTGGAATTTTGCTGCCAGAAGCTTTTTACAGCACCATATGTTTTTATTATGCTCTATTAAGACAGGAAGATAGGTCAGTAACAGAGGGGTAGGAGGAGATGGTTAAATATTCTTGCTAAGCAGCCAGGATTAGTCACCTCCGGAGGTCAGGTACTGAAACAGATGGCCCATGGATCTGTTAGATGCACTCTTGTTATGTTCCTATATTTCATTACAGATCCTGGAAGTGGACAGCTCTTACAACACTCTATCTTAAATGCGAGCTAATGTTATGTTTTACATAGAATTATTTCTGTGAGTTAATTTTTATGAAGCAGTCACATTTATCCATAATTATCATTATAAATGAAAATTTGGTTCCTTCATTCACTTGAAAAATTTTTATTTCATGAGGCAAAGTGGATTATGATAAATGGTCATATTAATTTCCTGCTATGCTTTCCTGGAACTCCCCTATGGCTTGTTAGCTAGTGGAGAGAAAGTGGACTGCACTTGCAGTCCTAGTGGGCAGATAGGACTTATCTTCAATGCATGTCTCAGGCTATACACCCATGCTGCCATTTAGAGGAGGAAGAAGAGTAGGAGGAAGATAACCATAGCTGCCTTAGAGGGAAGTTAGCCCTAAACACACACCTATGTGACCCGTCCTGGCCCTTTCTCAAGAAAAGAAAGGTTGTCAGGGGATGTAAAGCTCCTGCCATGAATGCTGCTAGAGAAGAAGGCTGCAGAATGTGAAGTTTTGTTTAGTCTTCATCACCCTTTCATGTCCTCATTTCTCTGCTGATAAAGCCAAATTTCTTGGTCCAGCATGAGATTCACACCTTTGGAGATGATCTTAATGTTCTCGTCTCACTTTTTCTGTCCTACGTACCTGGAAAACCCCAATTCAGTTAAACTCAACTTTCTAACTATTCAGATCCCAGAAAACTTCAATGGATGAACATTGTTGGAGAGAAATTACGCGGTTTGGGTGACTGGACTCACTGGAAATTTCTGACCATAAATTTTAAATGGGTGTTCAATACAGGCAGAGAGACTTACTACACTTCCTTAGTAAATTCATTTCTTGTTCTCTAAGATGAGAATTTTTTACCTCTTCTTGATTCTCAAATCAACACCTTCTTCCTACTTCATCTGTACTGATTACATCACATCTTATTTTATATTAAAGAAAGGGCTCCATTGTATTAAAGCACATTAACAGTTAATTGATGTGCTCTGACCCATCAAGAAAAGGTTAAATCACACACACCGCACACATACACATACACACAGACACATAATTTTATCCTATTAATTACTCTTTCCCACCTCACCTAAACTGATTACTTCACCTCTGATTTTATATTTAAAAACTTGATGCAAACAGACAAGATCTTCCTCAGTTTCCCACCATTGAACCCACAATGCATCTATTTCTTATACTTTGGATTTCCTTTAAATAAGAGGAAGATCTAGACCTGCTCATACATAAGCTAAGTTTTTCCACTTGTGTTCTGGATCCCATCCACTCAAATCTGTTCAAAGCTTACTTTTGAATTTATCCACTCTCTCTTTCCTGTGTCATCAGTTTTCTCCACCTCTATGGGATCATTCCAGTCAGCACACAAATATATGTAATAATGCTCCTTGCAAAAAAAAATTTGTTACCACACCTGCCTCTCAATCAGTAAACTATTTCTCTTATTCTTGTAAAAATATCTTCCCTACCTTCAGGTTGTTATATCTCTTTCTCTTCCTAGTCCATACTAATCTCATTTCCCCATCACTTCCCTAAAATTGTTCTTATCAAGGTAGCCAATGATCTGTATTTTGCCAAAGGTAATGGTTAATTCTCTATCATCTTATTTGACATTTCAGCAACATTGATGTGGTTCGCCACACCTCTCTTCGTGAAACATGTTCTTCCTTTGGCTTCTTAGCACACCTTATTTTTTTTATTGTGGTAAAAACTATGACATCCATAACGTGAAATTTACTATCTTAAAATTTTAAGTATATAATACAGTGTTGCTACCTGTAAGTACAATATTGCACAGCAGACCTCTAGAACTTTTTCATCTTGCATGACTAAAACTTGATACCTGTTGAATAGAAACTTCCCTTTTCCCCCTCTTTCCCAGCCTCTGGCAACCAGCATTCCACTCTCTGCTTCAGTGAGTTTGACTATTAGATACCTCATCTAAGTGGAATCATGCAGTATTTGTCCTTTTGTGACTGGTTTATTTCAGTTCGCATAATGTCTTCAAGGTTTACCCATGTGGTAGCATATGACAGGATTTTCTTCTTTTTATGACTGAATAATAGTACATTTGTATGTATATACCATATTTATTAATCCATTCATCCATTGATATACATTTTGATTGTGAACGATACTGAAGCTTATTGCAATGAGAATAGAGATCTCGATTCAAGATCTCAATTTCATTTCTTTTGGATAAATACCCCAAAGTGGGACTGTTGGATCATGTGGTAGTTCTATCTTTAAAATTTCGACGTAATTCCATTCTGTTCTCCATAGAGGCTGCACAATTTTACACTTCCACCAACAGTGTACAAGAATTGCAATTTCTATACATCCTTGCTAACACATTATTTTATATATTTTTGATAGTAACCATCCTAACAGGTATTAGGTGATATCTTACCGTGGTTTTGATTTTCATTTCCCTGGTGATTAGTGATTTTGAGCACTCTTTCATACCTCTTAGCTATTTCATGTCTTCTTTAGAGAAATGTCTATACTTGTTCTTTGTATAGTTTTAATAAGGTTATTTAGTTTTTGCTATCGAGTTGTAGGAATTCCTTATATATTTTTGGAAATTAACCCCTTATCATATATATGATTTGCAAGTATTTTCTCCTATTTCATTCTGTTGATTATTTCTTTTCCTGCAGAGAGGCTTTTTAGTTAGATGTAGTTCCACTTGTTTATTTTTGCTTTTGGTGCCTGTGGCTTTGATTTCATATCCAAAAACTCATTGCCAAACCCAACTTCATAAAGCTTTCCCCCTACATTTTCTTCCAGGAGTTTTACAGTTTCAGGTCTTAGGTTTAAGTTGCGTGTTTGTGTGTGTGTGTGTGCATATAATATATATGTTTAGGGGATAAATGTGCATAGATTGCATAATAGTCAAGTCAGGCTTTTAGGGTATCTGTCACTCAAATAATATACATTGTACCCATTAATTTCTCATTATCTCTCCCTTTTTATCCCCTCACCCTTCTGAGTATCCATTGTCTATTATTCCACTCGCTACATTCGTATGTACATGTATTTTAGCATCCACTTATGAGTGAGCACATGCAATATTTGTCTTTCTGTGTCTGGCTTGTTTCACTTACGATAATGTGACCTCTACTTCCATTCATGTTGCTGCAAAAGAAGCGACCTTATTATTTTTTGTGGCTGAATATTATAGTATTCTATTGTGTATACATGCCACATTTTCTTTATCCAATCATCTATTGTTGGGCACTAAGTTTGATTCCATATCTTTGCTATTATGAATAGTGCGGAGATAAACATATGAGTGCAGGTGTTTTTTTGATGTATTGAATTCTTTTCATTTGGGTAGATGACCAGTATGGGATTGCTGGATCAAATGGAAGTTCTATTTTTAGTTCTTTGAGAAATAGCCATACTATTTCCCATAGAGGCTGTACTAATTTACATACATATGTCATAAGATAAGGACTCAAAATCATTATTTCTCATGTGGATATCTAGTTTCCCAACATCTTTATCAAAGAGACTATCCTTTCCCCATTGTGTATTCTTAGTATTTTGTCAAAGATAAGTTAATGGTATATGTGAGGTTTTATTTCTGGTCTCTATTCTGTTTTATTGGTCTATATGTTGGTCTTTATGCCAGAACTATACTGTTTTGATTACTGTGCTTTGTAGTATGTTTTCATATCAGAAGGTGTGAGGCCTCCAGCTTTGTTTTTCTTTCTCAAAATTATGAGGGTTTTTGGAGTCCTATGTGGTTCCGTATAAATTTAGGATTATTTTTTCTCTTTCTGTGAAAGGCCAGCAGGTTTTGATAAAGATTGCATTGAATCTATAGATTCCTTTGGGGAGTGGTAACATTTGAGCAATATTAAGTCTTCCAGTCCATGAACGTATGATGACTTTTCATTTGTTTGCGTGTTCTTTAATTTCTTTCTGCAACGTTTTGCAATTTTCAGTGAAATCTTTTGTCTCCTTTGTTAAGTTTATTCCAAAGTATTTTGTTCCTTTTGATAATATTGTAAGTGGGATTGTTTTCTTAATTTTCTTTTCAGACTGCTCATTTTTAGTGTATAAAAACACAACTGATTTTTAATGTTGATTTTGTATTCTGCAATGTACTAGATTTGCTTAATTCTAACAAATTTATTTATTTATTGGAATCTAGTTTTTTACATATAAAATGTTATCTACAGAGATAATTTTGCTACTTCCTTTTCTATTTAGATACATTTTCTTTCTTTTTTGTTTTTTCTAACCTAACTGCTCTCACTAGGGTGTATAGTATTATGTTAAATACAAGCAGTAAGAATGGCCATCCTTGCCTTCTTCCTGGTCTTAGAGGGAAAGCCTTAAACTTTCACTATTGAGTATGACTATGGGCTTGTCATATGTGGCTTTTATTGTGTCAAGGTATATTTCTCTTATATCTAATTTGTTGAGCGTTTTTTATCATGAAAAGATGTTGAATTTTATCAAATGCTTCTCCTGCATCTATTGATATGATCATGTTATTTTTATCCTTCATTCTGTTTACATGGTATATCACATTAATTGATTTTTATATGTTGAATCATCTTTACCTCCAATGGATAAATCCCACTTAATCGTGGTGTATGATTCTTCTAATGTGCTGTTGAACTCGGTTTGCTAGTATTTTATTGAGGATTTATTCATTTATGTTTATTAGGGATATTGGTCTATAGTGTTCTCTCCTTGTAGTGTCTTTGTCTGCCTTTGGTATCAGTGTAATGCTGATCTCACAGAATGAATTTGGAAGTGTACACTTCTCTTCAGTTTTTTTGGAAGAGTGTGAGAAGAATTGGCATTAATTCTAATAGAATTCACCTTTAAACCATCTGGTTCTGGGCTTTTCTTTGTTGAGAGATTTTAGCAACTGAATCAATCTCCTTACTATTATAGGGTTGTTCACATTTTCTATTTCCTCATGATTCAGTCTCAACAGGTTGTATGTTTCTAAGAATTTATTCATTTCCTCTGGTTTATCCCATTTTTTTGGTATATAATTGTTTATAGTAGCATCTTATAATCCTTTATGTGGAATTAGTTGTAATGTCTTCTCTTTCAATTTTGATTTTGTTTATTTGAGTGTTCTCTCTTTCTTTCTTTAGCTAAATGTCACTTATGTTTATCTTTTCAAAAAATTCCTAGGGTTGTTGATTTTTTCTATTGCTGTTTCTATTCTCTATTTTATTTATTTCTGCTCTAATCTTTATGATTTCCTTAATTCTACTAAATTTTGTCTTAGATTGCCATTCTTTTTCTAATTCCTTGAGGTATAGAATTAGGTTAAGGTTTTTATCTTTTTTAATATAGGCATTTATTACTGTAAATCTCTCGGTACTGCTTTTGCTGCATTTCATACGTTTTGGAATGTTGTGTTTTCATCTCATCTTTTTTGTCTCAAGATAATTTTTTAAAATTCCCTTTTGATTTCTTGTTTGACCAATTGGTTGTTAAAGGATGCATTGTTTAATTTCCACACATTTGTGAGTTTTCCAGCTTTCCTTCTGATATTGATTTCTAGTTGTGGTTGAAGAAGATACTTGAAGAAGATACTTGAAGGATACTTGGTATAATTTCAATACTCTTAAATTTGTTAAGATTTGTTTTGGGGCCTATCGTGTGATCAACCTTGGAGAACATTCCATGTGTGCTTGAGAAGAATGTGTATTCTGCTGTTGTTAAATGAAATGTTCTGTATATGTTTGTTAGGTTCATTTTGTCTAAACTGTAGTTGAAGTCCAATTCCTTCATGATTTTCTGTCTGGATGATTAATCCAGTATTAAATGTGGGATATTAAATTTTTTCCTATTACTGTATGTTGCCTATCTCTTCCTTCAGTTCTGTCACTGCTTTATATATTTGGGTGTTCTGATATTGGGTGTGCATATATTTATAATTGCTTTATCTTCCTGGTTGACTTGACTCATCCAATTATATCATCATATAATGCCCTTCTTTGTCTCTTGCAGCAATATTTGACTTAAAATCTATTTTGTCTGATATAAATATGGCCATTCCATTCTCTTTTGGTTACCATTTGCCTGGAATATATTTTTCTATTCACTTTCAGCCTATGTATGTTCTCAAGTCTAAAGCAAGTCTTGTAGACAGCACATATGTCTTATGAATTGTTATTCTTGCTATTTAATTACATTTTTAAAAAATTGTATAGTAAAAGACTTACTATTGCTGTCTTGTTAGTTATGTTTTTCTTATTGTCTTTTGACTTTTTCATACCTTTTTTTCACCATTGTTATCTTTATTTGGGTTTATTGATTTATTTTTGTAGTAATACTCTGATTTTTTTTTCTTCTTTTCTTGTATCTTCTGTAGATTTTTTCTTCGTGGCTACCATTAGTTTTACATGAAATATCTTACAACACATTATTTAAATTAAAAAATAACTTAAATCACATACAAAAACCCCTACTTCTCCCTCCACATACTTTATGTTACCAATGTCATAAGTTATATTTTTCATATTTTCTATCCTTTAATATATTTTTCTAGCTATAAGTTATTTTTAACATTCTTGTCTTTTAACTCTTATACCTGAATTGAAAATGATTTACATATCATTATAGTATTATAGTATTCTGTATTTATCTCTATATTTATCTTTACCATTAAGTTACATAGTTACCTACGCTTTTACATTATTATTTAACATATTTTCATTTCAACTTAATGGAATCCCTTTAGCATTTCTTGTAAGGTAGGTCTAATGGTGATAAACTTTCTAGGCTTTTTTTTTTTTTTTTGGTCTGGGAAAAGCTTTACCTTTCCTTTATGTTTAAAAGACAGTTTTGTCAGATATTGTGCTCTCGGTTGGTTGTTATTATTCTACTTCCTTCTGTCTCACAATTTTTCTGCTGAGAAATCTACTTATAGTCTGGAATTTTCCTTGTATGTGACTAGTCACTTTTCTCCTGTTATTTTAAAAATTCCTTCTTTGTCTTTGATTTTGGCAATTTTATTATAATTTGTCTTGGTATTGACTTATTTGAGTTCCTCAGATTTGGGCTTCTTGAATCTGAAAGCCTATTTCTTTCCTCATATTTGGGAAGTTTTGGCCATTATTCCTTTAAATAAGCTTTCTTTCCCCTTTGTTTCTCATTTCTCCTCTTTAAAATTTCATAATGTGTATATTGGTCTGCTTAATTATTTTCCATAAATCCTTAAGGATTTCTTCTGTTTTATTCTTTTTTCTTTTTGTTCCTCTGACTGGATAATTTCGAATGATCTATCCTCAAGTTAGCAATATTTTTCTGCTTGATCAAGTCTGCTCTTGAATATCTCCAGTGGATTTTTTCAGTTCAGTTATTGCATTCTTCAGCTCCAAAATTTCTGTTATTTTAAAATATTTTCTGTTTGATGAAGTTTTTATTTTTTGTATATATTGTTGTCCTGAACTAATGACAACTTTATGATGGTTATTTTTAATTATTTGTCAGGTAATTCACATATCTCTGTTTCTTTGAGGTTGGTTTCTAGAAACTTATTTTATTCCTTTGACTTGATTATTTTCTCATTTATTCATATTTCTTGTACCTTTGTGTTGGTATTTATGCACTTGAAAAAAATCCACCTCTCATAATCTTTATAAACTGGATTTGTAAAGGGAAAGGCATTCATCAATCAGCCCAACTAGGGATTCTGGAAGACTCTCAAACCTTCTCTGTGATGTGTCTTCTCTAGGCCTGTGCATATAGATTTCTAATTAGAAAGATTTATTAGATTTTTTCAGGAGCTTTTAATGAATGATGCCTGACTGATGCCTGACTGCTGTACTGTGAGTCCTCTGAAGAAGCAGCACACCACCTGCTATTTTATATTCTCAGAGCTTCCCAGGCATCTAGAATATGCCAGGTCCTATCAGTCCCCAAAGCCAGGATATTCAGAAACTAACCCCTTGGGTATCCCATCAAAAAGCAAGAAATTGGATGCATACTTTACTTTTCCCTTTCCTTCCTGAGGGAGAGGCTGCTGAACTGTGTCGGCTTCTGTCAGCTTACCTCAGGCCCTCTGGAGGGGCAGCAAGTTGCCCAAAAATTTTGTTTTCAGTGACCACCAGACATTTAGAATACTCTGGGTCTCATTAGCTCTCTTCTACAGGTGAGACAAAAGCCAGTCCCTTAGGCAGGCTTCTCCAAAAGTCAGAATGTTGGACGTGCAGTCTAGTCTCCTCTTTCTCTCCCTACGGAGAATCTGGGAGCTCAAAGTTTCTTCCCAATTGCATGACTCTGCTGGAAGGAGGGACTCTGGTGAGAGGATGCCAAAAATCTGCCTTCTGGCTTTGATGTGGCACATTTCTTGCTCATCTGGAGTGCAGGATTTATCATAGAGGAAATTAATCCATGTATTGTTGAATCAGTGTCTCCATGACAGAAAGGAGAGTCTGGAGCATCCTATTCTGCCATCTTGCTGACATTACTCCTAACCACACTTACCTTGTTTTTCTTCCTTCACTTCCTTCACTACATGCTTCCGTAAGGTTATCTTTGTGAGCTGTAGCCTCTTTTATTGCCATCTAAGGAAATCTTAGATTACCTTGGGCTCAGACCTTGACTCCTTTTTTCTATTGTTACATTTTTACCTTAGGTGAAAATATGTAATCCAATCACTTGAAATAACATCAGTATGCTAATGACTGCCAAGTTTAAATCATTAGCCCAGACCTCTTTGCTGGACTCTATCCTCATATATCCCACTACCTTCCCATCATATGCATTTGAATTTCCTATAGAAATCTTAAACTTAACATGACCCAAATAGTGCTATTAATATCATCATCCATTGCCAAATGTGCTCCTCCTCAAGCTTTCCCCATCTAAGTATTTTGGATCATTACCTATTAGTTTCCCAAGCCCAAAATCTAGGAGTGATTCTTCATTTTTATTTTTTACTTAAATCCTAAAACCACTCAAGGAATAAATTCTGTGGAATATTTCTCTAAAATGTATCTACAATCCTTCCACTTTTCTCTGCTGCCACTATTACAGTCCTAATGTGGCCACTGCCATCTCCCATATGAATATTTCTACTGTTCTTCAAACCAGTTTTCCTGCCCTCATTTTTGACCCTCAATACAGAGTATCTTTCAGAAGTGTAAGTTAGGTACATAATTTGCTTATATAAAACCCTCCACACCTGCAGTCCCAGCTACTTAGGAGGCTGAGGCAGAATGATTGCTTGAGCCCAGTTCAAGGCTCCAGTGAGCTCTGATCACACCACTGCACTTCAGCCTGGGCATTAGAGCAAGACCCTGTCTTAACAATAAATAAGTAAAAAATAAAACCCGGGAGGGAGCCAAGATGGCTGAATAGGAACAGCTCTGGTCTACAGCTCCCAGCGTGAGCAACGCAGAACACGGGTGATTTCTGCATTTCCATCTGAGGTACGAGGTTCATCTCACTAGGGAGTGCCAGACAGTGGGCGCAGGACAGTGGGTGCAGCGCACTGTGCGCGAGCCGAAGCAGGGCGAGGCATTGTCTGACTCAGGAAGTGCAAGGGGTCAGGGAGTTCCCTTTCCTAGTCAAAGAAAGGGGTGACAGACGGCACCTGGAAAATCGGGTCACTCCCACCCCAATACTGCGCTTTTCCGACGGGCTTAAAAAACGGCGCACCAGGAGATTATACCCGGCACCTGGCTCGGAGGGTCCTAAATGCCCACGGAGTCTCGCTGATTGCTAGCACAGCAGTCTGAGATCAAACTGCAAGGCGGCAGCTAGGCTGGGGGAGGGGTGCCCACCATTGCCCAGGCTTGCTTAGATAAACAAAGCAGCCAGAAAGCTCGAACTGGGTGGAGCCCACCACAGCTCAAGGAGGCCTGCCTGCCTCTGCAGGCTCCACCTCTGGGGGCAAGGCACAGACAAACAAAAAGACAGCAGTAACCTCTGCAGACTTAAATGTCCCTGTCTGACAGCTTTGAAGAGAGCAGTGGTTCTCCCAGTATGCAGCTGGAGATCTGAGAACGGGCAGACTGCCTCCTCAAGTGGGTCCCTGACCCCTGACCCCTGAGCAGCCTAACTGGGAGGCACCCCCCAGTAGGGGCAGACTGACACCTCACACGGCCAGGTACTCCTCTGAGACAAAACTCCCAGAGGAACGATCAGACAGCAGCATTCGCGGTTCATGAAAATCTGCTGTTCTGCAGCCACCCCTGCTGGTACCCAGGCAAACAGGGTCTGGAGTGGACCTCCAGCAAACTCCAACAGACCTGCAGCTGAGGGTTCTGTCTGTTAGAAGGAAAACTAACAAACAGAAAGGACATCCACACCAAAAACCCATCTGTACATCACCATCATCAAAGACCAAAAGTAGATAAAACCACAAAGATGGGGAAAAAAACAGAGTAGAAAAACTGGAAACTCTAAAAAGCAGAGCGCCTCTCCTCCTCCAAAGGAACGCAGTTCCTCACCAGCAATGGAACAAAGCTGGAGGGAGAATGACTTTGACGAGTTGAGAGAAGAAGGCTTCAGATGATCAAACTACTCTGAGCTACAGGAGGAAATTCAAACCAAAGGCAAAGAAGTTGAAAACTTTGGAAAAAGTTTAGAAGAATGTAAACTAGAATAACCAATACAGAGAAGTGCTTAAAGGAGCTGATGGGGCTGAAAGCCAAGGCTCGAGAACTACGTGAAGAATGCAGAAGGCTCAGGAGCTGATGCGGTCAACTGGAAGAAAGGGTATCAGTGACGGAAGATGAATGAAATGAAGCGAGAAGGGAAGTTTAGAGAAAAAAAGAATAAAAAGAAACGAACAAAGCCTCCAAGAAATATGGGACTATGTGAAAAGATCAAATCTACGTCTGATTGGTGTACCTGAAAGTGACGGGGAGAATGGAAACAAATTGGAAAACACTCTGCAGGATATTATCCAGGAGAACTTCCCCAATCTAGCAAGGCAGGCCAACATTCAGATTCAGGAAATACAGAGAACGCCACAAAGATACTCCTCAAGAAGAGCAACTCCAAGACACATAATTGTCAGATTCACCAAAGTTGAAATGAAGGAAAAAATGTTAAGGGCAGCCAGAGAGAAAGGTCGGGTTACCCACAAAGGGAAGCCCATCAGACTAACAGCGGATCTCTCGGCAGAAACTCTACAAGCCAGAAGAGAGTGGGGGCCAATATTCAACATTCTTAAAGAAAATAATTTTCAACCCAGAATTTCATATCCAGCCAAACTAAGCTTCATAAGTGAAGGAGAAATAAAATACTTTACAGACAAGCAAATGCTGAGAGATTTTGTCACCACCAGGACTGCCCTAAAAGAGCTCCTGAAGGAAGCACTAAACATGGAAAGGAACAACCAGTACCAGCCACTGCAAAATCATGCCAAATTGTAAAGACCATCGAGGCTAGGAAGAAAGTGCATCAACTAATGAGCAAAATAACCAGCTAACATCATAATGACAGGATCAAATTCATACATAACAATATTAACTTTAAATGTAAATGGACTAAATACTCCAATTAAAAGACACAGACTGGCAAATGCGATAAAGAGTCAAGACCCATCAGTGTGCTGTATTCAGGAAACCCATCTCATGTGCAGAGACACACATAGGCTCAAAATAAAAGGATGAAGGAAGATCTACCAAGCAAATGGAAAACAAAAAAAGGCAGGGGTTGCAATCCTAGTCTCTGATAAAACAGACTTTAAACCAACAAAGATCAAAAGAGACAAAGAAGGACATTACATAATGCTAAAGGGATGAATTCAACAAGAAGAGCTAACTATCCTAAATATATATGCACCCAACACAGGAGCACCCAGATTCATAAAGTAAGTCCTTACAGACCTACAAAGAGACTTAGACTCCCACACAATAATAATGGGAGACTTTAACACCCCACTGTCGACGTTAGACAGATCAACCAGACAGAAAGTTAACAAGGATACCCAGGAATTGAACTCAGCTCTGCACCAAGTGGACCTAATAGACATCTACAGAACTCTCCACCTCAAATCAACAGAATATACATTCTTTTCAGCACCACACCACACCTATTCCAAAATTGACCATATAGTTGGAAGTAAAGCTCTCCTCAGCAAATGTAAAAGATCAGAAATTATAACAAACTATCTCTCAGACCACAGTGCAATCAAACTATAACTCAGGATTAAGAAACTCACTCAAACCACTCAACTACATGGAAACTGAACAACCTGCTCCTGAATGACTACTGGGTACATAAGGAAATGAAGGCAGAAAGAAAGATATTCTTTGAAACCAATGAGAACAAAGACACAACATGCCACAATCTCTGGGACACATTCAAAGCAGTGTGTAGAGGGAAATTTATAGCACTAAATGCCCACAAGAGAAAGCAGGAAAGATCCAAAATTGACAACCTAACATCACAATTAAAAGAACTAGAAAAGCAAGAGCAAACACATTCAAAAGCTAGCAGAAGGCAAGAAATAACTAAAATCAGAGCAGAACTGAAGGAAATAGAGACACAAAAAACCCTTCAAAAAATTAATGAATCCAGGAGCTGGTTTCTTGAAAGGATCAACAAAATTGATAGACTTCTAGCAAGACTAATAAAGAAGAAAAGAGAGAAGAATCAAATAGATGCAGTAAAAAATGACAAAGGGGATATCACCACCGATCCCACAGAAATACAAACTACCATCAGAGAATACTACAATCACCTCTATGCAAATAAACTAGAAAATCTAGAAGAAATGGATAAATTCCTCGACACATACACCCTCCCAAGACTAAACAAGGAAGAAGTTGAATCTCTGAATAGACCAATAACAGGATCTGAAATTGTGGCAATAATCAATAGCTTACCAACAAAAATAGTCCAGGACCAGATGGATTCACAGCCAAATTCTACCAGAGGTACAAGGAGGAACTGGTACCATTCCTTCTGAAACTATTCCAAACAATAGAAAAAGAGGGAATCCTCCCTAACTCATTTTATGAGGCCAGCATCATCCTGATACCAAAGCCTGGCAGAGACACAACCAAAAAAGAGAATTTTAGACCAATATCCTTGATGAACATTGAAGCAAAAATCCTCAATAAAATACTGGCAAACTGAATCCAGCAGCATGTCAAAAAGCTTATCCACCATGATCAAGTGGGCTTCATCCCTGGGATGCAAGGCTGGTTCAATATACACAAATCAATAAATGTAATCCAGCATATAAACAGAACCAAAGACAAAAACCACGTGATTATCTCAATAGATGCAGAAAAGGCCTTTGACAAAATTCAACAACACTTCATGCTAAAAACTCTCAATAAATTAGGTATTGATGGGACATATCTCAAGATAATAAGAGCTATCTATGACAAACCCACAGCCAATATCATACTGAATGGGCAAAAACTGGAAGCATTCCCTTTGAAAACTGGCACAAGACAGGGATGCCCTCTCTCACCGCTCCTATTCAACATAGTGTTGGAAGTTCTGGCCAGGGCAATTAGGCAGGAGAAGGAAATCAAGGGTATTCAATTAGGAAAAGAGGAAGTCAAATTGTCCCTGTTTGCAGACGACATGATTGTATATCTAGAAAACCCCACTGTCTCAGCCCAAAATCTCCTTAAGCTGATAAGCAACTTCAGCAAAGTCTCAGGATACAAAATCAATGTACAAAAATCACAAGCATTCTTATACACCAATAACAGACAAACAGAGAGCCAAATCATGAGTGAACTCCCATTCACACACAATTGCTTCAAAGAGAATAAAATACCTAGGAATCCAACTTACAAGGGATGTGAAGGACCTCTTCAAGGAGAACTACAAACCACTGCTCAAGGAAATAAAAGAGGATACAAACAAATGGAAGAACATTCCATGCTCATGGGTAGGAAGAATCAATATTGTGAAAATTGCCATACTGCCCAAGGTAATTTACAGATTCAAGGCCATCCCCATCAAGCTACCAATGCCTTTCATCACAGAATTGGAAAAAACTACTTTAAAGTTCATATGGAACCAAAAAAGAGCCCGCATCGCCAAGTCAATCCTAAGCCAAAAGAACAAAGCTGGAGGCATCACACTACCTGACTTCAAGCTATACTACAAGGCTACAGTAACCAAAACAGCATGGTACTGGTACCAAAACAGAGATATAGATCAATGGAACAGAACAGAGCCCTCAGAAATAATGCCGCTTATCTACAGCTATCTGATCTTTGACAAACCTGAGAAAAACAAGCAATGGGGAAAGGATTCCCTATTTAATAAATGGTGCTGGGAAAACTGGCTAGCCATATGTAGAAAGCTGAAACTGGATCCCTTCCTTACACCTTATACAAAAATCAATTCAAGGTGGGTTAAAGACTTAAACGTTAGACCTAAAACCATAAAAACCCTAGAAGAAAACCTAGACATTACCATTCAGGACATAGGCATGGGCAAGGACTTCATGTCTAAAACACCAAAAGCAATGGCAACAAAAGACAAAATTGACAAATGGGATCTAATTCAACTAAAGAGCTTCTGCACAGCAAAAGAAACTACCATCAGAGTGAACAGGCAACCTACAAAATGGGAGAAAATTTTCACAACCTACTCATCTGACAAAGGGCTAATATCCAGAATCTACAATGAACTCAAACAAATTTACAAGAAAAAAACAAACAACCCCATCAAAAAGTGGGCAAAGGACATGAACAGACACTTCTCAAAAGAAGACATTTATGCAGCCAAAAACCACATGAAAAAATGCTCACCATCACTGGCCATCAGAGAAATGCAAATCAAAACCACAATGAGATACCAGCTCACACCAGTTAGAATGGCAATCATTAAAAAGTCAGGAAACAACAGGTGCTGGAGAGGATGTGGAGAAATAGGAATACTTTTACACTGTTGGTGGGACTGTAAACTAGTTCAACCCTTGTGGAAGTCAGTGTGGCGATTCCTCAGGGATCTAGAGCTAGAAATACCATTTGACCCAGCCATCCCATTACTGGGTATATACCCAAAGGACTATAAATCATGCTGCTATAAAGACACATGCACACGTATGTTTATTGCAGCACTATTCACAATAGCAAAGACTTGGAACCAACCCAAATGTCCAACAATGATAGACTGGATTAAGAAAATGTGGCACATATACACCATGGAATACTATGCAGCCATAAAAAATGATGAGTTCATGTCCTTTGTAGGGACATGGATGAAATTGGAAATCATCATTCTCAGTAAACTATCGCAAGAACAAAAAACCAAACAAACACCGCATATTCTCACTCATAGGTGGGAATTGAACAATGAGAACACATGGACACAGGAAGGGGAACATCACACTCTGGGGACTGTTGTGGCGTGGGGGGAGGGGGGAGGGGGGAGGGATAGCTTTAGGAGATATACCTAATGCTAAATGACGAGTTAATGGGTGCAGTACACCAGCATGCCACATGTATACATATGTAACTAACCTGCACATTGTGCACATGTACCCTAAAACTTGAAGTATAATAATAATAAAATTAAAAAATAAAATAAAATAAATAAAACCCTCCATTGTAACTTACTAAACTTATTGGTTCTTGTCTATTTTTCTGACCTCAACTCCTTTCACCTTTTCCTTTCTCACTAATCCAATCCATTCTTTCTTGCCCTCATACCCTCCAGGCTTCTTGTCTTAAAAATTTCGTTGGCATCTTCCTCCAGATCATCACTAGGCTTCCTTCTTTTCCTCCTCTAGTCTCCGGTGTGACACCTCCTGAGGAGACATTCCCTGACCATGCTAGCTAATTTAGTCTACTCCATTTTTATCATTTTTCTAACAATTACTTTGTCTTATTCATAGTGCTTATACATTATCTAGTGCTTATGAATAACTACTTTATTTGTTTATATGTTTTTATTTCTCAAATGAGTAGAATATAAGCTCTTCAAATTCAGGACCTTGTCTGGATCTTTTCTGGTTCCCTGGCCTATAGTCAATGTCCAATTAATATTTGTTGCCTATCAAATGACAAAATAAGCATAGAAAGACTCTGCCCTTGCACAAAGGCTTCTGCTCTGTTGATCTAAGAGAAAGAGAACCCAAAAAGAGTAGTCAAGTGAGCTCCTTTTTTTCAAAATCTTTCAAGAAGCCCACACTGAAACAAGTTAATTCAAGCCAAGGAATGATCTTGTTACATTTCAATAAAGACTATCCTGGCCTTCAATATTTTTTGAATGAGGCACATGATAATTGAATAAAATAAAATAAGATTTTGTTTCAAGGAACAATTTTTAGCCATTATGGCACTACAAGTGCAATCACATTTCTTATTTCTATATTTATATACTTAATGATTACTAATCATAATAAAGGCTTTGAAGAAATTTTAGATTGGACCGTGCCTTCAGAAAAAAAAGTATGTTATTTTTAACACTGCTTTGGTTTTTAAATTCGCATTCTAATTATCTGTAAGTTGGTAATTCAAGTAGGATCAGGTGTTACATCTGTAAAACGGTTGGGGGATTCATGCCATGGTCAGTCTTGGTTTAAACTGTGGCTCTGCTACTTACAATAGCTCCAGGGGAATCACTAAATACCCTCTGAGGTGCTATTTTCTCAGCTCTAAAATTGAGATGAGTACAGTATTAACCTCATATTCTTTGTTGTCAGAATTCAAGAGGATAATATACATAGTATGTGTATCACAGAGTTAGTAGTCAATAAACGTAGCTCTTTCGACCATTACATCATATCTAACTAACCTCATTTACTTTGCTAACAGGGTCTCTGGTAGGGACTGCCTTTTTCTCTGCCTCTCTAAGCTCCTTTGTTTCTTGTCTCACCTCAGTTGAAGACTCTCAAATTTTCTGTCTTTCCATTTGAGGCTCAGCTCTGCTTAGCCTCCAGAAGCAGTCCAACCATAGACTGTGAAGATGGAGAGTAAAGAAAGCTATTTTAAAAGTTAACTTATTGTGTCTAGCACTGAACTTCTCTGATGCAGCTGGACATAGAAAAATGGACTGTTGTGGGAGGGGCAGACATGAGGTACCCAGAGAGAGTGATAGAATCTTCCCATTGGTGGAGATGTTAGCCAGACAGACATAGTGACACGTGATTGGGAGAATATCCTTATCCAGGGGGGACGATGACCACCAAGAGTTTTTCCCCAGCAGAGGAAACAGAGTCTAATATATATTGACAGAGATAATAGGAAATCCAAAAGCAGATTTCCCAGAAACACAGGGAAGATTCACCCAGATTGGACTTCATTGTATGATATCTACTCACCCAAGTCTAAGCTTTGGACAAGCTTGTATCACCAGACTTTTCTCTCTAGGCTTAAGTTCTTCAGCCCTGGATTGTACTCATATCCTAGAATGAGAAGGGTTCCATGGAATTCTTCCTGCCCAGGCTCCTGATGCCTCATACTAACTGAGCTATCTCTCACTGTGGAGAAAACTTCCCGTTGTTACAAGGCTGATTGTAACCTCTTGTAACTTGATTGTAACTTGAAGATTAATTGGACCTATTCTGATGAGCTTCAACAAGACTCATACTAAAAAAAATTTGGAACATCAAAAAATGAACTATGTAAGAGCA
The DNA here is from genome assembly GCF_000001405.40 of Homo sapiens. Taxonomy (NCBI): domain Eukaryota; kingdom Metazoa; phylum Chordata; class Mammalia; order Primates; family Hominidae; genus Homo; species Homo sapiens. The sequence continues at coordinate 41,485,856 of NC_000005.10, read as the reverse complement.
GGTCAGTAGAAACCTGACTTAACTATGGTTTGTGAGAAAAAGACCTAGGGCAAGTAACCAACTGGTGATAACTGACTGTAAGTCAGTAGTGTGACATGGCAGCGAAAATGTGTAATGCATACCGGGCTGCATAACCAGATATAGTTTGTAGAGTAAGCAGTGTGATAGTCCTGCTGATTCTATTCCAGGAAGAGCCTATCTGCAGCATGGTGCTTTGTTCTGGCGTTCAAATTTCCACAAAAACTCAGGAAAGCTTCAGTGTGTTTTAGAGAGGGGGCTGGGACTGAAGGATTGGGATTGTGCAGGAGGACACTACCAGGTCATAACTCTGAAGGTTCTGGAAGCCACCGCAAATGGAATATAGCCTTCTTTCTTCAAATACATGAAGGAGGGGGTCTCTGGAGTTCTAAATTAAAGCAACCAAAGAATACAATTTAGAAGGTTGAAGGTTTTGGCAAACTGAAAGTAAGGAAAGAAACTTTCATCAGTGTGATTTTTTAAGTAGTAAACTCATCCTCTTTGGTAGAAGTGTATAAAGAGAGGCTTATGGCTATCTTCCAAACATCTGCATTGACACAGGATTTGAGCCCAATGACCATTAAGACATTTTTTCACTCTAAGATACTGTGTGATTTTGGGTGTGTTACTTGGCCTCTTTGAATGTCTTTTTTATTACCTAAAAATGGAAGTAGAATAGTGTCCGTCTTCATAAGATTATGTGTGAATGAAATGAAATAATTGGTGTGAAACATTTAGGACAATGCTTAACACCTACTAAGTTCTCAATGAATGAGTTATGAGTTAATCTAGCAAATTCTTGACCAACTGAATAAATAAAATCTCACCTATCCCTGTTTATACCTTACTATCCTCTGTCAATAACATGGTTCTGGTCTTCACTTTCATTTCTTATAAAGTTTTATTTATTTATTATTTAATTGCCTACAAGGATTTAGCAGTTTCTTAGCAGGTGGGACATGAAACTGAAAATTGAATACAGCAGGAACAAATCTCAATTTAGCACCTGAATGTTATTTCCAAGGCTATTGGATTAAGAACAATATTTTAACATGACAGTAGATGGAATTTATTTTTCTCATATGTCAATGTAATTATAGAGACTTCTGCAATAGAAGATGTGCAGACTGCAGGCTATGATCATTCCGTTACCTATACACAGGTTGGGATTACCTGGGCAGTTTCTGAAGTCAAGATGCTAAAATGACCCTCAGGACAGAGTTCTTAAAATTTTATGAGCAATATGTTTCTCCCAAAAGCAATCTTACCATTTAGATATTTTATATTAATGAACAATTCATCTAAGGGCCATTTAAGCAATGTAATAGGGCATACAGTAATATTTGGCAACAGTATTTGCTTACTAAATGTTGATCAAATAAACGATTTGGAAAAAGAAAAAGCTGCTGGACTTCAAAGCCTAGAAATGCAAGGATAAACACTTTGCAAAAAGTTGCTCAAAACTAAAGGTGTGTGACTAATGCATACAGTAACTTAAACATGGCTTACCTATTTTGGTCCAAATTGTTCAATGAATATGTGCAAAAATATTTTAGAATACAGTTAGTGTGTGTGTGTGTGTGTGTGTGTGTGCATGTTCCAGGATCTTAAGTCACAGACTTTATGAGTACAAGAATTTACTTAACCAAGTCAATCTGCTTAAGTTTTGAAAATCATACATATAGCTGCGGCCCCCTATACCCCTAATGTTTATATTAAAATGGGTATTAGATTTTTGGGGTCATAACTGGCAGTCTTGATTCCTAAAGTGGAGCAAGTCACTTAATGCCTTTTTGCTTCCATTTTCTTACATATTAGAAGGTGAGATCAATAATTGCCTCCTCAAAATGAGAGGAATTCTACATTAATGCATTTGGAGCCTTTAAAAATATGTATGAGAATACCAAGATCAGTAAAATTAGGCCATTTAATTTTGTGTGTGTTAGTGGTGTTGACAGTATTTTGGATAGGGGAGGGCCAAAAATGGCAATTCAAAATCTAAATAGAAAAAGAATGTGAATTGCTACTTCTAAAATATTTCATCTGATTCAGCAATTCCTTTTAAGACTGAAATATTGTCATATTTTTTAAACATTTGTTTTTTAATAGTTGTAAATATACATAATGTAAAATTTACCATTTTAATCATTTTTAAGTGTGCAGGTCAGTGGCATTATGTACATTCACATTGTTGTACAGCCATCACTGTCATTCATCCACAGAACATTTTTCATCTTGCAAAACTGAAATTCTGTACTCATTAAGCTTAAGCAATAATATTTAAAAATTACTTTAAAAATAATTTTTATTTCACTTATAAAGCACTTTATGTATTACGAAGATATAGCATATATTTTATCTTATTTTTACAGCGACAACCTTTTAAGATGGGGTCTCAAGGCTCAGAAACATTCAATAACTTGCTAAATCTCACCCTTCTGGTTAATTGGAGAACCAGAACTTGAACTTAGGTCATTTCGCATCCGGTCCAATATTCTTTCCTGCTTAATCTCATAGGTAATGCAAAACTCACTCATTCTCTGTTTCACCTGATCTCTCAAGTAACTGGGATTTTTTTAAATTTTGTTAATCTACTGTAAACTTTGTGCTTCCTTTGCAAGTTCTCCTTTAATCCTAAGTATTTGGGATTTGTATTTTGTTCTGATGAGATTAAGATCATGTCAGGTTCACTTTAATTGACATCCTTAAAGCTTTAAGTGATGTAGGTAGAAACTGATCTTAAAATGAACTTGTCCAATGAATGAACCTTGAGAATATTACGCTAAGTGAAATAAACCAGTCACAAAAAACAAATACTGTATGATTCCACTTATATAAGATATCTCAAATAGTTACATTTGAAGAAATAGAAACTAGAATGGCCGTTGCCAGTGCTAGGGTGGAGGGGAAATGGGAGTTGTTTAATTTGTAGAGTTTCAGTTTTACAAGATGAAAAAGTTCTGGTGATTGCTCATACACAATGTGATATTATTAACACTACTGAATGGTACACTTAAAAATTGTTAAGATGGTAAATGTGAGGTATTTTTTAAACCTAAATTAAAGAAAACAAGAAAAGAAATAGCCTAGTCAGATTTTTAAAAATGTTTTTTGACATAAACACCTTTTGCCCTGTAGTTTTCTGCAGTGTTCCTAATTTTCTGAGGCTCTAACAGCAAGAAAGGGCATCCTCTTTAACTTTGCTTCCAGCTACATGGCCAATAAGTTTGTTTGCTCCTCTTGTTATTTCATTCATGGTTTCACTGATTAAAGGTGGCCAAATCACATTACTTTCTTAGGTCTCTCCTTCTTTAGTGTGATATCAGACTAATGTATTATACTTCGTGCTCTTAAGTATCCTGCTGATAAGGGTTAATGGAATAATATATGGGAAGCTTTCAAATTCTTTATATTGAAACTCTCTTCCTAGATTTGTAAGTACGTTACGAGTCACGTGGCCCAGACACGTGACTACAAAGCCCTACAAAGACAATTTCTCTTCATGGATAGGGTCGGTAGCACCATAATGCAACTTGGATTTGGGACTCATTCATCCAGAAATTACACACTAAACAGTGAGTGTGTTCCAGGTTATGCTGGGAGCTGGAAATGGAGATAAACAAGCTAGATTAGGCATTTCCATTCTAATGTTAGGAAGGAGACTGTAAACAACTGCAGAGAAAAAGACCCATTGAAAGAATTCACCTAAGCCAAAAGAAGCATATCTTTTTTTACTGACATATCTGAGTTCTAGGTTAAAAAAAAAAGTTATCTTGAAGAACTTCACTTTTCATTTTCACATCAAAATTTAGAAAATGGGCATAATAACTGATAGCCCATCATACGTCCTTACACTGTAAATGCTGTTACTTAGGTCCTTATTCTTGTGGCTTGGGCTCTGAATATCTAATTAAAGAGTGAAAAATTCAGTCTTTGATTTTGGTAGGGGCAAATACTCAGATGAAGGCCTGACCTAATTCACGTTTCACAGGGCCTAAGCCCTGCTGTCCATGCCAGGAGGTGGGAGAAGGGAAGGAGGCTGTGGCTAAGGGGCTCATCCCAGAGGGCAAAGCAGTGCCCCAGAAGCTTCTCTCCCTTCTTTTGACCTTGCTCCAGACACAGCTCAGTTCCTTTCACAGTTTTCTTTCAGGTGTGGTGGCAGTTACTTGAATCATATCATACTTGTTATTTACTTGCACCTTCCATTTCAGACCCTGACTGGGATAATTTCAGAAGACAGCATCTCTGCTTTTGACTGGCTTTTTTCAGAAGCTGTTGGAGAGTACTTGCTGAGTTTTAGGGTCCCCCTGCACCTTAGGATCCTAAAGGAAGTTGTTTCAGAGGTGATGAAAAGATAATTGTTGGTTTTGCTCCATATGTGTGATTCCAAAAGTGTTATCTGACTCATCTCAAGTATGCTGGGTAGCTCTTATGCAGGCAGAAGTCCAGTTCTGGGAGATCTAGCTTATGTATTATAGCATTATGTTCATAGGAAGAGATCACAGTAATTGTGACCATTTGTTAAAGGCTGCTGTCTGAAAGTCACTTACATGTATTAACTCTAATACTTATAACAACTCTGTATAGTCAATATCATTCCCATTTTACAGATATACAAATGGAGAGACTAAATATTCAGGAAGTATTAGGTGAGGCAGACAGAGAGAGAGCTGTTGGATTTCCATGTCCAAGCTTTTTTTCCCTTCCTTTCTTTTTTTTTTTTTTTTTTTTTTTTTACAAATTAGGTCTTCATTATTTCTTCAGGACTCTCTCCATTGACAATTATAAATTTGGTAGGTATTTTTCTGACTAACTCATTAAGTGCATACTAATTTGACCCCTTTCAGAAACAGTGTTAGTATACTTTAATGCTTCAACTGATATTTCCACTATGCTATAACTTTGTTTGTTTGTTTATTTATTTATTTTGAGATGGAGTCTTGCTCTGTCATGCAGGCTGGAGTGCAGTGGTGTGATCTCAGCTCACTTCAACCTCCACCTCCCGGGTTCAAGCCTCAGCCTCCTGAGTAGCTGGGACTACAGGTGCCCGCCACCACACCTGGCTAATTTTTGTATTTTTAGTAGAGACGGGGTTTCACCGTGTTGGCCAGGCTGGTCTTGAAATCCTGACCTCAGGTGATCCACCTGCCTTGGCCTCCCAAAGTGCTAGGATTACAGGAGTGAGCCACTGCTCCTGGCCCACTATGCTATACTTTTAACAATGGACCTAGACATTGTCTTAAATCCTTAAACAAGTAAAGGAGCAAACTAAACAGTACTGAATTTCCACAAGAGTGAGATTAAAAAAAAAAAGTTTTCTTAATGCCTTAAACCCTGAATTGTGTTTTTTCTCTGTACCCAACCCCTGGCTGCAAAATGTCATCATACCAATTTTTATTAGAAGAGAAAAAAAGCAAATGTTATAAATGAAAAAAAAAAAAAAAACAACTTTGTTACAGCTACAAGAGCTGCACAAGTACCCAAGTGGAGCTTTAAATCCTGATGTTATACTCAAAAGGACATTGCTGTGTCCTGGAGCTCAGAGAGCCTCTCAATGGGTGACTCATTGGTCCTTGACCCTAGGAGATGGCATTTTGATTTTGATTGCTTTTTTATCAAGAGTTTAGAACCTTTCTCAGTATATTGCTTTCAGGGCATTTTTCTTGGCTAATATTTGGGCAAAAATCATTTTTATTCCTATTGAAAGGAAGGTTTTCACCAAAATTCAGAACAGAAAAGCTTCAGCTCGTATCCCTCTAAAACAGTTTGGTTTCATTATAATATCAACTGATAATCATAACAAATGCATTTTCCCAAACTTTGAGACAATGCTTTAATAGAAAATTAAATGAAAGAAATAAATTCTACTAGATTCTTTTCTCCATTAAAAATGTAACAAATGTAACCAACATTTAATAATTAGTTTCTATATTCTAGGTGATGTATTAGTTGTTTTGACAAGTATTGGCAAATACTTATATGTAATGAACCTATAGGGTTCTTTTCTAAAATATAGAATTTGCCTCTTTGAGGTAATACCGTGATTAATTTCAATGATTTCAAATAAATGTTTTTAAAGTCTATGCCTACTCTCTCTCTCTCTCTCTCTTTCTCTCTCTCTCTCTCCCTCTCAGCAGAGTACTAAGGACCAATACAATTTAATCAATTTTATAATGCAAAATTATTATTAGCATATTGAACTGTATATCACAAAGAGATATTTTGAAGACGCTTTTGGTATGTGCACAGCTGTTTATGACTATACTCACTAAACTATACATCTATGTTTTTAAGCTTTTGTGTTTGAGTGTTACAGTTTTTTTTATCAAGGTAAAATATACACAACATAAAATTTACCATTTTAAACGATTTTAGGCATACAATTCTGTGGCATTAAGTACATTCACATTATTATGCAAACATCACCACTCTCTATCTCAAGAATTTTTTCATCTTCCTCAACTAAAACTCTATACCAATCAAACACTAACTCCTCCTCATTCTTCCCTCTCCTAGACCCTGGCAACCATCACTCTACTTTCTGGCTCTATAAATTTGATTACTCTAGGCACCTCATATAAATTGAATCATGTAATATTTGTTTTTTGTGACTGGCTTATTTCACTTTGCATGGGTCTGGAGCTTTCATTTATACTGTATCATGTATCAGAATTTTCTTATTTTTTAAGACTGAATAATATAGTATTATATGAATATACCACATTTTGTTTACCCATTCTTCTGTCAATGAACATTTGGTGATATGATTTGGCTCTGTGTCCTCACCCAAATCTTATCTCAAATTGTAATCCCCACGTGTTAGGGGAGGGGCCTTGTCAGATGTGATTGAATCATGGGGGCAGACTTCCCCCTTGCTGTTCTCATGATAGTGAGTTCTCACGAGATCTGTTTGTTTCAAAGTGTGTAGCACTTTGCCCTTTATTCCCTTTCTGCTGCTCTGCCATGTGAAGAAGGTGCTTGCTTCCCCTTCGCCCTTCTGCCACTATTGTAAGTTTCCTGAGGTCTCCCCAACCATGCTTCCTGTACAGCCTGTGTAACTGTGAGTCAATTAAATCTCTTTTCTTCATAAATTACCCAGTCTCCAGTAGTTCTTCATAGCAGTAAGATAATAGACTAATACACACCTCTTTACACTTTGCTGTTTGTTTTCCATTAGCTGAAGAGTGATTTAGCTAAGTTGATTGTAATCATTCTTAAAACAGAAGTAAATAGTCTCTGAGTGAGGCTTTGAGAAACGTTTAAGTAAAGTACATCAGCTTTAGTAAATACATTTTATGACATGTTTTAATCACTGAAAGGCCTTCCTATTTCATATACTTTCAACTTATTAATGATGTTTTAGATAATTAATATTATAGGAGTGATGGCTTCTAGAAAAGTGACACAGTTATTTAAATTAAGATTTTAAAATCTAGATGTTAACTCTGTATGATTATATGTTCTGGTAAGGGACCAAATATTTGATGATATCCATAGTAAAACCTTTTAGCTTTAAACTCATGAATTATTATTACTTATGGTTGCTTATTTAGTATCTATGTCAAGCCCTTTGTTGCTCAGCTAACAAATCCTCTGAGAATTGAGGAATTGAGACCAAGCTAAAGATCAACTCTCTAACAACCCAGCGCTTTGGTAACAGATACCATCATCTTTAAACCAACATTGCATCTTAAAAGGCAAAGTGTTAAGTCACTGCAGTGTCATCTCTGAAACAGAAAAACATGGCCAGCCTATCATGAGATGAGGGTGGAATAGTAGTTAGCCATTGCTATACTTTGTCAGGCATTTTCTATGTCCCTAAGCCATGCAACCCACTCCCACCCTACTCCTAGACAGTATATGTCTGTCACTAATTCTTAAAATCTCTACTCCTGGCAGAGTCTTGAGTGACTTTGTAATTTTCCCAGCTATTTTTATTGGGCCATTCTGACCTGGATCATTTGAGGGAGGAAAGAGAGGCTGCAAAAGAGATGAAGGCTTTTAATGAGGCTCTTTTCACTGAAGTCTTTACAAATTAGGTCAGTTGCAATCTGATGAAAGCAGGGTATAGTCGGGAGTGGATAAGTAGGAAATTGCACTGAGATATAGGACAGCCTCTTCAGAATGACTTCTAATGCCCAGATGAGGTTTTTTTTTTAATTTTTTTTTGGAAGCAAACTGCAATGTTAAGAAATCCAGAGTTTGGAAGTGACTATGGTGTAAGGGGGCTGGAGATTAGAATCATGGGAGGGACATCTTGATCCTGGGTACCAGTTCAGACCAAGGAGCTGTGAAAATATGCACCTGATTCTTTGATGTACTCTTTAAATGGAACCCAGGCAAATGTCACAGGCCTATTTGCAACAAGGATGCTGGCACACAGAGAAGGTAAGAAATTGGCCCAAATTTTTTGAACCAGGAGCGACAGGTATGGGGATAGGATCTAAGTCTTCTGATTCCAGAATCCTGATTACTTTCTTTTGTACCATGCTAATAAACTTGTTTTTGTTTTTAAATGTTTATTGACAATCTACAATAAACTCTATACTAGAAGATAAAAGTAAATACTGGGTATTATAGAAACTACAATGACTACTAGTAGTAAGTACCATTTCTATACTGTTAGGGTAACATATTATTCCCATTTTTCAGATAGGAGAACTGAGGCCCAGAGAAAAGAAGTAAATTTTCTCCTAGTTCAGAGGGCCAGAAACATATAACATGGGCTCCAGATTTTAGGAGATTAAGGGAATTTTTTCAGGATCACAGGGCTAGAAAAACAATTTATATTTACATATTTTATGTATAAATATACAGTTGCAGCAGGAAATGGGAAGAACATTGTCATTGACAGAAAAACATGACTATCTATGGAAACTACATTTTGTAAACATCTCAAAGGCAGTGGAAGATTAAGGTGTTAAGCACCATGTCTCTCCAGAATCATTCTTGACGCCTATAAAAGCCTTGAAGCCTTGATGGAAACACTAGGACCTCCCTAACCTTTCTGTACTTCAGTTTTCTTTTCTGTAAAATGTGGATAATGAAAGTAATTGCTCTTTGTGTTGGTGTCCTCAAGACCAACCTCAGGTTCAACAGTTTGCTAGGGGGACTCACAGGACTCAGCATATGGTCACATTCACAGCTAAGATTTAACTACAGTGAAAGAATACAAAGAAAAATCAGGGGGAAAAAAGCACATGAACAAAGTCTGGGAGAAGACAGGTGCAAGCTTCCAAGAGTCCTTTCCCAGTGGAGTCACATAGAACATGTTTAATCCTCTCAGCAACAAATGGAGACAACATGTATAAGATGTTGCCAACCAGAAAAGCTCATTAGATTCTCAGCACCCAGTTTTTATTAGGGACTGATGAGGGAGGCATACTCTACCTGGCATGTATCAAATTCTAGACACCTAGATGGTTAAGAAGATATTCATCATAAACCATATTATTTGTCTAAATAGTTGAGGCACATTGAGGCATTCTTATTAATTCTGGGAATGGTGAGGACATGCCTGAAATTCAAGTTTTTAGATGCCAGCCAAAGGTAAACCTTGTAATAAAGCCTTTCTAAGGATAGCAATCAGGCCTGCTATGTAAACTTTTTTCTGCCCACTCTCCCAAAGTGGTGAGAATCAAATGAGATAATGTACAGACTGTTCCCAACTTACAATGGTTCAGCTTAGGATGGTTCAACTTATGATTTCTCTATTTTATGATGATGTGAAAGTGATATGCATTCAGTACTTGCCTGGATTTATGATGGGGTTATGTACAGATATTATTCATGTGTAATCTGAAGCCCTTTAGTAATAATATGAGCCTGTTATAAGTTAAGCAGCTGACCAATTGTTACCTCCTCCTCCTTGCTCTTGCTACCCAATAAATACAAAGGGCTATGAAAGCTCAGGGGCTGCCTTTGCTCACTAGAAGCAGAGAACTCTCTTTTCCTTCCCCTGGACCCTTCCTTTAAAACAGTTTCTTTTGTCTTAAGTTTTCATTTCTATGTTCATCCCTTCATTCAGTCTCATAATGATGGTCTCAAGTAGTAACAGCAGTAACTGCTGTAATGATGGTCTCAAGTAGTAACAGAAGTAACTCTTGTAATGACAGTCTCAAGTAGTAACTGTCGTAGTGATGGTCTCAAATAGTACTTGTGGCAGACAGCCACAGGTGGCGCCTGAACAGGGACAAACAGGGACATCAGGGACAAACAGAGACCTGAAGAGACCTGAAGGGACCTGAAGAGGCCTACAGGGATAAACAGAGATAAGTAGGGATAAATAGAAATAAGTAGAGATAAATAGAGATAGAGACAAATAGAGATAGGTAGGGAAAGACAGGGATTTGCAGGAATTCACAGGAACTAACAGGGACCATACGGACAGATAGGGATAGATAAAGACTAGCAGAGACTAGCAAAGACTAGTAGAGACTAGCAGAAGCCAGCAGAAACTTGCAGGGACAGACAGGGACAGATAGGGTCCTATAGGGACTTGAACGAGGAAGGTTTGCTGGAACAGAAAAAACTAAAATCAACCAGATGAATGACAAACCCCGTTACAAGTCTGCTGGCAGCAACATAAGTTCAGTGCTCTAAAAAGGTACTGGTCAGTGCCCTAGAGATACAAAGAAGGGGAAGTTTTTGAATCAGGGTAACATGGGGAATAATTTTGTTATTTCTTTTCTCTTTTTTGTTTGGAGTTTGGTACATACCATCTTTTTGTTACTATTTCAGGGTTTGAGGGAATTTTTTGCCCCACCTACAGCACCTTTGGAGGGTGGTGAACAGGAAAGGGAGGATGAAAATTGGCTTGTACTGTCTTCTTCTGTGGCTGCAGAAATGCTAGCTTTGACTTTGGCTCTAGCTTTTGAGAATGCAAATGCGGATTGCAGAACACCTGGAAGCACAGGATTAGATCTCCCAGTCAGAGAACGGGTTGCGTTAGTTGGAGGAGACACACTCACTAAGATTTCCACTGGTATTTGGGGACCTTTGCCAACAGGATACATGGGATTAATTCTGGGTAAAAGTCAATTTACAGGGAATTACTGTAGTCCCAGGAGTTGTTGATTTTGATTGTGAAGGAGAAATTCAGGTAGTAGTGGTAATGTCACAAGATCTTTGGGTTTTTGAACTGGGAAAATATGTTGCTCAACTGTTGCTTATTCCTTGTAAATTGCACCCTTCTTCATGAAAGGAGAAGTGAGAGAATCAGGGATTTGGAAGTACAACTAGGAGAGAGATTTATCTGTCACAACCCATGGCGTTTAGTGGACCCACCTGTACCGTACAAATTGAAGGCTGCACATTTTTCAATTGCCTTTCTCAATTAATTCAAAAACAAAAAGGGAGAAATGTTAGAGGCTGAAAGAATGAGGGTCATGATCAATTCAGTATACCATTGGAAGCTATCTGAGTAAACAGCAAACTGTTTCTCATAAATGCAGAATGTTGGCAAACTGACAAACTGTGTCTGCCACCCAGTAGGAATGCAGAGGGCAGTCACACCCCAAGCACAGTGTTTCTTGTGATTAGGTACATCTGAAGCCTGTTAGTAATAATATGAACCTGTTATCAATTAAGAAGCCTACCAGTTACCTCCTCCTCCCTGCCCTTTCTACCCAATAAATACAAAGGGCTGTGGAAGCTCAGGGGCTGCCTTTGCTCACTAGAAGCAGGGAGCTCTCTTCTTCCCCTGGACCCTTCCTTTAAAACAGTTTCCTTTGTCTTAAGTTTTCATTTCTACCTTCATCCCTTTGTTCAGTCTCGTAACGATGGTCTCAAGTAGTAACAGTAGTAACGGTTGTAATGATGGTCTCAAGTAGTAACTGTTGTAGTGACTGTCCCAAGCCACAATTCTCATGGGTTTCCTGAGGGTTTGTAGATTAGTTTGAAATTTAAAAAGAGGAAGGGGCCTCTCATAAATTTACATGGAAGGATGGGGATGGGGGAGGGGAACCCAAGTCATTGTGTAATGGTAATTAATGGGGTTACCTCTGTGGGCTGCTTCACTATGTGCCCTTCTCTGTACTGAGGACGCTTGAAAATGAATGGTTCTATCCATAAAAACTAATGGCGGCTGGGTGTGGTGGCTCACGCCTGTGATCCCAACACTTTGGGAGGCCGAGGCCAGCAGATCACGAGGTCAGGAGATCAAGACCATCCTGGCCAACATGGTGAAACCCCGTATCTATTAAAAATACAAAAAAAAAATTAGCGGGGCGTGGTGGTGAGCGCCTCTAGTCCCAGCTAGTCCCAGGTACTCGGGAGGCTGAGGCAGGAGAATGGCGTGAACCTGGGAGGCGGAGCCTGCGCTCCAGCCTGGGCAACAGAGAAAGACTCGTCTCAAAAAATAATAATAATTATTATTAATTAATTAATTAATTAAAAAAGTAATGGCAAAACTGCAATTACTTTTGCACTAACCTAATACTACCAGTTTACTTATTGCATTTCTCAGAATTGGCACCAAGAAAGGATATACATGTGCTATCACTTTGTATGAGGGAGAAAGTCATTACTTTGTTTTGTGCTATAGAAATCTTAGCACAAAAGTGATTGCAAATTGATTCATTAAAGGCCCAAGATGTTAGAATTTCTCCTTTATTATTTTGAAATACTGTTAATCCTCAATTATCTGCCTATGGATTTTCCACTTGGTGGCTAATTTAGATGCTAATTTTTAATACCAGGCAAGGTCTCCCTAACCACCAAGAATATTTCTTTACTTGCAGATTTTTTTAGGCAATAAAAGTGCTCTAGAAAGTAGAACACTTAAATCTCTTCATAAAATATATAAAATGTTAAGAATATAGATAGGAGAGGCTTATAATTTTATTTATTATTTTGGATTAGCCACAAACTTGATGTGGTTGTTTGAATCAACCATGAGTTTTTTCTAAATCATGTGTTCTCTAGAAAAAGCAAAAAAAAATTGTTCCTTATATGAGGTAAAACAGTTATCTTTTTTACATTGGAGCTATAACTTAAGATTTATATTAGTACCTACAATGATCTGTCTTTCTTTCGTTGGTCAACTAATGAATCCCCTGAGTATTGAGCAATTTAGGCCAACCTAAAGATCCAGCACGTTGCTAACAAATACCATCACCTTCAAACCATCATTGCTTCTTAAAAAGCAGATCCTTAAGGTACTTCAATGTCATCTCTGAAATAGAACAACATGACAAGCCTATTCTGAGATGAGATGTTATTTTATTATGTAGAGATGATGGTATAGATTGTTCAATTATTTTTTAAGTGCCTACTTTAATTATTCAAGGACTTTAAAAGAAATCCACTTGGATGAAAATTTAATAATAATAGCCATTTCCAATGCTATCACATACAATTTAACACAGTTTATCTTCTTCTTTGTCCCCTTAAAATCTCTTGCTGGGTTTTGTAGCCAGGAAATCTAAAGTCATGAGAAAAACAGTATAGTTAGAGAATGAAGAAAATAGATGTTTTTCCCAATTCTTAGGCCATACTCTCCAAATGGTCCAGAAACCAGTCAAGGCAGATCAGATGTAGCCATTGTTACTTGAAGAGTTAACTGCCTGTTTCTAAAATTTAAGGGATGGCAGAAGCATCACAGTCTAACAAATTAAGACATACATGCTTCAACAAAGAATCTTGTCATAGGCCTAAGTATATCATTCCATTTGTAGCTTTAAATTGTGAACTCATTACATTTGTCAATTAACATTTTAGGTAGGAAATATATCCAGATTTAAATTATGTGGCATTTTTCTGGAATTGAGCCAGGTGCTTGGAGTCTTGGTTGTCAAAGTAGGAGAGAAGAAGAGAAGAAAAGAAAGAAAAAGGAAGAAAGGGAGGGAGGAAGGGAGGGAGGGAGGGAGAAAGGGAAGGGAAGGGAAGGGAAGGGAGGGGAGGGGAAGGGAGGGGAAGGGAAGGGAAGGGAAGGGAAGGGAAGGGAGGGGAGGGGAAGGGAGGGGAAGGGAAGGGAAGGGAAGGGAGGGGAGGGGAGGGGAGGGGAGGGGAGGGGAGGGGACGGGAGGGGAGGGGAAGGGAAGGGAAGGGAAGGGAAGGTCTTGAAAAGATGTTGTAGTTATTATTTTTGTTTGGTTAATCATTTAGCCTTTATATGTAAGATGACAGTAGTTTACCAACCAGAGTTACAGTGTTCTAATATCCTGTGTTTTTCTGTGTACTTACTATTACAGTGAGTTTTGTACCTTCAGATGATTTCTTATTGCTCATTAACATCCTTTCCTTCTAATTGGAGTAGTCCTCTTTCACATTTCTTGCAGGACAGGAGCACTTTAGCCTGAATTGGCAAGACTTGCCAGAAATCAAGTTCTGACCACTGGGATGGGCGATTCTCCTCTGGCTAGGACTGGTTTAAATACTCCTTCTGTGGGTGGGCATCAGCTGAGGGAAACCGAGTTTTGCTTTCTGCTGTGACAGGGCTGCAGTGCATTCAGTGCAATGTCTCACAGTTGTTGCACTCTCTTTATCACTAGTGCATGGGTTTTCTCTCTGCAGCACCAACCCAGATGCTGCTGGGGATGAAGGAAAGGTGGCATTGGCAATTCAAGACTATCAGTGCCTCTTTCAACAATATGATGTTAAAACCAGTTACTGTGATGGCTCACCTGATTTTTGGTTCTTATGAAGGTGCTTTGTTTGTGTAGATAGTTGTTAAATTGGTGTCCTTGCAGAGGGTACTATCAGTGGAGCCTTCTATTATTCCATCTTGTTCTACCCCTCTCCCCTCTTCATAATTTTTTATACACTGACCCCTGCCCTGCTCCTTGACTATAAGTCATCAGTTATCTATGATAAATTTAGAATTGAGCCAAGTTCTATACTGAGGTCTCTTTTCCCCAGTTGCAATAGTTCCTGAGTAAAATTTGTTTTCATCACTTTAACTACTATTCATTTCTGGCTTGCTTTGATAGGGTGCACTTGGGAATGCAGTTTATTAACTCTTGGGACTCACTGCCGGCAGATCAGGTGGCAAATGTATCTGCTTACTAAGGTAGACATCTCCCCAGTTGTTTGGTGGAAGGTATTTTTTTCTTTTTCTTTTCTTTTTTCTCAGGAGTTCTTTGGACTACCCAGAAAATAATATTCTAGTCTTTTTCCTGTTTAGCTTCTAGCATTAAAGGAACTCAGCCAATAGAAGAGTAGACATTTTTACTAGGAACTCAGCCAATAGAAGAGCAGACATTTTTACTGTTTAGTGGCATTTGTCCACCTTCAATTTCCATGGTATGCCTGCCCCTTCTGGATCAACTTCTCTGTAGGAAAACCTTAGTTCTCCTTTCAGTTTTAGGGGGAAAAATTCCTGCCCAGTTGTATGGGCTGGAGGAAGAGCCATGTGGATCTAACTGATCTGAATCATAGACTGATGCTCTACTAATTTCCACCTTGTCTCCTCATTGCATCTTCCATGATACTTGGTGCTTCTAAACCTTATGTTTTTTTCAGATTTCTGTCTGAAATGATTGTCTTTCTTTTCATCAGTATTCTCCTTTCCAGACCCTTCTGGAGAGCAGTAGAACAGCTTCTACTGCTCTTCTAAGTCATTTACCATTCATTTGTTCATCTACTCTTTATGTTTCAGATATTCATTGATGTATCTTTGTCTTCTTTCAAAATATCATAATTCTTATGGTTTTTTAACTGCCACCCCCCTTTGTTTGGGAAGGAGATAGAGATAAACATGCATATTTAATCTGCTGTGTTTTCTAAGTTTATTCCACACTGTGTGTTTTTATATAATGCCTTAGCTGGCAAAATCACTGGACAGAGCTGCTGGTCTGGATCACACTTCAGAGGCTTTTGTTGAGTTCTTTCTAAACTAGCTCTTATCAGCCCAATATCACTTTTGACCCCACTGTTCTCATTCTCCATCTCACTCACGAGAGGCAAGGTGTTTAAAACCATACATGACAAATGTGTGGATAACCTTTATTGGTACCTAAGAACTTTAATTTGGGTGAAAGAATATGCTAGGTGAATTTATTGCTCACACCATTTAAAAAGTAAAGAAAACACCACTAGCATGTTATAATACAGAAAGAATGCCTGCCTACCACAATGGTATATAAGCATAACACACATATAAATACACTTTAGTTTTTTCCCATTTATTATTTAATTGATGGCATTTTTTAAAAAACTAATTACTTCTAAGGATCATAAAACTACTACAAACAATTATAGATCAATAGATTGGATAACTAGAGGAAGTAGATATATTCCTAGACACAATACAACTTACTAAGACTGAATCATGAAAAATAGAAAATCTGAACAGACCAATAACAAATAAGGGATTGAAACACTTGAGAGAAAAAAAAAAAGCAGCTCACAACCAGATGGATTCATGGTTGAATTCTACCAAACATTTAAAGAAGAACTAATATTAAATGTTTTGAAGCTCTTCCAGAAAACTCGTGGAGGAAATATTTCCAAACTCATTTTAGATAGCATGACCCGAGACCAAAGCTAGACTACAAGAAAAGAAAATTATAGGCCAATATCCTTGATAAATGTAGAAACAAAAATCCTCAACAAAATATTATCAAACCAAATTTAAAAATACATTAAAAGAATGATTCATCATGATCATATTGTGTTTATTTCTAAGAAGCAAAAATGGTTCAATATATGCATATCAATAAATGTGATATACCACATTAACAAAGTTAGAGATAACTATCCTATGATCATCTCAGTAGATGCAGAAAAAACATTTGATAAAATTTAACAACTATTCATGATAAAACCTCTCAGCAGATTAGCTATAAAGGGAATGCACCTCAACACCGTTAGGCCATATATAACAAACCTGTAGCTGACATCATTCCCAATGGTGAAAATTTGAAAGCTTTTCCTCGAAGATCAGAGACAAGATAATGATACTCTCTTCAACACTTCTTTTCAACTTAGTACTGGAAGTCCTAGCCAGAAGAATTAGGCAAAAGAAAGAAATAAAAGTCATACTCATAGCAATAGAGGAAGTGAAATTGTCTCTATATTTTATATGTAAGATTACATAACCTTACATATAAAAAATCCTAAAGACTCTATCACAAAACTGTTAGAACTGGTAAATGAAATCAGTAAAGTTACAGGACATAGAATCAACATAGAAAACTAAATAGCATTTCTATATACTAATAACAGACTATCTGAAAGAAAAATAAAATAATCCCATTTACAATAGCAACAAAAAATTTAAATACTTAGTTGTAAATTTAACCAAGGAGGTAAATGACCTGAATGCTGAAAACTATAAAACATTGATGAAAGTAATTGAAAAAGACAAAGATAAATGAAGAGATCTCCTGTGTTCATGAACTAGAAGAATTAATTTTGTGAAAATAGTCATACCACCAAAAGCAATCTACAGATGCAAAGAAATTCTCATCAAAGTTTCCATGTGATTTTTCATAGAAATGGAGAAATGTCCTTAAATTTGCATGGAACCACAAAAAAACCCATATAGCCAAACCAATCTTAAGCAAAAAGAACAAAGCTGGGCCAGGTACAGTGGCTCATGCCTGTAATCTCAGCACTTTGGGAGGCCAAGGTGGGTGAATCACCTGAGGTCAGGAATTTGAGACTAACCTAGCCAACATAGTAAAACCCTGTCTCTACTAAAAATACAAAAATCAGCTGGGCCAGGTGGCAGGTGCCTGTTATCCCAGCTACTCAGGAGGCTGAGGCAGGAGAATTGCTTCAACCCAGGAGGCAGAGGTTGTAGTGAACCAAGATCATGCAATTGCACTCCAGCCTGGGTGACAAGTAAAACTCTGTCAAAAAAAAAAAAAAAAAAAAAAAAAAAAAGAATAAAGCTGGTAGTATCACACTCCTGATTTCAAAACATATTATAAAGTCATTGTAATCAAAACATCATGTTGCCTGCATAAAAACAGAGACATCAACCCATGGAACACAATAGAAAACCAAGGTCCTAACCCATGCATTTACAGTCAACTGATTTTTGGCAAAGCTGCCAAGAACACACAATGGGAACAGGACTATTTCTTCAATTAATGGTGTCGGGAAAACTGAATATCCACATCTAGAAGAATACAATTAGACTCTAATCTTATACTACATACAAAAATCAATCAAAATGGATTAAAGACTTACATATAAAACCTGAAACTGTAAAGCTACCAGAAGAAAACATAGGAGAAAATATTCATGACATTGATTTAAGCAATGCTTTTTTCTTTTTAAATATGACCCCAAAAGCATAGGCAACAAAAGCAAAGATATACAAATGGGATTGCATCAAACTAACAAGCTTCTGCACAGCAGAGGAAACAAATAACAAAGTGAAGTGATGACCCACAGAATGGGAGAAAATACTTGCAAATCATAAATCTGTTAAGAGGTTAATATCCAAAAAAATAAGAAACTCAAACAACTCAATAGCAAGAAAACAAATAACCACTTTAAAAAATGGACAAAGGACTTGAACACACATTTCTCAAAAGAAATCATATGAATGGCCAACAGGAATATGAGAAAATGCTCATCATCACTAATCATTCAGGAAATTCAACTTAAACCTCATTGACATATCACGTCACACCTATTAGAATGGCTTTAACAAAAATGATGAAAGTTAAGTGTTGGAGAGGATGTGGAAAACAGGGAATTTTTAAACATTGTTGGTGGAAATGTAAATTAGTGTAGCCATTATGGAAAATTGTATGGAGGTTACTCAAAAAGCTAAAATTCCAATTATCATACAATCCAGTAGTCTATTTTTATATGTGTATTCAAAGAAACTGAAACCAACATGTCAAAGGAATGTCTGCACTCCTATGTTCATTGCAGCACCATTCACAATAGCGAAGATATAGAATCAACCTAAGTGTCTATCAATGTATGAATAGATAAAGAAAATGTGGTATATATATGCATTAGAATACTATTTAGCCTTAAAAAAGAGAAGATTTCTGTCACTCGTGACAGTATGGATGGATCTTGAGGATATAATGCTAAGTGAAACAAGCCAAACATAGAAAGACAAATACCACATGGTCTCACTTATATGAGGAATCTAATAAAGTTGAATTCATAGAAGTTAGAGGGTAGAACTATGATTACCAGAGGCTGAGGGAGGCAGGGAGTTGGTGGGGAGGAGTGAGGGAATGGGAGTTGTTGATCAAAGGGACAAAATTTTAGATAGACAAGAAAAATAGATTTTGAGATCTATTGCAAGCAGAGTTACTGTAGACAATAATGTATTACATATTTCAGAATGACTAAGAATAAATCTCAAATGTCTCACCGTAGAAATGATAGCTAAGTGAGATGATGGATATGTTGATTAGCTTGACTTAATTATGCCACATTGTATACATATATAAAAACATCACATTGTATCTCATAAGTAAATACAATTATGATTTTTCAATAAAATAATAATTTTTTAAATAAACTAAGAAAAGAAAAACATTTCTCCTGTTTTATGAATATGTAATACTCACATTTTTATAGTACATATGATTTTTCTCCCTACATTGCTAACTAGATTCAATTATTAACTTTATAAGCATTTTAATGTACTTTTTCTGTTCAGGGCTCAATTTTCTTACATATTTGAAAAATTGTTTTAATTAAATCTTTAAAAACAATTTTTAACCCTTAAAGTCTGTTTTTATTAAGCAGTTGTATTTTAAGGTAAAGATTAAATAAAATTTTTAATCTATTTGGAGACTACAACACTTCAGGAGATTGGAAAAGAGAGCATAAAAGAAAGCAATACTTTTTTCCACTGTTGGTTAATGAGATCTAGGGGAAAATGATAAACGAAATGTGTTTCTCTTTGTGTTTGCAAAGGATAAAGTGAGAAAAGGTAAAAATGACGTAATTAGATAGTTTCTTTTCTTAGCTAAGATCTTGTTTTGTGAGTTAAGAAAATTGGGGCTTAAAAACTCATTTAATTTCATAGCAGATTATATTCTGAAATTGAACTGAGGGGAAAGGTCTTTTGAGGTTAGTAAGAAGCATCAATAAGGGAGCTGAGACAGCAGCTTTTACTTCAGACTATTTCAAAAGTCAAGAGCAGAGCTAAGAATAGATGTTCATAATGGCCAATCCAGTTTTCAGACCGCAGACACATGCTCCCTGGCCCCCATGCCTGCTTAGAGCATCATCTTAGAATATGCAGTAGTTGGAGATCTCTAAAGAGACTCTGAGTCACTTCACTACTCAACCTCAAGTTCTTTTATTCCCTTGGTTCATTATTAGACTGATAGCAAAGCTGAGACAAGAACCAAGGAAAGGCTTCTGATTCAAGAGAATGCATTGAACATTGAGCACATGCTGAATTATCTTCCATCTGCTTTAAATTCATGAAAAAGACTGGGCACATACTTATAATAATTAACACACAATTATTGTTAAATCCTAAGAAAGAGAAATCTCTGGAGAATACAAGTAGAAATGCAAAAAAAAAAAAAAAAAAAAAAAAAAAAAAAAAGACAAGAACTAGTGGGGAAAGTAGGAACTGAAGATTAGAGACATAGAGTGATATTCCTAAGCTGAATTTCCCTACAGTGCTACATAGCCAATGCTGAGGCCTCCATGAAACTACTGTGGATTTACACAGATGTCTTTACATGCAAGAAACCCAGAATAACTGCGAAGGCCAAAATAATGAAAAACATGTCATACGTTTAGCAAGCTTAGGAATCCAACTCCCCAAAATATGGATAATTAAACAATCAGAAACAATTTTACAATAAATGCTTTTAATAATTTTTAAAAGAAAGAATGGAATGAGAACACCCCCAAAAAATGTACAGTTGATAACAAAATAAGAACAAGGGATGATGAAACAAGAAGCAGATATTTTGAAAATGACCACTACATTTTTTAGAATTTAATAAAGTAGTTATTGAAATAAAAACATAATATACATTGAATAGAAGATCAGAAACAGCTGAAGAAGGAATGATGAAATGGAAGAACACAACACAAAGATATAGAAATGAAAACTATGAAAGAGGAGATTTGGAAGATAGATTCAGAAAGTCCAGCACGCATATGCTATGAATTCAGAAAGGAGAAAATACAGAGAATGGTATATAACAGTATTTAATGAGATAATGGATGAGAATTCACCATGAAGAAGACATAAGTCTTCAGATTAGAAACACCTCTACTGAGTAAGGTAAACAATAACCAGGAAAAACAGAAACAGCTTTTGAAAGTGAAGAAAACTTTACCATAGATATTTTTTCAATTTTTTTATTATACTTTAAGTTCTGGGATACATGTGCAGAATATGCAGGTTTGTTACATAGGTATACATGTGCCATGGTGGTTTGCCACACCCATCAACCCATCATCTACATTAGGTATTTCTCCTAATGCCCATATTAATTTTATCTTATTATCTGATCTCTATTTTCAGCATATGCATTCTACCGTTCTCAGTGCACAAGGCAATAGTGCATGTAAGTACATTTTTGTCTACCGATAGCGGTGCACAGTCAAAAGAGTTTGGAACTCACTGATGTTTATTTCTTAGGAATATAATCTTTGAAGAGCTTAACTAAGTAGGTAATTGAGATCAACCAAAATTGGGAGAACTCAATAAATGGCTCCTCATCTGTCCTGAGGCTATAGATTACAGAGCTCTTCAGATTAAAGCAGACTAGTAAATGAACAGTCAGGGCAGACTGAGGGATTCCATCACACTAAATGATTGAATAAGGATAATTTTATAATCAGTAGTGGGTATGAGGTTGGAGTGGTCTGTGAGTGGCAATTAGATAAATTAGACAGTACAATTATGGTAGCTAAGGTAGTCAGCAAAAAACTGACAGAAAGTGTCTAGTAATGCCTGTAGCATAATTGTTAATATAATATTTACATTAAAAAGTGCTGTTATGATTTTGTTGAGCTCCCAAGGATGTAGGAGACCAAATTCCCTTTGAGAGGATAAGTTTTCAAAGAGGAAAGGTAGCCCTGAAAGTGATGCTATGATTGGCAGAAAAGAAGGAAACAAGGAAGGTAAAGGCCATTCGTAGTGAATTCCAATGCATGACACAAAGAAGCTTAAAAAAAATAGTGCCGCAGCAATATGAGGACAACTGCCACAGTGAGAACTCCTAGCCCTTATATTATGGTAATTTAGTGCTGGGGAAGATGTGGAGCCTCTGACCCAACTCTGCAAGGTCTGGGAAGATCCCTAAGAAGTTGTAAACATGAATTAGTAATGGAAAGAAAATAATCAAAGACCAGAAATATGAATCTCTTACATGAGAAACAGTTATATTCTTTTTAAAGTGGTGTTATGGATTGAACGTTTGTGTCCCCCCAAAATTTATATGTTGAAATCCCAACACTCAATGTGATGGTAGTAAAAGATGAAGCCTTTGGAAGGTAATTAGGTCATGAGTGTGGGACCCTCACAAATGGGATTAGTGTTCTTATAATAGAGACCCCAGAGAGCTCCCTTGCCCACTTTCAGCCACGTAAGGATACAACAAGATGGTCATGTGTAACCCAGAATACGGCTCTCAGCAGAACCCAGTCATGCTGGCACCCTCAGACTTCCTGCCTTCAGAACTGTGAGAGATAAATTTTTATTGTCTAGAAGGTACCAAGTCTGTGGTACTTTGTTATAGTAGCCAGAACTGATGAATACAGGTGGAATCAATGGTTAGGTGAGATTACCCTGTTGTATACAATTGATTATAAAAGATACAGTCACTTTACTCAAAGAATAATTTGCTCAGAGTCCTACATAATGCTATTTCTAGTTTCTTACTTTTCATTCATTTTCCTACTCAAATCAGTCTAGCTGGTGCCCTCCCACTGTCAGTCCTGCATCTGCTATTTCCATTTTCTTACTTTTCATTAATTCTTCTACTCAAATCAGTCTAGCTGGTGCCCTCTCATTCTACTAAAAATGTTCTTTCTAAGTCACTGATAATTCTAGGTTGGCCAAGACAAAGAAAATGGGCAGTTTTAATTCTCATCTCAGCATCATTTTTCAAAGTTGGGCCCATTCTTTTTCTTTTTCTTTTTTTTTTCTTTTTGAGACAGAGTTTCATTCTTTTGCCCAGGCTGGAGTGAAATGATGCGATCTCAGCTCACTGCAACCTCTGCCCCCCAGGTTCAAGTGATTCTCCTGCCTCAGGCTTCCGAGTAGCTGGGATTATAGCCATTATTTTTCTTTAAGAAGACACTTTATTCTACAGGCTTCTGCTACATGGAACTCTCATGGATGTTTCTCCTAGCTCTTGAGCCACTCTTCTTCTATCAGATTTCAAAATGTTAGAGTTAGGCTTTATCCTGGGCCCTCTACTCACTTTAGATGAGGTAATTACTCCTATAGTATTGAAAAATACTTATATGAAAATAAGTCCCAAGTGTATATTTCCAGCCAAGATTAATTATCTCAGTTCCAGGACTACCCAAATGCCAACATACCATCTCCATTGGATTGTCTCACAGGTGTTGCAAATACGTTTAAACTTCTGTTGGTACCCATTTCCCTTGCTGCAGCAGAATCTGACCTTTCGTTAGCTCACTAGTTCTGTTCTCTTGGCAATCTGATAAGTGTAAAATGTTAGCTATGTTTTTAGGCTGAATTGCTTGTGATAAAATGACCCTGGATTTCTAAACTGAATCTGGACTAGGAGCAACCCTATATGCAACTATATGATGTGGCATAGTTTTAGGCTTTCCTGAATATGGCAACTCTTGTAACTATGTATGTTTCTTACAGAGGTATGACATCTGCTGCCTAGATTAAACGCCTTTCTAAAACCTAGCCTGAGTGCACGTGTGAGCTTCCGGCTCTTTCAGGCTACTGGGAGAGGTTTTCATACAGTTATTTCTTCAGGACTGTGGGTAGAACCAAGGTGTCAATTACAGGGCACATGCTTGTTGAGTAGATTTGATACCTAAATTAAAATTGAGTCTCTTAATGGAAACATAGGAATATAGGACTAAATTATCACAACTCAATTTCTAATGTGTTTTCCCTGGGATGGGAGTGAGGGGGCTGAGGTGTCAACGCAGAGTCTGATTGAGTTCTGACCGTGATACTGCTTTGGTCTGCTGCTACGATTTGGGAGCAGAATAAGCTGCTTCATTTGCTCACATTCAAGTAGCTGTGGTGACTCCTTATATGGTGTTACCACCCCTTTCTCTCTCTTGATTTTCTTCTCACCTAATCATTTGAAAGATGATCAGACACCTCTGAAATACTGTAAAAACAAGGCTAAATGTAGAAATATCAGTGCAGGTTAACAAGTGAGGCAGTGATGACAAATGCTCCTGTAACCCAGCATTTTAGAAAGAAGGAAACCACCATGGTTTTGTAGCACACTTTATGGAGGAGAGAAAAATAAAATTCCAAGTGTACATGAAACAGATTGCAGTGACTCAGTGGAGAATTGTTGCTTCAAAAAATCATATTACACTTTCTCCCCTTTTATAGGTTTTTAAGGTAGGAGGGATAATTTTCTGATCTTTAGTAGGATACCAAAAAAAGAAAGAAAGAAAAAATGTTTCAGTCATGCTTTACATTGTTCCTGTAGAAATTTTTTTAAACTTAGGATTCTCTTCCTTTTATTTCCAGTGCATATTACACTGATGTACCCCTGTTGATTTTCTCTGCTGTGTCAGTTTATAGATTACATAGAAAAACCTGTTCCAATTCTTAGAAATAATTTTTTAGTTTATTTACCAATAAACCAATGTAATACCAAAATGTATTATATGTTTTGATTATTTATTCTATTTTCCACATGTAGTCCAGATAACTTTTGGGTCCTATCAGAAAATAATAAATTGTTGCAAGACAAAGATTCAACACTACTGAGAATATTCTGAATGTATTGTTGATTTCTAAAATATAAAAATGTAATCTTATACCAAATTTGTTATAATTTATAACAAGTTATAGCTTCAGAGACATGAAACACTTAGGCAACAATAGTAATAAGAAAAAAAATTCACAATTCCCAAACAATGAAAGAATAGTTCCAATAATTTTGCACATTCGTAAGCAAGAATTTTAAAATACTTACAGAATGTAAACTGTAAGCCACTTGGTGAAAATATGTGAAATCTAAGTATCAAAGATTTCAAGTAAAATTGCATTTTATAAATTCATAATGACGTTGTAAAAAGGGCAATGAATCTTGCAATTCTTGTAGAATAATGAGTGCTCACTAGATAAAGTTATTTGTGTGCAAACACACTTAATTTCCTGCTCACCAAGGGTACAATAGCACAAAAGTAGATGTCATACATAAACTGCTTGGTGTCTTTCAGTATGCCAGGTACTCTGCTATAAATGTTGATGAGCTGTGATAAACTCTGGAATTTTCACACTGGTATTTGACAGCCCTCACTCTAAAGTTTCTCTGACTTTAAAAAATATAGATATGATAATGCCCATATACTTACAGAAGATGAGGAACACATTTGTATTAACTGCACACATCCAAATTAGACCGTACATCTAAGCACCTCTGTTTATACATGCTGTGAATTATGTACAGTTCAACAGGATCAAAGGTAAAGGATATTAAAATTCAGCCAACACCATTGAGAATTAACAGCATAGTCACCAATATGATAGACACTGGAGTGCTAGGAATGAACATTTCCTGCCTCTGAAAGGTTTGCAACACAAATGGGAACACTAGCATCCATAAAATCATATCCCAGAGGAGACTGGGAACCATTATGTTATATTCTATATACGCATATCTTTGTGTGGAAAACATAGGTTTAAAAGGTCTCCTAAATTGTAGTTCCTTTTCTCTCTGCAAGGCATAGCTGTGCCCTTTGTTACACATGATCTTAATCTGTGGTTGTTTCTTGGTGCTTTATCTTGAACGCTAGTATTAGCTCCTTGCAGGATTTATCTTTATCTAATAATTTCTCCTTTCCCTCTCCTTAGCCCAATGACAAGCACAGAATAGATGCTCAGTAAATCCTTATCGCTTGCTTGATTGTACACTTAATGGCAGCAATCCTTAAGTTGGGTACAAAAGAAAGTTTGCAAGAAGTGATATAAATCTGACAAGTAGATTGACAGTGTTGACTGAAGATGTTGGCAGAGAAATAACTTAATGGTTGATTGAGAAGTTGTTGCAGGGATGTGTCTCTGATGGAACTGAGTGGAATGTGTTAGGAAGAAGTAAGAGACAATGCTGGCTATCTAGTTGGCAGTTCTGAGGCCAGAGCTATGAAATTTTATTAATATTCTGTGTGTGTTATTTTAGGAATATTAATTTGGTATTGATATCCTAAAGGGACTTGAGCAGTGTGATGCTAGTTTGACATGTCACATGAATGTACAAATCTTTAAAAATTAGCAAGATTAGGCTGGACCCATAATGAAGTATTTATTCATTGTGGCATTATATTTGGTCCCAGGTTGTCTTGATTGATTTTTCACCTCCATTTATAGCAATGAAATCTAATTGAAGGGCTTTTAAGCAGGCCACTCTGCCACATTGATTTGGATGATTTTTTAAAATAACATTTCTGAAATCCTGGAGACTATTTTTTTCCTTTTGTCTAGCCTGAATGACATTTATATTAGGAAGAATCAAAATATGAACCCCACCTAACCTGTTCAAACATGAAAATGTCTAAAAATATGTTTGTCATTTGTCTTCTCAAACCTTAAATGTAGATGAAGACACTCAGAAAGAGAAGGGATTCTTTGATCGATAACTCTACTATTTTTCTATTTAGACCCTTGAAAGAGTACTTGGCATTGAAGGAAAATATTTTTCTTAGAAAAACAGACAAGAGAGAAAAAGAAAATCAAGCAATATTCTATAGGAATGTCTAAATAAAACATGCTTTTCATAAGGAAATAAGTTATAGGAATAGATACTCTAAGAAAAATAAATGTATCTCTTAATTTAAAAATGTACAGCTAAAATGTAGCGTAGATTGCATATGTTTACAGAATATCACTCAATATTTCTGTGTAAATTATTTTACAGGGTCTCACAAGGACTTTTCCCTTTCAAATGTGTATGTAGCACCTGAAATAAATGTAATTTACTTAAACAGATGCCTTTTAGTGTTTTTCTTCTGAACTCTTATTTTTCATTTCAGCTCATTTCTTCTGCTTTAGTTTTCTGTGACCTCAAGGTGCTAAGAAAAGCATTCAGATTTCCATGGGATTTTAGCATTAGTGTCAAATGACCTGACCCTTTGCCCTGGCCACTCACTTTAAATCCGCTGTTTTGTTCACCACTTGGTCCCAACACTTAACACAGTTCCTGGCACAGGGTGACAATTCAATGAACATTTATTGAATGAAAATAATTTAACTTTTTAATTTTGGCCCCAACTTTCCTTGTCATTGACACACTTTTGCTTATCAAGGTAAACGAATGGCTTTTTATATCTCCTATTCAGCCTGGTCACATTTCTCCATCCCTTCTATCTCTCAGAATTACATTTTCACTAATTCTGGTTTTATTTTCCAGTTTTCTGTTTCTCTGTCTAATCTTTCACTTTTACTAGAGATTCTTGGGCTGTTCAGTATGTTTTTTATTCCTTCTATATTCTGTTCTTTAATTATGGAATCCCTAAAGCTTCAGGTATTTGAGTCATACATGAATCTGTTTTCTAAAGTATTACACTGACCACCTTCAACCCTCTTCCATCTAGCTCATTTTTATCACTATTGACATTAGCAGGCGTGGGATGAGGGAGTAGGGAAAACACATGCAGGTTAAACACTGTTCCAGTAACAACTCCTATTTAGTTTCTCCCTTTTAAATCATTGTTCTGTCTCAAGCAACCATAATGATGGTTGATTCTCCCCTAAGTTAAACTTGGTGCTTCTATTTTTTTCTTTGTCCCCATGTCTACAGTTTTCCCTCACATCCAGTAACACGCAGCCCTGTATTTCTGTGCTCTATGACTGTTTTCTTTCTTAGAACTCCAGGACATCATTTTTGTGGAGAGTGAGCTGAAACACAATGGTGTACAGAGGATAGGGAAGGCCCAGTCTTTCCGCATTTTCTCAGTGCTCATCTTTCTCCATTGACCTGTTCTAACGGGTGACCTGTTATGGTATGAGTTTTCATGTACCTCATCAGCTTTAAGAACCCTAGTCCCATGGGAAAGTTTCAAAACAAAGCAGGTGAAAGGGGTTTATGTGAAATATGTTAAGGGGCACCATTCTGAATATAGTCCCACTTCTCTGAGAGCAAAGGTCACTTGAATATAGACAGCTTAAGTACAGATGTCCTCCCAGTATTGTATCTGAGGCGCTGGTCACAGGTACATGTCCCTCAGCAGTGGGCTATGCATCTACATGCAGGTTATGCTGGGGAAGGGTGTACTCCTGGGTTCCAATCATCTGAGAGGAGATTTGGAACTCCCATGACCTGGAGTCTGTTTCTTTCAGTGACATGCCATCTCTAAGGTACAAGAACTTCATGTTGATAGCTAACTATATCTACCACAGTCACTTAAAAATGTATAAATAGCTCCCTTTATTATTAGTAGGCTACTATCATGGTTGTACTTACTTTTGTTATCATTTAAAAATAAAACAGAGGGTTCTCAGATACATGTTCATGCAAATCGCTTTCCAGTGGCTGTCTGATATGAGGCCAAGTGTGGACACCAGGCGACATGGATGTCAACAGCTCCTTAAGTTCATTATCCAACAGAATTTCAAGGGTTTAGAGTGGCTTGAATTATTTTTCAGACTTATAAAGTAGCAAAAACATTTTCAAGATTTATTTTTGCAGAAAGCTCTTATGCCCCATTGACTCATATGGGTTGGGTATGTATGTTTTCCTGTTAGTGCTAATGTATTCTCATAAAACCCCAACCCTTTTTAAAAAGAGTAAGAAGACAGTAGGGAAATGATCTTTCTTAATGGTCTTGGTCCATTTGGGCTGCTGTAACAAACTACAATAAACTGAGTGGCTTTTAAACAACAGAAATTTATTTCTCACAGTTTGGGGGGCTGAGAAATCTTAGATCAAGGTGCTGGCAGATTTGGTGTTTGGTGAGAGGGTGAGAGGCTGCTTCCTGTTTGATAGATGGCTGTCTTTTTGCTATGTCCTCATATGGTGGAAGGGACAAGGGATCTCTCTAGGATTTCCTTTCTAAGGGCACTTACCTTATTCATAAGAGCTCCACCTTCAGGACCTAATCATCTTCCAAAGGCCCAACCTCCAAATACCCTCACATTAGGGAACAGATTTCAACATATGAATTTGGAGTGTCAGGGGGGACACAAACATCTACTTTCCAGCATTAATAAAATGGGTAAGTCTAGAGATTAAGAACTTGTTTTTCTTTTTTTTTCAACATAAATGTATATTTTATTTTTCATTTATCCTTATAAATATTTTTCTATCCTGAATTTATCTCTTTTAGAAAAAAGTTAGCCATTGTACATACATATTTTATACTTAGCAGAACACAGAATGTTTTGTAACAATAGGTTTTAAAGAAGTATGATGGATATTTATGTTTTTATTTGCTAAGTGATTGTACAAAGATTACAAACAGGATTCAGATAATTTCCACAGAACTAGTCAGAATCCAAGATGCCAGGAGAGTTCCAGAATTCTTGAGGGTAATAAACAACTTCCGTTATCTATCTACATGAATAAATCACACACTTCAGATCTCTGTTTAAAGGTCACTTTCATTATGATGCTTACTCTGACTATCTCATTTAAAATTGAACCGCTCTCCCTCCTCATTACCAGTTCCCTTTATCACACCCTACATAGCTTAGTGAGTGCATAGTAGAATTTTGACCCCTATTTTTTTTTACTCCAGACTCCATCTATCACTGTACCATACTACCAGCAGTAGTAACACCTTGTATTTTAAATGATTCTATTCTTTGCGACAATCTTACATGCATTGTTTTTAACACAATGGTGATATGGGACAATAACTGTGTTTCTTGTTCTCTCAAGACCTGCATTATCATACTTGAAAATGTGGTAGGAGAACTGCAGCTTCCTGAAATTTCCTCTTGGGCTTATTACAGGATTGATAATGATCCTAAAGCCTTTTCAGAATACACTAAAACAAATATCCTTGAACTATATGCAGTTCTTTAAGGACAGGCAGTGTACCTTTTCAGAATGCATGCATTGGCTCTCACATGGTAGGATTGCCCTTTCATGTTTAGTTTTATTTTCTGAAGGCATGTTTCTGCACTTCACTTTATATGGCTTACACCTAACTTTATACTTCCCATTTTCTCATTCCATCAGAGTTTATGTACTCCCTTTCTCTTCAGTTTCTGGGTTCTTTAGTGCTGTTCAGCCATTGCCTGTGAGCTTAAGGCTTACCCCTTTGCTCTGGCTGCCTCCTAGCCTGCTATCTGACCCCATCATCCCTCTGAGACAGCATGAGCATTCTTTTGTGTCATTTAAACTTGTCAATCATATTTAAACTGAGAAAATGATGGTTTCAGCTGCTGAAACTGGAAATAGGGAGAGTCAGGTTAACGGAAGAATAAATAAATGAAAGTCCTCAATTATCCTCAGTTATGAGTTTCCTAGAACTGCTGTAACAAATTACCATGAGCTACATGCCTCAAAACAACAGAAATGTATGCTTTCATATTTCCGGAAGCCTGAAGTCTAAAATCAAGTTGCTGGCAGGATTGGTGATATGGTTAGGCTTTGTGTCCCCACCTAAATCTCATCTTAAATTGTAATCACCATGATCCTCATGTACCAAGGGAGAGACCAGGTGGAGGTGGTTGAATCATGGGAGTGGTTTCCCCCATGCTGTTCTGGTGATAGTGAGTGAGTTCTCATGTGGTCTCATGGTTTTATAAGGGGCTTTTCCCTTTGCTCAGCTTTTCTCCTTCCTGCTGCCTTGTGAAGAAGGTGCCTTGTTTCCCCTTCGCCTTCCACTATGATTGTAAGTTTCCTAAGGCCACTCCAGCCATGCTGAAATGTGAGTCAATTAAACTTCTTTTCTTATTAATTACCCAGTCTATGAAGGCAGGTCTTCATAGCAGTATGAAAACAGACTAATACAATTGGTTTCTTTTGTAAACTTGGAGAGAGAATATGTCTCATTTGTCTCTTAAGTTCCGGTGGTTGTCAGCAATTTTTGGTGTTCCTTGGCTTGTGGATACATAACTCTAGTCTCTGCTTCCATCACTACATGACCTGCTTCAATCTGTGTGTGTTTCTCTGTCTTCTCATGGCTTCCTTAGAAGGATAGGCATGGTCCGAATGTTTGCATCCCCCCAAAAGTTCACGTTAAAACTCATCACCAGGGTGAAAGTATTAGAAGGTGGGGCCTTTGGAAGGTAATTAGGTCATTAGGGCTCTGTCCACAAGAATGGGATTAGCACTCTTATAAAAGAGACTCCAGGGAGTTAGCTAGCACCTGCCATCTTGTGAGGACACAGCTGGAGGTGCCATCTGTGAACCAGAAAGTAGGCCCTCACCAAATACCAAATCTGCCAGCACTTAGATCTTAGGCAACCCAGCCTCAAGAACTATGAAAAATAAATTCCTGTTGTTTAAAAGCTACCTGGTTTATGGTATTTTGTTATAGTAGCCTGAATGAACTAAGACAGGACACCAGTCATTGGATCTAGGGCCCATTCCACTACAGTGTGACTGTATCTAAGCTAATTATATCTGCAAAGACCCTATTTCCAAATAAGGATAACATTCTGAGGTTGTGAATGGACATTAATATTTGGGAGGACTTTATTTAACTCAGTATACATTGTGATCTATTTCTAACTTTCAAAGGAGTTCTGGTGTTTTGAGGTGTTCTTGTGTGACTTAATAGATTCCTGGGAGGTCTAAATCCATGCCAAAAAAAGGTATTTTTCTCTTGTTGATGAATATAAATTCTGCAGAGTTGGATGTTTGGAAAATTGAAATATAGAAGCCTAAAAGTCATGGCCATTATTTTGGAGAGTCTAAAAAGGACACATAGTTGAACCATGGCCCTCAAGAACACCAGGGACTGAGTGACTCTGGGCAAATCACTGGCTATACCATTCTGGGGAAAAGTGACAGGGACAAAACTTTCCAGTGCATGAATTTATTATCCTGACCAAGCATTGGAGTCTAAGTTTGCACAACCCTAGGCAGAGAAAGCTTATAAATTCCATTGAGGAAATATATTTTGTACTTACCACATGCTAGATGCCGTGCTGGCCTCTCTATAAAACATAAGTAACTATTTTATTTCTCAAAACAACTTTGTAAAACACTTATTTTAGTCCAATTTTACCGATGAGGTAAAGATATTAAGAAAGGTGAATAACTTGACCACGATAAATGTTTATATAGTGAGTCATTGAGCCAGGATTTGAACTCACATCTGCCTATTCTTGTATCATAAAACAGAAGCAAAACAAAGTGGAGAAACTTCAGGTGAGTGGCTGAATGAAGGCCTATGAAAGAATAAAGATATTGAGGAAACCAATTGCCATGCGGTCATTAAAAAAAAAAAAAGACAGAGAATGGGTACAGAGCATAGTAGCAAAACATACAGCCAATAGTTTGTGACATTGGAATCATCTCTTTGGCATAAGAATATGATAGGCTTTCTGGCAGAAAATGGAATGGCATATATGTGGCATCTAAAAATGTCAAAGTCATGGAAGGAGAAGAATAGAATGGTGATTACCAGGGCCTGGGAGATTGGGTGGGATTGGGGATTGTTGGACAAAGGATACAAAATTTTGGTTAAACGAGGAATAATCTCAAGAGATCTATTGTACAACATGGTGACTATAGTTAATTACAGTGTGTTGTATACTTGAAAAGTGCTGAGGGTAGATTTTAAATATTCTCATTACAAATGAATGACAAATATGTGAAATATGAATATGTTAATTAGGTTATTTATCTATTCCACAATGTATACATATTTTAAAACATCACATTGTACCTCACAAATATACACAATTTTTATTTGTAAATTAAAAATAAAACGAAGAAAAACAAGAAAGAAAGATAATGGAATGTGGTACCGTTTTTGAGACTAGAGTTAGCTATGGGAGCCTCAGAAGTGTGTTCTTTTAAATGGAAATGCTTTCAAATTTCTGATACTAGCTGAGCTTGCCAGCATTGCACAAAAAAATCATTAACCATTGTTCAAGTAAATATGTCTCTGCCCACACTGACCTTGAAGTAGATTATACAGAAATGCTCATGGGTGCAGAGGGGCAACTTGAGTGTATTGTAGCCCTGCCTTTGCATCTGCTTTTGTGATTTTTCATTTGGAGGTCATATTTGACAGAATTTTTACACTTTTGTTGTTTGTTTTGTTTTGTTTGGAGTCTAAGGTATGCCTACTTAACAGCACGCACATAGGTCTCTGGTACCAAGTTGCACCTGCTCTGAGGGATCATTGACTGTTCATTTTAGGGGCTTCCCTGGATGAAAGCCTTATAGTCTCTGCTTATAAAGTTTAGATCACTTCAAACATTCCTTTTGAAACATTCCTTCAAAATTTGTGAAAATCTAACTAGTATTCCTTTATGTATACAGATTTTTCTTGAATCAGTTCCCCTTTGCCATTCCTTAGTATTCAGTAAGGTTCTGCACATTTGAAATCCTGATGGTATAGGACTAAGGAGAATGAAAAGAAGATGGTCTGATCCAAACTTATACAAGCAATTTAAGAGCAGACAACATCAGCTAAATTTGAAAGGTGAGGATAGCAAAGAAGGAGCAAATTTGGGAGACAGAATCAGGGCTGTTCAGTCTGCTTTCACCATGAAGCTCCTCCTTCTGGCACCAATACCTTGGGGTCCTTGATTTTATTTCAGTAAGGAAAGCAATCCCTTGAGCAGAAAACAAGACTTAGCTGAAAGTATGGCAATCAAGATACCTGTTTCTCAACATGCACACAAAATTCCCCTCATTTGAGAATTGGGTAAATATTACACTCCAAGGGTCAAGTAGGCCTTGGGAAGCCTCCAATCCAACAAGAAGATGATATTTTCTCTTACTGCTCAGTGAATCAGCTGATTATATTGTTTAAAGAAAATTGCTCTCTGAAGGCTAGCAAAAAAGTGACAAATGTGAAGAAAGGAAGAACCTCATGGAGAGCTAGTTCTTAGGGTCCAGTTTCCCTTCAATGTCTTTCAGTAGGTGAGTTCATCATGTTCTTTGCTGAGACCAAGGATTAGGGGTGGACATCCAACATAAAAAAAAAAAAGAGAGAGGAAAGATCTCAGATCTACCAGACAAAATAATCACTCTATTTCTCTTTGGGGCTGCTTTTAAATATTCTTGAAAAGTCAATGCTTTTCCTCTCTGCATATACATTTAGGCATAACACTTTTGTTACCACAGTCATCTATACCCATCTTTTCTGCTAGAGTGTTGCCTTGTTGACATCAGCAACAGCTTTGTGTTCACTTTTGCAATCAGAGGCACTTAAATGTCTATCGAGTTGAATTGTAAATAGAATCCCATCTCCCTCCTCAAGCAGAGATCTTTTAAAATATTCCTCAAATACCATCTTATGACAAATATTCCAAACATTCCTGGTAGCAGGAAATTCACTGGCTTATAAAACATTCTACTTTTGTACTTCAGGAGTCAAAAAAGAAAAGACAAATTTACTTGTCCATTTCTGCTTTTGACTAAGATGTCTCAGGTTACGTTGAGGTGTATGAAGCCCTTGAACCTTTGGTATTTTTTGAAGAGTCCACTCTAGAGTAAAAATTGTTCAATATGTACCAAAAGAACATTGTTTTCCCAGAATCCATTTATTTCCTCTGACACATACACCAGGGGAAACTGCTCCTGGCTTGGAGAACTCCTCCAAACCAGAGATGAAGATACAGCATGACACTCCAGTGTCTTCTCAGTTAGGCATAGAGATAGCAGGAAGCTCAACCTCCAACTTTGATAATCAGCCTCCTATTCCTCTTCCTCCTTTTTTTCTGCTTCCATTATTCCCATTATCTGTGCTGCAATCCATCTCCTTCTTTTCCCCTTTCCTACTTCTCTTTTGTCCATCTCTGCGTATAGAATCCCTTGAATGTAGAGGAGAGAATGGGGTTGTGTGACCCCTCACTATATACATCATGGAGAAGGACCTGCAGGTGGTATCTGAGGCAGCCCGGGGACTTAGGAGACCTGCATTTAGAAAATGTGTCACTGATAAGAAACTTCCACAGACAGTCTTAACAAGTAAAGTGTTCTTGGGAAGATGAGAGTGAAATTGGAAAAGAGTAAGCTTGCCTCTTTCTTTACTACTAGAGAGACCTAAATTCAGGTGTACTTGGAGGAAACTTTCAAGCTGCTTCTATCAGCATTGTAAGTTTTGTAAAGTATTTGTAAACTGTAAGCAGCTCTGACAGCCACATTTCCCAGGCACTACTGGGAAACTTCATCCTTAAACTATTGATGAATAGAACATTAAATTTTAATTCTCTGTCAATTGAAACTTGCTAATTAAAATCCATGTCCTTTATCTTGGAGACCTTTGAAAAACAGAGCAGAGAAGCTTGTTTAGAGATAAAATAACTATCACCTGGCTGGAAGCTTTTGTGTCTAAGATGCTGTGAATGTTAGTTTCCTATCAATTCAGACTTGCAAGAAAATCAGCAGGTTTTCCACTCTTCTTGTATCAGTCTTTATACAGCACCCTCCCAGTTCTGTTCTTCCTTCTTACTTTCACCAGGCTCCTCATGATCTTGTTTCTGGTGAAATCAAGCCAAAACCAAGGGCAGCTTTGAAGATAGAACAAGGAATAGAGCTTCATAGGACAGAATCACTTTTTCTTTCAGTTTGTTTCCAGTGTGTAGATGTATTTACTGTATTGCTGTTCTCTTGTGTACTACTCCAGAGAAAGCCATTGATGTCTTCTTTAGCATTAAAATTATAATGGTATTCAGTATACCTCCCCATCTACCTGTTAGGGGAGGTAATAGGTGGTGTCTTCAATATTTATGCTTTAAGATATAGCAGACACTATTAGTGTACTGCTTATATGCCCTTCCTCGCCCCCCATTCCTATGCCCACCAATGGCTTTTTAATGCAAGGTCCTGTGGTTGGAGAGTAAGGGCAGAAAAGGGCCTTAACCAGTAACAGGAAATTGGTAGATGAATATCCCAGTCTCCTCAATCTCCAGGTGAGATAACTCTGAGGCACTCCTATAGTATGTCCTAGGTATTCCCAGTAGGATGGAACCCCACTTCTCACAATGTTATTCTGCTTATCAGTGTACTTTACACTGGCTTTTTCCCTTCCCTATCTCACTGCCCACCTCCTCTATGGTCCTTTTATGATCACCTTTCAAATAAACTACTTGCACTAAAATCTTAGTCTCATAGTCTGCTTTTGGGCAATAAAAATTAAGCTACACACAGAGAGAATGCATTTCAATTTTTGAATGTGAAAATCTATGGTGTCACCGAAAATGGTAGAAAAGTCTGTATAGTTTAGAAAATTAGAAAGTTATTATGAAATTTGACCACTGACTATGCTCTAAGCTATACTTTACAATTTCAGCTTTACATTCTCAGCAAAATCAATCTTGTTTAGTCATTCATTAAAATTTTTTTCTGAGCTTTGGTATAAAATGCATTAATGCAAATTGCTATGAGGATATCAGTGAGTGTAATATCTTTTTCTATTTGAAAGAATATTAGATTGTACTTTTGAGGAGAATGAGAACATTCATTACAAAGTTAAATGATAATAG
The DNA here is from genome assembly GCF_000001405.40 of Homo sapiens. Classification (NCBI taxonomy): domain Eukaryota; kingdom Metazoa; phylum Chordata; class Mammalia; order Primates; family Hominidae; genus Homo; species Homo sapiens. The sequence continues at coordinate 41,449,141 of NC_000005.10, read as the reverse complement.
ATAAAATAATATACAGAAATGCCAAGGAGTAAATGGTGAAATGTAATGTGAAAATAGAGACTATATATATCGTAGGAGTCCAGTGAAGTCATGGATATAGAAAGTTTTCTGGAAAAATCATGGGCAAGGAACCATAGTGTGGGTACAGAAAGTTTTGCAGGTGCAGAAAGGGAAAGGTGTGCATGTTTAGCATTTGGGTCTGACTGAAATGGAAGATTCTTTTAGGGGAGAAGAGAAGTTAAAAATGTGTATGTACATGTATTGGACCAAGGTTAAGAAGATTATAAATGTCATACTAAGAAGTTTGGGAAGTGAGTATTATCTTTCTTTGTTGTTGGGTTTTAAACACAGTAATAGCATTCATTTATTTCACTCATCCATTCATTAACTATACTGAGCTTCTCCTCTATTTAAAGGCATACATTAGATTTTGTTACTTGGTGAAAAAAGAGGTAGGGAAAGAAGAAAAGGATGACTCAAAACTTGTATGATTGAGAAGTTAGGAAAGTTAGAAAGGAGAATTGAGTTGTTCCGTTTTAGATAAATTATGTATTTATTTATTTGCTAACTTTTCCAAAAAGAGTTAAGGCAGGCTACATGCAACCAGTATGCTAGTTCTATATGATTTTACAATACAAGAGGTATTTTGTAAGATTTATTTTGCTCTCTAATTCTATCAATTTTCTTAGTTACTTTTGGAAAACCTAATTGGCACCAATTTCCGAGGCATTTTTCAGATGATTGCCATATTGGCTAGATGCCAGTTTGGGATGTGGGAAGAAAGATGGCTTCAGCCCAAGTAAATCTGCCTTGAGCTTGGCCTCAGACATCTCCTATTCAAGAGCAGGTGGCTTTTTCATCCTTCTCAGCATGCTGAAGTCAACTGGGTTTCTGGTTTGTATCAACTCTGCAGGATCCAGGAATGATGGGAGAGGTGGGGTTCAGGTCCCAGTCAAGAGCATCTTGTCAGATGCATTGATTTCACAACACCTTCTATGTCTGTTTTGGTCCTAGAGATCAGGGAAAAATTATAGCCTATGTCTTAACTCTTTATGGTGTTTAAGAGCTGTTATGAGGCTTTCAGTTACAGCTGCACCAGAGCCTGAGAATAGGCTTCTCTCTTTCCTCCTTCTTTGTCCCCCATAATTTTGGTCTATGAATGATTGGTGGCATTTGTACTGTTATATTGCATGTCAGCCAACAATAGCCAGAATGCTTCTAAATCTGAATTTAATTTATTCACAGCACAGCATGTAACCAGATGATGATGGCAAGTTAATGGCCTTTGCCTTAATGAGATAACTGTTTGCCTCCCAGGTTTGAAGGTTTACGCTAGTTTTATTTGTCAGCCTTACCTAAGCAGATACAGGAAGAAATTGTAACTTTATGCCAACATATTATCCATTCTATTTGCAGAGAGGGATAGCTGTAATGGCTTCCTCCTCCTGCTCTGTTCTTTGGGCCATTTTAAGGCCTCCGTCCCAATCTTGGCAATTAAATGCAATATCCTCTGGGGCTCACACATGTGATTTAGATGAAGAGGCTATTCAAGGTGCCTGTACTCCATGGAGTCACATCTGAATTCCAATATGCTGTTATCAAACAGGGCCTGTGAGTGTACTGGTTCTGTCTCTCTGAACAAATCTCTCTCTCTCACCCTTCTGCCTCTTTTCCCTCCTTCCTTCTCTCTTTTAATCCCACATGATTTGATATTGAAAATAACATGAAAACCTAACATTTTCCAAAGAGAAATTGACAAGATGCTTGGTCTCAGCTCCTTAAATATCTTGGCCTTGTCTTTTTTTCTCTCAAATTATTTTTTTCATTTCATTTCAATTACCACTGAGTCTTTTACCCTGGCTAACAACCACCTCTTTCCTATCTGCCTTTCTGTTAACTTATTAATGCTTAGCAATGAGTAAAAAAGGGCAACAACTCTATTAACATGACCAAATTGATCATAATCAGACATGAATCAGGAACTGGATAAGAGTTTTACAAGCACTAAAGGTTAATAGAACCATTCTCCAACCTATTTTCCAAGCCAACCTTCATGACGCTTTCTGACCTCCACCCCCAGAAATACAGCTATTAGAGAAGAGCTTTTGGCATGGGTGGAATGTAGGTGGATGTTATTTCTGAACATTAATAGCCTTTGCAGCTATTGAACAATTATTACAGCATCCCAATAGGTAGCCCCAGCTAGGTTCAGTATAAAGCAATTATATAGTTAATTTAGCATTTGTCTAGAAGACGGGTATCTAAATTAAAAAGCTTGTTCAGTTGAAACTAGCACTTATGGCCACAGTGCAGATGTGATATGTCTCCCCAAAGCATCAACTCTATCCCAACGTTCATAGAAATAAAAATTGTTATCCGGGTGCACTGCCATACACCCCTGGGCTTCAAACACCCAGCAGAAAAAACTGTTCTATGACAGCTGAGCCTGGGTTCCAGGCTCACCACATGACTGAATGGCTCTGTTTGCATCTTCCCTTCTCCTTGAGTATCAGTTCCTTGTCTCCAAAGATGGGCATGATTTATTTCTTAGAGTTGTTTTGAAGACAATGTGAAATATAGACATGAAAATGAAAAAAAAAAAAAGAAACTAGCACTTATTCATTCCATGGGGATTTTTACATAGGCTACATTTGCCAGTATGAAACACCCATGTGAAGCTCTTTTTTGGAATTGACTAGTTGAGTCAGATCACAGCCCAATCAGTTTTAGAATGAACAGCCAGCTGGATTGAAGCCATGCTTTCCATTACTGGTTAATGGCTTTGGTATGAATGTGATTGGCCAATCCATTCTCCAAAGCCAAGGGTAGTTTAAAACAGCCTCTGGATGAAAATTCCCTGGTAGGAAGGAGCCAAGCAACAATACTCCTTATCTGCCCCTGCCCCACCAAACCCCAACCCTCACTATTCTCTCGTTGTTCTTTTTTTTTTTTTTTTTTTTTTTTTGAGAAGGAGTCTGGCTCCGTCGCCCAGACTGGAGTGCTGTGGCGCACTGCAAGCTCCGCCTCCCGGGTTCACGTCATTCTCCTGCCTCAGCCTCCCAAGAAGCTGGGACTACAGGCGCCCGCCACTACGCCCAGCTAATTTTTTTGTATTTTTAGTAGACACGGGGTTTCACCATGTTAGCCAGGATAGTCTCGATCCCCTGACCTCGTGATTCGTCCGCCTCGGCCTCCCAAAGTGCTGGGATTACAGGCGTGAGCCACCGCGCCCGGCCTCGTTGTTCTTTTTTTAATTTAAATACTTACTGTTAACTTTTTGTTACTTTTTAATTAATTACTTATCATGATTATTTAAGAAAACATAGGGACGATGTTTTGTGACCTTGGGCTGGGCAAATATTTTTTTAAATAAGACCTCAAAAGCACAGGCAACAGAAGCAAAAATAGGCAAATGTAACTACTTCGAAATTCCTGATTGTTCTGAATTGTAATTTTACCTTGTTCCCTCTTTCTCAAATATACTTTCTCTTGCATCTTACTTTTTGGAGACCTTATTTCATTGTTCTCTTCCTCAAAGAAAATTCTGATAATCCATTTCAGAGAGGGAGTTGTGGAAGTCTTATATCACTGATTTTCAAGCCTCTCTTCCTAGTGAGGAGAATTGGTGGCATAGTTGCCATATTTCCATAGGAGACTCATAGATGAGACAAATTCTTTACCTTCTGAATGCCCCACTTTTTGAAATACTGTCATGCTTTTGAGAATGATACTCGTTTTATTTGACTCACTGAGTAAAAGGTGGTACAATAAGTACATCCTAATCAGCATAATTTCTGATTTTGAAGCCAGGAAGATCTGACTTATGTGCCCTTCCTTAATGAGAGAACCTGAGCACTGGACATAACAAATTGGTACTTGAAAATACTCTGTCACCAGGAATGATTCTCCACAATCCAATAAACCAGACTTGTTATGAATTCAGTTGGCAGGATCCTTAAAGTCACAAATCAAAATTGACTTTCTCCCTTGTTGACTGTGCTCAGCACTATAATATTAAAAAACAAGTTTCTCTTCAGGGCCATGGACTCTGATTCTCATCAATAGAGAATTATTTTTTCTGGAGCTGTGTTCAGAGAAAGCATGTCATATTTACACTTTGTGAATAGCTGTATATGTTGACAAAAGAGCATCTAATAAGCTCTTACTTTTACTTCAAGAATATAAACCAACTATTTCCCTTCCTTACGTTTTAAAGTAGAATACCCCCAAAATATTCTAATAATTTATTGTCAACATGAACACTCATACTAATAGAAAACTATTATACAGAACTTACTATATGCTACCATAATCGAAAGGCCTACCAGGTGCTAACAAAATAACTTAGGCACGGCTTTGCTATGAGTAATTTTCTTGTGTCTCTGCTTGCACAATTAGTGGGATTCAGCCTATGGTACCCATTTAAAGTGGGATTGGCCATTTGACAATGCATTTCTATTAACATCATTATCTGTAATTATGAAACTGCTGCTTAAAATGTGTCATCTTTTATTAATTCATGTATTATTAGCTTTCCAGCATGTATTGCAGCTTAACTGGCATTACAGGACCTGAATCATTTGTTTAAGTGGTGGGGACAAAATAAGAATTGGGATTATATTTCAGCAGGAGGAATTTAAATCAATTACAGATAAGTAGGTTGTTCTTGGCAGACAAAGTTGATGTTACTGCCCAGGTAGAAGATGTTGGCTGATGCTAGCTGAGGAGCACTGAATGAGCCCCTCTAGCCCAACCCAAAAATGTGACTCTATGTGTTTATTCTGGTACTTGAAGTGCTATCATTATAATTTACTCCCTTTGATTCTAACTTTGCCATCCTCAGACAGAATTGATGATAATATTAACCCTCCTAAGAAAGCTTGAGGAATCTTGGGGACAAGTGTCAACAAACCCTAATCTGTGGGAGACACCCAGGGTAAGACTAGGTAACATCATATTTAAAATACTAGACAAACAATAGAATGACTATTCTGTGAGAAATATGATTGTCACCACTGCTCACCCCTAATAAAGGCCACCAATTATAGGGTGAAATTTAATTAAAGATACTGGCCTAGAGGTGAGAAAAAAAACACCTGAGAAGAAAGTATATCCACAGATTGATTTGTACTTCACTAATTTTCCCATTTAAAAGAATACTATTTTAACTATGAGAAAAGCAGAGTCCAACATTTACCATCAAAATAGCTCAGGGAAAGTATCTACATAGAGCAGGATTAAAAGAAAAACTAAAAGGTACAAAACAGTATATACAGAATCTCAGACCAATTTGCTATTTTAAGTAAAATTACAGGCTGTCCTGGTGCTTATACTTAGGTATGGTCTGTCTGTACTTCACCCAGCCTGCCCTGAAATGCTTGTCAAAAAGGATAATCATTTTATTTTATCAACACATCCCAAGTTTCCTTAAAGGAAAGACTCAGTTCAGATTCTCTCCCTCAGACTGCTAACCACCTCTGCGTTCCTGCAAAAGGTCAGCACAGTCTCTCCTTCTTTTCACCCTCCATGCTCTGTCTCTCCTAATAATAATCATAGTAATAACAATATAATGGATGCTTACCAGGTCTCAGGTTTTGTAATGACTGATTACATGTTATATGTATATAGACAATAATAACATGTTATTTCATTTATATCAACTAATATATATACAGTCATGTGTTGCTTAACGATGAGGAGATGTTCTGAGAAATACATTGTTAGGCAATTTCATTATGGTGTAAACATCATGGAGTGTACTAACCTAGATGGTATGCCCACTACGCACCTAGGCTATATGGTATGGCATACATTGCACCGACCCTACAAACCTGTACTGAGTGCTTCAAGTATTGAATGCTGTAGGCAGTTGTAACACAATGGTAAGTCTTTGGGTATCTAAACATAGTAAAGGTACAGTAAAAATATGGTATTATAATCTCATGTGACCATTGTGGTATGTGCAGTCTGTTGTTGATGGAATCGTTGTTGTGTAGTGCATGACTATTGGGTATATATGAATTATATACATATATAATTATATATATTATAATTATACAGCCTCTGGATATGTATAATTATATATTATTATTATATATGTATACAATAATACATATATATGGACAAATGTTAATTTGTGAAAATCCCTGCATCTCCTCCTTCTCCTTCTCTTCATATATTATAAGGAGAACTCTGTCTTTCCTGTCTTTATTTTTGTCACCTGGGTAAGTTGGAGTAAAGTCAAGGGAAGGACAGAAATAAACCATAACAAGTTGGTTGAGTCACACTGGAAAATATGGATAGAGGAAGAAGAACAAGGAAGACAAGAGTAATGCAATCAGATTTGATTTGAAGTGTTTGGGTGAGGGAAGGGATTAAGGGCTAGCTAATGAGACAGAAAAAGAAAACTTTACGGACTTTCCCCTGTGTGGTAAATGAAACTTTCCTTAGACATTGTTCTACCATCACAACACAATTTTTAACCTTGCTTAGTTTGCTTACTTTTGGATGTTGGAAAAGTTACTTCTCAATGTAAGTCTGCTAAAGTAAATCATAAAACACCTCAATAATGTCTTGTGATTTACACATTCATTATTTCATTTAATCCTTGTAATACTCCTCTGAGGTTGTCTTTTATTTTTCTCCCACTTTACAGGTAACAAAACTGTGGCTTAGAAATGTGGTGTTTGGGGCAGGTTAGCAGTACTCTGGTCTTAACATATGTTTATTATTACTTTAATGTGTATGATACATAAACTGTTGGGATACATTAACATTTCAGAAAATGTTAGTGAACTTCTTTGGCACTGAAAACTGTCCAGTGAATTTGGAAGATTGTGGAATATTGTTAACTAAGTCACATGTGCATACTTTGTGTTTTTGCCTCCTTGTCAGATCAACACCTTCTGAGTTGTTTATTCATTGTTACATACAGATTTAGAAGGAGAATTCACTATTATCATGGCATAGAGAGGGCTTACTCTTTTTAATAAAAATTACCTTCTTCCCATATATGGGATGATTTAAATTGCAACATAATCATCTCAATAAGAGTCTAGAATCTTTTGCTGATCTCCATGTTCTTCAATGGACGTCAACAATTAGGTTGACATAGTGGAGAATCTAAAATGGTCTGATACTGAAAATCTAAATTTTGCTTTTACAAACAGAGTTTTTAAAGAGAAGAATTTAATCCCAACAATTGAGACCTCTACAAAACTTAAACTTCATAAAGAGTTAAAATTTTTTCTGATGTTTAGAGATGATCAAAACAAGCATTTGTATCCCATGTGTGGAGACAACCTGGGTCTCCACATTTATCATAGATCATATTGTTATTTTCATTCTATAGGCAGGGGACATGAAATACACAGAGTTGGGATAATCCCTTTATGTTCACTTGGCAGAATTGAGTTTATCCCCAAGACGTTGTCTACTTTTCCTACAGGTCACATGTAAGACATGCAGTGACAAAAGAATCAAAAAGCTACCTTAAAAGTGCATAGTGAGGTCCAACATATAGAAATCTACATAATGAAGTGGTGGCTCGTGTGGGCAAATGCAGATGTTCTGGAGCAGTCTCTTGGATGCACCTTGTACTCCCTCCTGGAGGGAGGTTTCTTCAGGAGACTGTTTAGAGAAGCTTTCCCAGGTGAGAAACTAATTTTGGCCATAAAATGAGAAATTAGCTTTCCATTAGAATGAGGAGAGGAGTAAAAATCTGAGCAGAACGAACGTATTCCCAATGCATTTCTTCTTTTCCATGCAAAATGATCTTGAAAACTGTGGTGGAGAGGATGTCTTGTCTCTGTTAGAGTCGCATCTCAGTTAGTATTGACATTGCATGAGTGCGTCTTCTAAAGAAATTCTTTTCTGCATCTCTTGGCTGGTGTATCCTTTTTGCCAGGTATCCACTTCCTTTTCATTACAAGTCTTCTTAAGACTGTATTTTCAGGTTTGCTGTCTTTTCAGGTTGCTGTCTTTTCAGGTACCGAAAGCCCAGTTGAACTATCTTAAAGAAAAATGAAATGAATGAATGAATAGGCAAATGAACAGGATTTGGTGGCAAGATGTTGGAGAGTAGTTTATAAGGTTAGAGGAAGGACTGCAAGAACCAGAAAACTGATTCTGTGGGCCTGAAGTCCACTCTGTCTGTTTTTGTCTGCATTATACACTAACTTTCCGAGACTCCTAGGTAGCTCATTCTGATAGCCTGATCTCATGGTTCTAAAAGTTCAAGAGAACATCCTTTCTGCCTTAGGTTAAAGTCACAACTGCACTTGTTGAAATAAACAAAATGGCCACAAGGTAAGGTATTCTTTGGTCCAGCTTGGGTCTTTTCATTCACCTGTGGGTTGGTTGGAGAAAGAAATAACACGGTTATCGTGAGGTATAACAGGTTTCTAAAATGAAAAGAGTGATGTTATCAGAAAAGGGTCCAAATCAGAATCATAATAGCTAACACCCATAGAGTACTTATTATATGCCACACACTCCTCTATGTACATATATACATAGACTTATAGAATCAGTAAGACAACTCTATAAGATAGATATTATTTTCTCTATTTTATGGATTCAAAAACTGAGCCATTAGAGATTATGTATTTTGCTGGGCCTGGCGGCTCACACCTGTAATCCCAGCACTTTGGGAGGCCAAGGCAGGTGGATCATCTGAGGTCAGGAGTTCAAGACCAGCCTGGCCAACATGGTGAAACCCCGTCTCTACTAAAAATACAAAAATTAGCCAGGCATGGAGGCAGGCACCTGTAATCCCAACTACTCGGGAGGCTGAGGCAGGAGAATCATTTGAACCCGGGAGGCAGAGGTTGCAGTGAGCCAAGATCGTGCCACTGCACTCCAGCCTGGGTGACACAGTGAGACTCTGACTAAAAAAAAAAAAAAAAAAAAAAAAAAAAAAAAAAAATTGAGAGATTATGTAATTTGCTCAGAACTGTATAGCTAATAAGTAACGGAGCTAAGATCTGACGGAGCTAAGATCTGAACCCATGTGGTCTGGCTCCTGAATCTAGGGACTTATTCACTATACTCAACTACTCTATAAATGGCCATCATACAAGTCAGGCCCATGTTCCACCTGTGTGCGAATCCTTCCTCTTCTATCATTGTCCCAACTGACTTCTTTCCATTTCTAAAACTCACAGTCACTGACATCTAATTTAACACATTACTATTATTTTTCCCTTTTTATTCTGCAGATTCCACCTGCCCAATTAGCCTGAGAAAATACATGAAAAGAGACAGTTGAATATAGTTCATTTGTGTCCCTGGAGAATCTAGTACTTGATAAGTGACCAATAATCAAGTCAACAGAATCTTGAGATATTGAATGTTTTAGATATTAGGTTTTAATATATGGGGGACTATCAGTTTTGGAGTCAGTTTCATTGCATATAACAGGAAAATATCCAAATAGTAGTAACTTAAACAAGATGAATTTTTTCTCTCACCTGAAAGACATTTGGAAGAGGTTAGTCCAGAGCTGAAATGGTATATGATGTCTTCAGGAACCCAGGCTCCTATCTTTGGGCTTTGCAACTCTTAGAACTTGGAGACTATTCTCAAGGCCACCTCTTGGTTCAATATGACACCCGCATTCCAGACAACAGGGAGGAGAAAGGGTACTCCTCAATGGAGAAAAAAAAAACATTTAAAAAGACTTCCTGAAAATCCCAAATAATACATAATACTTTGGCTTACATCTCATTGGATGGAACTTTTAAAATGGCTACTTCTGGATGCATTGGGAAATGCAGTCTTTCATTTAGCACATTAATATGCCCTCCTAAAAGTCAAGGTTCTAGTACTAAGTTGGAAGGAGAAAAATAAATGTTGGATAGGCAAGTAGTAGGCTTTGCCACAGAGAGTAATGAAAATAATCTCTCTCAGTTTCTTCTTAGAAACCTTCTATTTTTTTATGGACAAATTTTCCATTCATGACCCATGCAGGAAATTAAAATGTGCTTTGGATGGTTCAGAGGAGGCGCAGGATACCTGGAGGACAGCTTGGTCTCCCTTCAATGGAAATATCAGGAATATCAGGAAGTGTCCGTGAGCTCCACCGTAAACTACGACAGTGTTTGTTTGTTTTCACTTGCTTAGATTGCTAAAGACCGGGGCTCTCCTACATTAAAACAAACAACAGGTCTTGAAATTCACCTTGATAAATGTATTTTTATAGTCATAGGAAAAAATACATGTAAAGCTCTGCTTTCTTTAACTCTTTTCCACAGAGAGAAACGTTTGGCTGTTCGCTTAGCTTTTTTATGCTCTGACTTTAGTCAATATAGATAGTTTGTAAAGTTTTTTTTTTTTTTTTCCTAATGACAGGGTAAGGACTAAATAATAAGCTCCAAAGGACTAGCTATTCTTGGATATTTCTAGAAGAGAGACTTTCACATGTTAGTGTTGTAGAAAAAAGTGGGTTCTTGTCACATGACAAGGAAAATTTAGGCACACAGACATATTGTAGGGTGATTAGGGCAGGGTTTATTGGGTGAAAAGGGAAAAAGGAAAGAGGAACTCTCAGCAAAGGGAGAGAGAGTCTTGCTAACAGGCTCCCGTCTTACAGATTGAAGCCCAGGACACCACACAGGAACTGAAGAAGCCAGGCTTCTCCTCTCTGCAAATGGGGCAAACTTCCCCTGGTTCCACCCCATTCTCCCAGCGTGCAGGTGGGCATTATTCAGAGAGAACTAGTCGGGGAAAGGGCAGGCTTCATCCAGGGCCAGCAGTCCGGTTTTTCAGACTTCAGGCTATTTTAGGCTTGAAAGTGGGGTTTCGCAGGGGACCCTTGTCTGTCTCCTGTCTCTATCATTAGCATGTTATTCTTATTGCCTTTTCATCATTAACTAAGGAAAATTGATTAAAGTGCTAAAATAAGAAGCACAATACTTTTTCACTTAAAAGTGAGCAATTTAATTTTCTTCTCACATAAGTCTGTCGGGGCTGTTCTAAGTTGGTGGCAGTTTTTCTCTACTTAGGCATTCAGGGATTCAGTAACAATTTCGCTAGTGGTCACCTTTCCAAACAACTTAAGGCAGAACAAACCAAAGCCCAGGGATAGGAATTTTTTCCCAAGTAAGTGAGGAAGAAATTGCAGGCATTACTTTTGTCATATTCCAATGATAAGCATTACACATGGCTCCAAGAGGGGCTGGGGAATGTACTATAGTCCATGTCCAGGAAGAAGGAAACCTGGATTTTGGTCAATAGCTAGCAGTATTTATCACATGTTGATGGACAGTAGTTAGCCTCCCTTTTTCCAGCCTCTGCACCTTATAATCCAATTTCTTCCCATACCAAAGAGATCTGTAGAAAAACTTAATTAGGTGATACCACTCTTTCAATCCAACCTCTCCAGTGGCTGCCCCAATGCTTGAATATCAAGTCCAAACTTTTTGCCAGTACGTACCAGACATGGTATCTATCTGACCTACGACTCTTCTTCAAACTCCTGTCTTTATTCTTGCACCAATGGGGTTCTGCCACACTGGCTTATTTGTATTTCTTGAACTTGCCAAGCTCCTTCCTACTTTAAAGTTTGTGAATTTGCTGTGTAATGGGTCTAGAAGAAAGAAAACTGAGATCCATTGCTCCTTCCTTTTCATCATTCTATTTGCTCCTCAAACATCACCTCTGCAAGAAGGTCTTCCCTCACCTCTTCCCACAATCACAAGTCACTATCACAGGGCTGCATTATTATAGTCTTTGTAAATACTTAATAGTTCCTGAAATTGCTGTATTTTATGCATTCACTTTCAGTGTTTACTTGCTAAATGTCTATCACCACGTATTTGAATGAAAGATCATTGTGGCCAGAGCTTCATCATTTTTCTCAAATCCATAGCCCTTTCCAGTGGGCCTGAAGTCTCAGTATTCCATCTCTCTGTTGTTTCATGTATGATGTCTTGTCACTGTGTTTAGATTGTAAGCTCCCCAAAGACAGGTGTGATGTCTTCTGATTTACTCATATCTTTACATTCCAACTAGGATAATTTTATTAAATAAAAGATAAGAGGAAATAAGTACAGAGTCTTTAATGTGAGAATGGGCATGGGAGCTAACATTTCAATCACAAGTTCAGATTTTACATTGGTCTCCTCTCTAACCCCATGAGATTCTGTGACAGTCTTGTTCAGGTGAAGCTTAAGTAAAAGAGCTTTTAGAAAGAATGAAGGGGGTACTTTCATTTAAGTATATATGTTTTCCTTGACTATATTAAGTATCTAAAAGTATAGAATACATGAAATTAAATAACTGAACTTTAGTTGAATTCTATAGATAAATTATTTTGGCTTTCAATACTTTTAAATTTTCTTTGGAAAAACCTATTCTGAAGTAGGTTTATATCTTTTGTCCAGTAGCCCATAGATGTATGAAGTAGTTTTTGATTTCTTCAAGCTCTGGATTTGGCCCTTTACACACTGTTGTTGTGCACCTGCTAAGTGCTTAGTAGGTGGTGGTTTTGTTGCATTGAAAGACTTCAGGGCCACTTACCATGGTGGGAAGTATCGGAGGGCTGCAATAGTTGGAATTTCTTAGTAGAATGCCTGCTAATGCCATTACAAAGAGGTGCCTAATAAGAACTTTTCAAGTGACTCAGCAATAGCAACAGCTAACATTTACTGAACATATTAAGTAGCAAACTCTGAACTAGTCTTGTGGGTATAATATAACTATTTTCAACAGTATCTGCCTGGAGATCAGGCAACCAAGGCTTAGAGACATTAAGTAACTTGCAAATAATCACACAGCTAGTAAGAGGTGAATCCAGGATGTAAACCTAACTATGTGTTAGATTTCATTCTCTTAAGCAATGCTAACTTGCTTTGTATCAATACATATTTATAGGGATGGCATTCAGTGATACATAGCTTTAAAACTGCTATACTAGATAATTGCTAAGATACTTTTAAGGGTTGACATTTATGAGTTGAACCACATGTAATATTCAACTCTGCATCAGACATTTAGTCAGAATGGATGCCTAACCCATCCAAATGTGGGTGGCCAGTATATCTCACCTGGTGTGTGCTTCTTAAATATCAGCCCAATTCCAACTTCTCTTTCAATATTTGTCCCTTCTCAGAGGATACACTAATAACCTCTTACCCCCAACCAATGTGTTAGGGTTGAGTGGTATCCTCAGGGCAGGCCAGGCTGGCAGGTGCAGAGGCACTATTCAGTAGGTGGTATAGAGTGACTTCAAGGGCTATGAGGCCACAGAGGTTTCTATCTCAAATGATGCTGAATGGTGGGCCCTGTTTCTTTACGGGAGAAGGAGAAACTCCATTCTTTGCTAAACTCTGAAGAAGAAGCTTAACATCTTTAGTCTCCACAAATCTTATTTTCTAAACATTATCTAGTGTTTCAAAACTTACTTTGCAACAGAACCATTATTTTTACCAAGGAATGCCTATTAGGTTTCCTCAGAATTAGTGTTTTGGGAAGTTCTATCAAATCCACCATGGCTTCTCCACCTGTTTTCCACTACCCCCATTCTTACCTATGAGGAAATTCAGAGTCAGAGAGGCCAGCAGACTTTTCCAAGATTGCTCAGGGCAAGAGCTGGGACTCAAACTCAAAACCTTTCCCATCTAGCCCAGTGCACTGTGCACCACATGCCTCTGCCCACACCCCACAGCTGCCAGTGTCCATGTGGGTGGTGCTCCGTGAACCTCAGCTATCACACAATGCAGCCAGACACTAATCTTAGGTTTCAAGGGCAGGTTGACTTTTTTTTGCATACTCTGAGTTATCTAAGTATGTTTATCAGAAGATTACTTACAGAGCCAAAAGGGGAAAACAAATTTCCTCCACATGGGATTAGTAGTTATACAAATTGTGGTAGAACCATACAGTGGCCTCCACCATCTTCATAAAAATGATGACAGAGTTGTACATTTTTTGAATTGGAGAAATGCCCAGGGCATATTGAACAAGTGGTAAAAGCAGGTTACAAAATAGTATTCTCACTACGATACCATTTAAAATCCTTTGTGCCTTTGTACACATAGATGCACATGTGTATGCAAAGAAAAATAGCTAAAATTCTATATGCTGAAATACTGATACTTGCTTTGAATGGTGACACTATATGTAATTTTAAAATTTTCTTCATGTTGCTTTTATACTACTGAAAATTTTTATGAGCGTGTGCTAGCATTAAAATTAAGGAGAACAAAAATTATATCCCTTTCCTTTCTGTCAATTCCAACCCTATCTCCTTTCTCCTGGTCCTCCACAATTTGTGCCTCCACAGTAATGCCAGCTCCAGGCACAAGCATAGCAGCCCTGTGAAAACAATCCCTCCCACCCCTACTCTCACCAGGCTCACTTGCACCCAAGTCTTATTCATGTGTTTCCCACTTTTCTACACAATGCCTGTCCCTTCCTTTCCAACATATTATCTCCATCCATCAAAATTCCTTCCATCTTTCAAGAACCCATTCCAAGCTTCCCCCTTTATAATTTATACCCCTAATGCTATTGAAATAATTCCACTGATTGTGCTCTTATTCTGCTTATACAAGATTTCATATTACAGGGTTGGATTCAGGGCTCCTATACCAATTGTGCCCTACAAAAAAGGCAAGTACCTGGGGGTGTGAGTACAGACTGAAATCCAGGCCTCAATCTAGTCACCAAGTGGAGCTCCATGAACCTCCCTAGCTAGGTCAGATCTTTCTGGTATTAGCCATTCTCCCAGTTGCAATTGTACATTTTTAATGCTCATCTCCTCGCTTTCCAATGCAGTGAGAGAACAGGTTTGCTTTTGTTCACATCACATCCCCAGCACCTAGTACAGTATCTAGCACTCAGTATTCATTGAATGAATTAATAAATGAATGAGAGGTCAAGTGACTTGGCCAAAATCACACGCAGAAGTCAAACCCAGGGTGCTTTGTGATACAGCAACTTGCGTAGCAGCCAACAGGGCAAACTAGGATAAACAAAGATATATAGAAAAGCCACAAGGATCCACAGTTATTGGCAAATAGCCCCCAGGATCTTTGTCAGCAGCTGTGTGGGCATTTCCTGCTTTTCCCCTGAACAGTGGGTTAGAAGTGAATGGCTCCTGCTGCTGAATGTGTTTGCAATGCCTGGGCCATCCCTGCTGAAAGTCTCCATCCCATTGGCTCCCATCAGGTGATATTACGTCACAGCTATACAAGTAACCTGTGCTTTTTCCCTTCCCACCTGTAGGCTTTTGATGGAACAAGATTAGAGGAGGGGGAAAAATCATATCACTTCAAGGGAGAGGAGTCATTTTATGTTTTTGTTTCTGTGCGTTTAAAGAATCAATTCACAAGGTTTTAATGGATTACTTGATACGGCAGCAGTTTTCTCTCCCTCCTGTGAGGGCGCTGTTTAGATCAGCTGAGATGAGCAAGGCTGCATCCATGCACTTTAATCATTCTTAGAATGAGCATTTTATTTCCTGATTTCTACTGTCATTTTTGTGAGTCAGTAATAGAAGAAACACTTTGGCACCAAGGGCTCAGGTCTCATTTCTCCTGTGCCTGAGCAAACATGGAAAAATCTATACAATTGCTCTCAGAGGTTACTGAGAAATTAATCTGGCTGCTTCCATCTTGGGATGGTGGAAAGGGGTGTTTAGGCAATGATTGAGGGGAATACTTTACAATAGGGAGGTTTAGGGGAGCCAATATCCATCTGTTCATGGCTTTTATTCTTCAGCACTCCTTAGGTACCTGGTGAATAGAAAAAAAAGGGGCAAGAGGGAAAGTCATAAATATCATTTAATGAACACTGATTGCATTTCACATTATGAGCACTAGGAACTTATTATCATAAAATCCTCAAACAGGAGATGAGGTTAGTGTCATTATTTTCACTTAGAGTGTAGGCTTTGAGGCTCAGAGAGTCTAAGACTTGCCCAAGGCTACCCAGTTGGTAAGTAGCAGTCCAAATTCTCATCCTGGTCTGACTCCAGCAGATGAGTAGCCACAAAGGCAAGAAAGGCAGCTTGTGCCCTGAATGCTACTTCTGAGCTCCTCTGCCATGTGGTGGAGAAAGCTGGCCTCTGCACCGGCTAATTGAACAGAGCTCCAGGTGTGCAGCATTCTGACCTCACCTGCTCGCTGTTCCAGGACCTTGAAATTAAGGTCAAGTTCTTCGTGACATAAGAAACTGGTTCTGGGCCAAAAGAAAACAGCAGACAAGACAGACTGAGATGTGGACAGAGTGTATAGGCCCTTTTTGTCCTTTCCCAGGAAAAGAAAAGGTCCATCAGTCTATTCAACCTGTAAATAGGTCAGTTCAACGAACATATCCAGAAAACCTGTCAAGAATGGCTATTTATTTGAGGCAAAAGATTGGTTGACCTCACTTTTTTCTTTTATCTGTTAGTTGCATTATTAAATAAACAGAATGTTCTTGCTCCTATTTATTTACTCAGCAAATATCTCTTACACATTGATTGGCATGTTCCTCTGGGTGCTCAGGCATTACAACATGGTGCCCTTCCTCTTGGAAGCTGGCTCTCTTATGTGCTTTTCTCTGGCAGGTTGTACTTTGGAAAAGACAGTTTTAACATAACTTTTAGGGAAGACATTAAAAGAATAACATGCAGTTTATCACTAAACGTTTTAAGACCCTATCAAATAAGGAATGAACAACCTCAATGCAGTACATCTTCTCCATCCCCCCATCCACTTTCATCCCCTTCTTACTTTCCTTTATCTGCTGAATAAACCCATGCTGGACAGCAGAAAAACAGTGATAGCCAAAGAAATACAGGGTTTTTAAAGCTTCGATAAACTTACCTGAATTTCACAAATAGTGCATTTAGAAAGAAGCTCGATTAGCACAAGTATGATAATTGCAATTTGTGCATTAAGCTTATTTTGAATTACGTAGTAGGGAGAGGGAGGACAGTAATATTATTCAAGATGGGAGGCTTCTTTAAGTCGTAATTTATCCTGGATTGTAAAGTCTATTTAAACAATTTCCCAGTATCTGAGGGCAAGAAACCAGAAAAAGCTGGGTCCCTTGTCGTGGACATTAGAGAGTTGGAAAAAGGCTCTCTTGTCTCCAAGATGGAAGGCCTCTCACCTCTGCTTGGTCTTCTGTCTCCTCCATTCTTCTCATTCCCTAACTAGCTTCTCCTGCGTGGTCCTCTTGCTCAAGGTCCCACATGGCTGCCTGGGGCTCTTGTAGGTCCAGCAAACCTCATGGGCCTAGCACCTATCATGGACAAGTTGCAGGAGAATGGCTTGAAATTGGAGGTAATCACACCACCATTTCCCCTCCTACATTTCTAAAAATAAAGTGTGATTTGAATTCTGAAATTAACTGTGTCTCACTTTAAAAACTTGTCTTGATTAGAGATTTATGAGTAATGGCTCAGCAAGACAGCCAGGTCAATGAGACCTCCCTCTGTGGGATTTAATGTAAAATACTCCACATTTAATCTGAAAACAATCAAATAAAACAGATAATTGGACTTGTTATGCTACTTTTATTTTTGAATGAAGAACAAAAAGGTGATATATATACATAAGCAAACAGCTATATAATGTAATATCTAGTGAGTATTTTCCCTCCCAATTCATGCTGATAATTTCTAGAACCTGTCCGTGAAGTGATCCACTTTGGCATGAAAATGTAGGATAAATTCATCATGAAAGTGATTGTGTTGTATGAATAAATCTGTAACCTAACACAAAAGTCATCAGTAAGTAATACATAAGAATGTGTAAGTCAAAATATCAAAAATTTTGTATACTTAGTGTGTCTTTTAACTTTGCAAACCCTTAGCATAACCTCTAATGTATATTCAGAGGAGTGTAAATTAAAAGCAAAGTCTCATTCCTATTCAAAACAGAGAATAGGCCAGTGGTTCTATCTATAACCACTTTTTAATTAAACAAAATTTTAAGCGATAATCCAAAATCTAGTGCTTGGAATTTAGAAACATCGACAGTTAGAGATAAAATCCCTCTATGGAAGGAGACTGATGAGGTCAGCCCAGAAAATTGGCATGGATCCTCTCTAACTCTGACGTTCTGTGCATCTGCTAGGTGATTTGTGCTCATTGTATAATAAGTTTCTCAGTAAAGAATTCCTTTCTCACATGTTTCCAAGACAATTTTGTCAAATACCCCATTAGAGGATGACCAATTGGTCAGCTCAAAGCTGGGAAAGAATACTTTTCCAAATTAGTTTGGTTAAGCAGCAGATGGAAACATTTTGATGGGCTGTGGCTACAGAAGTTTCAGGAATCAAATTCTCCTGTTTTTCCTTGTGACTTTTCTATTTTCTTTATAATTGGCAATAACTTTTAAAGAATAATATTTATAATGTAAAAGTTTTATTTCCCCCAAAAGCTTTCGAATAATTTATATCCTCAAATTATGCCAGCGCTAATTACTACTCTGACCCCTGGAAGGGATTCAGAAGAGAAACTAGGGAATGACACTAAATAATAAGTTCCCTGGGCATGAGTGCTTACACTGGGTCACAGAATTCCCTTCCAGGTTTTTTAAGTTGATTCTGGACAGATGAAGGCCCAAGTAGAGAGGCAAGCGAAACTCCAACCATGCTTGTGAAGCATTTTGTATCTTTCCTAAATATTCTCGGCCTCATTAAGCCCTGATCTCAGAAGAAGATGTGGAAATTTTTGTTCCTTCAAGCTACACCTATTTTCAATAAATTGAATTAGTGCTGTTTCATATTTAACCCTGGAAAACTACAGACAGGTCAATTCTTTATGATTTTACTATTTTGGCTTTATAATCTAACCCTATCAGGGTTCCAAGCAACTATTCAATTCCCCTTTTCTTGAACTCATTCCTCTCTCATGGAAAGCAAATTAATAAAATGTATGTATTTACTATATTTACATACAGTTATATAGCATTTTCTATATACTAGGAACTGTTAGAAGTGCTTTACAAATAAAACTCATTCAATTAATAACTACCCTGTGGGATAGGTGCTATTATTGTTACTATGATGGAGTTGACGCAACTAAAGCACAGAGAGGTTAAGCAACTTGTTCAAGCTTGCACATCTAGCAAGCAGCAAAGTAGGGTTCAAACTCAATTTGCCCTTTTGTTTTAGATCATTGGGAGATGCCTTGGTAACTTGGCATTAGGCTTCATCTTTGGCATTTGCTTTGCTCTGCTATATAAATAGGTGTTTCCAGGGGCATCAAGGTTGGTTAGAAGCTGAATATTTTTCTAAAAATATAATATTTTAATTGGTGCTAAATAAGAACACTAAACATAAGTTAAAACTATACCTTATCTGACTCTTCAAATGACCTATAGATTTTAAATTAGTTTGGGTGTGAATAGATGTTATCCCTTATAAAACTGTCTCAGATCTGAATTCCTACCTTCGTCATTCCTTTTTCTCTTTTTCCATCCTCCCTCCTTATCATATTTCTATATTTCTTTCTTTTTCTCTTTCAAGAGCATTTACTTCCTAAAGCATAGCATCCATTTCCAATAAACCAACTGTGCCTTTTTATTTGAAATCATATTAATACATATCCACATTCAAGATGATTTTGAACATGAATTCAGTGACGTAGAAATCCCAGTCCTATAAGACACAAATCCATAAGGTTTTCCTTAATTTGGCCTATAGTCCTGTTTAATCAATCTTTGCAACTCAATTGGATCAAGTACATTGCTAAGGTAATACAACATAACATTATTAATGTCTCTCTCTCTCTCTCCTCCGCCTTCTCTCCCTCCCTCCCCTGATTCCCCTCATAGCAGAGAATCTCCTGATACTGAATGTGCCCTTCCCCCATCCCCAGTAGCAGTGTTGTCTTTGTCCTATTCTGTTGAGTTTTCAGTCTCATCCATTTCTGACTTTATTGGAAGATCACTTTGTCCTTTGTAAGCAAACATTGGAATGAAACTGATCATGGAGCCATTGACTTCTCTTGGTGGTATAAATTTTCACTAAGTAACATCTCATTTTTGTTTTAGTGATTGACAATATGCTTAACCTGAGAGGATGGGTGATTTCTCCTTTGAGAGTTTAGTACTCCCAAAGTTTGGCTTCTTGGATACATCCTGGGCAGTATAAATATTGCGAAAACTTCCAGGAAGCAACACGTCTTCAAAATAGATGCCGTGTCTTCCAGTTCCTCCAAGTCAGTCCGTAGTCTGACTATTCCAGTATCTGGAAATAATCTGGACTCAGGGAGTCTTTGAAATAGTCTATGGTTAAAACTGGCAGTTATTTTACCTCATCCCATTTATTTTACTGTGAAACTATTTTGTTAAACCACCTTTCCTCAGCATCTATTTGTTTTTTAACAGTGCATGAAGCGTCTCTAAAACATTTTCTCTGTGTGGAAAAATGCACTAAATGTTAATGAGGTGGAAATAGGGAAGATGAAGGGACTGATTTTAAAAGTTGAAAAAGGTTTTGAAAAATTTTAAGTTGGAGACTCCTGTGGTAAAACACTATTAGTGTGCTAGGGCTGCCATAACAAAATAACAAAAATGGAGTGGCTTTAAAACAGAAATTTATTTCCTCACAATTCTGGAAGCTACAAGTCCAAGATCAAGGGGTTGGCTGGTTTTGTTTCTTCTGAGGCTTCTCTTCTTGGTTTGCAGACCTCTCTGTGTCCTCACGTGATCTTTTCTCTGTGTACATACGCCCCTGGTGTCTCTTTTTGTGTCCAAATTTCCTCTTCTTATAATGACAGATTGGATTAGGGCCCACCCTAAAAAAAACAAAAACAAAAACAAAAAAACTCATTTTAACTTAATCACCTCTTTAAAGACCCTATTCTGAGGTACTGGGGGTTAGGGCTTCAACATATGAATTTGAGGGGGAATACAATTCAGTACATAATAAATACCAAGGGATACTGGTTGAAATAATATTTTTAATACATGTCTGAGCTTATAAGAAAGATAAAGAAATTCCTGTGTGCTAGAGGCAGAAAGGGATCTGAATGCCAGAGGAACTGGCTTTCATTTATGCCATGATAGTTGGGGTACAAGGTGTGGGGAGAGAGACAAAGTTTAGGTTTTAATGCCTTCCCAGGGCGACAGCACAAGTTGAGGGACTCAAAGAAGTCCCAAAGAAAGTGGGAAATGGGAACTGAGATCCCTCACTAGAGATGGGAAATTTACAGGGTGGCTCCCCTAAGAGGGACTAAATGTATTCACCTGTTTTGGTAGAAATGCAAGGTGTTTGTTTCTGTTCTGATTTTGATTACATTAAAAAATATGTTTCCCATGTGCCTTTGATGGTGTTGGGGCTCAAATTTATTCTTGCTAGTGGTGCTTCAATTGTAGGCTGAGAAATCACCATAAGAGTTGTTCCCATGTGAATGATACTTGTGGAGTGAATGGAAGAAGGAAATGTCACACTGTTTGGAAGCGACAGTTCAACCACCCAGAGTCTGGCAGAAAAGGAAGTCAAGATTTCCTTAAAAGCAATGCTTACTTAAAATGACCTCCCAGCAAAAAGTTCCAGAACATATGTGGAAACTATGTTCTGTGAATATTAGGCAGCAGACTGATAAGTCTGCTGGAACATTAGCAACCACAAAACTTGAATTAATAGATAAAACATCTAATACAGACATTCACATAAGTGTACATAAAATTATTAAGGAGAGTAAAATAATGTTTAGAAGCCAAAGGAAAGAGTAAAGTGTCACTTGAAAGGATAAAGAAAATACTAAAAATATTTTTTGAAACTTCTATATATGCAAGTCTTCACTGAATTTAAAATACAGTGGACTGGGTAAATAGCAGATTAGACACAGTTGAAGGAATTTAATGAACTAGAAAACAGAGCTGAGAAAACTAACCAGACTCTAACTCTGAGGGAAAGGGATGGAATACAAACTAGAGGATAAGAGTCATGAGTAGAGCTAATAGGATTTGCAAGAAAGAAACAGAAGATAGGGAGTGGGAAATATTGAAAGAAATCATGTCTGAAAATTTTCCAGATTTAATTAGAAACATGAATTGTCATATTGAATAACTCCCATGGACACTGAGAAGGAAAACAAAAAATTTATCCACATGGAAACATTGTAGTGTAATTGCAAATCAGCAAAGGGAAAAGTCTTAATAGCAACAAGAAAGGAGAGATTGATAATTTATAAAGAATAAAATCAATTAGCAGAATTCTCAAAATCATTAGTGATCAGAAAAGAGTAAAATATACCTGTGAAATACTGATACCAATAATAGTCATTCTAGAATTCTCTATTTAGATAGATTATTATTAAATGAGCACAAAATATAGACATTTTCAGAAAAAATAAAAACTGAGAGAACTGATCACTCAGCAATCCTCCTCAAATAAACTACCTTAAAAAGAAGAAAACTAAGAAGGAATGGGATGCAAGAAGTAATGGTAAGCAAATGAATTAATAAATATGTATGTAAATCTAAATGAATATGAACTGTAAAGCTTGATAATTCATTTGGGCAGAGAATTAAAAGCAAAGTAGAAATAAAATTCTAGACAGTAATAACATGGCAGTGGAAAGGGATAATTATTTTAATCATATCATTATGTTTTTCAAGAAAAGGGTAAAAACATTATATTTAGACTGTCAAACTAAGTAGCTTTGTTAACATATGAAGGATAAAGACTAAAAATAGAACTAGAATGTATACCTTCCCAAGCCACTAGAAGTAAAAAAGAGAAATAAAGCAGGCATGATTAATACAGAAGTAGGCAGAAAAGAATAAAATAAGAAAGAAAAACATATGGCAATTGGAAAGCATAAATGAGATGGTAAGAATAAATTCAAATTCATTGATATAATTAATATAAACAAATTAAAATACAATTAAGAAACAACTCTATTAAAATAAATGAGCCAAAGGCCTTAACCCACCCCTCACCAAAGAAACTATACAGATGAAAAATAAGCATATGAAAAGATGCTCCACATCATAAGTCAGAAAAATGTAAACTAAAACAACAATGAGATACCACTACATACCTATTAGAATGACCCAAATCCAGAACACTGACAATACCAAATATTGAAGATGTGGAGCAACAGGAGCTCTCATTCATTGCTCGTGGGAATGTAAAATGGAACAGCCACTTTGAAAGACAGCTGGGCAGTTTCTCCCAAAACTAAGCATACTCTTATCATACAATCCAGCAATCACATTCCTCGGCATTTACCCAAAGATATTGAAAACTTATGTCTACATGAAAACCTGCACATGGATGTTTATAGCAGCTTTATTCATAGTTGTCCAAACTTGGAAGCAACAAAGTAAACTGTGGTACATCCAGACAATAAAATATTATTCAGTGCTAAAATGAAATGAGCTATCAAGCTATGAAAACACATCGAAGAAACTTAGATGCATATTACTAAGGGAAAGAAGCCAGTACAAAAAGCCTCCATACTTTTTAATTCCAACTATGTGACATTCTAAAAACGACAAAATTATGAAAACAGTAAAAAGATCAGTGTTGGCCAGGGGTTAGAAAGGAGAAACGGATGAATAGACAGAGCACAGAGGATTTTTAGGGCAGTAAAACTACTCTGTATGATACTATAGTGGTAGATAAATGTCATTATACATTTGTCCAAACCCATAGAATGTATAATACAAAGAGAAAATGCTAATGTGAACTATGGACTTTGGGTGATAATAAGGTGTCAATACAGGTTCATCACTTGTAACAAATGTGCCACTCTGGTGGGGATATTGATAATGGGAAAGAGTGTGCATGTACTGGGGAAGCAGGTATATGGGAAATCTGTGCACCTTATGCTTAATTTTCCTGGAAACTTAAAACTGTTCTGAAAGTCTATTCCAGAAAGAAAAAAAAAAGACAAGAGACAGATTCACTTTTATATTATATGAGACACACTGGAGTCATGAAAACACAAAAAGGTTGAAAGTAAAGGGAGGGAAAGATATACTAAGTAAATACTAACAGAAATTTGGTGTGGTTATATTAATATCACACAAACTGTGATGCAAAAAGCATTATAACAAGAGAAAGATGATTACTATACAATGATTAAAAGAAAGATTTACCAAGTATTTAATAGCTCTAAGAACTCCAAAGCTGCATACAACCACCAAAATAGCCCCAAAATATATAAAGTAAAAGCTTATTGCATTTTAATAACTAAATCCACAATTTTAGTTGAGAACTATTTCTACCTTAATTCTCATATTGTGTGCTAGATCATAAAGTTAGAAAATTAGTAAGGGTATGTATGATTTGACAAGACAATAAACAAGCTTGATGATAATATAGAATACAAAATCCTGCTTCCCCAAATCAAGACACTCATTTTTCTCAAAACACTTGAAGCATATTTAAATATTGATTGCATGTTATGTCACATAGCAAATCTCAACAAATACTAAGTAACACATATTATACACAACAAATTCCTTATTTATAATGTGAAAAAATAGAATAAATAAAATACAGAAAAATAAAAATGAAGGAAGTCAAAAATTGCAATATTTCTTGCATCAAAGAAAAAGTAATGGACAGCAAAAGTAGATATCAAAACATGTGTGATGAAACTAAACTGGTTCTTAGAGTGAAATTCACAACCTATTTTTTTTTTGAAATGGAGTTTTGCTCTTGTTGCCCAGGCTGGAGTGCAGTGGCACGATCTTGGCTCACCACAACCTCCGCCTCCCAGGTTCAAGCAATTCTCCTGCCCCAGCCTCCCGAGTAGCTGGGATTACAGGCATGCACCACCACACCCGGCTAATTTTGTATTTTTAGTAGAGACGGGGTTTATCCATGTTGAGGCTGGTCTCGAACTCCTGACCTCAGGTGATCTGCCCGCCTCGGCCTCTCAAAGTGCTGGGATTACAGGCGTGAGCCACCGCGCCCAGCCAGAAATTCACAACCTTTTATGTATATATTAGAAAAGAAAAATATATAAAGTAATAATATAATCATCTAACCCAAAAGTTAGAAAAATAAAAAGGAAATTAAACCCATATATTGGCTATTGTGAATAGTTGCTGGGGGCTGGGGGAAGGGGAATGGAGAGATGTTGGTCAAAGGGTAGAAAGTTTGAATTTTGCAAGACAAATAATTTCTGGAGATCTAATGTATAGCAGTGTGACTATAGTTAACATACTATATTGTATATTTGAAAAGTGCTTGAAGAGTTGGTCTTAAGTATTCTCACAAAACACATACAAAAGAAAGATAATGGTAACTATGTGAGGTGATGGGTATTTTAATTAGTTTGTGATTATTTCACAATGTATCAAAACATCAAGTTGTACACCTTAAATATATACAGTTTTTATTTTTCAAATATATCTCAACAAAGGTAGGGAAAGATCAAAACTCAATAAAGGAGAAAAAAAATGATGAGAGCAAAAATGGATCCAGGCTGGTCTCGAACTCCTGACCTCAGGTGATCCGTCCGCCTCGGCCTCCCAAAGTGCTGGGATTACAGGCGTGATCCACCACGCCCGGCCAGAAATTCACAACCTTTTATGTATATATTAGAAAAGAAAAATATATAAAGTAATAATATAATCATCTGATACAAATCAAATCAGAAAATATGGAGTCAACAAAATTAAAATCTATTTCTTCTAATAAAATAGACTAATCTGTGGAAAAATTGATGAAAAAAGGAGAATATAAAAATAATCATTCTAGAAATGAAGGCCATAACTATTGATGCAGCAGAATTTTATGAGAATTCCATGAACTACTTTGTGCCAATATACTTGAAAAACTTAATATTTTTAAAAAATAGAACTTAACTGAAAATGACTCAACTAGAAGCAGAAAATTCAAAAGCCTTATAATAATTAAGCATAAAAAAACTTTATTCTAACCACAAAACACAGCATTTAGACCAAAGTATATTTCCAGCATAATCTACCAAACCATCAAAGAACATATAACCCATTTTTCATATAAACTGTTCTGGGAGAAGATAAAAATAAAATAATAAATCAAAGTCAGATAGGGCTTCTGCGAAGAATGCAAGAATAGTTTAAAATTAGAATATCTATTAATGTTACCATATTAACAGATAAAAAAAGAAAAAATAATTTGATCACCTCACAAATATAGAAAAGGCATTTGATAATATTCAACACCCATTCATAATTTTTTTTAAAAAATTAATACTTTTTAGAAAATTAAGAATAGAAGAGAGATTCCTTAAGCTGATAAAGTATATCTATCAACTACCTAACCTAGTATTCTATTTCACAATGAAAAGGACTCTCTAAATTCACAAAGAAGGCAAAGATGCCTGTTTTTATTACTGCTATTTAGCACTGGGTTGGAGGACCAGCTAGTACAGTATCAAAAAAAGCAAAAGAAAAACACACATACTGGAAAAAAATGCCACTTTTATAGCAAACGAAGTAAAAGATACCTGGAAATAAATCTGACAAAAGGAGCATAGGAACTTTTTAGATAAATGTGTAAAACTTTATTGAAGACTCTTTAAAAGAAGATCTGAGGAAATGAAGAGAAATATAATGTTGGAAGGTGGGAGGAGTCAATATCATAAAGATGACAATTGTCTCGCAATTTTTCTATCAATTAATGCAATCCTAACAAATTTTTCAATTTTTTAATATATCTGATTAATATAGTCTAAAATTCAAATGAAAGAATGAAACTCCAAGATTGGCCAAGGCAATTTGGACTAAGGTAGTAAAAAGGAAGGATGAGACCCATCCTACCCAGATATGAAAAGATGGTGGTTGATAAATTTCCCAAGGCTACAGAGCCTTGTAAAAGTCAAAGGTAAGATTAAACCCTGGTTCATATTGCTGCCAAGTCCACATTCTTACCTCCACATTATGCTCCTCAAGGAGATTTCAGTCATGTTTTGAAGCCATTTCCAGGACTGATAAAACGGAGAAGGCGTATGTGAAAAAACAGTCAGGGATAAGGAAGTTATTTATAGGAAAGAGCAAGCTGATTAATTTGGCTGTAGGTGAGTAATAATTCAGAAATATGGAGTTCCAATAGCCCTTTACAATAATATATACTTTCTATTGTCTATAAAGACTAAGAATAAAGATAAAAATACAGTAAGTGTGTTTAAATTAATACATATGTAAGTAACTCTTAAAGGTAGGTTGATATCTTCCTATGCATTAGCAATATATATATATATATGGAAATACCTAGGTTGTTTATATTTCTGAGTGATATCGAGAATTATAGTAAATATATGAAGAAAAGCATGTTGTTACATAATGCTTGTTTTATTAACGGGTAACCAGGACTTGGAATCTCACTGCTTTGTCACCTAAAAAAAGTTTTTTAGCACACCTGAGTTGACTTATGTTTGAATATTCTTTCAAATCAGCTGAAATTAAAATGTGCGTATATTTAAGCTTTCCATTCATCTAAATTCTACCAAAGAGCTTTTTTGTTTGTTTGTTTGTTTTGTTTTGTTTTTTTGAGAAGGAGTCTCGCTCTTTCGCCCAGGCCTGACTGCAGTAGCGCAATCTCGGCTCACTGCAAGCTTCGCCTCTCGGGTTCACGCCATTCTCCTGCCTCAGCCTCCCGAGTAGCTGGGACTACAGGCCCCCGCCACCGCGCCCGGTTAATTTTTTGTATTTTTAGTAGAGACGGGGTTTCACCGTGTTAGCCAGGATGGTCTCAATATCCTGACCTTGTGATCAGCCCGCCTCGGCCTCCCAAAGTGCTGGGATTACAGGCGTGAGCCACCGCGCCCAGCTCCAAAGAGTATTTTTTAAGGATCTGCTAAACATCTAACGGAATAATACTCTATAGGCTATTATAAGAAATATAATTCATGGACCCTACCTACCCTCAAATTACTTATATATTAGAGCAATATGGTCCAGAAGACAATTAAAAAAGAATTAGGGATTGAATAATGTATAGTTGACAATAAATTTTATAAAACTGTTGCACAAACAGAAATATGACTCAGTGAGAATTTAATACACTCTGTTTTGATGTTTGGATATTATGCCTAATATTATCCTAAAATATGCCTAACATTTTATATTAGGCATATCTTTCCATTTTTATGTTACCAGAAAATAACTTCTTTAGGGCTTGAGAGATCAGATATTATCACTGGAATGATGTTCCCTTTACCTTAGGAGAGTAAAAGGATATCAGGGATCTACTTGTGGGTAAGATTCCACTGAAAGAATGCAGGAAATGCAGGGGAAAAGTATCCCTGAGTATTAATAAATAGTAGCATTTTATTATCTGTAGCCTCACATAATGGAGTTATATGGTCACATGATTGCAGAGAGAAGCTGCCCAGAATTAGCGTAGTGACGGCAACCAAGAACTTGCAGACAATGCAAAGGTGATGTGACAAAGTTAGGGTTGGAGGAAAGACTAAAAATGCTGACACAACGCCATTTTGTATCTGTGTTTCATGTCCTGGCTTATTGTATACAATTATCCTGCCATGCAAAGATAAATTCTCTCTGCAAGCATTGGAGGTGCCAGTCACTTGTCACTGAGAAGCAGAAGAAATTAAGACTGCTAAGCATGGCAGATTTGGCAGAAGCCCAGTCTGAGAGATGTAACATGTTTTCTAGCTAAGAGGGGAAGGGGTTTGGAGGTAGACCCTGACAGTTTGATTCCTTTGCATCTTTCATGTCACTGTTACATTCCTAAAAGAAAACGTGATTATTATAATCTTGTTTTATGCAGCATCTAAAGTTGGTTGTTTTGGAGGGATGAGGAACACTGAATTTATGCCACTAGAGATCATGGGTTTTTGCCTAGCTTGGACTAGGATTTCTATAATAACTGTGACTCTAAAAAATGTGCATTTCTGGGCTGAGGAAAAGTTAAACGAGCACAATATATTCATCTCAAATAAGACCAATTTAATGACATGTATCAGTTTTCTTCTATTCCCTTTTGTTTTACTCTCTAGTTAATATATATTTAGGAGTTCTTTCTTGTTCTGTGGGTGGGATATAGACGTAAAAGTAGTCCATTTAAAAGCTCATAGATGAGATACTTGATATAGGTGCAATCATTGTCTTTATTTATAATTTATACCCTGTAAACTTTTTGAAAAGGTTGGAAGCATATTATAGCAACAACACATTTGACAGAGAATAATTAAAATTTAAAAATAAAAATAGATGAGTAATTATGGGAAATGGGAAAAAGGAAAGACTATGTACCTCTAACATGGAATTATTTAGCTACTAAAGGTGCTTACTGTGAAATCTCAGAGAAATAATTTTCTAACAATAATCATAATCATAATAATTAATTATTTGGCACTTAAGCACAGTGCTAAGTGTTTTCCATGTATTACCTCATTTAATCATCACAACAACCTATTGAGTGAGGTTGGTCTATGGTCTTTTCCCTATTTTACAGCTAAACAAACTCAGGCACAAATAGATTAAAAAATTTAATCTGTTGTCACATAACTAAGAAGTAGTGGGACTGGGGCAATCTAATTCTAGAATACATGTCATTTTCTCCAGTATGGCCATTGGTGTGAAATGATTCAGTGAACAATAGAATTATATCATTCTAAGAAATAAGATTTTGCTTGGCTATCTCTGGGGGAAAAACCTCAGTATTTTTTTTAATTGCTTCATGGTTAACATGGAGCAGAAATACTATCTACTGTTTTCCCAAAAACTTCAACCATGTCTTGGCATCATGAAGATGTGACTGACTTGCTATATGATATGTTGTTTTCTATTGGAAAAACACTATCATATCCTAGGAAATCTCTGAAATGTTCCCCTAGCACTTTGATTTGAATACTCCAGGAAATTATTCCAAAGAAAGAACGTCTTGTATAGTATTTTTTTGTGAGGTCCTTTTTATTATCACGAAGCCTTGGAATTCCTGATGATAGGAAGCTTTGATTTGAGGAAGATTTGTGGCTACAAAATCTTGAGCCGAACTGGGAAGGGAAGGATTCTCTTGCTGCTGGCTACATCTTCCTATTTTCTCTCTGGAAATTCTGTTAGAAGGCATTTTTCCTTAACATTATTACCTTTCTTCCCCCACCCCCTGCCTCTGCCAAATTTTCAACTTTCATGTTTCTAACATATACCAAGTGAGAAGAGGGAACTAATAATAACATAAAGTAAAACCTACTGTCTACAATCGAGGGCTGTGGCCTCAGTCACTCCTCCAAGATAGTGGAATGCAGAGCACCCAGCTGCCTGCTGCTCAGCCTTGGCCTCTCTCTGACTCCTACTGCTTTCCATTTACAAGGTGCCTTTTGTGATGAACAATGTAACCTTCTGAGGTGGAACAGATCATAATTTCATTGTAAATCATAGGAAATGACAAAATATTTGGGAGTCACACTCTTCTCCAAAATGATGACTGATTCAGTGTCATTGCTGGAATAACAAACAATTAGGATAGTTTATGAGTGAAAGTTTTTTCAGTTGGTATCTGGGATGGAAGGCAGTGTGGGGAGGCAGTGTGGCAGGAAGAAGAGAGGGAAGCAAGAACCTATACTACTCCGCTTAATGTGGTTTGATTCATAAACTGGAAGACTTGCAACTGAATTACATACCATTCAGTTTTAACTTTGCCTTAGTATCTAGGATATTGCCATACAAATGTTAAATATTAAATAAAGTGTACCAAAAAAATTAATATGACATGTGTTTTTTAGTCTTCAGTTTCTAGATTTGTAAAAGACCTTACAGCTGTTTCTACTTCTTATCCCTCTGCTTTCACATAAGGCTGTGTGTCACCAGAATTTCTTACCCAAGTACTCACAGTAGCTGCATATGGAGAGCAGACCCCAGGGTGTGTGGGTCTGTGTGTTATTTAAAGTAGCTTGCTACAAGGAAGAAAAAAGTCTTTGAAGCCTCATGTTTTATCTTAAAAACAAAAGAGAATTTTGACCTCCTCTTATTAATGCACTTGTGTGTGTGTGTTTTAAATGAAAATAATTTCTTCCTCTTTCAAATATTAGATAAAATTTATATTCTAAAAATATATGCCACACACACTGCATTGGCTTCTAGATCACTGCACTGCCACATACCTATATATTGCAGTTTGAAAACCATATCCTAAGCCATCCTGGACAATTTTTTTCCCCTAACAAAGAGGCAATTACATGTTTTGTTGGATTATTTGATAGAATTTGATTTCAGAAAACTTAATATGACATTTGAATTCTTAAAACTAACATATAGATAATTCCATACTGTTAGTAGGTAGTGAAATAAGATAACACATGAGGATATTCTATTTTCTTTGGCCCATGTATCCAAATCTCCAACAACCTGCTCAGTCAGCTTGGCCAGTCCAACATAGACACCCCCTCAGGCCCACAGTGGGCACGTTTCTCTGGCTGCCCTCCTGGGATATCCTTGGTCATTTTGCCCAGGTATCCCTGGTTCCTTGGGAAAGTCCTACCCTCCAGGTTTGCTCAGCGCAGCCCTATACCATGGCTTAACAGCTTTGTGATGGCAGCACTCTCCTAATCATCAGGGAAAAGGTCAGTAAACTCATTTGCAATAATTAGCTGTTAATCAGAGAGTAGTTAATATCAATGTGTTATTCTGTTCCAGGATTTTCTTTCCTCCCTTGAGATTTCTCCAAGGATTTCCCAGAGTCCTGATTGTCCTGCTTCTACTGATTCTTCAGTAACAGGGTCTATCTTCTTGCCTTGCTGGGTAGAAGAAGCAGCAAGAAAATACTTTTTCCCAGCCTTCTCTAACCTCTCTTGGTCATTAGTCAAGTTTCATCTGCTTCTGGCTCCTAGTTCCTGGAATGAAAAGGAGGAGGCTGACCCAAAAATCAGCTGGGGCTCCTGAGAAGACACTCACCATCACCTTATCCACCCAATGGCAATGGCAAAACTCTCTTTGTAATGTAGACTTCAGCAATGGAACCTTCCTCCAGGATAGTAGCCAAAGTGAGGGGTGGAAATAGGTCTCCCTTCCTGGGACCCTTAGGCAGCCCTCAATGGGTAATAGTAATAAGTGTCATGTAGGGAGCCCTATGATTTACAAAGTGCTATTTCAGTGTTTCACTTGATTATCGTAATAGCTCAGCAAGGGATATGTAAGAGGAATAATAGACATGTTAGTGTTGGCCACAGATTTGAGAAGAAAAGAGAAACATCTACTAGATCAACCTTAAATGTCCCCACCATTGTTCTTGTCTTGGTCCATGAATGCCAGTGTTTTCAGTCTGATGATTGGTCTGGGGAAGAATCTTTTGTTCATATTGGATTAATTGGTATCTCATTCCTGGTTGCAAACTTTTCACCGTCCCAAAAGGTGAATTCCTCATCTTTTGTACTCTGGGGCTCTGCTACAGTGGAGGTGTAGAAAAGCTGCCTTCAATCCCACTCTTGCCTTCTGAAGTTCAGTTTCACATCTAACTGGGGCATAGGCAAAAGGATATGATGGTTCTTGAATGTTCTCAACCTGCCACATCTGTAACTCTCAAATTCTGAAAACTAACATGTCTCTTTTAACCAGCCCAGCTCTATCTTTGGCTCTGGTCCTACACATCACACAGTGTCCAGCCTGCCATATGCTGGGCTGTGTCACTGTTTAGCAAAAGAGGATGCTGAGTGGGTCTGGTTGCTTGGAACATTTACTCACTTGGCCCTGGGCACTACACTGGTTTCCCATCTGCTTCTGAGTACAGTTCCGGGATCTGATTCCAATTCTGAAAGTAGGAGATGGTCTGAGACCCACCCTCACTGGGCCCTGACTCAACATTAGGTACACAGACCTTCCTTCTGGTTTGGCAGCTTTCAGTCAGTTAAACTTAGCTCAATTCATTAAGCATTTTTTGAGCAATGTGAGTTATGTCCTGGTTGAAAGTAAAGTTGGAGTTAGGAAACCTCTATTCCAGCCAAAGCTAAATGTCCTAGATACTGTCGCTTTTTCCTTCTAGATCTCCTCACCCTCCTTCATCTTGCCCTTGGCTCCAGAAGGGTAACTATTATAGGATTTATCAATGGGCTTCTTTGTTCTCAAGGTTACAGTTGGGTTTGACCAATGGAAGTACCCAGAGTGGATATGGAAAAGTGATGTCAGGTTATTTATTCCTCCTAATCTCCCTCTTTGAGCTTGTTTGGGGATGGCTGAGTTTCCTTACTGAAGATCCTTTTTCCTCTCAAGGCATCTTCATTATAGCCCTCTCCTTCCAGTTTCTGGTAACACTCCTGATTCTTATCAGTTAAGAGTGGCCACAGTTACCTGTTACTAGCCTTGAGGCACTACATTATAATATGTAGTTTCCCTACATCCTATCCACACAGTTCCATTATAAACTCTCCTTGAATTATCCTAATTGGGTTGTGTCATGTTTTAACACTTTGACAGATACACTGTGTGATTTGGGGCAAATCACTTTATAGGGGCAAATTACCTCAAATGTAGTATAAGAAGTTTCAAGCAGATAATAATATCCCTTCCTATTCTAAATTTTCTTGGCAATGTAGGGACTGCAAAATAAATCTCTTTTTTGGGGGAACTTTGAGTCACATTGAAGATATAACCTATTTACCTACTAAATGCAGAATGGAACTAAGTATCTAAGTGATTAGGATGCATAATAAGTGCTCTAAGAATTCAGAAATGGGCAACGTCATTGTGAACTAAATAGTCAGAGGAAACATATGGATCTGTCAATAAATTTCACCCCAACACAAGAGAGTCATTTCTTAGTGGATTTTCTAATCTAGATCCAGGATGACTATTGTATTCAAAGATGTACCAAAGTGGATGGCCTGTTTTGGAGCTATTCCAAAGAGCACACAGAGTATTTGCCAGTCTGGGACAAGGTTTCCTGAAAATGACTTACCCTTGAGACTGAGCTCAGCCACATCCCACAGTAAAATACAAAACTTCTGGGAGGTCTTGAAACACTCTTTTTAAAAAGTACAGAAAGAGCAGGGGATTCGGTGTTGAGAGGCTGGAATTCTAATCTCACCTGTCATTTAATTAGCTATACCTTGAATTTTTTAATCTAAAAATAATCTATGTCTTTGGTTTTACAATAGCATCCCCTTTTCCATAGGGGATACATTCCAAGATCCCCAGTGGATGCTTGAAATTATGAATAGTACCAAACCCTACATATAGTATGTTTTTTCCTATACCTACATCCCTGTGATAAAGTTTAATTTATAAATGAGACACAATAAGAAATTAACAACTAATAATAAAATGGAACAATTATAACAATATACCAGCATCATTATTCATGAGCTTTCAGGCCATTATCGCATAAAATAAGAGTTATTTAAACACAAGCCCAGTGACACCTTGACAGTTGATCTGATAACTGAGATGGTTTCTAAATGACTAAGGAGTGGGTAGTGTAGACTGTGTGAATACACTGGACAAAGGGATGACTCATGTCCCTGGCAGGACAGCAGGAGATTTCATCATGCTACTCAGAATGGTGCACAATTTAAAACTTATAAGTTGTTTATTTCTGGAATTTTCCATTTAACATTTTTGGGCTGTGATTGAGCATGGGTAACTGAAATTGCGGAAGGCAAAACTGCAAATAAGGGTTAAGTACTGTATTTGTAACAGGCTACTTATGCTTTTTTATTTGATTCAGAGATATTAGAGACACACAAATATAATAATCACCCTCCTATTCATCATACAGGTAAAGAAATAAAATATTCGCAGTACAATTAAAGACCACAGTAGAAGTGTCTTTCTTAATTAGTTACTTCTCTTTTTCCATCAAAAATAATGCCTACTCCACCAGCCTGACCAACATGGAGAAACCCTGTCTCTACTAAAAATGCAAAATTAGCCGAGCATGGTGGTGCATACCTATAATCCCAGCTACTGGTGAGGCGGAGGTTGCGGTGAGCCGAGATCGCGCCATTGCACTCCAGCCTGGGCAACAAGAGCGAAACTCCATCTCAAAAAAATAATAATAAATAATTAAAAAAAAAAAATGCCTACTCCCTCTCTTCCCCCATCCCAATCAAGAGCTAAGGCCAAGACAGACAAGTTGCTTTGAAAACTTCTTTTGGGGTATGGAAGCCTCAGTTTCACTGGGCTATAGTATAGTACAGCATGTGGGTCTTAGCTTTATGTGAATACTGCTTGGTTAGGCCCAGACCTTTCTACTGTGTATCTAAAAAAACTCAAAAGTCCTAGATTTTTGTATCAGTAAATATCATCAGAACCTCCAAGGCTTCAGGTCTGGCTTACCCACCTGGATTCTGTCTGCTCCTTGGTTTGGTTTTGACCCTTGAAAATTGCCCTTATGTTCTTACCAGCTCAGCGGTGCATTTTAAAAAATAAATATTTGAAAAACATATTTGTATCTTATGGGAGAATTTTTTTTTAAACTCTAGTTTGTCATATTTTAAGGTGCAGAATATAGGTGATTTTTATTGTACTGAGAATCAAAGCCTACTCACACTGGGAGATTAAAAGCCCTTCTTTCACCTCATAAGTGTGATGACCATTGCCTAAACTAGTAATAATAATAGAAACACTTTTATGACCAAGAAGCTAATCCAGTTAACCCATATCTCCTGTAATTCAAGCACATTGACTGTTAGAAACAAATAATGGAAAAGTGGAATAACAGTCTCTTTGGCAGGATTGGCCAGAAGTTTTCATTTAAAGTTCCTAAAGGCAAGGACCATTTTTTTGAAAACATTCACAAATTTATTGGGTTTGAGTTTATTGGGGCCAGAAGTAGTCATATTTATTTTTACATCTATCATAGTGTTTAGCAAATTTCCTGTTGCATTGCAGGTGTTCAATGCATGTTTGCTCATTTGATTTGAAATGACTCTTCCAAGTTCAGTGCAGAAACAAAATGGTTCTAATATTTCTTCTTGATTTGCCTGGTCTGACACTGCAATTGAGCCAGCTCGCAGCCATCCTTTCTTTGTGTTGTACAAAATTTATGACTTTCATGATCTAATCTTGGCATCATTCACTTGCAAAGTATTTGTTTGGTTTGTAGAAAAATAAGTAACTTGTAAGTAGGCAATTTAAAAAAAAATTATTTGCAATCTTCTGTGAACTGGTGGTAACTCTCAAGTTAAACATATAATTCTAGTAAGTGTAATACAATAAATGGCA
This sequence comes from Homo sapiens, assembly GCF_000001405.40. Taxonomy (NCBI): domain Eukaryota; kingdom Metazoa; phylum Chordata; class Mammalia; order Primates; family Hominidae; genus Homo; species Homo sapiens. The sequence goes on along the minus strand of NC_000005.10, from coordinate 41,413,070 downwards.
GAGTTTATTATTATTCTTTGTTTTGTTTTGATCTCAACTTAGGATCATTAGAAAATTACTGGTTGTCATGTCGTTACTTCTTTTTTCCTTAAGAGACCAAACATGAGTAGGAATATAGAATGCAAATTTGACCACAATTTAAATCCAGTCTAAACAATTCCTACCAGAAGACAGTACAAATAGTTGAATTAAAGAAAGGCTTTACAGTTTTCCTTAAGAAGTAAAGCACTGTTAGAGATGTGTTTGTGTCTGTGTATACTCTAAATTGTATGTCACCAAGTCCAGACAATATCAAGTCCTTTTAGCATTAGGGGGTTCTTTGAGGTAAGATCTTGAGTGACTACAGATAAGAAGTAGAGGCTGACACAATAAAAGATAATGTAATAAAGATGTGAGACATTAAGGCTGAAACAAGAAATGCCTGTTTTCTGAGGCGGAGGGGTGCAGACTGAAAACAGTATGTGATTAGAAGGTCATTATCAAGGGCGAGTGGCAAAGGAGCACATTGCCACTGTAATTTCCCACTAACAGCTCTCATGTCCTTGACTTCTTTTAAGTTAGGTACACAACTCTGAGAAAAGACAGGAAGAAATAATGAAGTAAAGGTAAAGAAAGGGTGTAAGTCACCTCCTAATAAATGAGACTACTGAATTTCTGAGAATTTATTATAAAAGATATAGGAAGAGTTTCATTTCGGTATAATTAATAAAAGAGATAACTCGAAACACATACTTATAAAGGAATTGTTAAAGTATTTATTAGCATATACGGCACAATGCAATCATTTAAACAATGTTTGAAGACTATGTAATACTACGGAAAAACATTGATGTTGTAACCCAATGCATTTGGTATATATTTTTTTCCTAAAGAGACCAAACATGAGTAAGAATATAGAGTATAAATTTGACCACGATTTGAATCCAGTCTAAACAGTTCCTATCAGAAGACAATATAAACAGTTCAGTGTATTAAAAAGGCCTAAAAAAATTCCTTAAGAAGTAAAACAATTGTTAGAAATGTGATTGTGTCTGTGTGTGCTCTAAATGGTGCAGCTATACATACATACAGATAGATAGATATGGATATATATGGATACATATATATATATGGATACATATATATGGATACATATATATGGAGATATATATATGGATACATATATATGGAGATATATATATGGATACATATATATGGAGATATATATATGGATACATATATATGGAGATATATATATGGATATCAATATGGACATATATATATCCATGATCAATACTCTATATGACCAAAACTATTATAAAAATATTATAAATTATAAATTATAAAATTATAAAATATAAAATTATAAAAATATTATTTGGAGTAAGGAGTTTGGGAATGTTTGCATGCCATGTAAGATTTATAAGACCAAATATCATGTAGCATGAAGGTGATACTATTCAGAATCATCTTATGATGGGCTCAACTTGGTACCTACATTCTAGTTTTTAGAAACCAGTTTGTTTGTTTGTGCCAGTTTTATAAACATTTCTTATTATCCCAGCTCTGCTGTGAGATTGGAGAGCAAAAGGAAATATATTCTCTACATATCCAGATCTCAAATCCCAAGGCTAGAGGAAGAGAAAGGGAGACTGGAAGGAAGAGCAAAGAAATAATCCCCAACCCTCAAACACTCCCTTGATAAAGAAAAGATCCAGCTATTGGCAAGAAGTGGTGTTTGGTGAGGGCATCATAGAATCAAAGGCTGGTATTTCAAGGAGATGTTATTTCTGTAGCACAAACATGATTAAGGGTAATGTTGTGTTATTTCAGATTTTCTTTATTCATAAAAGGAAAAGAAATAGTGCCAGACATACAAGAACAAAGGTAAATAGGCTTCAGAGGCCTTCTTGGTTCTCAAATCTAAGAGAATTTAATAATTAGACTGTTTATTTGCCAGGTTTTGTATTTGTTTTCTTCTTAGAGGGAAAACACAATCGAGTCATTGTCTTTCAGAATAGTTGGTTTTAGTGATATGGACTTGTTTTTATCTAATCTGCCCTCCCCCATTTGCCCAGGCTATGTGTTCTGTCTTCCCACATAAGAGCTGCTCCTGTGGTTACATATACTCAAGACTGCCCCAAACTGCAGGGTCTGCCACCACCAGGAGGCTCCAGTGGAGAAATCGGGGGAGAAGGTGGCATAAAAAAGATATCAACGTCTTATACAATTAGCTGCTACAGAGGAATAGGGAAGATGTGGCTGACTGTGTGGCAACCACATTTCCTTTCCCAACTTTCTTTTCTTATGCTGCACGTTACCTCTATATGGCACTGACTTTTGTTTGCTTCTCTTTCAACCGCTGCTGTTGATGCTCAGTTTTAGGTCCTTGTCACAAGGATAAAACTGCTGGGAAAAAAGGTGGCCATAAAGTGAGGTGCCCTACACTTGAGCCTCCTTCAGATGGCCTGGGTAGAAGGACAGCTGTCAGTGCTGAGCCTGGATATCAGAACATACAGTAATAGTAAGAATCTGAAACGGCACATGTGTAAGGAGCAGAGCCTTCCAGAATTGGCAGGGCTTGGCATTGCGACATCCGGTACAGGAAATTCACGGTCCAGGGAATCATAAAAGGAGCTGGGGGGCGGGGGACGGGCACAGCGGCTCACACCTGTAATCCCAGCACTTTGGGAGGTTGAAGTGGGCAGATCACGAGGTCAGGAGATCAAGACCATACCGGCCAACATGGTGAAACCCCATCTCTACTAAAAATACAAAAAAAAAATTAGCCAGGCGTGGGGGCGCACGCCTGTAGTCCCAGCTACTCAGGAGGCTGAGGCAGGAGAATTGCTTGAACCCAGGAGGCGGAGGCTGCAGTGAGCCGAGATCACGCCACTGTACTCCAGCCTGGGCAACAGAGTGAGACTCCGTCTCAAAAAAAAAAAAAAAAGATAAATAAAAGGAGGGGGGCTTTAGAAGACATTAATCTATCTAAAGTACCCCAGAGGCTGTGGCAGTATTTTCTTTGAGTTAGTTCTGAGAGCTTATGACAACCATGTTGTTTGTAATCTCTCAGTATAATTCTTATTAATTCTTTCATTCATTCATTCATTTGGTGAAAACCTACTCTGTGCCAGGCACTTAGTTCTCAGTGTTAATAATGTAGAAATTGTAATTCATGGTGATAATAAAAGTTAATACTTCTTGAATATTGTCTGCATAATTTGTGTTTACTGCTTATCACTTATTTTATAATCTTTATAAGTAGTGATATCAGTCCTATTTATAGATGAGGATGTTGAGGTTTAGTGAAATGAAAATATATTATTTCATGCAACAAATATTTAGGGAACATCTTTCATGTACTAGTGGCAGTGCCTTTTGTTGAGGGCACAATAGCGAACAAGACAGATTCTATACTAATTCTCATGGAATTTAAATGCTAGTGGGGAGAGATAGACAACAAGCAAATATGCAACTAAATAAAATGAAACTTGAAGCTAGTGATAAACTCTATGAAGAAAATATCACTAGATCATGTGATACAGACTAACAGGCAGCAGGGGAGGGTTGGATGAGTTAGATACTTTAGATACGAGGTTTATTTAAGAAGATGACATTTAAACTGAGACTTGAATGAAAAGGTGCTAGCCATGCACACAATGAGGGGCAGAGTATCGCAGGCAGTGGGATTACCAAGTGCAGGGGCTAAGCTGAAATGAGCTTAGTATATTTGATAAGCTCAAAAAAGCCTGCTGTGGCTGGAGCCCAGCCAGCAAAGGGAGAGTGATCCATTTTGTGACCTTAGCACCCTGGGCTTAAGGCTGCTCAAGGCTCCCGATAATCCAGTTTCTCCAGCTTCATAGGTCATCTTTGGGGGCAGTGAATAGGAAAAGAACTAGACAGTTTCCTGTACAAAACAGATTTTTTAATGTTTTCTTGTAAATAAAGCATATCTTTCCCTTAGGTCAAGACTGTCTTGTCCTCCTTGGGCTGTTCAGGCTCTTGGAGGCTAAGGCAAAATAATGACACAAGCAACTGGGTTCACTTCTGGTTCTCTCCCAAGTTGTTTGCCAACAGACATGTCCTTTTTGGATTCTTCTCTGTGTTCTGCTAAAATAGCCAAGGCAATAGTGTTAATAAAATCTGCTCTTTTTCTTCCTCATCTTTGCCACATCTCTGTTATGGACACTTTCCTCCCCCATCTTTCTTATTATTTAGTCATCCTTGATTCATCCTTCTCCCTGACTCACTACATTTGGAAGGGTGATCGTTACAAATGTAGAAATATATACATTTGAAAATGCAGCTTGGTGGCCTCAAGGGTAAGAGGAATTAGGCTTACTTATGCGACACCGTATTCTTATGGCCACAGACTTGTGTTTGACTTCTTAATAAAGATGTGCGGATTGACTTCCAGAGTTCTTCTTATGAGTATTAATAACTAAATAACCTCAGACAGTTTATTAAAATAAAATTAATCACAAAACTTATTAATAAATGTTCTGTCAACCTTTTTGTTTTAAAAAAAAGTTTAGTTCAGATTTTTTTATATGTGACAGGAAAGTATTCAACCAACAACACAGGTGTTGTGACATCTCCCAAAACTTAGAATGTCCTCATATAATCACAACTCAGATCAGATAAGCAGAAGTATGTGTGTCAACATGTATGTGTGTTTGTGTATATGCATATGTGTGTATGTGTCAGAAAAGAGACTGAGAGTGGAAGCACAGGAAACTCAGGGCTCAGGAAAGAAGGCAATGTAATGAGTAGTTGATGAGCAAGAAGATGTCTGTATTACCTTAATACCTCACATTCAAAGTGTGGGCCTTGAAAGAGCAGCATTGGTAATACCTGGGTCTCTTATAATTCTTTTTCTGGAAGCCCTGCTGATAATCTTTAAAAATAAATTCATATGAGAAAGAGACTTAATAGTTTCACCATGGATGGCAATGGGAGCAAGCTCTTTTTTTCTGCCTCTTGATCTGAATAATCTGAATATTGATGCTGTTAAATGATTCGTTGTCAGCTCATCTACTGGTTTAAAGAAATGACCCAGCAAGTTGATTAAAATTGTGATGAATACTGAACTTCTCTACTCCTCAGAGTCATCAGTAAAATAGGACTTCTCAAATTTAGCATCTTGAATATTGGATCAAAAGACTTAAATAAGGAAACCAACTTTCTTTACATGAGCTCACTGTAAGATGTACTGAGGAGGAGGCTTTACACAATATGAAAGATACAGATTTGCCCAAAGAGAAATCACAGCATGACTATCTTGATGCTTTCTTTAGAAAAGGATTAAACTTAGTGTTCCGTGAGCTATTTTGGGTTTAATATTAAAAAATGTATTTCCTATTCATTTATTATGTCAAGTGAAATACACATATTAAGTTACAGGTCTGTGGTTTTCAATGATCTGTTCAATTCTAGAAGTCTTGTAGATTGTGATACATATTGTGTGTTGTCTTTAATGACATAAAATCTCTTGGATTGTTCATAAAGACTCAATCACGAGCTGGAAGATTGAGGCAAAATTATGTGCCAGGAAAAAGAAGTGATCCTTTCTGCTCAATGGCTGGTCTTTGTCTCCAAAAGTCCAAATAACTGATAAGTTTAATCAACACAGTAAGCAAAAATTAAGATTAATTGTTAGCTGTCAGGTAAGAATCAAATGAGTAAATTTTGAAATTTTTTTTTCTTGTCATGTTGATCATCATGTATTCACAATTTGAACTATCTTCCAAATCAAGTAGAAGTATTTTGAGATTTAATATTATTTTCATAATCTGTGTATTTTATCTCCTCAGTTACATACCAAGAGTAGATTTCATTTTTTCTAAGTACTATCAGGAATGAACCACTGCCTATCCAGTTACATAGAGGACCATGTACTGAAGTCAATAGTCCCACATAACATCAGCCAGATTTGAAACCTCTCAAGGCCAGAGTCCACACAAAGGGCCATGCTTAGGGATTTGATATAAGGCAACAGGGAATGGTGCTAGCTTAGAACTCTTAAGACAGTGGTATGAAAAAAATACTGGCAGGCAGGCAGACTCAGCAGATGACCAGGCTCCAGCTACCAGTCTAGCATTTAGTGACAGGGTGGTAGAGGGCTATAAAAGCAAATAGTTCCTTTAGGCGAGTTGAATGCTAAATACATTACCAAGTCAAAAGTCTTGTTAATGAAAATGAGACAAAAAGCAAAAGGAACTTTTTAACAAATGCCAATGTATTGGGCTGGAAAATAATTATATATCTTTTACCTAAGATTAAATCCATTCTAGAGGCTGAGGCAGGGTAATGACCATAGAGGAGGGTTGAATGATCGCAGCTGAGATGAAGGGAAAGCTACAGAGGATTGAATCAAAGCAGTACCTGAAAGCTATTTCAGTGGCCCCCACAGGAAGCCAGACCACTGTCAATGGAATGGAAGAGAACAAAACAGATCTGAGAGAGGATTTGGAGAGAGAGGATTTATGCCTCTACACAGTATTTACCATGACACAGTACAACTTCAAGACTGATTGAGTGTAAGGTTTGAAGGGCAAGCAAGAGTTGAAGATTAACCCAAGGATGAGATAGAAGGATGATGAGATAAGGAAATGTAACAGTGGACAAACAAGAAGGAGCAGATTTAAAGGGGAAGATACTAAAGTCTGTTTGGGACATGTAAGCTTATAGTAACCATGGAACAATAAAATTTAGTTGTCAGATAGGCACACAGGGGCTCTAAAATGCAGGTCAAATTAGATGGTATCAATATTTGATGCATCTATATAAAGGCAAAAGAGACTAAAGAAATGGATGATATCACCCAAGGAAAAAGTATGAAGCAAGTTGAGGTCTGCAATACAGCTTTGGGTGAAGGGAAATGAAGGTGTTAACCTTCATTTGGGAGTTGGAAGGACAGGAGGCAGTAAAGGACAATCACAGAAAGAGAAGAAAATCTAGGAAAGATCCATGTCTCAAAAACCAAAGGAGGAAAATATTTCGAGAAGGAAGCATAGCTGTATCAAATGTTCCAGAAAGGCTGTGCAGGATTCACGTATTTGCTTATTTAATAGAATAAACTTATGTCTACCAAGCTTTGTGCTGAGACTTAAGAATGAAGTCAAGACAGTGACCGGTCAATTTTATTTAGTAGTCATCAATGGCATTTTGCTGGGGTTTTATATGAGTTGCAACAGTGATAACCTTATTACAGTGGGTTAAAGATGGAACCAAAGTTGGGGAAGAGAGAGGCAGATTAAGTAGACTAATCTGAGAATTTGAATGGAAATGGTAAACAAAACAAAACAAAACAAAACAAACAAATAAAAAATTGGACCAATGATTGCCTAATTGGTAAAAAATGTTATTAGTGGATGTAGTTCTCTCACTTTTGAAGCATATCTCATGTGAACAATGGACCCATTGACTTGAATCAAATATTTTTATATTAATACAGCTAGATGCAGCAGTGGGAACAGGGAATTATAAGGCATAGGTTCTTTTTTCTCTTTTAGGGAAGCTTATAATCTAGCTTAAAATCAAGTGTGTGTACATGAGAGACTGCAGGTATACAGCAAGATATAAAGACAGAAAAACAATTTAGTGAACATAACAAGTGTTCGTAATAACATCCAACAATAATTATTACTTGATAGGAGGAGGGGTAGACGATATGAATGTGAATTCAGGAGAAAGACAACTATGGGTAAAAGGCTTTGGTACAAAGGAGGAAATACATGTTGGTTACAGAAGAGACTAAGATAAAAACTTTCATATGGCAAGACAAAAGGGTAAGCTTCACTCCAGAATTCCATCTCTTCCCATGGGAAGTAGAAATATTGCCACTTGCCTTTCTTCTATCCTAGAAAAAGACCTCAAACAACAAAGCTACCCTTATATATCTTCATCCAGCAGCCTCTTTTTGGTTCATAGGTGGAAGGTATGTTTGCTTCCCAACAACCATAGTGTTGGTCCTATTATCATAAAAGGTATGGAGGTATTATATATGTAGAAAGCCTATTGCCAGAAAGCATTGAGCCAAAGAACAGAAATAGAACAGGCAAGGACAAGAAAACATGATGTACTAACACATAGTGTTGTCAAAAGCAAGCTCAGTGCTCTGCCAAAACAAGGAGAGAAGCAGTTCTTATCTTAACTGAGTCAAAGCCTGAATTCCAAGGTCAGGATATGGATACTGGAATTGAACATTCACAGCATGTCAAACCTCAGCACACTGGGGCCTTCTTGGTCTGAAGGGTCACAGATGAAATTGACTTGATACATTTTCTTTGATGTTTATTAAACCTATAATTTTGTAGAATTTGAAATGGGATTATGGCTAAACTGAGAGACCAACCGGAAGTTCATTCCAAAAACTTCTATAAATAATACTGGAAAGATATTAAATGGAGAAAGATTCATACTTACTATATATCATATACAAGTTTTATTAATATAGCAGAATATAAATCTTTAGACACTGCTCAAAGCAATAAAGGATGAAGCAGTTTTTATTGTTCCATATTTATAAAATCTTAGACAGATGGTAGTAAATATTCTTATTTTTTACTAATATTTACAAACCTAAATTCTGCAACTTAAATCATTTCCTTCCTTGCCCTTCTTCCTTATGTGCTTGCATAGCTATCCTAATGTGCATTTGTGTAGGTGATTTTTTTTTTAATTCTCAGGTGAATAGATGTTTGTGCCGAGTTATACCATAAGAAAATAAAATAAGGAATTGTAAGTATTATAGTACTTTTATAGGACTTTCATTAACATGGTTCCACATGGTTCCACTTGTTCCTTATAAGAGTCCTGCAAAGTAGGTGTGAAAGGTATTTTAATTAACCAAATTAGAAAACTGGAGCTAGAAGGTTTGATGATCCTCGAGTATTAAACAGTGAGTTACTGACTGACTGTAAATTTGAGCCTATTTTTCCAAAAATTCTTTCAATGATGCTTTCAGTGCACTCCATTGCTTAATGTATTTTAATCTAAAGGCCAATTTATATGAGTCATTTGCTTGGAAGAGCCAACTTGGAAGTTAATGCATTTTGATACCTGACTCTATGCACCACTTTTCTTTATTGAGCAACCATATATTGTCTTTGATTTTTAAAAAGAAAAGTTAAATTATCAAGATGTTTTATTTAGGCTTATAGAATAGCTATTTATACCCAAAGGACTATAAATCATGCTGCTATAAAGACACATGCACACGTATGTTTATTGCGGCACTATTCACAATAGCAAAGACTTGGAACCAACCCAAATGTCCAACAATGATAGACTGGATTAAGAAAATGTGGCACATATACACCATGGAATACTATGCAGCCATAAAAAATGATGAGTTCATATCCTTTGTAGGGACATGGATGAAATTGGAAACCATCATTCTCAGTAAACTATCGCAAGAACAAAAAACCAAACACCGCATATTCTCACTCATAGGTGGGAATTGAACAATGAGATCACATGGACACAGGAAGGGGAATATCACACTCTGGGGACTGTGGTGGGGTCGGGGGAGTGGGGAGGGATAGCATTGGGAGATATACCTAATGCTAGATGACACATTAGTGGGTGCAGCGCACCAGCATGGCACATGTATACATATGTAACTAACCTGCACAATGTGCACATGTACCCTAAAACTTAGAGTATAATAAAAAAAAAAAAAAACAACAAATAAGTCAATCTGGGTAAATGGCATATGGGTATTCTTAGTGTTATTTTGTACTTTTCTGTATGCTTACAATTATTTCCAAATAATTAAAAGCCTTTAAATAGAAAAAAAAAAAAAGAGTTCCTCTTTTCTAATCTTGTTTTTAGTTTTAAAAGAACCCCTAAAGTGATATTGAAAATTCTTATAGAAATGCATTTTATATCATATCCACAAAGTAAACCTTTTTAGTAAAGCCAAAGGTAGAGAGTCTAGCTACTAGGCCGAAGGTTGGCATAAGATAGAATTCTGAGAATGATTCAACTAACCCAAAGAAGGAAGAAAAAGAGAAAAACAGGAATGCAGGACAGATGCGACAAAGTAAATATAAATGGTGTATTTACCTAACCATAGCAGTGAATACTTAGATGTTAATGGATTACAATTGAATTCAAAAGCAGACATTGTCAGACTGGATATAAAACTAAGTGCCAACAAGTTGTTTTCTACAAGAAACTCATTTTATATCTAAACACAAATAAGTTAAAAGTAAAAATACAAAAATGATATGATATTAAATATTAATATCCAGGACAAGGGCTACTACTAATGATAAAAAGAAACTTTTCATATTAAAGAGATTAACATATTAAAAGACACAACAATTATAGTACTTATAAACAATAAGAGAGCTTCAAAATATATAAAGCAAAAAGTGATGGAACAGAGAATAAAGAATAAATTCACAATTTTGTTAGACATTTTAAAATTCCTTTCTCAATAATTAATAAAACAGATAGAAAATTAATAGAGATATGGAAGACTTGCACATTATCAACCAGGTTAACCTAATTAACATTTACATAGTACTTTGTGCAATAACAGTAGAATAAAATTATTTTAAAGCACACATGAAAAATTTACCAAATAAAATAAAATAAATATCAATAAATTTGTAAGAATTAAAATTATTGAGAGCATGTTCTCTGACAAAAATGAAGTAAATTTAAAAGAATAACAAAAAGCTGCCTAAGAAATCTATAAATATTTGGAAAATAACACATTTATAAATTACTTAGAGGTTAAAGAATAAATCAGAGGGAAAATTATAAAATAATTTTAATTGAATGAAAATGAAAATATAACACTGTAGAATTTCTGAGATGTAGCTAAAGCAGTACTTAGAGAAAAAGCTATCATTAAATGTTTATTTTAGAAAAGAATAAGGTATAAAAATTAGTGATCTAAATTTCAGCCTTAAAAAGCTAAAAAAAAGGAACAAATTAAACCAAAAGCAATTTGAAATAAGAAAATTATATATGAAAAGTAGACATCAATAAGGAAAATACATAGCAGAAAAAACAATGACACAAAAACTGGTTCTTAGGAAATGTCAATAAAATTTAGCATCTCTACTTGCATTCATCAAGAAAATGAAAGAAAGAAAAATATTAACCAACATCAGGAATGAAGGAGGGGCATCACCAGATCCTACAGGCATTAAAAGTGTAATAAGAATATTATGAACAACTTTGTACCAATAAACTCTACAGCTCAGAAAGTAAATGTACAGATTTTTTTGAAAGGCAACTATTACCAAAAGTTAGTTAAGTAAATAGCCTCATTTTAATTTAGAAATTGAATTTATGGTTTAAAAGATTCTCACAAAAGAACTCCAAGACTAGATGGCTTCAACAGTTTATTTAATTCAAAATTTAAGAGGAAAATAATGCATGTCTTACACAAACTCTTTTAGAAAATCAAGAGTCTCGTTATAATAGAATGAGAAAACCAGAAAGCAAGATCACTGGGAGCCATCTGAAAGGCTGCCTATCATAATAGTTAAGACAGTGTGGTGCTGGCATATAGAGAAATCGGGAAACTAATTAGATATTCCAGAGCTAGGCCCATACACATATGGTCAATTAATTTCAGCAAATATGCCAAGGTAATTTAGTGGAAGAAAAGACAGTTTTTTCAACAAGTAGTGTTTGAACAACTGGATGTTCTTTTAACTTTTGACTCTTATATCGTGTCATCCATAGTAACTAACTCAAAATGGTTTGTGGACCCAGATATAAATGCCAAAACTATAAAACTTCCAGAAGAAAACATTTTTAAACTTTTGCAACTTTGGGATAGGCAAATACTTTTTAGAGCACCAAAAGAGGAAACCAAAGAATAAAAAACAAATGCATTGAATTTCATAAAAAATAAAACTTTTGCTGTTTAAAAGACAACATTAAGTACATGGAAGAAAGTCACACACTGAAAGAAACAAAATACTTGTTTCCAGAAGAGCTCTCAGAACTAAATAATTAGAAGCTAACCAAGTTTTAAAATGAGTTAAAGACTGGAATGAACACTTCAAAAAAAAGTGTCAAATAAGCACACTATATTCTTTTTTATTTTTTTTTTAGCTTTTTAAAATTTTCATGTGTACATAATAGGTATGTAGATTTATGGGGTACATGAGATGTTTTGATACACACATGCAATGTGAAATAAGCACAACATAGAGAATGAGGTATCCTTCCCCTCGAACAGTTATCCTTTGAGTTACAAACAATCCAATTATATTCTTTAAGTTATTTTAAAATGGACCATTAAGTTATTATTTGACTATAGTCAACCTATTGTGCTATCAAATAGTGGGTCTTACTCATTCTTTAACTAGTTTTTTTGTACCCATTAACCATCTCCACCTCCTCTGAAGCCCCTCATTATTCTTCCCAGCTTCTGGTAACCATCTTCTACTCTCTATCTCTGTGAGTTCAATTGTGTTGATTTTTAGATCTCATATACAAGTAAGAACATGCAGTGTTTGTCTTTCTGTGCCCAGCTTATTTCATGCAACATAATAATCTCCAATTTAATCTATGTAGTTGCAAATGACTGGATCTTATTCTTCTATGTGGCTGAATAGTACTCCATTCTGTATATGTACCATATTTTCTTTATCCATTCATCTGTTGATGGACACATAGGTTGCTTCCAAATCTTAGGTATTGTAAACAGTGCTGCAACAAACATAGGAATTCAGCTAACTCTTCAGTATACTGATTTTCTTTTTTTGGGTATATACCCAGCAGTGGGATGGCTAGATCATATGGTAGCTCTATTTCTAGGTTTTTGAGGAACCTCCAAACTGTTCTCCATAGTGGTTGCACTAATTTACATTCCCACCAACAGTGTGTAAGCGTTTCCTTTTCTCCACATTCTCTCCAGCATATATTATTGGCTCTCTTTGTATATAAGCCATTTTAACTGGAGTGAGATGATATTTCATTGTAGTTTTGATTTGCATTTCTCTGATAATCAATGATATTGTGCATCTGTTCACATGCCTGTTTGTCTTTGTATGCCTTCTTTTGAGAAGTGTCTATTCAGCTCTTTTGTCCATTTTTAATTGGATTATTAGCTTTATTCCTATACAGCTGTTTGAGCTCCTTATATATTCTGGTTATCAATCTCTTATCAGGGGAGTAGCTTGCAAATATTTGTTCCCATTCTGTATCTCTTCAGTTTGTTGATTGCTGTTTTTGCTGTGCAGAATCTTTTTAATTTGATGCGATCCCATATGTCCATGTTTGCTTTGGTTGCTTGTGCTTCTTGGGTATTGATCAAGAAATGTTTGCCCACACCATGGTCCTGGAAAGTTTCTCCAACGTTTTCTTGTAGTAGTCTCATAGTTTTAGGTCTTAGATTTAAGTCTTTAATACAATTTTGATTTTTTTTTGTATATGGTAATAGACAGGGTCTAGTTTCATTTTTCTGCATATGGATAGCCAGTTTTCCCAGAACTATTTATGGAAGATACTATCTTTTCCCCAGTGTATGCTCATGGCACCTTTATCTAAACTGAGTTTAATGTGGGAGTGTGGAGTTGTTTCTGGGTTCTCTATTTTGTTCTATTGGTCTATGTGTCTGTTTTTATGTCAGTACCATGCTGTTTTGGTTACTGTAGCTTTGTAGTATAATTTAAAGTCAGGTATTGTGATTCCTTCAGTTTTGTAATTTTTGCTTGAGATTGCTTTGGCTATTCTAGGTCTTTTGTGGTTCCATATACATTTTAGGATTGTTTTTTCTATTTCTGTGAAGAATGTCATTAGTATTTTGATAGGGATCACATTTAATCTGTAGATTGCTTTTGGTAATATGGGTATTTTCACAATAGTGATTCTTCCAATCAATGAGCATGGAATATATTTCCATTTTTTAGTGTCCTCTTCAATTTCTTTCATCAGTTTATAGTTTTCCTTATAGAGATCTTTCACTTCTTTGGTTAAGCTAATTCCTAGGTATTTAATTTTATGTGTGGCTATTGTAAATGGGATTACTTTATTTCTTTTCCCATTGTTCACTGTTGGCATGTAGAAATGCTACTTTTTTTTTGTATGTTGATTTTATATCCTGCAACTTTACTAAATTTGTTTATAAGTTCTAATAGTTGTTCTCTGAAGCCTAGATTTTTGAAATATTAGTTTATATCATCTGTGGACAAGGATAATTTGGCTTCCTTTTCAATTTGGATGCTCTTTAAGTCTTTCTCTTGTCTGATTGCTCTAGCTAGGGCTTCCAGTAGTATGTTGAATAACAGAGGTGAGAGCAGGCATCCTTGTTGTGTTCTAGATTTTAGAGTTTTTCTCCGTTCAGTATAATACTAGCTGTGGGTCTGTCATATATGGCTATTATGTTGAGGTAGATTCCTTCTATCCCCAGTTTTTGGGGATTTTTATCATAAAGAGATGTTGGATATTATGTTTTTTTCAGCATCAATTGAAATGATCATATAGTTTTTATTCTTCATTCTGTTGATATGACGTACCATGTTGGTTGATTTGCATATGTTGAACTATACTTCATCTCAGGGATAAATCCCTCTTGGTCATTATGTTAGTCTTTTCTCACATTGCTATAGAGAACTACTTGAGACTGGGTAACTTATAAAGAAAAGAAATTTAATTGACTCACAGTTCCACAGGCTGTACAGGAAGCATGGCTTGGAGGCCTCAGGAAACTTACAATCATTGCAGAAGGTGAAGGGAAAGCAAGCAGATTTTACCATGGCAGAGCATGGGAGAGGAAACAGGAAAGTTCTACACACCTTCAAACAACCAGATCTCATGAGGACTCACTCACTATCACAAAAACAGCCAGGGGGAAATCCATCCCCATGATTTAATATCTCCCACCAGGTCTCTTCCCCATCACTGGGGGTTACATTTCAACATAAGATTTGGATGGGGACACAAAACCAAACCATATTATACTGCTTCTGATCCCTCTCAAATCTCATGTTCTTCTCACATTTCAAAACACAGACGTGCCTTCCTAACAGTCCTCCAATGTTTTAACTCATTCCAGCATTAACTCAAAAGTCCAAGTCCAAAGTCACATCTGAGACAAGGTAAATCCCTTCCATCAATGATCCTGTAATATGAAAAACAAGTCAGTTACTTCCAAGATGCAATAGGCATTGGATAAATCCTCCCATTCCAAAAGGGAGAAATTGACCAAAACAAAGGGGTTACAGGACCCATGCAAGTCAAAAACCCAGCAGGGTAGACATTATATCTTAAAGCTCTGAAATAATCCCCGTTGACTCTATGTGTCACATTCAGGCCGCACTGATGCAAAGGATGGGCTCCCAAGGCATTGGTAGTTCCACATCTGTGACTCTGCAGAGTACAGCCCCCATGGCTGCTTTCACAAGCTGGTATTGAGTGACTGTGGCTTTTCCAGGCACACATTGCAAGCTATCAGTGGATCTACCATTCTGGGGGCTGGAGGATTGTGTCTCTCTTCTCACAGCTCCACTAGGCAGTGCCCCAGTGGGGACTCTGTGTCGTGGCTCCAACCCCACATTTCCTCTCTGCACTGCCCTCATACAGATTATCCTGTACTAGGAGAGCTCTACCCCTGCAGAAGACTTCTGCCTGTACATCCAAGTGTTTTCATACATCCTCTGAAATCTAGGCAGAGGCTTCCAAACCTCAACTCTCGCCTCCTGTGCACCTGAAGGCCCTAAACCATGTGGAAGCCACCAAGGCTTGGGGCTTGCACCCTCTGAAGAAATGTCCCAAGCTGTACCTAGGCCCCTTGTAACCATGGCTAGAGCTGGGGCAGCTGGAATGCAGTGCTCCAGGTCCCAATACTACACAGAGCAGCAAGGCCCTGTGCCTGGCCCAGGAAACCATGCTTCCCTCACAGGCCTCCAGGCCTGTGATAGGAGGGGCTGCCACAAAGGTCTCTGAAATGCCCTAGCAATATTTTCCCCATTGCCTTGGCTATTAGCATTTGGCTCTTCTTATGCAAATTTCTGCAGCCTTGAATTCTTCCCCAAAAAATGGGTTTTCCTTTTCTACTGCATGGTAGGGCTGCAAATTTTCCAAACTTTTATGATCTGCATTCCTTTTAAATGTAAGTTCTAGTTTCAGGTCACTTCTTTGTCTATGCAAATGATTGTAGGCTTTTAGAAGCAGCAAGGCCACATCTGGAGTGCTTTGCTGCTTAGAAATTTCTTCAGCCAGATATTTTAAATCGTCTTTCTCAAGTTCAAAGTTCCACAGATCTCTAGAGCAGGAGCACAAATGCTTCCAGTCGTCTCTTTGCTGAAGCATAGCAAGTGCGAGCTTTGCTCCAGTTTTCAATAAGTTCCTCATCTCCATCTGAGACCACCTCAGCTTTGACTTCACTGTCCATATCACTATCAGCATTTTGATCACAACCATTCAACACATCTCTAGAAAGTTCCAAACTTTCTCTCATTTTCCTGTCTTCTTCTGATGCCTCCAAACTGTTCTAAACTCAGCCCATTACCCAGTTCTAAGGTGGCTTCCACATTTTCAGGTATCTTTATAGCAATGCCCTACTTCTCTGGTACTAATTTTCTGTATTAGTCCATTCTCACATTGCTATAAAAAACTACCTGAGACTGGGTAATTTATGAAGAAAAGAGGTTTAATTGACTCACAGTTCCACATGCTGTAAATGAAGCATGGCTGAGAGGCCTCAGGAAACTTACAATCATTGTGGAGGGTGAAGGGGAATCAAGCATGTCTTACCATGGTGGAGCAGGAGAAAGAGAGAGAGAGAGAGAAGGGGGAAGTGCTACACACTTTTAAACAACCAGATCCGTTGAGAACTTGCACACTACCATGAGAACAGCAAGGGGGAAATCTACCACCATAATCTAATCACCTCCCACCAAGTTCCTCCCCTAACATTGGGAATTAAAATTTGTCATAAGATTTGGGTGGGGACACAGCCAAACCATTTCAGTCACGGTGAATGATCTTTCTAATCTATTGTTGAATTCAGTCTCCTAGTATTTTGCTGAGGATTTTTGCATCAATATTCATCAGAGATATTGGCCTGTACTTGTGTTTTTTGTTTTGTTTTGTGGTTTTTTTTTTTTCTTTGATGGGCCTTTGTCTGATTTTAGTATCAGGGTATGCTGGCCTCATAGAATGAGTTTGGAAATTTTCCCTCCTTCTCTATTTTTAGAATAGTTTGAATCAGATTGGTATTTGTTATTCTTTAAATATTTGGTAGAATTCAGCAGTGAAACCATCAGGTCCCAAGCTTTTCTTTAGTGGGAGACATTTTATTACAGCTTCAATCTCATTACTTGTTACTGGTCTGTTCAGGTTTTGGATTTCTTTTGGTTCAGTCTTGCTAGGTTGAATGTATCTAGGAATTTGTCCACTTCATCTATATTTTCCAATTTATTGGCATATAGTTGCTCATAGTAGCTGCTAATGAGCCTTTGAATTTCTGCAGTATCAATTATAATGTTTCCTTTGTTATTTCTAATTTTATTTAGATAGTCTCTCCTTTTTTCATTGTTGGCTAAAGGTTTTTCAATTTTGTTTAACTTTTCAAAAATCAACTTTTTGTTTCATTGATATTTTGTATTGTTTTTTCATTTCAATTTCATTTATTTCTGCTCCGATATTTATTATTTCTTCTACTAATTATGGGTTTTGTTTTTTCATACTTTTCTAGTTCTTTAAGATTATTAGATTATTCATTTGAAGTTTTTCCTTGTTTTGATGTAGGCACTTATAGCTATAAATTTCCATCTTAGTACTAATTTTGCTGTATCCCATAGGTTTTGGTATATTGTGTTTCCATTATCATTTGTTTCAACAAATTTTTCAATTTCCTTTCTAACCTGTTCATTGATACACTTATCATTCAGAAGCATATTCTTAAATTTCTGTGTATTTGTATAGTTTCCCAAATTCATCTTGTTGTTAAAATTGAGTTTTATTCCAATGTGGTCAGAGAAGATGCTTGATATTATTTAAATTGTTTTGAACATTTTAAGATTTGTTTCATGACCTAATATATGATATATTCTTGATAATATATCCATGTGCTGAGGAAAAGAACATGTATTCTGCAGCTCATGGATAAAATTTTCTGTAAATATTAGATCCATTTGGTCTATGATGCAGATGAAGTCCAACAAGTTTCCTTGTTGATTTTCTGTCTGGAAGATCTGTCCAATGCTGAAAGTGTGGTGTTAAAGTCTTCAGCTATTACTGTATTGGGGCCTATATCTTTCTTTAGCTCTGATAATATTACCTGCTTATATCTAGGTTATCCACTGTTGGGTGCATATATAGTTAAAATTGTTATATACTTTATATACTCTTGTGAAATTAATACTTTTATCATTATATAGTGACCTTCTTTGTCTCTTCTTTTAGTTTTTGTCTTGAAGTCCATTTTGTCTAATATAAGTATAGCTATTCCTGTTCTTTTTTTTGTTTCCATTGGCATGGAATATCTTTCTCCATCCCTGTATTTTCAGTCTGTGTGGACTTTATGGGTAAAGTGTGTTTCTTGTAGGCAACAGATCAACAGATCTTGTTTTTCCATTCATTTAACCAATCTGTCTGTTGACTGCAGAATTTACTCTATTTACATTCAATGTTATTATTGATTAGTAAGAACTTACTACTGCCATTTTATTATTTGCTTTCTGATTGTTTTATGGTCTTCTTTACTTTCCTTTTTCTTTCTGTCTTCCTGTAGTGAAGGTGATTTTTTTCTGATGATATGTTTTAGTTTATCTTGCTTTTTACTTTTTATGTATTCATTGTATTTATTTTTTATGTATTCATTTTTCTGGTTTCAGGTTACCATGAGGCTTACCAATGCTATCTTATAAACATTATTTTAACCTGATAACAACTTAATACAATTTACATAAACAAACAAGCAGAAAGAAAACTAATAAAAACTCTATTTTAACTTTGTCTCCCTGCTTTTTAACTTTTTGTTGTTTCTATTTATATTTTATTATACTGTCTATGTCTTGAAACATTGTTGTAGTTATTATTTTTCATTGGTTCATCATTTAGTTTTTTTACTTAGGATAAGAGTAGTTTACACACCACAGTGACAGTTTTATAATATTCTGTGTTTTTCTGCCATGTTTACTATTACGAGTGAGGTGTTTTTGTTTTTTTTCTTTTTTTGATGGATTCTCACTCTGTCACCCAGACTGGAGTGTAGTGGTGCGATCTCGGCTCACTGCAAGCTCTGCCTCCTGGGTTCACACCATCCTTCTGCCTCAGCATCCTAAGTAGCTGGGACTACAGGTGTCCACCACCATGCCCGGCTAATTTTTTTTTCTTTTTTTGTATTTTTAGTAGAGACGGGGTTTCACCATGTTAGCCAGGATGGTCTCGATCTCCTGACCTTGTGATCCACCCACCTCAGCCTCCCAAAGTGCTGGGATTACAGGCATGAGCCACCGTGCCCAGCCACCAGTGAGTTTTGTACCTTCAGGTGATGATTTATTGCTCATTAATGTCCTTTTCTTTCTGTTTGAAGGACTTTTTAATATTTCTTCTAGGGTGGGTCTGGCGTGAATTAAATTTCACCTTTTGTTTGTTTGGGAAAGTCTCCATTTCTGCTTCATGTTTGAAGGATATATTTTGCCAGATATACTATTCTAGGGTAAAAGCTTTTCTCTTCAGCACTTTAAATATGTTATGCCACTTTCTCCTGGCCCATGAAGTTTCCACTAAAAAGTCTGCTGCCAGACATATTGGAGCTGCATTTCATGTTATTTATTTTTTTTCTTGGTACTTTTAGGATCCCTTCTTCATCCATGAGCTTTGGAAACTGATGACTAAATGCCTTGAGGTAGTCCTCTTTGGGTTAAGTCTGCTTAGTTTTTTATAACCGTCTTGTATTTGGATGTTGATATCTTTCTCTAAGTTTGGAAAGTTCTCTGTTATTTTCCCTTTGAATCAACTTTCTACCCCTATGACTTTTTCCACTTTCTCTTCAAGGTCAACAAATCTTAGATTTGCCCTTTTGGTGCTATTTTCTAGATTCTGTCTAAGTGCTTCATTGTTTTTATTCTTATTTTTCTCCTCTGGCTGTACACTTTCAAGTAGCTTGTCTTCAAACTCACTAGTTATTTATTCTGCTTGATTAATTCTTTTATTAAAGGATCCCGATGCATTCTTTAGTATACCAGTTGCATTTTTCAGCTTCAGAATTTCAGCTGGATTCTTTTTAATTATTTCAATGTCTTTGTTGAATTTATCTGATAGAATTCTGAATTTCGTCTCTGTGTTATCTCAAATTTATTTGAGTTTCCTCAACACAGCTATTTTGAATTTTCTATCTGAAAGGCCACATATCTCTGTTTCTCCAGGATTAGTCCCTGGTGCCTCATTTAGTTAATTTGGTGAGGTCAAGTTTTCCTGGATGATGTTGATGCTAGCAGATATTTTTTAGAGTCTAAGCATTAAGCAGTTAGGTATTTATTGTAGTCTTCACTATCTGGGCTTATTTGTAGCTATCTTTTTTGGGAAGGTTTTCCAGATACTCGAAAGGACTTGGGTATTGTGATCTAAGTGGTATCTGCTTTAGGGAGCACCCCAAGCCTAGTAACACTGTGATTCCTGCAGACTTGTAGAGGCATCACCTTTATTGTCTTGGTTCAGATCCAGGATAATTCTCTGGATTACCAGGCAGAGACTCTTGTTCTCTTCTCTTACTTTATCCCAAATATACAGAGTCTCTCTCTCTCTTTCTCTCTCTCTCTCCCTCTCTCTCTGTTCTGAGCCACCTAAAGCTGGGGGTGAAGTGACAGAATCACCCCTGTGGCAACCACAATTATGACTGTGCTAGGTCAGACCTGAAGTCAGAAAAGCACTGGCTGTAACCACTCCTTGGCTATGTTCACTCAATGCCCTGGGGCTGTACAATCAGCAGGTGGCAAAGCTAGCCAGGCTTGTGTCCTTCCCTTCAGAGCAGACAGGTACCCCAGGCCTTGGGTAGGTCCAGAAGTGCTGTCCAAGAGTCAGAGACTAGAATCAAAAACCTTATAGGTCTACCTTCTGTTTTACTGTGTTGCAGCTGAGCCGGCACTCAAACTACAAAATGCAGTCCTTGCCACTCTTCCCTCTCTTTCCAAAGGCAGAGGAACCTCATCCATAGCCACCACCACCACCCCAGGCCACGAGGAGTACTGCCACACTATTGCTGGTGTTCCCTTAAGGCCTATGTTCCCTTAAGTCAGCTTGTGGTAGATGCTGCCTGGCCTGGGACTCACCCTTCAGGGAAATGGTCTCCCGTTTGATCCAGGGCATGTCCATAAATGCTGTTCAAGAGTCAAGTCCTGAAATCGAGGACCCCAAGAACCCACTTGGTGCTCTACCCCACTGTGGCTCTGCTGGCACCTAAGGTGCAAGACAAAATCCCCTTTGCTTTTCTCAAGAGTAAGGAATTTTGCCCAGTAGCCACCACAGGTGGTAATGTGCTGAGACTCACCTGAAGCCAGCAAGTCTTAGAGGCTCACCCAAAGCCCTTGATGTAGTACCCGGATATCACTGCTGTTTACTTGGGGCCCAAGGACTCTTCATTTAGCAGGTGATGAATGCCGGCAGAACTACATCTCTTTCTTCAAGGCAGCAGGTTCCCTTCTGGCCCAGGTGTGTCTAGAAATGTCATCTGGGAGCTAGAGCTGAAATGGGGACCTCATGACTCTGACTGGTGTCCTATCCTGCTGTGGCTGAGTTGGTATCCAAGATGAAAGACAAACTCCTCTCAACTCTTCCCTTTCCTCAAGACAAAGGAAGGGGTCTCTTTTGGAGCCTCAAGCTGTGCAGCCTGAGGTTAGGGGAGGGGTGATAACAGTACTCTTTTTGCTTCCTTGGATGATGTTTCTGTGTATCATGTTCCACCTCAGTCCACTGTCCCTGGGCTGAATTCAGCTATAGGACTTGCCTGAATTGCAGTCCTTATGGTCTAGACTGCCTTTTAAGTTTACTTGGAGGCTCAGAGTGCTGTAGCCCTCAGTTGTGAGGTTTGCAGGCAGTCAAGTTTGGACCACTGGGATCTGCAATTCTCCCTCTGGCTAGGGCTATTTTAAATGCTCCCTTAGGAAGCGAGCATCAGCTGATTTTTGTCCAATTTTCATTTCTGCTGTAACAGGACAACATGGAGTTCAATGCCTCACAATTGCTGTGTTCTTCCTCCCCCAGTACCCAGAGTTATTCTCTGTACCAGGCCACTGCCGCCAGGGTAGGGAAGAGTGGCGTCAGCCATTCAGCACTGCTTTTTCTATCTCTTCAGAGCCTCTCTCAGCAATATGAAGTTAAAACCCAGTGCTATGAGTGGTCATCTGATTTTTGTTCCTTATGAAGGTGTTTTTGTTTTTTTTTCTGTGTAGATAGTTATTAACTACTTGGTGTCCTTGCACGGAGGACGATTGGTGGAGCCTTCTATTCCACCCTCTTGCTCTTGCTCTGCCTGTCTCTCAGAAAGATTCTTAACATCTTTATTTGTCAGATATTAGAAAATTAAAACCACTATGAGATACCAGTGTACAACCACTCAAATGACTAATACTAAAAAGACTGACATTACCAAGCATTGGTACCATGTGGAGTAACTGGAACTCTGATATATTGCTTGAGGAAATATAAAATGAGACAATCTTTTTGAGAAATTTGTCAATTTCTTAAAAGGTAAAACAAATACCATTTACCCTAGCAATTCTACTCCTTGGAGTTATGCAATAATAATGAAAGAGAAATGTTTCCAGAAAAAATATTCAGCAATGAACAGTTTTGTTCAGAATTGTCAGCAATGGAAACCACCCAAATGCTCAAAAACAAATGAATGGTTAAATTAATTGTGATGTATGCAAATGATGGAATACTGTTGGAATATGATTTAGCAATAAAAAGAAAAAAAACTACTGATACATACAACAATATAGGATGAATCTCAAAATATATCATCTAAGGAAAAGAAGCCAGACTGAAGAAAGTACATATTGTATATTTCTTTTATATGGAATTATAGAGAAGTCAAAACTAACTTAGAGTGATATATAGCAGATTAGTGGTTGCCTGGATCTTGGGGTGGATAGGAGGAATTTGCTACAAAGGGTCACAAGGGATGACCTTTGTGGTGGAAATGTGCTGTATCTTGATTGTGGTGGCAATTGCTTGGATGCATACATTTTTCAAACTCACAGAATTGTATACTTAAAATGAATACATTTTACTGTCTGTACATTATTCCTCAATAATAATTTAAAAAGGAACATGTCAATGTAAAAAATTCTAGTTAACTGAAAGTTACCATATAAAATATATATGATGTGTATATTTTTAGAAATTTAGAAAATTTAAAAGAAACACAAATTCATCACAAAAATTATACTGACCATGGTTTCCTTTTCTATGGGAGATCTTCTTTCACTTCCTGAAGTTTCTGATGGTCACTGTTACCAACATCAACAGCAGATATGGTGTTGACTGACAGAATCCCCATATGCATGACTATTTTGAGTACTGAAAGTACACGGGAGCCTTTAGCTACAGTTGGTTATCTTTGCCTATATGCACAGAGGCTCTTCTCATGTTGGGATATTTGACTTCTGTTGCAAAGAACACAGTACAGCTTATCTTGTCCTTTGTAAGTTAACATCTGTTGCTCAAAAATTCAGCTATGTCTTCTTATGCATCTGTGTTGGTATCTGGAGGAAGGAGGTATTCTGCTTAATTACTCTCACACTGCTAAATCTTACTTCCCAGTAGGGATTTGGAAAGCAAGGAAGTAGTAAAGACTGGTATTCATTTTGTGGTCTTTTCTGATGCCAGTATCTTGTAACATGGGGAGAAGCACTGAGGGCTGAAGTTTTTCAGTACGTTTTATTTCACAGAGATGCTCTATATCTCAAATCACCAGCACATCAATAGGCTTTAACTGGTTTCTCTGTCTCCAGTATTTTCTGATCCAAGTCATTTTTACTTAGTTCCTCCAGTCTAATCATTCCAGTGGACTAAATCAGAGGCCTTCCTATCAATTAAAAAAAAATCAAGCAAGTAACTGTGATAGAAGTATATTTATCCATAAATTTTATGAGTGTGCTTGTATATATGTATAAATATTATAAATACATTTATATATAAATTATACAAGCATTACTATACTAATGAAATATAAAATATATGTTTTTTTAAAACATATTTCCTACTGTAGTGTTATTATTCTATTATGAACTGGTATTACAAAACATGGTACATACATAGGGTGAAGTTCATAGTTAATAGTAAAAGTGAATCCACATATCAGGTAGTCTTCTTGGTAATTTAATATTATTTTGGTTGTCTTTCTATTAGCTAAAATTATAATACAGTAATATGACTAATGAAAAGCTCATAATAAAAGTATAGGTGTCAGTTTTAGTTTTCTTATTTACTTAATTGAATTATCTTTAGTCTGGTCCTTTTTTATGAAAAAGAAAAAAACTTCTAAAACCACATGTCTATTTTGGGAGTGCTTGGATAATTAAACTCTGCAAGTCTAAAGTCTACTTAACCAGCCAGTATATTACAGCAAACTGCAATGCAGCACAATCTGATCAAATGAATGAGGGTACCATTCAGGGCAGTGGAATTCTCACTGTTTTTAAAAATATCTTGAGTACTGAATATGGTATCTGGCTATCCTGGAGGTGACAGTGGCAGTACAATGTTATTAATGCTTAATTTTTATTATTTTAAGATAAATATATAAATAAAAATAGAAGTGCACATGTTTTCCTTCCACATCCAGATCAATTGCCTTTACTTCCACTGCCTAATTGTAAGTGCCTTGAACACAGCTGATGCTCAGTAAATGTCTGTTGAAAGAATGAAGGAATGCTATTTGGTATAAGGTTTTATTTGTTTGTCTCTATGCCTAACTTCCCTAATTAAATTATAAGACTCTTGAGGGCAAGGATTGTATGTATTTTTTTTTTTAGTTTCCAACTAGTCCACAGCAAGAAACTAAGGCAAAATTAGCCAGATGAAAATGGTCCCATTATGTACCCTGTTTAGTGTGGCTCCCAAGAGCCATTTATCATTTAACCCAAAAAGCAAGGCTACTTTTGCATTTAGTCTAGTTCTTTAAAAATTATTTGCATAAGCCCATTGATATTAATAATCAATGATCAAACATTTTCTCCTCTCTACCCCATGCTACACAATAGTGCCTAAAAAATCATTACCAAAATGTATTATAATTATTTATCTATGTGCATCACATATTAAGCTGTAAATTTATGAGGATGAGAACAATGCTTGTCTTATACTTAGCATAATAACAGCACTTATAGCAGGTGCTTGATAAATGTTTTACTGAATGAGAAATTCATTAGTTTAAAAATAAGAACATTTCTTTCCATCAGGTTGGTAGACCATTTTACTTGAAGAAAACATTTACAAAATAGAACTAGTAGTACATATAATTTTTTACACAGAGAGACTAACTTACTTCCAGTTACTGGGGGCCTTTAATCAGAATGATGTAATTGCCTCAAGTCATTCATATCCCTTTACACATAAAGTCTAAAAAATTACAGAATACTTGCAATAATTTTCTCAACTATACTGTAATACTCGTATGACACTACATATAGAGATGATCTTAAGTAGTGTCCAAATGTATTAGTTTTCTATTGTTGCATTAAAATTACCACAAATATAGTGGCTTAAACAATACAAATTTTCTCACAGCTTCTGTAAATAAGGACGATGGATATGAATTAGCTGGATCCTCTGCTCAGGATCATGCTAGAATCAGAAATCAGAGTGCTGACCAAGACTGCGATCTCTTTTGAGGCTAAGGTTCCTTTTGCAAGCTTGCTGGTTGTTCACAGAACGTGGTTTCTTGAGTTGTAGGAGCTCAGACCTCAGCTCCTAGAGGCTACTTAGTCACTATATTTTGAGGAAAACCTTTTCCCTTTCATCTTGGGTCCAGTGATTGGTGGCCTGCAAACTAACTGTCAATGGACAGATTAACAGATGAAAACACAAGGTTTATTTATACATGCATGATATGCAGATGGAGTGCTCAGTGAGGAGTAACTCCCTGAATAACCAGAAATAAAGGCTCATATACTAAACTTAACAAAAAGTTAAGATTTTAATTGGAAAAGTATGGAATGGTCTACTGGGCTTTATGATGCTTATGGACAGCTACATTTGCACTTCCTGGTGATAAGGATCAGTCTTTTTTTCAATCAGAAGGGGAGGCAATGGCAACTATATTTTCAGGAGGGTCTGCTTAAGTTTGAATAATATTTTTTCTGTTGCTGCTGATTGTTCAGATGCTGTCAGTTTAAATTGATGTTTATACCACTTTAGTGAGCTATTAATGACTTCCATTGCCGTATGGCCTTCTCTACAACACTGCATTTTGCTCTGTTGCTGCTTGTTGTCTCTTTTAAGAGCTTGTCTGCTCAAGTCAGGCCCACTCAGGATAATCTCTCTTTAATTAACTAAGAGCCAACTGATTAGGGACCTTAATTACATATTTTTAAAAGTCTCATTTCTATATAATGTGACATAGTCACAAGAAAAATATGAAACTCAAGCGGAGGGATTATATAGGTCTTGTCACCAGAAGGATGTTTTGGGGGCAATCTTCCTACCATACCAAATGACAGAATGAGAAGTTAAGTCCAGTACTACTGGAAATCATAAAATATAGAAATGATTACACACATTCTACACAGATAAGGTAATAAAATTGATGCTATGTGCCATTTGGTTAGGCCAGATGATATCTCAGATCATCCATAACAGCATGTGGAAAAAAGAAAGTCCATTTGTGAATTCAAGAATATTTTTTAAACCATCTTTAAAATTTTTCTCATACCTGATACAGTTTTCAAGCATAGAAACATGCATATAACATAACCATAGTTAATTTCTCTTCTTTGAAATTCCAACTCCTCCCTTTAGCCAGTTGGGTCTATTGGCCACAAGTCCCTTCATTAACTACAAAGAGATGCTATGGCCTGTATTAGTTAACTATTGCTGTATAACCAATTACCCCTGAATTTAGTGGCGTAAAACAACACAGAGTTTCTGTGTACGTCTATGAATCAGGAAGCTAAGCATTACTTAACTGGGTTCCCTGCTTCGGTCTCTCTCACAGGGCTGCAATCAAGATCTCACTCATGCAGGATTATTTCCAAGCTTACTCATTGGCTGTTAACAGGATTCAGTTCCTTCAGAGCTGTTAGTCTAAAGACCTCTGCTCCCAGCTGGTTTTGGTCAAGGGCCACTACAACCTCTGTGTCACATGGGCCTCTCCAACATGGCAGTTCACTCATCAAAGCAAGGAAAAAAGTAACAAGACAGAAGTTATAACCTTTTGTAACCTAATCTCAGAAGCGGCATCCCATCATGTTTGTCCTATGTAATTCATTAGAAGCAGGTCATAGGTTCAGCCCACACTCACAGAGAGGGGTATGAATGCAGGAGGGCAAGGATTGTTAGGTGCCATCTTAGAAGTGTGCTTCCCACAGTGCCTGAATGAGGGTACAATTTATCACACTGAGGAGAAACAAATTAAAGTGCTTATTTCCAAGAAATGAAATAAATAGTTGCTCTGATTACATTTATTTATTCAGAGCCAAAGCAACCAAGCTTGATGGGACTGGGTTTATAATGGGAGTGGTTAGCCCTTGTCTGAGGAGAGAGGGCAAATGGAAACTAAAGATGAGAAACTAAACTCAACATCAGAGGAGTAACATTAAGTACCAGGTCCAAGATATGAGTTTGAGACTGTGGATGAGAGAAGAATAAAAGGTCAGAAGCCCAAGAATACCAAGTCAATGTAGAAGCAAAATATCAGACCAGATATAGCCGAAAAGTTCAAGATCAAAGAGGACTCCTGGCTTTAAAGACACGAGGTTAGGCTTTTCCTCTCAATTATTGAATGGTTATGAAGTCCTGTTGTATTTTTGCTTTACATTCAAACAAATAGAAAACTTACTAGTTCAGTGAAAATGTTGAAATTGGGAAGTACTATTCCAAATAAAATTAAAAGTCATCAAAATATTCATTTTTTAGCCAACACTATATTATATATTTCTTACAAAATGCATAGATACTGTTTTGTATCTATTGGTTTTATTTTCTTGTCTAATAATATTTACAGTGTGAAGCACCATTTTATACGAGGTGCTGTGGCTACACCTCAGAGTCATGTGGCTCAAAACACATACTGGTGAAGCCACCATTGGTTTCTCCTTCTGCCTATTTTTATTTTTAACATTCCCTTATTTTGACCTTAAGAAGCTACTTTCCATGAAGATCAAGAAATCATGTGCTCTAGCAAGTATAATATCCTTTCACAGTGTTTTCAAAAGTGGTGATTTCCTTGCCTTTAAAATTTTATTTTTACAATTTTTTTACTTGCCACATAACCATGTGATAGAAAGGTGAAACTAAAGCCATATTGAAAACAGAGAACCACTCATTTCTAGTAAAAGAAATCTAGTTATACTTAATTCCCTTTTTGCCTGCCTCCAAGTATAATTTCTACTAGATTACAGAAGTAACCAATTACTTTCATCTACCTTTCCCTTCATGTGCCTGGAAACTAACTTTTTAAACTCTTATTTTGAGAGTTTAAATTTATTTTTAAATAAGTGTATTTATTACCTCTCCTAATCTTAGATCATTTAATCATAATTCTTCTTAAACTTTCTTTCATTTCTATCTGTAGACACACTTCTTTGTATATATTGAGTTTTAGCATCATTTGTTTAGCTTTCACTTCAATTAGCAGTCAAATGAATAGCAACTAATAAATCAGTATGCAGCAATTTAAATGCTTATTAAAATTTGCCAATCAGAACCTAACTCCCAGCTTTGCTTATTCAGAAAGGACTGACATTTTCTTGCCACACCATCTACTAAAGATAAGGCATGCAGTTTCAGATTAAATTAAACATGGCATTTCTGTATATTTGGGTTATCTTTTATAGTTTTTGAAAAAGGAAATCATTCTGAGAACTTATCTAAATTTTAAAGGTTATGATTTTCAGGGTATCAAAATATTTTACAAATTATTTTCTTTAACAACTTACCACAGTGTCTGAAATTTAGGCACTTGTGATTCTTATGGGCTGTTAAAGCTGGATAGAGAGATACATGGATATATATACATAAATGTAGAAATATACATAGATATGGAATATAGACGTAGGTATATATTGCATCACTGAAAAAAATGCTTCAAATAGCTTATAAGACCAAGGCTTTGAAGTGTTGTATGGATAAACTTAAGGTTTCTGTGTGTGTTTGTGTGTATTTATATGTATGTGAGTTTTGGGTTGGGGAGTGAAAGAACTAGGAAAAGATATGCCTCAAGGAAGGGAAATCAGGAATGGGGCAACAAAGTGCACTCAGAGGAAGCCTGAGTATCAGATAGGGAATGATGGTACTAGGACAAGGTCATGAAACAGGAAAGGGTGTCAGAATTTAAAGCATATCTACCCTCTAATGTATGAAATTTTTAGAATATGTTAATTTAATTTTAGCTCTTCAGTGGGTTATGCCTAAGAATAAAAGGAGGCTTTAAGAAATAAAATGCAACCTTGACATAACTTTTCTTTATTGGGTCCTAATAAAGAGTTTCAAATGGCACTCTCTATTTGTGACAAATCACACACATGTTCATTGCTACATTTCTGGAGTCTTGAAATTTGCAACTGCCAAAAATAATCAAATAAATAGTCCTTTTTCTTCCTAGGAAGAAATTCTTCTAAATTTAGAAGCCAATTCCCAAAAGAGTTTATGCTGTTGAGAGAAAATTTGTGAAGAAAAGAGTCTATTAGTTAATTTTTAAATGCTGTCAATTTTTAAATGCTGTTAATTTTTAAATGCTGTTGACTTGCAAGAACAGTTCATCATTTATTCAATATGTGAAAAGTACTTGACCTCATCTAAGTTTACAATTGCCCAAACACAAGGTCAGGAATGAAGTTAAATATGTCAGCATGGTACTGCCTTCTTGTCTTATTTCTCCTTTCCCCTATCACTTTGACCTCTTGTGCCTTCCGAAGTGAATGAGGTAACACTTCATATGCTGATTGCCTGTGAAAAGGGCATCTTTATTCATTGAGACAATCCTTCTAGGCTTAAAATCAACCCAAAATCAAGGAAAAGGGTAAGACTGCAAAGTATTTGGGTATTGGTGAGTCTTCATAGATATCGCTTTATGAATGATCACTTAAGTCACCCATAAGGAAAGCCAATTCTAGTGAGTGTATTACATTCTTGGTTCACAGAATAGATGATTATTTAAATTTTAAATTTAATTATAAGGAAATCTTCTTATTGTTTAATAACCAATTTGATCTATTGAAGTGTTCTGTGTCTTATGTCAATTTATATAAAGGACCCTCCTAAGGCATAAAAAATAACTAGTATTACATTTCTTAGTATTTTCTGTGGCTCATTTGAGGGAGAGGTATGGATATTGCAAGAGGGAAAGAAGGTGGGAAGGGCAAAGACGTGGAAATTAACCACACTATGCCTTGTTATTCTCCTAGGGTCTCATGATTCCTTCAGCTTCTACATTGATGAAGCCTCTCCAGTAGGTCCTGAGCAGCCAGAAACTGTCCAGAATTTTGTCTCTGTGTTTGGAACTGTGGCCAAAAAGCTCATGCGGAAATGGTTAGCCACTCAGACAATGAATTTTACTGGCCAGCTAGGAGCTGGAATTCGTTATTTTGATCTTCGAATTTCCACCAAGCCCAGAGACCCCGACAATGAACTCTATTTTGCTCATGGTTTGTTCAGTGCCAAAGTCAATGAAGGCCTTGAGGAGATCAATGCATTCCTCACAGATCACCATAAGGAGGTAGTGTTCTTGGACTTCAACCACTTTTATGGGATGCAGAAATATCACCATGAAAAACTGGTCCAAATGCTGAAAGACATCTATGGAAATAAAATGTGCCCAGCGATTTTTGCCCAGGAAGTTAGTTTAAAGTACCTGTGGGAGAAGGACTATCAAGTGCTGGTCTTCTACCATAGTCCAGTGGCTCTGGAAGTGCCCTTTCTCTGGCCTGGGCAGATGATGCCAGCACCCTGGGCCAACACCACAGACCCCGAGAAACTGATCCAGTTTCTTCAAGCATCCATCACTGAGAGAAGAAAGAAGGGATCGTTTTTTATATCTCAGGTGGTGCTGACCCCCAAAGCTAGCACTGTGGTCAAAGGGGTGGCAAGTGGCCTCAGAGAAACAATCACAGAAAGGTAAGTGTCTTTAAAATGTCAGGGGGAAACCTCAAATAATTTAACTTGAATTTATAGAGCTCATAAGTGATGAAGCTGAAATTATACCTATGTATATTAGGTCCCTGGGGCTGCAATAGCAAAGTACCACTAATTGGGTTTCTTAAAAGAATAAAAATATATTATCTCACAGTTCTGAAACCTAGAAGTCTGAAATCAATGTCAGCAGGGTTGGTTCCTTCTGAGGACTCTAAAAAAGAATCTGTTTCATGCCTCTCTCCTAGGTTCTGGTGGTGGCTGGGAAGCCTGAGTGTTACTTGGCTTATACATGCATCACTCCAGTCTCTGTCTCCTTTTTCTCATGCCATTTTCTCATGTGTCTCTGTGTTTTCCTTTGCTTATAAGGATACCAGTCATATTGAATTAGGGCCTGCTCTAATAACCTCATCTCAATTACCTCTGCAAGGAACCAATTTCCAAATAATGTCACACTCACATGTAGCAGGGGTTAGGACTTTAACGTGTATTTTTGTGGACCACAGATCAACCCATAACACCATGTATTTTGACTCCATGTCTAGTTGTCTTTTCATAGCACCCTTTTTCACATTTGTGTAGTGCTTTATAGATTGCAATATCCTTTCTCTACCATTTGCAGAGTCTTTTAATATCCCTAATTCCATTTGAAATGCATAACAACACTGAGAAGTAGATATTGTCTTACAGATTTAAAAAATGAGGTTCAAAAAAGTGATATATTTTTCTTAAGACCCCTTCAACAGTGAATGATAACACAGATACTCAAACTCTATTCTTAAACTATATCCTATGCCTTTTATACTACATACGCAGCCTTATAAGGAATGGTTACCCTGAGAAAGTGGTCACTTCATTGGTCAAGCCCAGCCAAACATGTAGGATGTTCATTACCTGTGAGGTATAATTTGAGCAATCACAGTTTTTCCTGCGAGTGTGACACAACATACTGAATTGTACATATTATTTATTCTTTTGAGTTAAAATATTAAACAATGCAAACATCATCTGAAGAAAGAACACAAATCCTTATCAGATCTCTTATTTTTATCTTTCACTGACATTTCGAATTATGCTAAAGAGACACAGCATGAATGTTTTGCTTGGACCCAAGGTCTTTGTGGAAAAAGACAAAAGATGAAGAGAAAAGATTAGGCAGTGAAAATAGTATGTGTGACCTTGTGGCATAGCATATAGGATGGGGAATGAAAGGAGATAAAGCTTGGAGTGGTGTAAGAATACATTTTCCAGAAATCTTTTAACCAGGCTACAGAGAACCTCATCCTGTGAGCAATGGGGAGCTAGATAATAAACTTTAAAAGTAGCATGACTTGACATGATCTGTGTTTTATGTAATAATTGACGCAGCCTGGAGGATTGATGGAATGGAGAGAGCGAGCAGTTAATAGGTGCTTAGAACTGTTTCAGCAAGGTAATGCAAGCTACACTGGGGAAGCGAAAAAACACAGAAGGGGATAATACGCAAGCAATGAAAATTAAAATGATTCAGTGACTAGTTGGCTATGTGATATGAATGGGAGAAAAGAGTTCAGGATAAGCAGGACAGGTAATGGAAGCATTCACAGAGTCAGGAAACAAAGACACAGGGACTTGGGAGGAAGTGGGGAAGGTACCATCAGGGTCATGCTGAATTTAAAGCATGAGTAAGGCATTCAGGTAGATGTGGCTAATTGATCATTACAAATATAGGCCAACTCATTTGGGGGTTGTTGGCATTTCTCGATGGTGAAAACTCCAAGTCATTGGAGTGGAAATGTTCCTCCACATAAAATCATAACTTTCTTCTGTTACTCAGAATGGTCCATTAGCCGGGACTGCTCTGTTCCTTAAAATTTAAATAACATTACCAACCATTCATTGTATACTCTATGAAAGTGCATGACTTTCTCTATGATTTCTGCTAATGTCTACATTTCTTATATTTGTATGGTAGGTCCCTTTCTACTACTGGATTATATCATTTTATGGCTTAATTATCCCACGCAGTCTGTCCATGTCCCATTCTGAGACATGAAACTTGCTTCATGTTCATTTCCACAATGTTTTTTAGATTTTACTGAAGATCTGAAGAGGCCAGGAATGGCTTATAATCACAATAATGTACATAATTTAAAACCAAATTTTAGACTTGTCTTTAATTACAAATCTTCTGCCCTAGGATAACAGCCCCTGACAACATCTATAACACTGTACACCTCAGCCTCATATCCTCTGACTGAATCTTCTCCTTTACCATTTTTCACTTCTTTTCTTTCATTACCCTTCAATTGCCTTTGAGACCCAACGTTCTAGATGATTGTGTAACTAGATTAACATTTCTAGATGATTTTGCCTAACTAGTCACCTCTCTCCAGCTTCCTAAGCCTAAATTCAGCTAGTTCCAACAAATTATTCATCAAAACAAGAGGGCTTTTTGCTTTATAGCACCATTTTCTACAAACGTTATTTTTTCTGGTAATTAACAATTTACCCCCTTTCTCACAAACTTAGAAAGTGAGGGAGTTGTGTACATATAAAAATGTGTTATTTTTAACTGTATCCCACAGAGTCCCCAGATTTTGAAGAATCTCTGATGGGTCACTAGAGGTGGGGAAAAGGCAGCAGGAGCCTGGCAGGGAACTGACTCCAACTCCCTCTATTCTCTCCACACCTTGAATGAAAGAAGCTTCATTTTTAACTTTTACATTTTGGGCATGATGCAAGTCTTCCTATGACCTCTTCCAGCTTCCAGCATAGTTCTATGCTTAGCAAAACACTTGCTTGTATTAAATGCTTGCTTTGCATTTTAGCCAAGAACTTTACCCTCATTTTACCTGTGTAGAGATCATCCTTTGAAGAAGCCAAGAAGAAGAATTTACTCAAGGATAAATGATTTTCATTTTTTTCCTCTTATGGCATTTGATGTAATTTAGAAGTTTTCAAGTCATAGTTAAACTGCTTTTTGGTTACTCATGCTCTAGTACCCTACTACTAAAGTAGGATTTGTGGGTAAAAAAATCAAATCAGTTAGGAAAGTGCTGAACATTATATTCTACACAACTCTCCCAAAGGATTCACAGTGTACTTTAGCATGTAAAATGCCTAAGGAATATTTTAGTGATGAATCCTATTTAAATTTAACTAATACAATGTTTTCCAAGCACTTAAATTTTGTTCAGATAACACTTATTAACAGCACATGGAATTAATTTTTAAAAACTGCTCTCAGCCCTTTAATTCAGAACTTCCTACTTGCCTCTAGCTTATGTATCTGGAATAGTAGAGTTGTATCATTGACAAGAAAAAGGAGAAGAAAAAGAAATTTTAAAAGTAGGAATGAAGACTCCATATAGAGAACTAATTCTTTCCTCTATAGGATTATGAAAATTACTTACAAATAATTTGCCAGTATATCTGAACCTTGTCATTATAGATGTGCTGGCACTCTCCAGTGGAGTTTAGCCTCAGAAGTACTAGAAAGACTTCCTTTTTAACCATTTGCAAAGCTGTATTCTGAATGTTATATTAATGTGAAGCTCAGTTTTTTGTTTTGGTTTGGTTTGGTTATTGGACATACTCCAGCCTTCTGCATGGAGCCTATAGGAAAAGCTTATTGTCAGCTCTGGGGTCATGCCTTGCAAAAGCAATTTATTAATACTTATCACTTATTCAGTGAAGGAGCACTTGACTCCCCAGAACTTGTTGGCTTTCTCTTCTTACCAAGTGATGAAGCCTATGAAGTGAACTGATTCTGACATTGTCCTCGCTTTTGTGCAAAAGCCATTCATTCATAAAGTCCTGTGATGGCACCAAAAGGTGTAGTAAGTTCTTCTGTGCCATGAAAGGAAAGTTACCAGGCAATTATAAGACTGCTCTGGGCCTTACATATTTTCATCTGCACAGTTTGGAGTTTGAGCTAGATTACCTCCAAGATCCATTTGAGTTGTAAATCCTACAGTTCCAAGATCCTCCATTTGACTAGCTAGTTTCTCTACAATTTTTAAAATCATGCCTAATATTTGGATTAACAAAACTCTGAGCACATGCATTTAGAAAACAGCGTTTGAAGTTGTGGGTGGCTTTCAGGGAAACTAAATCTAGCCTGGATTTAGGTACCGTAGCTTTCGATCTGGCCAATGGTTCTAAATACTGCAGATTCGTTTTCTACATTGTAGCAATGCCAAAAGACACAGATTTTTATTTCTTAAAGACCTATTTTTAATTTCTTTTTCAAACACCAGTTTTTGCACCTCACCCCCATGCAATTCACACATTCTTAAAAAGAAGGTGTGCAACTTGAGTAAAGTCCTTTCCTAATTTGCGGAAGTTTATTAACTTACAGGTTTTTCTTAATTTAAAAAATGCAGTCATACTACCTATCAGAATTTTTAAGCAGCAATGCATCTTTGCAAGTAAAGTGATGCTGAGTTAAATTAGACCATATTTGTACAGGCCAACAGTTTAGGTAATGATTAATATAACAATAATAATAATAATAACTGTTATTATTAGGGGTTCACTATCTGTTAGATCCTTTACTGTGTTATATTCATGATTAGGTTCAATATTTATAAAACCTCCAAGTGGAGGTACTATTGCCATCCTATCTTAACAATAAAGGGACTGAGCCTTAGAAGTGTTAAGCAACCTAGCTGGATAGCACAGTTAAGAAAAGGTGGATTCAGAATTTAAATCCAAACTCTATCTATCCGTTTATTCACAAAAGCAAACATTTAAATGCCTAATCTGTTCTAGACACTGTAGTTCAAGTGACTGATCTCAGATATGGAGTCTTATAACCATTACATCATGCTATCTCCCTGCTATTTGTGAGACTCCAAAGAAGTGACTGCAACTTTGTTTTCATCTTATTAAATGACAATATCTAGATCAAATTTGGCAGTACATTCAGGTAGACCGAGTTCAATTTAATCCTTATCTGTTAAACAGCTCCTATGAGTACGGCTCTGCATTAAGTGCTGTGAGGCATATTAAAATTGGTATTTGCCATTGTTCCCATCAAGCATCAAGTGGGTTTGAAAAGACAAGAACATGCAATACCTAAATACAAATTGGAGAGAAACAGGAGAATTAAAGATCAAGGTCTATGGTAACTTAGAGGAGAGAGATATCTGGAAAGATTTTGGCTGGCTTTGACAAAAAGCACTGGGATAGGCAGAGATGGATAGGGGTAGCTTCTCAGGATGAGGAAATAGCAAGAGCAAAGCATGGAGGTAGGAAATCTTGAGGACAAGAGAAATCAGGGTTGGTTACAGAAACAGAGTGATGTGCAAAGGAACATGGGGGATGAGTCGAGGAAAAAGTGAAGGGGGAAATTATGGTTAGCTGAATTAGGCATATATTAGGAAGATATTGAGGAGGGCAAATCAGAACTGGACTTCAGAGGATGAAACCCACCTAATTATGTAGGTTGAGTAAGGAAGGAAGAGACTGAAGAAGAAGCCACCAGTTTAAAGGGGGAAACAGAGTGGCATGCCAGCAAGTGTTTAGAAAGAAAGAGATAAAAATTGCTGACATGGTTTGACTTCAGCCCTACTGACAGTGCTGCCCCCTTGGAATACCATTTACAGTATCATTTTATATGGATGACATCCCTTGGAGTTGGATGATGGGCAGCCCTGGCCACTTAGTCTCATCATCACAGTGATCATCTTGAGTGTAAGGTAGAATTTTCAGGATGTGGTTGTGAGTATACACTAATATTACCCAGCTGGGCAAAGGAAGACAACTGTAGTTGTTGAGCCCACATTATGTGCCAGGCACTGTGCTAAGAGCGCTACATGATTTGTGTCCATTTAAGGCCTTGCATCCTTACAAATTAGGTATTATTAAATCCATTAG
Organism: Homo sapiens; assembly: GCF_000001405.40. Lineage (NCBI taxonomy): Eukaryota > Metazoa > Chordata > Mammalia > Primates > Hominidae > Homo > Homo sapiens. Next base: position 41,375,948 of record NC_000005.10, on the reverse strand, counting down.
AGGTGGAAATTGAGGCTGAGAGATGTCTAATACCTTACTTTAAAATCCCATATTAAAGTCATTCCTTAATTAATAAGCTAGGATTATTACATGGGTTTGTTTGACTCTAAGTCCCATGCTTATTGTTGCAGATTAGGTAAAATTAATATTGCTTAGCACTGGCTGCATTTAATACATTCTCTGTCATCTTGGAAGGCAGAGTCAGGTCTAGGGGTTTAGGAAAGTAAATTATGCTGGTGACAGAGTGGGC